>NC_000019.10:47240874-47865874 GCF_000001405.40 Homo sapiens | reverse complement strand
GCCACTTCACTCCAGCCTGGGTGACAGAGCGAGACTCCATCTCAAAAAATAAAAATAAAAATAAAAAAATTAGCTGGGTTTGGTGGTGGCAGGCGCCTGTAGTCCCAGCTACTCAGGAGGCTGATGCAGGGGAATCGCTTGAATCCGGGAGGCAGAGGTTGCAGTGAGCCAAGATCGAGCCACTGCACTCCAGCCTGGGAGACAGAGTGAGACTCCCTCTACAAAAAAAAAAAAAATTGGCCCTTTTCCCCCTCTCTCTGATCCTTACAAGACAATGACATTTCTACCTGCACTGCCTCCATCTCCATCCCGGAGCATGCAGGGCAGTATTAGCTTGAACTTGACCCATTTGTCGAAGGTACAATGAACTGTTCTCATACGTACCCTGAATCCTTTCTTGTTATGCTTTTTGGCTACAGGCAGGAAAACAAGAGAAATTCTTGCTCTTGCCAAGACAGACATGGGGAATTTCGAAGGCCCGCCTTCTGAACGTCACCTCGTCCCCTCTTCCTTGGTCCAGTGAGAAGTCCAGATGCTTCCCTTGGGGATGCCCAGAACACAGCCTGGGATGATGAGGAGAGGCGGGAGAGCTTCCTAGGAGATGGTAAAATTCCCTTGGAATTTTCGGTTTCCAAAGGGAGTGAAGGGGGCTGCTTGCTTGGGTGAAAAAGGAGGGAAATTGAATGGAGAAGATATAGCCGGGGGCAGTGGCTCCTGCCTGTGGTCCCAGCACTTTGGGAGACATGGGCTGGAGGATTGCCTGAGCTCAGGAGTTCGAGACCAGCTTCAGCAACATGGAGAAACCCTGTCTTTATCAAAAAAAAAAAAAAAAAAATAGCCAGGCACAGTGGCATGCACCTGTAGTCCCAGCTACTCAGGAGGCTGAGGTGGGAGAATTGCTTGAAACTGGGAGGCGGAGGTTGCAGTGAACCGAGATCACACCACTGCACTCCAGCCTGGGTGACAGAGCAAAACCCTGTCTCCAAAAAAAAAAAAAAAAAAAAGAATTGAGGCCAGGAGCAGTGGCTCATGCCTGTAATCCCAACACTTTGGGAGGCTGAGGTGGGTGGATCATCTGAGGTCAGGAGTTCAAGACCAGCCTGGCCAACATGGTAAAACCCCATCTCTACTAAAAATACAAAAATTAGCTGGGCGTGGTGGCTAGCCCCTATAATCCCAGCTACTAGGGAGGGTAAGGCAGGAAAATAGCCTGAACCTGGGAGGTGGAGGTTGCAGTGAGCCGAGATTGCATCACTGCAGTCCAGCCTGGGCAACAGAGCGAGACCCTGTCTCCAAAAACAAGAAGAATTGAGGAGATTAAAAAGAGAGGAATTCTGTTCTACTTAATCCATTCACTTTCTGTTCAGCTAATCAGGGCATGTGCAAACTCCATCTTCATTCATTAACAAACTAATCCGTGGCCCGGCCTGGTGACTCATGCTTGTAATCCCAGCACTTTGGGAGGCCGAGGTAGGTGGATCACCTGAGGTCAGGAGTTCCAGACCAGCCTGGCAAACATAGTGAAACCCCATCTCTACTAAAAATATAAAAATTAGCCGGGCGTGGTGGCGGGCACCTGTAATCCCAGCTCCTCGGGAGGCTGGGGCAGGAGAATCGCTTGAACCGGGGAGGCAGAGGTTGCAGTGAGCTGACATCGCGTCACTGAACTCCAGCCTGGGTGACAGAGTGAAATCCTGTATCCAAAAAAAAGAAGAATTGAGGAGATGAAAAAGAGAGGAATTCTGTTCTACTTAATCCATTCACTTTCTATTCAGCTAATCAGGGCACATGCAAATTCCATCTTCATTAATAAACTAATCCATTTTCCATTCATTGATATGCCTGCAGGGCCCTGGAGCACCACCGTCCCTCCCCTAGGCCCAGGATGTGATTCTGAATCTACAGTCAGACTGGACCACCTCTCCCCCATGCCCCCAGAATGTCCACAGGGGCTCCCTCGCCTACAATAGATGGATTAGATTCCTCCCTACTCTTCCCACACTGTCAGAGTCTGACTGGTGTGAAGTTCCGGTGTTTTTGTGTGTATTTTACTACCAGGGTCGGCTAGATAAGGAGGAGCTTTCATTACATCCTGGAAGTCTGTCCCCCGCACACACGCACAGCCGTCCTCCCTTCCCCCAACATCTGATCTAATTCTCTCTCTGCTTTGCTGAGGCTGGCCTGGCCTAAGAGGATTAGAGCATTTGCTAAACGGGACCAGGACAGGCAGGGTCAGAGAACCCGCTGTGGGGAGACCCAGGGCCAGGATGGCCACTAGGGGGCGGCAGAGGAAGCGAGACGCGGAGAGGGGTGTGGAGTGCTGAGGAGAGGCACTCGTCGGCTTAGCAGCAATCAATGTCCACAAAGTAACCATGAAGTTTTATTCATTTTTAAATTTACAATGTCCAGCTAAGTTATGAGAATTCAAAAGAATTGAACTAGGTTCCTGGAAACAAAATAAACAGATCAACTGAATTCTATGTGCAAGACAAACATTTTTTTAAAATAAGAAATTTAAAATACCATGTAAAATATCAGACAATAATAAAAATGAAGTGCAAGAAATAAATCTACAGAAAGATGCATGCAAGAGCTCTGTGATTAAATAATAACATTTCAGCCAGGCACGGTGGCTCGCGCCTGTAATCTCAGCACTTTGGGAGGCCGACGGGGGTGGATCACCTGAGGTCAGGAGTTCAAGACCAGCCTGGCCAACATGGTGAAACCCCATCTCTACTAAAAATACAAAAATTAGCCGGGCGTGGTGGTGTGCTACTGTAATCCCAGTAAGCCCAGCTACTCAGGAGGCCGGGGCAAGATAATCACTTGAACCCAGGAGGTAGAGGTTGCAGTGAGCCAAGATTGCACCACTGCACTCCAGCCTGGGCGACAGAGCGAGACTCTGTCAGAAAAATAATAATAATAATAACAATAACAACATTTCATGAAGAACCTTTGTAAAACACCGATTGAATGAATATAAATAAGTACTAGGTCGACTAGACTTTGTAAAAATTTCAATTTCTCCCAAAAACACTTCTAAATTTCATGTCATTCCAATTAAAATTCCAACAATTTTCTTGAAGAAACTTGAAAGCTCAAGTCTGGGCAACATGGAGAAACCTTGTCTCTACAAAAAATACAAAAATTAGCCAGGTGTGGTGGCCCACACCTGTAGTTCCAGCAAGTCAGGAGGCTGAAGTAGGAGAATCACTTGAACGTGGGAGGCGGAGGTTGCAGTGAGCCAAGATGGCACCACTGCACTCCAGCATGGATGACAGAGTGAGACCCTGTCTCAAAAAAAAAATAAACTTTTATAACAGTTTTTGTCCATCAAGTCTGATTTTTAAATTGAGTTTTTTCTTCTACTGAAGAATGAATCTGCTGATGAATGTTTTGAATGCTATGCACAGTGATCTACTTAACAAAAGCAAGAAGACGAACCACATAATAGGAGATCCTCGCAGAATATTAACTCCCAATGGAGTTTTATTTTAAAACATCGTGGCCGGGTACAGTGGCTCACACCTGTAATCCCAGCACTTTGGGAGGCTGAGGCAGGCGGAACACTTTGAGGTCAGGAGTTCAAGACCAGCCTGGCCAACATGATGAAACCCCATCTCTACTAAAAATACAACAATTAGCCAGGCACGGTGGTGGGCACCTGTAGTCCCAGCTACTCAGGAGGCTGAGACTCTAGAGAATCACTTGAACCCAGGAAGCAGAGGCCGCAGTGAGCCAAGATCGTGCCACTGCACGATAGCCTGGGTGGCAGAGCAAGGCTTTGACTCAAAAAAAAAAAATTATAAACATTTGTAAAGAAATCAACTACAAAAAATGGGCCAAAAAGACCATGAATAGTCACTATTTAATAAAAATGAGAAAATATTCAAAAAAAAAAACGAAAAATAGTCACTATTTGAAAATGCCTAATACCCATATGAGAATTTCTCAATCTCTCAATCATCAGGGAAATGGATATTACAACCACAACAAAACCACAAGTCACTGGATCGACAAACATTAAAAAGTCTCACAAGCCTCAGTGTTGGGGAGGACATTGACCAGAAGGAGGGCTGGGAAAAGCCCTTAACAAAGCTCTCAAGCGGCATCCACTAATGCCAAACATCCCAGTGAGCAGCGACTCCAGTCTCAGCAGAGAAACGCTCAGGCTCAATTCAAATGACAGGCAGGCACATTCACAGCAGAGCCACCTGTGATGGCTGCACAGTGAAGACAGCAAATGTCCACCTGCAGCAGGGTGGGTAAAGGGTGATGCATTCACTGCAGAAAGTCACCAGCAGTGTAGATCAGCCACTCCAGGCCCTCTGGGATCTGAAGAACTTTGCAGGCACAGGCCCCCTATAAATCCAGTAATGACCTGGGGACTGAGTGATTTTTGTCCACGAAGCCATCCTCCTCTTTGTACTGAGACGTCGTGGTGGAGAGTGAGGATTCCTCGAACCGGTCTAGGAGCGGGAGCAGCTTGGTGAAGTCAGGGTATAACTGGGTGTCTGGCGACAAGTTGGAGGCATAGGGGCTCTGAGGCCACAAGGCGCCTGGGGCTGGGGTTGGGAGTGATCCTGGGCCTGGCATCAGGGTTCGGCCTAGGACTGGGTCTGGGATTGGGCCTGGGCAAGAGATGGGGGCTGGTATTGGACCGGGGATCGAGACTGACAGTGGGCCTGACATTGGGCCTAAATTCGGGGCTGGGCCTGGGACTGGGCCTGGGATCTGGGCTGGGCCTGGGATAGGGGCTGGGATTGGGCCAGGGCCTGGAGCCGGGACAGCCTTGAGGCCCTCCTGTGTTCCACACTCAGGGCCACCCCAGGTCCGGGGGAGGCTGTAGATCTTCGGTTCTGCTGCTGGGAGGACTCCCCAGGGGCCCGGCTGAGGGGAGATCCAGGAACCCCTGCCCTGCGGGAACTCAGGACCCCCAGGGAAGGAGGCAGCGGCTACAGGGACTAGGGGCGCAGCGCGGGCTCCTCGGCCTCTCTGCCCAGGGACGCGCTGGGGCTGCTGCTGGAGCCGCCGCTCCCGAGCTAGTTTGGCGCGGCGATTCTTGAACCACACCTGGGGGGCAGAGGGGACAGGGAGAAGGTGTGAAGGAGGGACTCGCGCGGCCCGGGTGAGCCGCTCGGGGGCGGCGCCGGCCTCAAAACTCTCCCGGTGTTCACCCCCACCCCGCACCCACCATATGAGGGCCCCCGGCTCCCAGGCCTGGAGAAGGGAGGGAAGAGGGAGGGGAAAGTAGGGGGAGGAGGGTGGGGTGGGAGGGGAGGAGCCGGGTCTGCCGCCCAGGTGCCCGGGGGGCCAGGGAGGGTTCCAGGGGAGGGACCGCGGGTTCTCACGGGTGCCTGAGGTCCGGGCACCGGGAGACCCCGTGGGGGACAGCCTGGGCCGATCATGTGGGCGAGTTTGGGCTAGCATAGAGTTGGAACAGGACTCAGGATGCAGCCCGGGTCTACACTGGCGGGACCCCTTGCGTGGCAGGGCGGGAGGTGGTCGGGCGGGCCAGGCCCCGGTGAGTGACAGCGGTGGGGAGGCTCCTTGGGGTGACTGGGGCGGGCGGGGTGGGGGTGGGGGTCAGACCTGCAGCTGTTGCTCCCTGAGGCTGAGCATCTCCGCCAGATTCAGTCGCTGGTCGTAGTTCGGGTACTGGTCCTTCTGAAAGTAAAATTCTAGCACTTTCTGCTGGCTTTCAGTGTAGACCGTGCGCTCCTGCCGCTGTCTCCTTGGAGGGTCCAGGGCCAGGGGAGGGCCTGGGGGTGGGAGGGAAACAGGTCACAGAAACCCCCAGGCAGCCCCCAGCCCCCCTAGGGACCCCGTCCCCTGCGCCAGGCCAGGAGCCCAGGCAGTGTGGGCTGGGGCGGCACCGCGGATAGCAGCCTGGTATCCAGACCAGACCTTGCACCTCTCTGGGCCTCAGGGTCCACATCTAGGAAATGGGCGCGATAACAGCTCCTGGGAAGGCAGGCAGCGTAGGCGCCTCACCTCGGAGCAGACGGGGCTGCCTCAGGCCTGCTCAGCCCTCCCCAGCTGCCCCGTCCCCTCCCATCCAAGGGTTATAGGGACCCTGACACTTGCAGGGGAGCCGCCACCTGCCCAGTCCTCTGCTCCACTCAACTGCATGGTTTAATTTCTTTCCTTCTTTCTTTTTCTTGGAGGGGATCTCGCTCTGTCACCCAGGCTGGAGTGCAGTGATGTGATCACGGCTCAAGTCAGCCTCCACTTCCTGGGCTCAAGGAACCCCCCGCCTTAGTCTCCCGAGTAGCTGGGACCACAGGTGTGCACCACGACCCCTGGGTAATTTTTGTATTTTTGCTAAAGACGGGTCTCCACTATGTTGGCTCGGCTGGTTTCAGAGTCCCGGGCTCAAGTGATCCTCCCACCTTGGCTTCCCAAAGAGCTGGGATCACAGGCGTGAGACTCTGCGCCCAGCTGCATGATTTTTCATTTCCCAGACACCACTAAGTTCTCCCCCGTCTGCAGGACAGGAAGCCGCCCGCACAGGCCCAGCCCTTCTCTGGCTGCCCAGATTTGCACTCTGCAGCCTCAGCCACAGGATCAGCCCAGGCCCCTCACACCTCTGTCCCTGCTCACCTTGGAGATGACCAGGGTCTTGCATCCTGAGTCCTGATCTGTTCCCAAACACAAGTGTGTACTGACAAGGGCTTGGCTCTTAAATCACTTCTCTGCTGTGCCCACCCTGGCCCACCCTGCCAGGACCCTCCGTTTCCCACCCTGCCCTGCAGTCCCGCCCCCTGGAGGAGTTGAATGGTGGATTAATCCCTCATCACTGATCAGGTACTGCCTGCTGAGCTGTGCTAGGAGCTGGGGAACCTCAGTGGACAACACAGCCTTGGTTTCACCCTCATGGGCCCTAGCCCAGGCGAGGTGGTATTCCACATGGGATCGGGGGAGTCAACATCATGACCTGTGGTTGGGGTCCCCATCTCAGGAGAGGCACCGCCAGCCAGCCCCCAGGAGTCATCCTTATTCCTTCCCAGGGCTGGGGCCCCACATGATCAATGCCAGCGAGTCTACCCACTCCTCCCGGCTCCCGGGCTGCCCGCCTTGTCCAGTCACCATCCCTCTCTCCTGGATGACCCCACAGCCTCCTCTTTGGTCCTTTGAGGCCACTCTGGCCCCTACTAGTCATTCTTGAAGTTTCCTGCTCCCCCAACCAGGAGGGGACACAGGTCTGATGGACATTTCCATGGACTGCTACTGATGTATGCAGGGGACCCATTACCTTGGTTCACACAAGTCAGGTCCCTCAGAGATGCATCTGCTGTGTCAGACCCCTGGCTGCCCTCATCTCCTCATAGCAGGACCCACATGGGTTCAGGGGTCAAGGAGATTGACAAGGCTCATGATCCAGGGAGCTAAAAATGACTCATGCAAGGCTGGGCGCGGTGACTCACGCCTGTAATCCTAGCACTTTGGGAGGCCGAGGCGGGCAGATCGCCTGAGGTCAGGAGTTTGAGACCAGCCTGGCTAACATGGCAGAACGCCGTCTCTACTAAAACTACAAAAAGAATAGCCGGGCCTGGTGGCAGGCACCTGTAATCCCAGCTACTTGGGAGGTTGAGACAAGAGAATCACTTGAACCTGAGAGGCAGAGGTTGCAGTGCAGCCTGGGTGACAGAGGGAGACTCCGGCCCCCTCCCAAAAAAAAAGAAAAAGAAATGACTCATGCAACCAATTTCAAAATTCAATAAAACGTAGACATTGTTACCACGGGCCTCGCTCATTGTTTTCACCTGCTACTTAGAGTTCTATTGTAGAAAGCAGCATCCCCAGCAATGATTCCTCATTGCACACATTGTCCGGCTTCATCTACAGGACATGCTGGGAACACAGTAGTGACCACAGAGATTTTGCACCGTGGCTATTTATTTGGCCAATAAAGACATAAGCAGATGAACAAGCTCACTGGTACTATTTTGTGAAGATAGACATTTAAATATAAGAAAGTTCTGCCGGGCGCAGTGGCTCACGCTTGTAATCCCAGCACTTTGGAAGGCCGAGGTGGGTGGATCACCTGAGGTAGGGAGTTCGAGACCAGCCTGACCAACATAGACAAACCCCATCTCTACTAAATATACAAAATTAGCTGGGCATGGTGGCACATGCCTGTAATCCCAGCTACTCGGGAGGCTGAGGCAGGAGAATTGCTTGAACCCAGGAGGTGGAGGTTGTGATGAGCCAAGATCGTGCCATTGCACCCCAGCCTGGGTAACAATAGTGAAACTCTGTCTCAAAATAAATAAATAAATAAATATAAACTGAAACAAAACAAATAGTGGCTGGGCATGGTGGCTCATGCATGTAATCCCAGGGCTTTGGGAGTCAAGGGGGGAAGATCACTTGAGGCCAGGAGTTCGAGACCAGCCTGGGCAACATAGCGAGACCTTATCGCTACAAAATATATTTTAAAAAAAAACAAAAAACTAGCCAGGTGTGGTGGTATGCACCTGTAGTCCCAGCTACTTGGGCTGCTGAGGGGGGTGGATCGCTTGAGCCCAGGAATTCGAGGCTGCAGTGAGCCATGATCAAACCACTGCACTCCAGCCTGGGCGACAGAGTAGAGACCCTGTCTTGGAAATAGATAAATAAATAAATTATAAAACAAATAGATGGTATGTTTACAAGTTCCCTGCACGCTCTTAAAAGGTTGCTTAGTATCTCACTGTGGCATTCTTCCATCATTGTATCTATATTCTGCTTCCTTTCTGGAAACATTTTACCATAATTGCACATTTTGTTCGGCTTTTAGGTGGCTGGGAACACATTATTCACCAAAGCAGATGATGGCCCTGCTGTCAACAGGAATGATCTCACAGTTTTCTTGGTCTATAAGATGTGAGTAGATGGTCCCCCTCTCTATAATTTCTAAAATAAATTAAATGTAAAACTTTGCATATTTGAGGCCAGGCGTGGTGGCTCGTGATTGTAATCCCAGCACTTTGGGAGGCTGAGGCGGGCGGATCAAGAGGTCAGGAGTTTGAGACCAGCCTGGCCAACATAGTGAAACCCCATCTCTACAAAAAAATACAAAAAAATTAGCTGGGCGTGGTGGCGGGCGCCTGTAACCCCAGCTACTTGGGAGGCAGAGGCAGGAGAGTTGCTTGAACCCAGGAGGCAGAGCTTGCAGTGAGTGGAGATCACAGCATTGCACTCCAGCCCAGGCGACAATTCGAGACTCTGTGAAAAAAAAAAAAAAAAAACTTTGTGTATTCGATTGGCAAAGATTAAGACGAGAGACTCTAGCTGGGCTTCGTAGGTGAACGGGTAGGGAATCTGATTATTTCCCCAGAAATGGTTTTGGAGCATAGGTTGTTGTTTGTTTTTGTTTTTGTTTTGTATTTTTGGTTTTGAGACAGGGTCCTGCTCTGTTGCCCAGACTGGAGTACAGTGGCAACAGGTCAAGGTCACTGCAGCCTTGACCTCATGGGCTCAAGCAATCCTCCCACCTCAGCCTCCCAAGTTGCTGGGACTACAGGCACCCACCACCATGCCCGGCTAATTTCTTTTATTTTTTGTAGAGACAGGGTTTTGCTCTGTTGCCCAGCCTGATCTCCAGCTCCCAGGCTCAGGCGATCCTCCTGCCTCAACCTCCCAAATTGCTGGGATTGTAAGTGTGAACCACCATGCCCAGGTGGTTGGTTTTTAAGACTGACTTGGTGAAACCTGTCAATGTTGATCAGCTGAAGACCATCAGAGGGACACCAGTAGTCAAGCAAAGTTGGGTTTATTGTCTTGTTGCAAGAAGGAGGAACACAAAGGGAACCTTTGGGGCCTCTCAGTAAGAGGGTGTTTGAAAGGATGTTTTAGATTGATGTGAAAGGAATTGTGGCTTTTGCCCTTGCTTTTTTTTTTTTTTTTTTTTTTTGAGACGGTGTCTGGCTCTGTTGCCGGCGCGATCTTGGCTCATTGCAGCCTCTGCCTCCCGGATTCAAGCGATTCTCCTACCTCAGCCTCCCGAGTAGCTGGGATTACAGGCGCCCACCACCACACCAAGCTAATTTTTGTATTTTTAGTAGAGATGGGGTTTTGCCATATTGACTAGGCTGGTTTCAAACTCCTGACCTCAAGTGATCCGCCCACCTTGGCCTCCCAAGGTGCTGGGATTACAGGCATGAGCCACCGCGCCCGGCTGCCCTTGCTTTTAATGGCAAATGTTATAGGATTTGAGCTTGTTTGATAATTTTGGAAAGGATTCAAAACAGAGTGACTTTTATACCTAAAAGAATGCAAACTAAAAAAAATGTTTAAAAACAGGAAAAAAAAAAGAATTTAAATCAGGGAAGTGAACAAATATTTGTGCACTAATGTTCATAGCAGCATCTTTTACAATAGCCAAAAGGCTGAAACAACCCAAATGTCTATCAAATGAATGAACAAAATGTGGTCTATCCATGCAATGGAATATTCTTCAGCCTTAAGAAAGAAGTTCTGGCACAGGCTACAACCTCCATGAACCTAGAGAGTATTTATGCTAAATGAAATAAGCCAGGACAAATATTGTATGAGTCCACTCCCAAGAAATATCTAACATAGACAAATTCATAGAGACAGAAAATAAGTTAGAGGTTCCCAAGGGCTGGGGATGGGGAGAATGAGGAGTTCAATATTTGATAGGTACAAAGTTTCAGTTTGGGGCCGGGTGCCCTGGCTCACGCCTGTAATCCCAGCACTTTGGGAAGCTGAGGCGAGTGGATTGCTTGCCCAGGAGTTCCAGACCAACCTGGGCAACATGGTGAAACTCCGTCTCTACTAAAAATACAAAAATTAGCCAGGCGTGGTGGCGGGCACCTGTAATCCCAGCTACTCGGGAGGCTGAGGCAGAAGGATCACTTGAGCCCGGGAGGTAGAGGTTGCAGTGAGCCAAGGTAGCACCACTGCACTCCAGCCTGGGCGACAGAGCGAGATCCTGTCTCTAAAAACATAAAAGTAAATAAATAAAGGTTAGGATGGTAAATTGTATGTTATGCCTATTTTACTGCAGTTTTAACAAATAAGAAAAGTGGTTTTGCTCTGGGTTCGATGCTGTCAGGAAAAGAGGGTCACTCTGATTCTCTTACCTTGAAAGTGAGGAGGATGAGGAGTGCCCAGAACTAGGGTTTTTGTCTAGAAACAGTGTCACTTGTATTCGACAGAATAGGAGGACACGGATCTCTTTTGTGGTTTGAACAACATGTTTTTGTGGTTTGAACTCTCTGGGTTCAGACATGATTACAGAGAGCTCAGGGCAACACAAAGAATAACCTTGTCCGTTTGTCCTTGTTTCTTTGTTTAAATCCAGTTCTTGCACCATGCATTGTGTTTTATGAAATCCTCTCTTTTTAATAATGTTTATCTGTTTACTTATTTATTTATTTATTGAGATGGAGTTTCACTCTTGTCACCCAGGCTGGAGTCCAGTGGTGCGATCTTGGCTCACTGCAACCTCTGTCTCCTGGGTTCAAGCGATTCTCCTGCCTCAGCCTCCCGAGTAGCTGGGATTACACGCACCCGCCACCACGCCCGGCTAATTTTTGTATTTTTAGTAGAGATGGGGTTTCGCCATGTTGGCCAGGCTGGTCTCGAACTCCCAGCCTCAGGTGATCCGCACGCCTCAGCCTCCCAACGTACTGGGATTACAGGCATGAGCCACCACACCCGGCCTGAAGTCCCTTCTATCCAAAGAGAGAGCATGGAGGCCTGGCTGTGAGTGCAAGGCCAGCCCCTGGCCATTGGGGGCTGCTTTTCTCTTTCTGATATTTCACCAACTCCCTTGTACTGAACATTCTGGGCACAGTGTCTCAGAGCAGCTGGGAAGCCCTGGAGGTCCTCATCATTATCAGCTGTCTGACCTTGGGCAAAAGCCTTCCTCCCTCCAGGATCAGTTTCCCCACCTATACAATGGGCCTGGGTGGATTCAGGCATCTCTTATCATGACATCTGCTCAGGAGGGGACCTGGAACAGAGAACTCTCCCTAATCCCTCCCCTGGCTCCCCTGGTTTGGAGAATCCTCCCCAGTCCCTGCAAGTTTGTCCCCAGGGCAATGTCACTAGTGGCCCTGCCTCACCTCACCTCCTCCCTGCAAGAGATACTGATCAAACGTTATTACCTTGAAAACCAGCCTCCTCCCCAGCCCCCACCAATGCACCAAGTTTAAGCCAGCAATCTTCTTTTTTAATTTTTTGTTTTCTGTTTCTTGGTTTTTTGAGACAGAGTCTCCCTCTCTTGCCCAGGCTGGAGTGCAGTGGCGCAATCTCAGCTCACTGCAACTTCCGCCTCCTGAGTTCAAGCCATTCTCCTGCCTTAGCCTCCCGAGTACCTGGGATTACAGGCGGCCACCACCATGCCTGGCAAATTTTTGTATTTTTAGTAGAGATAGGATTTCACCACATTGGCCAAGCTGGTCTCAAACTCCTGACCTCAGGTGATCTGCCCACCTCAGCCTCCCAAAGTGCTGGGGTTACAGGAATGAGCCACTGCGCCCAGCCATAAGCCAGCAATTTTCAAGGTCTAGTTGGCATTAGAATCCCCTGAAGAGCTCCTTAAAACCCAGATCCCTGGGTCTCACCCCTAGAATTTCAGTTTCTGATTAGCAGGTGATGCTGACGCCACTGAGAAGCAGCAGGAACCACACTTTGAGAGTGGCTATGGTCAGCTCAGCGGCAAGCCTCTCTATCCACCTCAGCCCCACACCTGGCCTCTGTCTCAGAGCTTGCCTTGTTTAGGGACAGGAAGAGGGCGGCAAGCCAGGGCAGGAAGGATGGAGACTTGAGCCAGGGCCGGATGGCATCAGACCTTGGAGGAGCTCAAATGTTATTCCCAGAAAACAAAATAAGAGAGAGGTGCAGAAGTAGGAAGACATCATGAGCTTGGGAAGCCGGGCGTCGCGGGGGGGCGCAGCGGGGAGAAGAAAAAAAAATAGGAAGACAGGCACGGTAGCTAACGCCTGTAATCCCAACACTTTGGGAGGCCAAGGCAGGCAGATCACAAGGTCAGGAGTTTGAGACCAGCCCGGCCAACATGGTGAAACCCCATCTCTACTAAAAATACAAAAATTAGTCTGGCGTGGGTAGCAGGTGCCTGTAATCTCAGCTACTCGGGAGGCTGAGGCAGGAGAATCACTTGAACGTGGGAGGCGGAGGTGGCAGTGAGCTGAGATCGTGCCATTGCATTCCAGCCTAAGTGACAGAATGAGACTCTATTTAAAAAAAGAAAGAAAGAAAGAGAGGGAGAGAGAAAGGAAGGATGGAAGGAAGGAAGGAAGGGAGAGAGAGAAAGAAAGTAAAAGAAAGAAACAGAGAGAGAAAGAAAGAGAAGAAAAGAGAAGAGAAAGAAAAGAAGGAAAAGAAAGAAAGGGAGGCCAGGCGCAATGCCTCACACCTGTAATCCCAGCACTTTGGGAGGCTGAGGCAGGGGGTTGTGGGGATCGCTTGAGCCCAGGAGTTTGAGACCAGCCTGGGCAACAAAGTGAGACCCCATCTCTACCAGAAACACAAAAATTAGCCGGGCGTGGTGGTGCATGCCTATAGTCCCAGCTACTCGGGAGGCTGAGGTGGGAGGACCATTTGAGTGTGGGAGGTCAAGGCTGCAGTAAGCTGTGGTGGCATCACTGCACTCCAGCCAGGGCAACTCAGCAAGAACCTGTCTCAAAAAATTAAAAAAATAAAAATAGAAAGCACAGAAGTTTCTTGAACCATGCTTGAGGAACAAAGTAAAGAGATAAGAAAGTGTAGAAACTGAGCCGGGTGCAGTGGCTCACGCCTGTGATACCAGCACTTTGGGAGGCCGAGGAGGGCAGATCACCTGAGGTCAGGAGTTTGAGACCAGCCTGGCCAACATGGCGAAACCCCGTCTCTACTAAAAATACAAAAATTAGCCGGGTGTGGTGGCACACGCCTGTAATCCCAACTACTCAGGAGGCTGAGGCAGGAGGATCTCTTGAACCCGAGAGGCAGAGGTTGCAGTGAGCCGAGACCACGCCATTGCCCTCCAGCCTGGGTGACAGAGCGAGACTCTGTCTCAAAAAAATAAAAATAAAAATAAACATAATATGAAAGTGTAGAAATTGGAAAACAAGACATAGGCAGTTTTGCTCCCAAATGCACAGCAGGCATGAAGGGTGACACACAGGAAGCTGCTGAGAATGGTAGCCCCATGGAAGGGCCGCCATGGGGCTGGGGACAATTTTCATGGCATGCACTGTGAATTCCCCACGGTGCAGGGTTTTTAACGATGCAAAATATAAGTAAAATAGGCCAGGCGCAGTGGCTCATGCCTGTAATCCCAGCACTTTGGGAGGCCAAGGTGGGCGGATCGCTTGAGGTCAGGAGTTTGAGACCAGCCTGGCCAACAAGGCGAAATCCTGTCTGCGCTAAAAATACAAAAATTAGCTACACGTGGTGACGTGCACCTGTAGTCCCAGCTACTTGGGTGGCTGAGGGAGGGGAATCACTTGAACCCAGGAGGCAGAGGTTGTAGTGAGTCCTGATCGTGCCACTGCACTCCAGCCTTGGTAACAGAATGAGACTCCATCTAAAAAAAAAAAAGTAATAAAATAAAATAAGGTCTATCCTGTTTTTAGAAAATTGGTTCCTTTCTCTGATCTCTCTAGACCACATTCCCTTTGTCTTGGGAATGGAGTTTCTTTTTCCCAAATTCATAGAAAATAGCCGCTTTTTCCTCTACTGCTCTGGGCCTCAGGTTTTCTCTGGAAAATGTCTCCTTTCTGGCCCACCTATAGGGGCACTGAAGTAAAACATTGGTTGAGGAAACTTCACAAACCAAGTGTAGTGGTGCAGTCACGGCTCATACAGCTTGGTGTTGCTGGGAATATTCTGTTTCTCACTCTGGGTAGTGATTACACAGGTGTGTCCTTCCTTCCTTCCTTCCCTCCCTCCCTTTCTCTCTCTCTCTCTTTTTTTTGAGATAAGCTCTCCCTATGTCGCTCAGGTTGGTCTCAAACTCCTGGACTCAAGCAATCCACTCTCCTCAGCCTCCCAAAGTGTTGGGATTACAGGCGTGAGCCACCGCACCCAGCCATGTATGCATTTCTGTTAGTACAATACTAGAAGTAGAATTTTGGGGTCACAGAGAAGCCATTTGTTCAAATTTTATAGATAACGCTGAACAGATTTCCAAATCGGTTTTACCAGTTTACATTTTCAGTTACTCCATATCCTCACCAAAACTTGGCATGGTCTGTCTTTTTTTGTGTGTGTTTTTGTTGTTGATGTTGTTGTTTGTTTGTTTGTTTTTGCCAGGGGTTGGGGGTGGGGAGGGGGACAGAGTCTTGCTCTGTCACCTAGGCAGGAGTGCAGTGGTGCAGTCTCGTCTCACTGCAACCTCCGCCTCCCAGGTTCAAGCGATTCTCCCACCTCAGCCCTCCAAGTAGCTGGGATTACAGGTGCCCGCCACCGTGCCTGGCTAATTTTTGTATTTTTAGTAGAGACGGGTTTTCACCCTGTTGGCCAAGCTGGTCTCAAACTCCTGGCCTCAAGTGATCTGCCCGCCTCAGCCTCCCAGAGTGCTGGGATTACAGGCTTGAGCCACCGTGCCTGGCCAGACTGTTGAGTGTTTATTCACCATTTATATATCTTCTCGGAGCACTGTCAGTTCAAGTCCTTTGCCCATTTTTAAATCAGGGTTTTTTGTTTTTTTTACTGTTGAGTTTTAGGAGTGGGTATATTCTGATTATCAATCCCTTAAAAAATGTGTGATTTCCAAATGTTTTCTCCTATTCTGTGACTTGCCTCTTTACTCTGTTGACAGTGAGGTTTTTTGTTATTTTTTTAGATGCAGGATCTCGCTCTGTCGCACAGGCTGGAGGGCAGTGGCGCGATCATGACTCACTGCAGCTTCAGACTCCTGGCCTCAAGCGATCCTCCTGCCTGGCCTCCCAAAGTGCTGAGATGACAGGTGTCGGCCTCCGTGCCCACCCGTCCCCTCACTCTGTCCTTAATTATCCCTCCCTCACAGTCATTGTCTTTCCCAGCGCCCCAGGTGCATGTCAGGAGCTGGATTCCCATGGTGTCCTTTGTATTGCAAATTGCACAGTGAGGTATGAATGTGGCCGGTGGATAACGTCCTTCAGCTCCTCCTGGCGTCTGTTTTGTCTGTTCTGTTCCCACCTAATCTCTTCCTCCACCCTGCTTTCCGTTTCTCCTCTGAAATGCATTTTCTTTCTCTCTCTCTCTCTCTCTCTCTCTCTCTCTCTCTCTCTCTCTCTCTCTCTCTCTTCTCTCTTCCACACTTTACGGAGGCTAAAACTTTGGGAGGCCAAGGCGGGTGGATCACCTGAGGTCAAGAGTTCGAGATCAGCGTGGCCAACATGGCAAAACCCCGTCTCTACTAAAAAATACAAAAATTAGCCGGGCGTGGTGGCAGACACCTGTAATCCCAGCTACTCGGTAGGCTGAGGCAAGAGAATCGCTTTAACCCGGGAGGCGGAAGTTGCAGGATTTCGCCATTACAGAGCAAGACTCCGTCTCAAAAAAAATAAATAAATAAAAAATCGTCCCGAAGTTACCCAAACAGAAGCTGCGCCCCCTTGCGGTGTGACCCCCAGGCCCATTCAGTTTACTTCCCTCCAGTGTTTTTTCATCTTTAACCTGAGAAGCACCAAGAAGGCTGAGATTGGATCCCATTTGCCTCAGGAAAGTTAATTAACCTCTCCTGATCCTTAAATCCAGGGAGGGGCACGGCCCCTCCCTCAGGGAGCTGCACCGACGTTTCAATGAGTGAAGGGGCTTAACAGTGCCTGGCACATAGGAGGCGCACCGTGAAGGGTTTAGCCGTGATTTTATCATCATTGTGTGCCCCAGGCACGAGTGCTTTTCCATGGAGGGGATAGGAGGGGAGGAGGAGGGGGCATCGTTTCGTTAAAACTCCCCAAAGTCCCCTCCCCCACGGGTCATGCGTCTGAACCTAATCCTCGCTAATTCCCCTGCCATTCTGCTGAGGCTGGGCTGTTGCCATAAGAGGATTGGAGCATTTGCTAAATTAGTCCTGGTCAGGGGCAGAGGAAACAGCTGGGGGAAGGGAGGGTGTTTGGAGACCAGGAGGGACAGACACATACGGGGGTGAGGGAAGAGACGGAGAGAGGGAACGAGGGGAGAGAATCACTCACCGTTGAGACCTAGGAAGGGGAAAACAAGAGAGAAGAGAACACGAGTGGCGGTCAGGCGCAGTGGCTTGCCCCTGTAATCCCAGCGCTTTGAGAGGCCGAGGCAGGAGGATCATTTACAGCCCAGGAGTTCAAAGCCAGACTGGGCAACATAGCAAGACCCCATCTCTACAAATGCATAAATAAAAATTCGAGAACAGGAATAAAATGAAGGACAGAAAATGGAGGGGACAGAGACCAGCAAGGAGGCTGGCCACCTGACAAGATGAATATCAAGACTGGGTCCATCCCCTCCTAGCTTGGGACCTTGGGCAGGTCACCCAGCCGCCCTCTGCCTCAGTTTCCTCATCTGTGAAATAGGGATCATAAAAATAGTATCATTCTGAGGATTAAAAGAGTTAGAACCGGCTTACACCACTGCCTGCTCAATAATTTTATTTTCTTTTCCTTCTGATTTACTAAGGTATAATTTATGTCCTATAAAATCCATTCTGTTTTTTCCCCAACTCTCTTTTTTTTTTTTTTTTTTTTTTTTTTTTGAGATAAGAGTCTCAGTGTCGCCCAGGCTGGAGTGCAGTGGCACATTCTCGGCTCACTGCAACCTCTGCCTCCCAGGTTCAAGTGATTCTCCCACCTCTGCCCTCCAAGTAGCTGGGATTACAGACACCCGTGACCACATCCAGCTAATTTTTATATTTTTAGTAGAGACGGGGTTTCACCATGTTGTCCAGGCTGGTCTCGAACTTCTGACCTCAGGTGATCCGCCCTCCTCGGCCTCCCAATGTGCTGGGATTACAGGCATGAGCCACCGCACCCAGCCTACCTGACTCCCTGTTCACTCTCTTATTGAAATACATTTGTTTTCTAGGGTGTTATAAGTTTGGGGAATTATATACAGTCCCAGAACCATCACCATAATCAAGATAGGGCACATTTCTAGCACCCCCAAAAGATCCTCATTTGTTCCTTTGCAGTAAATCTCACCAGCTGCTCCCTAGGTCCTGGCAAGCACTATCTGCTCTCTGCCCTGTATAAGTTTTATCTTTTCTAGAATCTCATAGGCATGGAATTGTACAATATTTGCTTCTTTTTTAAAAAATTTTATTTTTATTTATTTATTTCAGCAGTATTTGCTTCTTTGTTTCTGGTTTCGTTTCTTTCTTTTTTTTTTTTTTTTTAGACAGGGTCTCACTCTGTTGCCCAGGCTGGAGTACATTGGTGCAATCTCAGCTCACTCCAGTCCCAACTTCAGGGGCTCAAGCGATCCTCCCACCTTAGCACCCCAAGTAGCTGGGTCTATAGGCATGTGCCACCATACCCAGCTAATTTTTTGAATTTTTTTAGTAGAGACACGGTCTCACTATGTTGCCCAGGCTGGTCTGGAACTCCCAGGCTAAAGCGATCCTCCTCCCACCTCGGCCTCCCAAAGTGCTGGGGTTACAGGGGTGAGCCACCGTGCCCAGCCTGGATTTAATTGTCTGTCTTTCTTTTTTTTTTTTTTTTTTTTAAAGACATGGGGTCTCACTCTGTTGCCCAGGCTGGTCTTGAACTCCTGAGCTCAAGCAATCCTTCCACCTCAGTCTTCCAAAGTGCTGGAGTTTCAGGTGTGAATCACTGTGCCCAGCCCTAGTTTCTTTTCCTGGGGTATTGACTACTGGGAGTTCATTCCTTTTCATCAGTGAGGAATATCTTTTTTTTTTTTTTTTTTGAGACAGAGTCTTGCTCTGCCGCCCAGGCTGGAGTGTAGTTGCGCAATCTCAGCTCACTGCAATATCTGCCTCCTGGGTTCAAGCGATTCTTATGCCTCAGCCTCCCAAGTAGCTGGGATTACAGGCACGTGCCACCACGCTCAGCTAATTTTTGTGTTTTTAGTAGAGACAGGGTTTTTCCATGCTGGCCAGGCTGGTCTCGAACTCCTGACCTCAAGCGATCCGCCCACCTAGGCCTCCCAAAGTACTGGGATTACAGGTGTGAGCCATCGTGCCTGGCTCAGGGTATCCTTTTGTATGGATGCATCAGGGTTTGTTTCTGCCTTCACCTGCTGATGGACGTCTGGATAGTTTTCAGCTTGGGGCCATTATGACTAAAGCTGCCAGGAATAGCATAAGTACGAGTTGAGTAAAAATAATAATAATAAAGACCCAAGTACCTGGCCAACATGGTGAAACCCCGTCTCTACTAAAAATACAAAAATTAGCTGGGCATGGTGGCACGCGTCTGTAATCCCAGCTACTCGGGAGGCTGAGACAGGAGAATCACTTGAACCTGGGAGGCAGAGGTTGCAGTGAGCAGAGATCGCGCCACTGCACTCCAGCCTGGGCAGCACAGCAAGACTCCATCTCAAAATAATAATAATAATAGGTTAAGATAAACGTTTAGCAGCCGGGCGTGGTGGCTCACACCTGTAATCCCAGCACTTTGGGAGGTTGAGGCGGGTGGATCAGGAGGTCAAGAGATGGAGACCATCCTGGCCAACATGGTGAAACCCCGTCTCCACTAAAAAACACAAAAATTAGCTGGGCGTGGTGGTGCATGCCTGTAGTCCCAGCTACTCGGGAGGCTGAGGCAGGAGAATTGCTTGAACCTGGGAGGTGGAGGTTGCAGTGAGCCGAGATCGCGCCACTGCACTCTAGCCTGGTGACAGAGTGAGACTCTGTCTCAAAAAAAAAAAAAAAAAGAAAGATAAATATTTAGCATGATGATTTCAAGGTCATCCAAGTTGTGTTTATCAGTGCTTCTTCCTTTTCATGGCTGAGCAATATTCCCTTGCATGGGTAGACCTCATTTGTTTCTGTGGACAGACATTTGAATTGCTTCATCTTTTGGCCATTGTGAATCATCCTGCTATAAATTTGAGCGTACAAGTTTTTGTCTGAACACCTGCTTTCCGTTCTTTGCGGCATATACTTCAGAGCAGAATTGTAAGGTCACTATATTGCTCCAGAACATTTTCGTCATCCCAAAAGGAAACCCCATATTCATTAAGCAGTCACTCCCCATTCCACCACACAGCACCCCTCACCCCAGCCCCTGGCAGCCACTACGTTTTCTGTCTCTACGGATTTGCCTTTTCTTTTTTTTTTTTTTTTTTTGAGCCAGAGTCTCACTCTGTTGCCCAGGCTGCCAGGCTGGAGTGCAGTGCTGCGATCTCAGCTCACTGCAACCTCCACCTCTCAGGTTCAAGTGATTCTCCTGCCTCGGCCTCCCGAGTACCTTGGGTTACAGCCACACACCACCACACCCAGCTAATTTTTGTATTTTAGTAGAGATGGAGTTTCACCATGTTGGCCAGGCTGGTCTCAAACTCCTGGCCTCAAGTGATCCACCCACCTCAGCCTCTCAAAATGCTGGGATTACAGGCATGAGCCACTGTGCCTGGCTGGATTTGCCTATTCTGAATATTTCATATAATTAGGATAATACAATATATGGTCTTTGTGTCTGGCTTCTTCTGTGAATGTACTTAATGCCACTGAATTAAGTAACTTAAAATGGAAAAAATGAATTAAGAATCATGCAATGGGAAAAGTGGTACATTTTATAGTATGTGTATTTTACCACAAAATAGATAAATATTTATTGAGCTCTTACCCTGGACCCGGCTTCAGGTCCATAATTAATAGAATAACATCATTTTGTTCTCTTGAGATGGGTCTCCTTAGATGCTCCATGCTACAGGTGGGGAAATTGAGGCTGGGAGAAATGAATCACCCGAGGTCAGACGACCAGAAGAGGCTAAGCCAAGCTCGGACAGCAAGTCTGCCTGACCCTCCCTCCTGTATATAACTCCCAGTCATCCCCCAACAAAAATCTTAACCTGGGATTCAGCAACTGAGAGGAATACAGGCAGAGAGAGATGACCTAGAGGCCAGGAGCGGTGGCTCAGGCCTATAATCCCAGCACTTGCAGAGGCTGAGGGGGGTGGATCACTTGAGGTCAGGAGTTTGAGACCAGCCTGGCAAACATGGTGAAACTTCGTCTCTACTAAAAAATACAAAAATTAGCCAGGCGTGGTGGTGGACGCCTGTAAGTCTCAGCTACTTGGGAAGCTGAGGCAGGAGAATCGCTTGAGCCCAGGAGGCAGAGGTTGCAGTGAGCTGAGATCGAGCCACTGCACTCTAGCCTAGGTGACAGAGCGAGACACTGTCTCCAAAAAAAAAAAAAAAAATGACCTAGAGCTGGAAAAACAAGAACTCAGAGGTGGGCCAGTCATGGTGGTTCACACCTATAATCCCAGCACTTTGAGAGGCCGAGACAGGTGGATTGCTTGAGCCCAGGAGTTTGACACCAGCCTGGGCTGCATGGCAAAACCTTGTCTCTACTAAAAATACGAAAATTAGCCAGGTGTAGTGGCAGGCACCTGTAGTCCCAGCTACTCGGGAGGCTGATACAACAGGATCGCTTGAACCCAAGAGGCAGAGGCTGGAGGGATTCAAGATCACGCTGCTGCACTTGAGCCTGGGTGAGAGAGGGAGACCCTGTCTCAAAAAAAAAAAGAAAGAAAGAAAGAAAGTCAGAAAAAAGTAAGCAGCAAAGAAAAAGAGACAAGAGGGAAGGAAAGAAAGAAAAAGGTGAAAATCCATCCAAATGAAATGAGGAGCTGGGAGTCTGAAAGGCAAGAGGAAGAATGGAAAGAGAGAGAGGAGAAGAGATGACAGAGCAAGGGTGAGATTGAGAAACTGAAAAGCATCCGGGGGAAGAGATGGAAAGCAAAGGGGTGGAAGAGCTGAAGCTGCAGAAGGCTGGATGCTGAGAGGGAAGGCGGGCCAGAGGCTGCGCGTGGCTCTAAATGCTGGCGTTAAGCTTCACATCCTGCCACTGAGGCAGGGAGCATTCTCGTCACCCCCCTGTTTTTTCGGGAGGGGCATTGGAAGGTTACAGATGGGTGGGGCTGGGGCTGGCCCTGGGGACCCCTGTTCCTCCTCCTCCTTCTTTTTTTTTTTTTTTTATTTTTTGTTTTTGGAGACAGGGTCTCTTGTTGCATCACCCAGGCTGGAGTGCAGTGGTGCAATCATAGCTCCCTGCAGCCTCAAACTCCTGGGCTCAACCGATCCTCTCATCTCAGCCTCCCGAGTAGCTGGGACCACAGGCACACATCACCACACCCGGTTGATTTTTTTAATTTTTTGTAGAGACAGAGATCTCGCTATGTTGCCTGGGCTGGTCTCAAACTCCTGGCCTTAATCAATCTTCCCTCCTCAGCTTCTCAGAGCACTGGATTACATGCGTGAGCCACTGCACCCAGCCCCTGATCCTTCATAAATTGGCTTTAGAGAGATGTCAAGGAAAGGAGGGTGATGAGACAGGAAACACATGGAGGGACCCAGGCCCCACAGACAGAAGGAACAGAGTAGTTCCTGTTTCTACCTGCCCCTCCTGGAGAAAACACGGAAACTAAAGAATCACCCAGACTTTAAATGAGATCCAACATTTTAATTGGTTTCACTCTGTGGGTGGACAGAGAAGGGGGACCCAGAGGCCAGTGTGTGGGGAAGAGGAGGACAGATAAGGTGACACCTTCTCAGGGAGGCTCCTGGCTTCTTCCTTCTGTCCCCACCTGCCTTGTCACTCTTCCTGGCTTTAGGACGTAGAACGTTTGAAATCCCCTGTGCACAGCTGGAAGAACCAACACTCAGGAGCCCAGCCCAGGAAAAGCAATCTGTAACCTCCTAGCTGGATTTGGCTCCCTGCCCTCTCCGGCTCCTGGTGGAGTCTCAGAAGACCCCAGGATCAGGCTCTCTCGAAGTCTTACCCCATCGGCCTGTGATGGGGGCCCCTTGGCCTTCACTACTTCTCACTCCTTCCCAGAACCTTGCATGCATCCTTCAGTCCCTCCCCAACTCCCATCAAGTTTCTATGACTTGTTTGCACAAGACACAGCCTCCCCGGTGAATAAGGAGAAGATTCTCTTCCACGCCTGAGTCCCGGCCTCCAGTGCAGAGCTTCCGTGTCTCCGAAGAATGAAACTTATAGTGGATTCTGGTCCCAACGTTTGCACAGACCCAGGGCACAATATTGTCTCATCCCTGCCCCTCCCGTGTGAATTTTGTCTAGCTCCCCCAGCCTCCCCAGTGACATATGTTGTCTTCCTCTGTTTATATTTTCATCCCACACTGGACTCTTGAGCCACTCCTGGGTTATTTTTGTTGTTGTTATTATTGAGACGGAGTTTCGCTCTTGTGACCCAGGCTAGAGCACAGTGGCACAATCTCTGCTCTCTTCAACCTCCGCCTCCCGGGTTCCAGCAATTCTCCTGCCTCAGCCTCCCGAGTAGCTGGGATTACAGGCGCGTGCCACCATGCCCGGCTAATTTTTGTATTATTAGTAGAGACAGGGTTTCACCATGTTGGCCAGGCTGGTCTCGAACTCCTGACCTCAGGTGATCCACCCGCCTCGGCCTCCCAAAGTGCTGGGATTACAGGCGTGAGCCACCGCACCCGGCCCACTCCTGGGCTTAATGTCCCAGAACCCAGCATGACTCAGGCCTATGAGAGATGAACACGTTTTATGTTGAATAAAAACCTCTTTGTGGGCTCTAGAGATCAGGGTGTACCCCTCAGGGGGTCTAGGCTGTGTGCACCTCTTCTGGTCTAGTGCTGGAAACGTCATCTGATACCTCCCGGCCTCTCTTCACATCTCGCCTTTCTCCTGACCCTGGCTGCTGCTGACGGTGTGTACCAACTCGTAAGCATATATTGTGCCCTATCTCTTCCCAACTCTTAGTTCAGTGACCTCCGGTTGCTAGCTTGAAGTCAGCCGTGGTGGGAGTATTTACACCACGGAAACTGACAAACACTCCACAACCAACCTTTTCCTCTTCCTTGGAGAGCCCATTGTTAGACCTCTGCCAGCACACCACTGTCTTCCTGCCCTACTTTTTTTTTTACACCTTGCCTTGTGAACTCCACCAATGAAGGGCTCTTGGAACCCGCCTCCCCACCCAAAAATGAAAGGAGAACTCGGACTGAGAAGGCAGGGACCCAGCACCCAACTTCTGAGCATCAAATGACCTCAATCCGTCTTCAGGTTCTCACAAGTGCTTGCCAGTGTCACCATAAGTAAGATTCTATTTCAAGAAATAATGGTGCCACCCCAGGAAAATGTCCTCAAGCCAAGCTCTATTTTCCAATCCCACCATCAAAACTGAAAACCAAAAAAAAAAAAAAAAAAATCTAAAAAAGGGAATGTATGTTTGAAATGTAGGGCTGCCTCCTCCAAATCTATTTCCCCCTCTTCCTATCTCTTGTTTATTTACAGATGGGAGTCTGTCTAGCTGCTGCTTCTCTGTGAAATAGCCACAACTATAGGTGGTACGTCCCAAGCAGCTACCCCAGTTCCACCAGTGTCTCACCTTTAGAAAATCCTAAAACAAAAGAAAAAAGGAGTAGAGATGGAACAGGCAAGGTGCCTTTCATTTCCCTACCAAATACACACATTCCCAATGTGCTAATGAGCGAATGAGTGATAAAATGTCTTTAAAAAGAAACTAAGAAGAAAAAGTACATATATGTATAGCTACATATATGAATGTAGATCTTTGTCTCTCAAACGGTCCCCTAAACCTACCATGTAAGCCTGACATTTGTGAAGTCTGTGAAATTCCCAGATAATTTATTTTTAATGTAACCACATCATTGGCCTAAGGTTTCCCGACGGGGCTTCTTAAAGTCTGTCTTTGGAATTTCTAGAAAGGTCCCTAACCATATGCTAAAGAAGTGTCCACGTGTAGGGCCAGGCACAATGGCTCATGCCTGTAATCCCAGCACTTTGGGAGGCCGAGGCAGGCGGATCACTTGAGGTCAGGGGTTCCAGACCAGCCTGGCCAACATGGTAAAACCCTGTCTCTACTAATAATAGAAAAATTAGCCGGGCATGATGGAGCACACCTGTAATCCCAGCTAATTGGGAGATTGAGGCAGGAGCAACGCTTCAACCCGGGAGGTGGAGGTTGCAGTCAGTGAGCTGAGATCACACCACTGCACTCCAGCCTAAGCAAAAGAGTGAGACTCCGTCTCAATTAAAAAAAAAAAAAAAAAAAAGGGCCGGGCGCGGTGGCTCACGCCTGTAATCCTAGCACTTTGGGAGGCCGAGGCGGGCGGATCACGAGGTCAGGAGATCGAGACCATCCTGGCTAACACGGTGAAACCCCGTCTCTACTAAAAATACAAAAAAAATTAGCCGGGCCTGGTGGTGGGCATCTGTAGTCCCAGCTACTCGGGAGGCTGAGGCAGGAGAATGGCGTGAACCCGGGAGGTAGAGCTTGCAGTGAGCTGAGATCGTGCCACTGCACTCCAGCCTGGGCGACAGAGCTAGACTGTGTCTGCAAAACAAAAACAAAACAAAAAAAAAAATTCTGTCCACGTGGAAAGTTAAGTTATCAAGCCCCCCTACCTGCTTGTTCAAGGGCACGGTGATTCTGACCTAAACATGACCCCAAATCAACTGCAAGTTTGGTTTGACTTCTTCTTGGAGCAAGTTCTCAGCACCACTTTCTGAAGCCTGGAGCTCGTGGTGTACTTCAGCGGTCACAATCGTGCCAGACGGTGTTAGGGTTGAGAGAATCACTAGGACCTGTGAGCTGTCCCAGGAGAGGGAGGAGCCTCTCCCTGTGGAGGAAAGGGGTGGTCTCTGTAAGCTGAACACCGAGCTGTCAGAAGGACAGCTGGTTCGGGTTGCTTTCTCAGGAATGCCATCCCGGGATCTAAACTGCAGGGAAGCAGATTCAGAAGAGAAAGGGTCCCGAGGCCCGATGGAGAGAGATGGAGACTGCGTCCTCTACAAGATCTGAAACTTCCAGGCACTCTGATCCTTGTAGTCCAGAGGGTCCATGGGATTGTAGGTGAATTTCCAGGTGCCCGTGGGGTCCTTGAATTCCAAGCTATCCACGGGGCTGTAGGCGCCATAGCTCTGGCCTGATAGGGAGGTGGGGGACTGGGCCAGGGAAGGTCCCACGGAGGGGCCAGAGAGGGGGCTAAGAGCCGGGCCCCCTAGCTGGGGCACCATGGGAGAAAGGTAGGGGTCTAGGCCGCTGAAATAGGAGCTCGGAGACCCATAGGCGGAGGGGGAAGAGCAGAAAGCGGAGGCCGGGGCGTAGGTCATGGCATAGGGGGCGGAGGTCAGAGACGGCCCTGAGGCCACCAGCCCAGCCCGCTGCGCCTCAGGCAAAGGGGACTCTGAGGCTGGGCTCCAGATGGACACAGTGGCCACTGCCGTGGTTGGGGAGCCTGAGGGGCCGGGCAGAGGGGGACTGTAGGAATCTGAGATGCCCAGAGGGTCTGGACACACATCTGTGGAGGGTCTTGGGGACGTGCCCGCCTTCCTCTTGGCAGGCCGGGCCTTGGCCTGGCCCCCTGGGGGCTGCTGCTGCTGTTTCTGCTGCTGTCGCTGCTGCCTGCATTTAGCCCTCCGGTTCTTGAACCAAACCTGGGGGATAAGAGCGGAGATGGGGGTGGGTAAGTGGGGAAGAGGCCCAGGAGAGCCGCAGGGTGCCCGGGGATGAGGACACTTATTGGTGAGAGGTGCTGGGTTCACATCTGTCTACTTTGCATCCAGCTGTGGGGCGTCTATTCACCCATCCATCCATCTATCCATCCAATCATACCTGCATGTGTGCATGAACACATGCATACATCATACCCATGTGCATTCATCCCATCCGTCTAATGCAAACATGCACACGTACAATTATACATGCATACACCATACGCACATACATCATGCCTGCATTTACCCATCGATATGATCATACATACATCATACACATATTCATCCACCCATCTAATACAAACATGCACACGTACAGTTATACATATATACACCATACGCACATATATCATGCATACATTTACCCATCTATATGATCATACGTACATCATACACATTTTCATCCATCCATCTAATACAAACATGCACACATACAATTATACATACATACACCATACACACATACATCATGCCTGCATTTACCCATCTATATGATCATACATACATCATACACATATTCATCCACCCATCTAATACAAACATGCACACATACAATTATACATACATACACCATACGCACATACATCATGCATACGTTTACCCATCTATCTGATCATACATACATACATCATACACATATACATCATACATACATTCACTGGCTCATCTGATCATACATGCAAGTGTACATGCATCATACACGCATACATCATACATGCATTAATGGAGCCATCTGATCATACATATATACATCATACACATTCATCCATCCATCTGATCATACAAACATACAATTATACATACATACATTGTACACACATACATCATACATATATACACATTAATCCATACATACAATCATGCAGACACACATTTCATTTATCCATCTAATTATATATACATGCGTACACTCATATATACACAAATAAACCCATCCAGTCATCCAATCATGCATGTATGCGTACATACATGATACCTACAGGCATTTATCCATCTAATGCAAACATACATACAATTATACATGCATACACCATACACACATGCATCATGCATACATTTATCCAGCTATCTGATCATACATACATCATATACATATTCATCCATCTGATCATACAGACATACAAACATACAATTATAGGCACATACATTGTACACACATACAGCATACATAGCTACACACTAATCTATCTAATCATATGTGCATACAATCACACAAACATACATATTTCATTTATCCTTCCAATCATACACACGTGTGTATGCACATATATGTAACATCATACCTACAGCATACAAACATACACGCATACAATTATACATACATACACCATACACACATACATTATGTAGACATCCATCTGATCATATATACATACCTCACACATATATATGTCATACACACATTCACCAGTCCATCTGATCATACATACATCATACATAGACTTATCCATCTGATGATACATACAATTGTACACACATACATCATACATAGATTCATCCATCTTATACATATAATTATATAAACATAGGTCATACACACATACATCATACATGCATTAATGGATCTATCTAATCATACATACATCATATGCATGTTCATCCATCCATCTGATTATACAAACATACAAATATACAATTATACACCCATACATCATACACACATACATCATGCATACATATACATTAATCCATCCAGTCATACCTATATACAATCATACTAACACACACATTTTATTTATCAGTCCAATCATATATACATGCATACACTCATATATACATAAATACACCCATCCGGCCGGGCGCGGTGGCTCACGCCTGTAATCCCAGCGCTCTGGAAGGCCGAGGCAGTAGGATTGCCTGAGGTCAGGAGTTTGAGACCAGCCTGGCCAACATGGTGAAACCCCATCTCTACTAAAAATACAAAAATTAGCCCGGTGTGGTGGCACACGCCTGTAATCCCAGCTACACAGGAGGCTGAGGCAGGAGAATCACTTGAACCCAGGAGGCGGAGGTTGCAGTGAGCCAAGATCATGCCACTGCACTCCAGCCTGGGCGACAGAGCGAGACTCCATTTCAAATAAATAAATATACCCATCCATCCAATCATGCAAGCATGTATACATACATGTGCACATACACCACGTATACATATATCATGCATGCATACATTCATCATCTATCTAATCATACCTATGTGCGTTCATGCAAACACACATATATACATGTATCCATCCCATCATACACACAGACACTCATATATACACATACATACACTCATCCATGCTTCCAGTCATACATGCACACGCACACCTACAGTCACACATACATACATTCATCTATGCATCCACCCACCCATCCATCCATCCGTCTATTCAGTCAGTTAATAAACATGTATTAACCATTTTCTACTACTCTGAGTGTCCGTCAGTGGAATTGACATTCTAGTTGGGAGAGACAGAGTCTAAATAAACAGACTCTGAGATACCATATGTAAATCATATGCAATTTTAAATGCTGTGTTCAGTGTGGGTCTCACTGATGGATAAGCAAAGACTCGAACAAGGCGATGGGGCCTGCTGTGTGGTTATCTGGAAATAAGCATTCCAGATAGAGGAAACTGAGTGCAAAGGCCCAAGGCAGGAGGGTGCTTGGCAGGCAGGTCAGGGCCAGCGCAGCTGGAGAGGAGCGAGGGGCAATGAGAGCCATGAGGCGGTCAGTGGGATGGTGGGGAGAGGGATTATTGTCCCCTTTATAACTTTGGCTGTCACTCTGTGATCTCTCCCTCCTCCCATCACTCTTTGTTCCGGGCAGGCCTCCTGAGATCACAGGAAGTGTCGGGAGGGGTCCAGGGACCCACCACCCCACCTGAACCCTGGACTCAGGCAGATTGATCTTCAGAGCCACCTCCTCACGGGCATAGACGTCTGGGTACTGGGTCTTGGCAAACAGTGCCTCCAGCTCCTCCAGTTGGCTCCGGGTGAAGGTGGTGCGCTCCCGCCGCTGCTTCCTGGGGGCGCCTGGGGTGGGATGGGAAACAGGACCCTCAGGTCATCCACATGGGCTGGTGTGAGGCCCTGAGGCTGGGTGGGATGCCAAGAATTCCATCCTGGTTGCCATCTGCCTAAACTAAGGATGGAATACACATTCCCTGCCCTTCTACACCTCACTGTGTGCCTGGCACTCTGTGGCTCATGCCTGACCCCAAGGCTTTAGCTCAACAAGGAGGTGTGCGAGTCGTTTTTCCCTCTTCTAAACTTTCTTATGCACTAAGACATAATCAGTTGAAGCATGACATTGCTGACATTCAACCGTTTCTAGCCTATAAAAGTAGCAAGTCTGGGCTGGGTGCGGTGGCTCACGCCTATAATCCCAGCACTTTGGGAGGCTGAGGCAGGCAGATCACAAGGTCAAGAAATTGAGACTATCCTGGCCAACATGGGGAACCCCTGTCTCTACTAAAAATACAAAAAATTAGCCAGGTGTGGTGGTGCATGCCTGTAGTCCCAGCTACTCGGGAGGCTGAGGGAGGAGAATCGCTTGAACCCAGAAGGCAGAGGTTGCAGTGAGCCAAGATTATGCCACTGCACTCCAGCCTGGTAACAGAACAAGGCTCGGTCTTGAAAAAAAAAAAAAAAAAAACAAGAGCTAAAGAATAATGCTACAAATAACTGAGTACTCACTTCTCTTAAAAATAAGGCTTTACAAAAATTGGCCGGGCATGGTGGTGTGCGCCTGTAATCCCAGCTACTTGGGAGGCTGAGGCAGGAGAATCACTTGAACCTGGGAGGCAAAAGTTGCAAAGAGCCAAGATCGCGCCATTGCACTCCAGCCTGGGCAGGAGCGAAACTCCGTCTAAACTGTGTCTCGAAAGAAAAAAAAAGAAAAAGAAATAAGGCTTTGCAGGCCAGGTGCAGTGGCTCATGCCTGTAATCCCAGCACTTTGGGAGGCTGAGTCAGGCGGATTATTTGGACCCAAGAGTTTGAGACCAGCCTGGGCAACATAGGGAGACCCAATCTCTACAAAAAAAAAAATAATAATAATTTTTTCTATGTTTTGTATAATCCAGATCCTGCAAAATCTACAAAAACTTAAAAAAGTTAGCCAGGCATGGTGGCGTGCACCTGTAATCCTAGCTATTTGGGAGGCCAAGGCAAAAGGATCGCTTGAGCCCAGGAGTTCGAGGCTGTAGTGAGCTGTGATTGCACCATTGCACTTCAGAGTGGGCAACAGAGTGAGACCCTGTCTCAAAAATAAAATTAAAAAAAAAAAGTGCCCCCCGGGCCTAGGCACAATGGCTCACACCTGCAGTCCCAGCTACTCAGGAGGCTGAGGTGGGAGGATTGCTTGAGCCCAGGAGTTCGAGGCTGCAGTGAGCCGTGACCACCACCACTGCACTCCAGCCTGGGTGACAGAGTGTGAGACCTTGTCTCTGAAAAATAAATAAATAATAAAGTTTTGGTAACAGATGAAAATTCCTCTTGATTCCCCTTCCAGATTACATCCCCTCTTCCTCACCCCAAAAGGAACCTCTGTCCTGAATTTCTAGGACTGCTAATGTTTTTCTAAGTGACATACATTTCAGATGAACCCAGAGGGCTGGTGTATGGCCCTGAAGTCGCCCCTGTGATTGCCTTCTTCCTGGGGGCAAAGGGACCCCAGAGGTCCTCCAAGAGATGAGGCCAGCCTGGGGTGCCAAGAGAAACGACTGTACTCACTTGGGTAGGGCACAGCCTGGTGCATCAGATCCACACTGGGGCCACTTAGGGCCAAGGCGTTGACAGAATAGTGGGGCCCCGGGTTCATATACGCCATCATGATCTTCGGGGACACTGAGGCCCAAGTCAGGGGGCCTGCAAGAGAAGAGGAGGGATGCTCACTCACTTACCAGTTACTCACCATGGGGTGACGTGCAGGCTGCGATTCAAATCCTGCCTCCTTCTCCTCTTAGGTATGTGACCTTGGCCATTTATCTCACCTCTCTGTACCTCTGTGTCCTCACATGTAAAATGGCCTCTGCTTAAGGTTCTCAGAGCTTTCTTGAGACTCTGCAAAGCAGACAGCTGAAGCCATCATGTGCCTCATAAGTGCAAGCTCTTATTCCTACTCTACCCTCTAAAAATCTCGTCCTGGCTAGGCACAATGGCTCACATCTGTCATCCCAGCACTTTGGGAGGCCAAGGCGGGAGGATCACTTGAGCCCAGGAGTTTGAGACCAGCCTGAGCAACATAGCAAGACCCTGTCTCTTAAAAAAAAAAAAAAAGTGTTCTTTAAAAAGTTAACTGGGTGTGGTGATGCATGCCTGTAATCCCAGCTACCCAGGAGGCTGAGGTGGGAGGATCACTTGAGCCCAGGAGTTTGGGGCTGCAGTGAGCTGTGTTCAGGCCATTGCACTCCAGCCTGGGTGACACAGCAAGACTCTAAGAAAAAAACAAAACAAATCTGATCCTGTTACACACCCTCATCCAAGATCCCTTCTTTCTTGACCATGGGCAAACACGCTCAGCCTCACTTATAACCCAGGACTGCAGGTTGACCAACCGTCCCTCTTTGCCCAGGTTGGAGGAGAGGTGGGTGTTTCTTGGAACACAGGACTTTCAGTGCTAGAGCCAGAATGGTCCCAGGCAAACTGGATTGGTTGGTCACCCTAAGGGAGAGTGGCATTAAACCAACAGTAAGGGCCAGGCAAGGTGGCTCACGCCTGTAATCCCAGCACTTTGGGAGGCTGAGATGGATGGATCACCTAAGGTCAGAAGTTCAAGACCAGCCTGGCCAACATGGTGAAACCCCATCTCTATTAAAAATACAAAAATTAGCCAGGTGTGGTGGCGGGTGCCTGTAATCCCAGCTACTTGGGAGGCTGAGGCAGGAGAATCACTGGAACCCGGGAGGCAGAGGTTGCAGTGAGCCAAGATCGCACCACCGCACTCCAGCCTGGGCGACAGAGCGAGACTCTGTCTCAAAAACAAAACAAAACAAAACAAAAAAACAAAAACAAAAACAAACAAAAAAACGACAGTAAGGGCTAAGCAAGGCGGCTCACACCTGTAATCCCAGCACTTTGGGAGGTCAAGGCAGGAGAATCACTTGAGCCCAGAAGTTCAAAACCAGCCTAGGCAACATAGTGAGACCCCCATCTCTGAAAAAAAGAAAAAGAAATAGTGAGACCCCCCATCTCTGAAAAAAGAAAAAGAAATAGACCCCTATCTCAAAAAAAAAAAAAAAAAAAAAGCGAGTGTGGATCTTCCATGATCACTTTTGACCTATCAGGTTGGCAAAGATGAAGGAGGTTGATAACTTCCAGCACTGGTGTCAGTGTGGGGAAAGGCACACTCCCATGGCAGATAGGTAGCAGTACAGGTTGTAACAAACTGTTATTGAAGTAAAATGCCATCTTTCTTTTGTCCTAGTAATTCACCTTCAATGTATACCTCAGTCGCCTTGTTGGAAAATGGGAATGAAAATCGCATTTATGGGCCAGGCGCAGTGGCTCACACCTGTAATCCCAGCACTTTGGGAGACCAAGGCAGGCAGATCACTTGAGGTCAGGAGTTTGAGATTAGCCTGGTCAACATGGTGAAACCCCGTCTCTACTAAAAATACAAAAATTAGCTGGGCACAGGGGTGCACGCCTGTAGTCCCAGCTACTTGGGAGGCTGAGGCAGGAGAATCGCTTGAACCTGGGAGGCGGAGGCTGTAGTGAGCCAAAATGGTGCCACCACACCCCAGCCTGGGCTACGGACTCCGTCTCAAAAAAAAGAAAAGAAAAGAAAAAGAAAATAGCATTTATGTTCAGGTGGCAACATAGCGAAACTCTCCTGTCTCTACAAAAAATTAATTTTTTTTTTAAAGTAAGCCTGGGCGCAGTGGCTCATGCCTGTAATTTCAGCACTTTGGGAGGCCAAGGCAGGCAGATCACCAGAGGTCAGAAGTTCGAGACCAGCCTGGCCAACATGGTGAAACCCCGTCTCTGCAGAAAATACAAAAATTAGCCGGGCATGGTGGCGCGTGCCTGTAATCCCAGCTACTCGGGAGGCTGAGGCAGGAGAATCGCTTGAACCCGGGAGGCAGAAGTTGCAATGAGCCAAGATCAAGCCACTGCACTCCAGCTTGGGCGACAGAGCGAGACTCCGTCTCAAAAAAAAAAAAAAAAAACATAAGGCTGCTCTCTGAACTGATTTTAAAAGATCTCCATTATATAGTTTTAAAAAATTGTTCTAGGGGCCAGGTGTGGTGGCTCACATCTGCAATCCCAGCACTTTGGGAGGCCAAAGCAGGCGGATCACCTGAGGTCGGGAGTTCGAGACCAGCCTGGCCAACATGGTGAAACGTCTCAACTAAAATACAAAAATTATCCGGGCGTGGTGGCAGGCGCCTGTAATCCCAGCTACTCTGGAGGCTGAGGCAGGAGAATCGCTTGAGCCCGGGAGGCAGAGGTTGCAGTGAGCCCAGATCGTGCCACTGCACTCCAGCCTGGGAGACAAGAGCAAGACTTCATCTCAAAAAAAATAAAAATTAAAAAAAGTTCTAGGCTCGGCAATAAGACAAAAAAAGCTGACAGCATGCCATTTCCAAGTCATCTGGGAGTCTTGTCTAACAGACCCACCCAAAGTTTGCTTCATATTCCAAGGCAGCAGTCCTCAACCTTTTTGGCACCAAAAACTGGTTTCGTAGAAGATAATTTTTCCATGGATGGGAGTGGGCAGTGCCTTAGATTTTCATAAGGAGTGTACAACCTAGATCTCTCGCACGTGCAGTTCACAATAGGGTTCACGTTCCTGTGAGAGTCTAGAGCCACCGCTGATCTGACAGGAGGCGGGGCTCAGGCAGTAATGCTTGCTCACCAGCTGTGCAACCCCATGCCTAACAGACTACAAACCGGGGGTTGGGGACCCTATTCTAAGGGACTGTACCTGTATTTGATTTACTATTCTTTTTTTTTTTTTTTTTTTTTGAGACAGAGTCTTGCTCTGTCGCCCAGGCTAAAGTGCAGTGGCGCGATCTCGGCTCACTGCAACTTCTGCCTCCTGGGTTCAAGCGATTCTCCTGCCTCAGCCTCCTGAGGAGCTGGGATTACAGGCATGCGCCACCATGCCCGGCTAATTTTTGTATTTTTAGTAGAGACGGGGTTTCACCATGTTGGCCAGGCTGGTCTCGAACTCCTGACCTCGTGATCCGCCTGCCTCGGCTTCCCAAAGTGCTGGGATTACAGGCGTCAGCCACTACACCCGGTCTGTTATTCATTATTGATTAGAGTCTAGACTTCGACAAGGTAAATGGTAACCCCAGGAAGTTTGGTTGCAAATGATTTCTCTCTGGTAGAAAAGGTAACCTCAAAGGTTACAGTTGTATTGTCCTGTAGGTCTTTAACCAGTTTTGTATCTAACCTGGCAAATTTTCTCCAGCCCGTCTTTCCTGACTAAACCTATCAACTTCTGTTCATCAAATTCTCCTTTTTTTTTTTTTTAATGGAGTCTTGTTCTGTCGCCCAGGCTGGAGTGCAGTGGCACAATCTCGGCTTGCTGCAAACTCCACCTCCTGGGTTCAAGTTATTCTCCTGCCTCAGCTTCCCAAGTAGCTGGGATTACAGGCATGAGCCACCACACCCAGCTAATTTTTTGTATTCTTAGTAAAGACAAGGTTTCACCATTGTTAGCCAAGCTGGTCTCGAACTCCTGACCTCAGGCACCCGCCACCACGCCCAGCTAATTTTTGTATTTTTAGTAGAGTCGGGGTTTCACCATGTTGGCCAGGATGGTCTCAATCTCTTGACCTCGTGATCCACCCACCTCAGCCTCCCAAAGTGCTGGGATTACAGGCGTGAGCCACTGCACCCGGCCCAAATTCTCCTTTGAAACAGCTGGTTCCTTCATTCATGACTTAAATAAATCTTTGACCTGTGCTTATTATATATGCGTCAGAGAATCAGATTTGTTTTTTGGGGTTTTTTAAGAGACAAGGTCTCCCTCTGTCATCCAGGCCGGAGTGCAGCGGCGTTGCCATAGCTCACTGCAGCCTCCAACTCCTGGGCTCAAGTGATCTTCCCACCTCAGCCTCCCAAAGTGCTAGGACTACAGACATGAGCCACCACACCTGGCCAAATGTTTTTCTTTTTTTCCCATTTAATTGCACTTTGACAATAAGTGTTTGTGAATGTTATTTTATATATTGTATATGACCAAACCATATATATTTATTATTATTTGTGTTATTATATATTATAAATATTATAAAATTATAATATTTATATATTCAAAGGAAACAAGTATGGTGCTGGGCAGTATGTATACCTCGCAACCATTTGTGATTTTTAAAACAATGCAGATGGCCAGGTGCTGTGTCTCACACCTATAATCTCAGCACTTTGGGAGGTCAAGGTGGGCAGATTGCTTGAGCCCAGGAGTTCGAGACCAGCCTGGGTAACATGGCAAAACGCTGTCTCCACAAAAAAAAAAATACAAAAATTGGTCAGGCATGGTGGTCCGCACCTGTAGTCTCAGCTACTCAGGAGGCTGAGGCAGGAGGATCACTGGAGCCCAGGATTTGGAGACTGCAGTGAGCTATGAGCATGCCACCGCACACCAGCCTAGGCAATAGAGGAAGACCTTGTCTCAATAATAACAATAAATAGGCCAGGTGCAGTTGCTCACGCCTGTAATGCCAGCACTTTGGGAGGCCGAGGCAGATGGATCACCTGAGGTCAAGAGTTCAAGACCAGCCTGGCCAACATGGCAAAACCCTGTCTCTACTAAAAATACAAAATTAGGCAGGCGTGGTGGTGGGCGCCTGTAATCCCAGCTACTCCAGAGGCTGAGGCAGGAGAATCACTTGAACCCGGGAGGCAGAGGTTGCAGTGAGCCGAGATCACGCCATTGCACTCCAGCCTGGGCAACAAGAGCGAAACTCCATCTCAAAAAAAGAGTCATAATAATAAAGTAAATTTAAAAATAAAAATACAATAAAATAAAAATACAAAAATTAGCCAGGCATGGTGGTGCATGCCTGTAATCCCAGCTACTTGGGAAGCGGAGGCAGGAGACCCTCTGGAACCTGGGAGGTGGAGGTTGCAGTGAGCCGAGATTATGCCAGTGCACTCCAGCCTGGGAGGCAGAGTGAGACTCCATCTCAAAAATAATAAGTATTATAATTATGAATTAATAAACAAAATGAGGCATTGATTTTACTCATGTGTAGAATATACACTTGTATATGCGTAGAAAATTCCCAGGAAGGAAGCAAGCTACTGGCACCAGTGACTGCCTCTGGGAAGGAATGCTAAAGCCATATCTTGTCTCTATAGTTTGGATTACTTTTTAATTGTGTGTGTGTGTGTGTGTGTGTGTGTGTGTGTGTGTGTGTGTGTGTGTTCTTGTCAAAAGCAAAAACAACAATAAAATCTTCAAAAAAGCAAACAGAACATGAAAACCCTCTGAGGGTTCCTCATTGCCCTCATTAGGATGGACTCAGAAAACCTCTCACCCTCCACAGCTATTTGCATAAGCCGTTTCCTGGGCTAGGAACGCCTCTCCCCCACCCCAAAGCCCCTCTCACCAGCTAACCCCTTCTCCTCCACGTCTCAGCTCAGCTACTTTCCCCAGAGAAAGCAACCTACGCCCCTAAACTGGATTTTACACACACACACACACGCTCCCTACCTCCTTTTCTTCAAGACACAGCTTGTATTAAACGACATATTTATATGTTTGTTTATCTATCTCTCTCCCTCAAATTCTATCAGTTACCTGAGTTCAGGGACTGGTAATATCTCGGTTCCTGCCATGTCCCCAGCACCCCCAATAAATATTTGAAACATAAGAAAAAGAATTAAAAATGGATGGTGTTTATTGTGAGCTCCCACTCTTCCGTTCCTCTCACTGTCCTTTCCTTCTCATCCCTCACATGAGGAGGGGGACAGATTCTGTTTATTTTAAGTTGAGATTCTACTGTTCATTCAGTAAATATTTTTTGAATGCCTTCCCTGCTCTAGGAACTAGGAATATAGGAAGAAATAAGACCGCAGCTTCTCTGTTCTCATAGAATTGAACTTCTTGGTTCCGTTCCTAGAGAAACCAATAACAAACAAGGAAAAAAAAATTTTTTTTTTTTGAGATGAAGTCTCACTCTTGTCCCCCAGGCTGGAGTGCAATGGCTTGATCTCGGCTCACTGCAGCCTCTGCCTCCCAGGGTCAAGTGATTCTCCTGCCTCAGCCTCCCAAGTAGCTGAGACTACAGGGGCCTGCCACCATACCTGGCTAATTTTTGTATTTTTAGTAGAGATGGGGTTTCACCATGTTGGCCAGGCTGGTCTCGAACTCCTGACCTCATGTGATCCACCCGCCTCGGCCTCCCAAAGTGCTGGGATTACAGGCGTGAGCCACCACGCCCTGCCTTTTTTTTTTTTTTTTTTTTTTTTTTTTTTTTTTTAATAAAGATGCCATGGCCAGGAGCAGGGGCTCTTGCCTGTAATCCCAACACTTTGGGAGGCTGAGTTATGAGGATCACTTGAGGTCAGGAGTTTGAGATCAGCCTGGCCAACATGGTGAAACCCCATCTCTACTAAAATACAAAAATTAGCCAGACATGATGATGGGTGCCTGTAATCCCAACTACTTGAGAATCGCTTGAACCCGGGAGGCGGAGGTTGCAGTGAGCTGAGATGGCACTACTGCACTCCAGCCTGGGCAACAGAGCAAGACTCTGTCAAAAAAAAAAAAAAAAAAAAAGCCTTCAGAAAGTTTCAAGAACTCCCAGGAAAATAAAACAGGTTGTTATGAGAGTGAAGGCATTTGGGGTGGGTGAGGCATCTAGGAATTTGTGTGGATCTGGAATAGAGATTTCCAGGCAAAAAAAAAAAATTAAAAAAACAGCAGGTGCAAAGGCTTGGAGGCTGGAATCTCACACCGTCACCCTGAGCAAGACAGGGTCTCCAACTTGGTCTTGTTGGAGAAGAAACAAGGCACCCTGTGTGACCATAGCAGATTGATCATGGAGAAAAGCAGAAAGAACAAGTAAAACCTGGTAGGAATGTCACGAGAAGGCTCAGTGCTGACAATAAAATCAAAAGCAGCTACATTAAATCCCCAAAATCAAACTGCCTCCAAGGTAACTCCCAATAATCCTTACCCCCTGATATTCATGCCCTGTGTAGTCCCTACTAACAAGCTGGCTGACGTGTGTAACCAACAGGATATTGCAGAAATGACAGAGCGTGGCTTCCAAGGCTAGCTCTAAGGAAAGCCAGCCGCCATGTTGTGAGGATGCTCAAGCCATCCCACGGAGAGGTCTATGTGGCAAAGAAATGAGGCCTCCTGCCAACAGCTATGAGAGTAAGCTACCATGGAGGTTAGTTCCCCAGCCTCAGCCAAGCCATTAAGTGACTTCAGTCCTGGCCGACATCTGACCACAACCACATGGAACACCCTGAGCCGGAATAATCCAGTTAAGCCACTCTTGGATTCCTGTCCCTTGGAAACTATAAGAGATCAGAAATGTTTATTGTTTGAAGCTGCTCAATTTTAGGATAAGTGTTACCCAGCAATAGTTAACTAATACACAAGCCTTCTCTATACAGGTAGTCATTAAATCCCCAGCACAACCTTGGGAGGTAGAGACTGTATTACTATGATGCTTACATTTTGGTTTTGGTTTTGGTCTTAGGGACAGCATGTCACTCTGTCACCCAGGCTGGAGTGCAGTGGCACAATCATAGCTCACTGCAGCCTCGACCTCCTGAGCTCAAGCCATCCTCCCACCTCAGCCTCCCAAGTAGCTGGGACTACAGGTGTGCCACAACGCCTAGCTAATTTTTTAAATTTTTGTGTAGAGAGAGGTGTCTTGCCATGTTGCCCAGGCTGGTCTTGAACTCCTGGCCTGAGCAGATCCTCCTGCCTCAGCCTCCCAAATTGCTGAGATTACAGGCATGAGACACTGCTTTTGCCTGATGCTTACAGTTTAGAGAACATCTTCAGGCTCGAAAGTGTGACTTACCCGGGATCACACACAGGCTGGCAGTGGAGAATCCAGGATTTCAAGGCTAGAGTAATTCCTGAAGGTCCTATTCCCCCAGCCCCCTAACCTGGGTTCCCTCTGTCCTCTCCCACTTCTCCAAAAACCAATAATGTTAAATATGAACCTCCAGAGAGTGGAGACAAGGAAACTGGTGAACCTGCCCCACTGGGGACCATTTGCAGGGCCTGGAACAAAAGCACACACTTTCATTGTCTTCGCCGTCAAATCTGAGTCAGATTGCCTGGCTAAGCAGTTAACCTTCCAGGAAAGCCAAGAAAGCTCACATTTACGATCACCACTTTCTGGGTTTTTGTTTTTGTTGTTGTTGTTATTTTGAGACGGAGTCTCTGTCACCCATGCTGGAGTGCAGTGGCGCAATCTTGGCTCACTGCAACCTCCACCTCCCGGATTCAAGCGATTCTTCTGCCTCAGCCTCCCAACCTGGGACAACAGGCATGTGCCATCATGCCTGGCTAATTTTTTTTTTGTATTTTTAGTAGAGATTGGGTTTCTCCATGTTGGCCAGGCTGGTCTCAAACTTCTGACCTCAGGTGATCCGCCCACCTCGGCCTCCCTAAGTGCTGGAATCACAGGCGTGGGCCACAGTGCCTGGCCAGGATCATCCCTTTTAACGGATAGGGGAGAGGAGGCTCAGCAGGAGGAAAGTGTGGGCCCCAGATCAAACAGCTGATAATAATGATAAAGTGCTGCCTAGACAAGATGTCAGCAGAGAATAATAACAATAATAATATTGAACATCCACTGAAATCTTTCCCTGGGTTTGGCAGCAACCTGAGGCAGCTGATGACAGAAGGGCCTCCAGTGAGGGCTGGGCGTGGTGGCACGTACCTGTAATCCCAGCACTCTGGGAGGCTGAGGTGGGAAGATCGCTTGAGCCCAGGAGTTGGAGGCTGCAGTGAGCTATGATCCAGCCACTGCACTCCAGCCTGGGCAACAGAGCAAGATCCTCTCTCAAAACAAAACAAAACAGGCCAGGCCAGTGGCTCAGCACTTTGGGAGGCTGAAGCAGGCGGATCACTTGAGGTCAGGAGTTCAAGGCCAGCCTGGCCAACGTGGTGAAACCCCGTCTACTAAAAATACAAAAATTAGCCGGGCATGGTGTTGTCCCAGCTTCTGGGGAGGCTGAGGTACAAAAATCTCTTGAACTCGGGAGGCGGAGGCTGCAGTGAGCTGAGATTGCACCACTGCATTCCAACCTGGGCGACAGAGCACGACTCCATCCCAAAAAAAAAAAAAAAAAATCAATCAATCGAAAGAGGACCTGTCTCCTGGGGAGGAAAAAAAAAAAAGAATGTCCAGGAATTCATCACTCGGCAGACACTTGGCCCAGGCTTTATATACAAGATCTCACAATGACAACAATTTCCAGACACTGATGTTTTATGATTTCAAGGGGTGGAACAAAGAATATCAGTGTCTCTGCCCTGGGGATCAACCTGGGAGGCCCCAGGCTGATTCTCAGAGCTGTGGGGTTCGGCACTCACTGGGTCCCAGGTTCCCAGCTGAGCAGTTGTTCCCACAGGTGAGGTCTGAATGCTCACAGCCACCTGGTGGGGCAGACATGCAGATAACTCCATTCTACAGCGGGGGAGACTGAGCCTGGGAGGGAGGGAGGTGCCCACAGTTCAGGTGGCTGATGACCTTAAGGACCTCCAGGGGGCCCCAGCTTCTCACACACTGCATGCACCATGGACCTTGGGAACAAGATCTCAGGCAACAGTAACTCCATGGAAACTTCCTCCCAGGCGGCTTCTGGTATCATCCCCACTTTACAGAGAAGGAAACTGAGGCTGAGAGAAGTGTAGTCTCCAGTTCTGTCTCGCACGTCAGCGGCAGAGCCAGAGCTGGGCCAGCACCTGCCCCGGAGCCGGTGCCCTCCTGATCACCCGGCGATATGGCCTCTTAGGATGCTCCCCACAGCCCCACGGAGCTCAGAGGTCCCTTTCTCAGAGGAGGAAACTGAGGCTGAAAGAGGTTTCGTCAATTCCCGAGGTCACACAGGTGATGAGTGGAAGAACCAGGGGTAAAATTTAAATCTCTTTGGCCCCCGAGCCCCGCTCTTCACCCCCAAGTCTACCTAGGGACCCTAGAAACAGAATGAGGCTGGTCTCCTGCCCTGCTCCCACTGCAGGCCAGGCCTGCAATATGGCTCATCTGGCTGGATCATGGTGACAGCTTATCATTGTCCCCACTTTGCAGAGGAGGCAACCAAGGCCCAGAGAGCCCACATGAGGGGTCCAAGGCCACACAGTGAGAAAAGAACAAGATTTAAACGCAGACTCGGCCGGGTGTGGTGGCTCACGCCTGTAATCCCAGCACTTTGGGAGGCCGAGGCAGGTGGATCACCTGAGGTCAGGAGTTTGAGACCAGCCTGGCTAACAAGGTGAAACCCCATCTCTACTAAAAATACAAAAATAAGCCAGGCATGGTGGTGCACGCCTGTAATCCCAGATACTTGAGAGGCTGAGGCAGGAGAATCGCTTGAACCTGGGAGGTGGAGGTTGCACTGAGCTGAGGTCATGCCACTGCACTCCAGCCTGGGCCACAGAGTGAGACTCCGTCTCAAAAAAAAAAAAAAAAAACCAGACTCATGTGGCTTCATGCCAGCCCTTGGCAAGACCCTCCCAGCTCAGCCACATTCAGGGCCCTCCCTTGTCAGCCACTCCAGCCTCTCTCTGCAGCCTCTGTTGGCTCCTCTGTCCAGCGGGGACAAGGAGCTGGGTGGATGCACCCACTGCCGGCCATGAGACCTGGGGGAAGCTGGGATCCACGGCACAGTTAGAGCCTGAGCAAATCAACTCCGTGATCAACAATGTGATCCCTGAAGCATCCAGAAATTCACACACAGTGGGCAGCCCTGAAGTCGGACCTCACTCTGTGGCAATCACAGCCCTCGCTCGTTCCTTTTGGGAAAACCGCATCACACCTCCTCTCTGTGGCAGTCTGTCTACCTGCTTCTACCCTTCTGCCCTTCATTCATTCATTCATTCCCTGCATATTCACTGAGCACTCACTGTGTGTCTAGGACTGACCCAAGCACTGGGAATACAGCCGAGAGCAAGACAGACAAGGCCTCAGCCCTCCTGACAGGGGCAGACGGGAAACAAGGTGTCAATCAAGAGTTTTGCAGGAGACCGGCTGGGCGCAGAGGCTCATACCCATAATCCCAGCACTTTGGGAGGCTCAGGCGGGCTGATCACTTGAGGTCAGGAGTTCGAGACCAGCCTGGACAACATGGAGAGACCCCCCATCTCTACTAAAAATACAAAAAATAGCTGGGCATGGGGGCACGCGCCTGTAATTCCAGCTACTCAAGAGGCTGAGGTGGATGGACTCCTTGGACCTAGGAGGTAGAGGTTGCAGTGAGTGGAGATCGTGGCACTGCACTCCAGCTTGGGCAACAGAGCAAGACTCCATCTCAAAAACAAACAAAAAAAAACTTTGCAGAAAGAAGATCAGAGAGAGTGACTGTGCTGGAAGCTAAGAGGGCGGGGGCGTGAGGATTCCCCAGTCCCGAAGTAGAGCCTGGGCTGAAAGCCAGAGCCTCTGGGTGCATTGAGGCCCTAAGTGATCAATTCACCAGCACAGTGATCCCCAGTCATCACATTCCTGGCTCTCTCGGGCAGGCCCAAGTCCACCCGGAGTTCTTCCTGTTGCAGCCACAGACCTGGGCTCTCTGCGTATATGTCTGTTCCGTCCCTTGTCTGTCATTCATCCATCCATCTATGCAACACATATTTAGGCAAATCCCAACCACACGCTGGGCACTGGGGAAAAATCAGTGCTCAACAAGGGAGGGAGACAGGCCATTTGTGGATCATCGCGCAAATGAAAATTTCAGGCAGTGCTAAGAGTTTTAAAGAACATCCAACAGAGCGGTATGCTGAGGAGTTGCCTTAGAACCACGGTGAGAAGCCCCCAACCCCGGATGCCGTCAGGGCTTGAGGGGACCCCCTTGCCCACAAGCCACCCTGAATCCTCCCAATGCCCCGAGTGCCATCAGCCAGTCCCTGCTGTCTAACCTTACTCCCTCCTGCTGCAATCACAGCCTAGCCCCGTTTCCACAAATGCCAGGACGGCACCTCTGTTTTGTGTGTGACTATTCAGCAAACATCACCTGCAGAGCACGGCAAACACAGCCACGAATAAGATAAACCCAACTTCTCCCCTCTCTTTTTTCTCCCCTCCTCGGTCCCCTCCGCCTCTCCTGCAGACGCTCACCTTCAGAAAGGAGGGACGGGGCTCTCCCGTGGCCCAGGACCTAGACAGAGCGGCCAGACAGCAGAGGCTGAAGGAAACACATCCCCTCACATGGGGAGATTTTAAGCCTGGGCCGGGAGTGATGTCATTTGTCATGGCCTGGAACTCGGAGGGTAATCCCGGCCAAGGTGGGGGACTCGACTGGGCACCAGGAGGTGACATTGGCTGGGAGGGGGAGGGGCACCCGTCTGCTTAATCCCCTCCTCTTCCCCCCATGACATCTTGGCAATTAGGGCTGATGGGGAAGGGAGGCCCCAGCTCCTGCCGGTGACCATAAGCCCCTACTCCTCAGGGAAGTCCTTCCTTAGGTCTAACTGGTGTCTCTCCAGCTTCAGCTAGTATCCCAAGAGAGAGGCATCAAAGAGGAAGGAGAGCACTGTCAGATGGTCCTGAGAGATCGTCTGAAAAAAGAGAGGCACGGAGCTTTCGGGATCCCTCTCCTGGGTCCCCCTTTCTCTCCACAACAGTCTGTCCGACAGCTAGTTTATCTCTGTAGTGCCTCATTGGTCTCGGTTTCTGCCTCAGTTTCCCCTGTTTCTCTCTCTTTGACTTGGTCAAGTCTTGTCTGTGGCCTCTCTGTCTCTGTGTTGTCAGACATGATATTCTCCTCTTTTTGGGGGCGGAGGTGGCAGGGGCTGCTTCCAGCACTGAAAATAGGCAGACTTATTAGAAAGGGTGTTTTGTTTTTCTGTTTTTGGTGGAGTTTGGGGTTTGGGATTTTTTTCTTTTTTTTTTCCTTTTTTTTTTTTTTGGTTGAGACAGGGTCTCACTCTGTCGCCCAGGCTGGAGTGCAGTGGCATGATCACAGCTCACTGCAGCCTTGACCTCCTGTGCTCAAGGGATCCTCCCTCCTCAGCCTCCCCAGTAGCTGAGACTTTACAGGCACATACCACGATGCCCAGCTAATTTTTTTATTTTCGTAGAGATGGAGTCGCTCTATGTTGCCCAGGCTGGCTTCAAACTCCTGGCCTCAAGCAATCCTCCCACCTCGGCCTCCCAAAGTGCTGGGATTGCAGGCGTGAGCCAACAAACCCAGCACTCACCATCTCTCTACACACCATTGGTCTTTGTCTGGCTTCTCTGTACCTCAGTTTCTTTTCCTGTGGGCCTTAGGCTGTGGCATTTCTGCCTACTTTCCTGAATACCACTCTTTCATTCTCCATCTGCTCCTCTCCGTCCCTGTCTCTGTTGATAAACCTGCATTATCCCCTTGGTCTCTCTTATTCTTTTTCTCTGTGTCTCCCTGTCTATCTTGCTCTTTCTCCCCTCTCCCTCAGCCTCCATGTCCTTCTGTTCCTGTCTGTCTGTCCCTCCCTTTGCTGTCTTTCTGCCTGTCCACCTGTCCCTGTAACTCCAGCCTCATCTCTGTCCCTCTGTCCTCGCTTATCCTCTGCAGCTCCAATCTCTGTTCCTCCTTCTCTTTTTCCCTGTCTCTCTCTCTCTCTCTCTCTCTCTCTGATTCTTGCTTCCCCTCTCCCTGGATTGCCCTTCATTTCTGTTTTGTTTTGTTTTTGTTTGGAGACAGAGTCTTGCTCTGTCACCCAGGCTGGAGTGCAGTGGCACCATCTCGGCTCACTGCAACCTCCACCTCCCCGGTTCAAGCAATTCTCCTGCCTCAGCCTCCCGAGTAGCTGGGAGGATTTCCTTTCATTTCTGTCCTTCTCCCTGTCTTGGTACCTCTGTTGCTCTGTATTTCTGATTTTCCTGGTCTCTGGCCCTCTTTGTGTCTCTCTCCTCTCGTCTGTCTCTCTAGATATTAATATGTCCCTGAGCTCCTGGGTCCCACACGGGTCTGTTTCACTTCCCCGTGCACCCAAACACGCACGCAAGCACACACACACACACACACACACACGCCCGGTAATCCCTCCTTGTGGCTGGGTCATTGTGTCTCAGCCATAAGGGGCCCTTTCTTTCTCCTCCTCCCTCCCCCAAACCCCCTGCTAGGAGAGATTAAGGCTACAGGCCTGGCTGAGGAATCAGGACAGGTCTCATTAGCTTGAAGAGCCAGGGATGACAGCAAGAGAGGGAGGGGCCGTCTGACCCTCGGCGACCAGTCCAGAGGCTCCTGATGGGAGAATCCAGTCCTGGAACAGACCCCCTGGCCCTGCAGCAGGGAAGGAAGGTCAGCTGTACAGGGAGAGGGAGGAGAAAATAACTTCCAGCGGGACAGAGAAGGTGTCAGCAACTCTTAAATCACCTGCCCTGGGGAATCTGGGTACTGGTTGGCTCCTGGATCCAGAGTCCTTCCAGGGGTGGGGGTACAGAGAGGTGGGTTTCAGCTGGTCCTGCACATGGCCCTGGGATCAAGTAAGCTGAAATCAAATCCAAGCACTTCTTCTCTGAGCTAGGTCTTCTGAGGCAACTTGCTTTCCTTCTCATCTCCACCCAGTGGCTCAGGCAGAAATCTGGGCACTCAGCCTGGCCCCTAACCCCTTTCTCCTCACCACTTACATCCAATCCATCCATAAGTCCTGTCATCTCTTCTATCAGATCATTATCCTACTGAAACAATATAAAGCACTGCTGGAAGAAATTAAAGGAGACTCAAGTCAATAGTGAACTATACCATGTTCATGGTTTAGAAGACTCAATGTTATTAAGAGGTCAATTCTTCTCAAACTAATCTTTAGATTTACTGCAATCCCAATCAGAATCTCATCAGGATTTTTCTGTAGAAATTGATTGTCAAACTGATTCTGAAGTTGCTATGGAATATAAATGATCTAGAATAATCAAAGCAGTCTTGGAAAAATAAAACGAGTTGGAGAACTTACGCTACCTGACTTTGAGACTTATTGTAATGCACATGATTGCAGCTGGAAAAAGTGGGGTTAAGGATTAAGAAAATGTGGCACATATACACCATGGAATACTATGCAGCCATAAAAAAGGATGAGTTCATGTCCTATGCAGGGACATGGATGAAGCTGGAAACCATCATTCTGAGCAAACTATCACAAGGACAGAAAACCAAACACCGCATGCTCTCGCTCATAGGTGAGAATTGAACAATGAGAACACTTGGACACAGGGTGGGGAACATCACACACAGGGGCCTGTTGTGGGGTGGGGGGCAGGGGGAGGAATAGCATTAGGAGAAATACCTAATGTAAATGATGAGTTAATGGGTGCAGCAAACCAACATGGCACATGTATCCATATGTAACAAACCTGCACGTTGTGCACATGTACCCTAGAACTTAAAGTATAATAAACAAAAAAAGTGGGGTTAAATTCTGGGGACAGTCTGAAGATGTATGGAATACTGGAGGATCCTTGGATCAGGTTGTTGATGAGTTTCACTCCAGGCTCTACTGCAGGATGGGGGTGCTCCTCATACCTGCACCCCCTTAGCTCCCTAACACATTCATCCTATTTAATCTTTTGCAAAACTCTTACTGACATCTTGTTTCTTGTCTGCCCTTGTCAGGAGGATGGGGCCCTGTCTGTCTTGTTCTCAGCTGTATTCCCAGTACCTAGGACTGTCCCAGACACACAGCAGTAAGTGTGTGTTCAATAAATGTGAAAGAAATGGATGGATGGATGGACGGAGGGATGGATGGATGGATGGATGGATGGAGGGATGGATGGGTGATGGATGATGGATGGATGGATGGATGGATGGATGATGGATGGATGGATGGATGGATGGATGGGTGATGGATGGGTGGATGGATGGATGGATGGGTGATGGATGGATGGATGGATGGATGGATGGATGGGTGATGGATGGGTGGATGGATGGATGGATGGATGGGTGATGGATGGATGGATGGATGGATGGTGGGGCAGAACCAGGTAGAGACACTGGCACAGAGAAGTGGTGTGATGTTTTCCCAAAAGGACCAAGGGTCTGTGATTGCAGCACTGTGAGGTCAGACTGTGGGGCTGCCCACTAGTGTTTGAATCTCTGGATGCTTCAGGGATCATATTGTTCCTGAGTTAATTCATTCAGGCTCTAACTGTGCCATGAATCCCTGCTTCTACCAGGTCCCATGCCTGGTAGTGGGTGCATCCACTCAGCTCCTTGTCCTCACTGGACAGAGGAGCCTACGGATGCGGCAGAGAGAGGCTGGCAGGGCCAACAAGGGAGGGCCCTGAACATGGCTGAGTCGGGAGGGTCTTGCCAAGAGCTGGCATGGAGCCACATGAGTTTGGGTTTAAATCCTGTTGTTTTCTCACTGCGTGGCCTTGGGCCCTTCATATGGGCTCCTGGGCCTCAGTTTCCTCCTCTGCAAAGTGGATACAGTGACAAGCTGTCACAATGAGCCCTGGGAATCCCATGGGAGCAGGGGAGGAAGCTGACCTCATCCATCTTCTAGGAATCCCAGGCAGACTCGGGGGTGAAGAGCGGGGCTCGGGGGCCAAAGAGATTTAAATTCTACCCCTGGTTCTTCCACTCATCACCTGTGTGACCTCGGAAATTGACGAAACCTCTCTCAGCCTCAGTTTCCTCCTCTGAGAAAGGGACCTCTGAGCTCCGTGGGGCTGTGGCGAGCATCCTAAGAGGCCATATCACCTGGTGATCAGGAGGGCACAGGCTCCGGGGCAGGTGCTGGCCCAGCTCTGGCTCTGCCGCTGACGTGGGAGACAGAACTGGAGACTACACTTCTCTCAGCCTCAGTTTCCTCCTCTGTAAAGTGGGGATGATACCAGAAGCCGCCTGGGAGGAAGTTTCCATGGAGTTATTGTTCCCTGAGATCTTGTTCCCAAGGTCTGTGGTTCATGCAGTGTGTGAGAAGCTGGGACCTGTGGGCACCTCCCTCCTTCCCAGGCTCAGTCTCCCTGCCTGTAGAATGGAGTTATCTGTGTGTCTGCACCACAAGGTGGCTGTGAGCATTCAGGCCTTACCTGTGAGAACAACTGCTCAGGTGGGAACCTGGGACCCAGTGGGTGCCGAACTCCACAGCTCTGAGAACTAGCCTTGGGCCTCCCAGGCTGATCCCCAGGGCAAGGACACTGATCTCCCTTGTTCCACCATTTGAGATCATAAAACATCAATGCCTGATATTCAACCAGGTTGCAGAAGACTTATACAGGCATTTCAAAAGTGAGAATAGCAAATAATCCACCAGTGTATAAAACTGGGCTCACATTCATTGATCATCAGGGAAATGCAAAAGAAAAGCTCACAGTGGGCTGGGCGTGGTGGCTCACGCCTGTAATCCCAGCACTTTGGGAGGCCAAGGCGGGCAGATCACGAGGTCAGGAGATCGAGACCATCCTGGCTAACATGGTGAAACCCCATCTCTACTAAAAAATACAAAAAATAGCCGGGCGTGGTGGCGGGCGCCTGTAGTCCCAGCTACTCGGGAGGCTGAGGTAGGAGAATGGCATGAACCTGGGAGGCGTTGCTTGCAGTGAGCCGAGATTGTGCCACCGCACTCCAGCCTGGGCGACGGCGTGAGACTCCATCTCAAAAAAAAAAAAAAAAAAAAATTCCCAGGGGTTTGGGAGGCCAAGGCAGGAGGATCATTTGAGGCTATGGATTAGAGACTGAGGCCAGCCTGGGCAACATAGTGAGACCCTATCTCTACAAAATAAAATATATTAGGAGGGGAAGGAGGCCAAAAAAATATAATTTTAAAAAATTAAAAAGAAGGCCAGGCACAGTGGTTCACACCTGTAATCCCAGCACTTTGGGAAGCCAAGGTGGGAGGATCGCTTGAGCTCAGGAGTTCAAGACCAGCCTGGCCCACATGGCAAAACCCCGTCTCTACTAAAAATACAAAAAATTAGCTGTATGGTGGTGTGCGCCTATAATCCCAGCTACTCAGGAGGCTGAGGCATGAGAATTGCTTGAACCCGCGAGGCGGAGGATGCAGTGAGCCGAGACTCACCACACCACTGCATGCCAGCCTGGGCAACAGAGCAAGATCCTGTCTCAAAAATATATATATAAATATAAATAAATAAACAGAAAAACAATATTTGGGTCAGCCGTGTTTGCCTCTCAAAACCGTGCCCTCAACTACCCCGCTACACATGACCCAGAGTCTAAATAAGACTTGTCCCAAGTCCCAAAGAAACACTCCAGGGTCCTCTCCAGCTCTTGAAATTTAAAGTAACCGAAGGCTCAAAGAGCTTTTGTTGATATTGACTATATATCTATTGCTACTTACTGTATTGGAAATTATTTCTTTTACATTTTTTTTTTGAGACAGGGTCTTGCTCTGTTGCCCAGGCTGAAGTGCAGTGACGTGATCTCGGCTGACTGAAGCCTCAACCTCCTGGGCTCAAATGATCCTCTCGTCTCAGCCTCCTGAGTAGCTGGAACTACAGGTGCACACCACCACACCTGCTTTTTTTTTTTTTTTTTTTTGTAGAGACGGGGGTCTCATTATGTTGCCCAGGCTGGTCTCAACCTCCTGATCTCAAGTGATCCTCCTGCCTGGGCCTCCCAAAGTGCTGGGATTACAGGCATGAGCCACTGGGCCTGGCATGAAGTAGAAATTAAAAGCGTGGAATTTTAAAAACACTTTTGAAGATTTTGAATTTTACTTAAAGTATTCTTTGAGCCAGGTGCGGTGGCTCATGCCTGTAATCCCAGCACTTTGGGAGGCCAAGGTGGGTGGATCACGAGGTCAGGAGTTCGAGACCAGCCTGACCAACATGGTAAAAACCCATCTCTACTAAAACTACAAAACTTAGCCGGGCATGGTGTTGCACGCCTGTAATCCCAACTACTCAGGAGGCTGAGGCAGGACAATCGCTTGAACCCGGGAGGCGGAGGTTGCAGTGAGCCGAACTCACACCACTGCACTCCAGCCTAGGCAACATAGCAAGACTGTCTCAAAAAAAAAAAATATATATATATATATTTGCATATATATATATATATATATATATATATAATTTATCTATTTATTGAGCTAAGCACAATGACTCACACCTGTAATCCCAGCACTTTGGGAGGCCAAGACGGGCAGATCACTTGTGGTCAGGAGTTCAAGGCCAGCCTGGCCAACATAGTGAAACTCCCTCTCTGCTAAAAATACAAAATTAGCCAGGCATGGTGGCACATGCCTGTAATCCCAGCTACTTGGGAGGCTGAGGCAGGAGAATTGCTTGAGTCCAGGAGGCAGAGGTTGCAGTGAGCCAAGATCACACCATTGCACTCCAGCCTGGGCGACAAGAGCGAAACTCAGTCTCAGAAAAAACAAAAATGTATTTTTAATTCTGTATCAAATTCTTTTTCATGTTTTACTTGGACAGCTCCAAAATGCAAGATGCTTCACATCAGAGGTAGACCCCAGGACTCTGCAAAGATTCCTTGCAGTTCAGACCCTTCCAAAACATTCCCAGCTCAGGAAACCTCAGGTCATCTCTGAGGTCGTTGATCAGACACCTCCAGACCCCCATGCTTGCACTCCCCTTCCCACTCTCCAGGCCCCCATTATCCCTAAAGGAACAGAGAGGGGAGAGTGAGTAGAAAGTCAGGGTAGAGGTTAATGATAAACTTTATTCTTATTTTTTAAGACAGGGTCTCGCTATGTTGCCTAGGCTGGTCTCAAGCTCCTGGGCTCAAATGATCCTCCTGCTTTAGCTTCCCAAAGTGCTGGGATTACAGGCGTGAGCCACAGCGCATAATAAACCTTAAAAATCAACAATGTTGACTGGGCACTGTGGCTCACACCTGTAATCCCAACACTTTGGGAGGTCGAGGTGAACAGATCACTTAAGTTCAGGAGTTCGAGACCAGCCTGGCCAACACGGTGAAACCCCGCCTCTACTGAAATACGAAAATATGCTCTGCGTAGTGGTGGGTGCCTGTATTCCCAGCTATTGGGAGGCTGAGACAGGAGAATCCTTTGAACCCAGGAGGCAGAGGTTTCAGTCAGCCGAGATCACACCACTGCACTCCAGCCTGGCTGACAGAGCAGGACTCTGTCTCAAAAAAAAAAAAAATCAGCAATGTTGGCACCCTTCTAACCCCTTAAATGTGGTTCCCTAAACAGCCAGGGAATATGCCTGTATCCACTCCCTGCCTCTCCCCACCCCACCCCCACCCCGCCCCCACCACGCCCTTCTCTGTCCCCTCTGTCTTCTGGTCTCCCTCGTCCTCTGCCGCCCCCTGGTGGCCGTCCTGGCACCTGGGTCTCCCCAGCGACGCCTCTCTCACCCTGTCCTAGTCCCATTTAGCAAATGTTCCAATCCTCTTAGGCCAGGCCAGGCCAGCCTCAGCAGAGCAGAATTAGATCCGATTTGGGGGTTGGGGGACAGACTGCCAGGATATAATGAAAACTCCTTCTGCTTGTCAGACCCTGGAAGGGGGTAGACACAAAGCAACTCACACACTGGGACCCCACAAGGGACAACGAGGAGGGGAAACTGAGGAACAGAGAAAGGGGGAGACAGAGGGGCAGGGTGGGGGAATGCCAAGGGGCAGAGAGGGCACCTGGAGGCTGAGAGATCTTGCTCCCCGCGCCTGGAAAGTGTCTTCCCAGCTTGACTCTCGCCGCCACGGTCACCGGAGTGCCTAGTGCCTCCACCTGCAATTCTGGAACAACTCCCCTCTCTACAAGGACCCGATTCCCTCATCCAGAGTTACTTATTAATTCTTGGCATGTGGCTTTTTGTTTTTTGTGTGTTTTGGGGGGGTCGTGGGCTTTTGGGGAGTTTTGTTTGTTGTTTGTTTGTTGAGACAGGGTCTCACCCTGTTGCCCAGGCTGGAGTGCAGGTCGGGGAATCACTGCTCATTGCAGCCTCAACCTCCCAGACTCCAGCGATCCTCCCACCTCAGCCTCCCAAGTAGCTGGGACTACAGGAGCACGCCACTCCGCCTGGCTAATTTTGGCGGGGTGGGGGGGGTTGTTTTATTTATTATTATTTATTTATTTATTTATTTATTTATTTATTTTTGAGACACAGTCTCACTCTGTCGCCCAGGCTGGAGTGCAGTGGTGTGAGCTCATCTCACTGTAACCTCCACCTCCTGGGTTCAAGCGATTCTCCTGCTTCAACCTCCTGAGTAGCTAGGATTACAGGCGCGTGCCACCATACCTGGCTAATTTTTTGTATTTTTAGTACAGACGGGGTTTCACCATGTTGGCCAGACTGGTCTTGAACTCCTGACCTCAAGTGATCCACCCGCCTCGGCCTCCCAAAGCGCTAGGATTACAGGCGTGAGCCACCAGGCCCAGGCTTTTTTTGTTTAGTTTTTGGTTTTGGGGGGTTTTTTTGAGATGGAGTCTCACTCTGTGGCCCAGGATGAAGTGCAGTGTTTCTCACTTAACCTTTGCTTTATTCTGTTTCTCTCTTTTAATTTCTGTCTCAGTGTGATCTTGGCTCACTGCAATCTCCCCTCCTGGGTTCAAGCGATTCTCCTGCCTCAGCCTCCCAAGTAGCTGGGACTACAGGCACACACCACCATGCCCGACTAATTTTTTGTACTTTTAGTAGAGACAGAGTTTCACCATATTGGCCAGGCCGGTCTCGAACCCCTCACCTCAATTGATCCTCCTGACTCGGCCTCCCAAAGTGCTGGGATTACAGGCATGAGCCACCATGGTTGGCCATTTCTTTATATTTTTTAAGAGAGACAAGATCTCGCTATGTTGCCCAGGCTGGTCTCGAACTCCTGGCCTCAAGCAATCCACCCACCTCAGCCTCCCAAGGTGCTGGGATTACAGGCATGAGCCATAGCGCCCAGCCTATTCTGTGATTCTTTGAGTAACGCCTGCCTTCCCCCACTTGAACAACGAGTTCCCTGAGAACAAGGACTGCACCCGTTAACTCTCTGGAGGTGCCTAGATCAGTCCCTTGAATGTACTGAGCACTTAATAAATACAGACAGTTCTCAGGCCGGGCACGGGTGGCTCACTCCTGTAATCCCAGCACATTGGGAGGCCGAGGTGGGCGGATCACCTGAGGTCAGGAGTTCAAGACCAGCCTGACCAACATGGAGAAACTCCATCTCTACTAAAAATACAAAATTAGCCGGGCGTGGTGGCAGGTGCCTGTAATCCCAGCTACTTGGGAGGCTGAGGCAGGAGAATTGCTTGAGCCCAGGAGGCAGAGGTTGCAGGGAGCTGAGATTGCACCATTGCACTCCAGCCTGGGCAACAAGAGCGAAACTCCGTCTCAAAAAATATATATAAAAGAAATTAAAAATAAATAAATACAGGCAGTTCTCCTCATTCTTACTTGTTATGTTCTGTGAAGTTGCCATTAGCCGGGCGCGGTGGCTCACGCCTGTAATCCCAGCACTTTGGGAGGCTGAGGTGGGCGGATCACGAGGTCAGAAGTTCGAGACCAGCCTGGCCAATATGGTGAAACCCCATCTCTACTATAAATACAAAAATTAGCTGGGCGTGGTGGCGCATGACTGTAGTCCCAGCTACTCAGGAGGCTGAGGCAGGAGAATCGCTTGAATCCGGGAGGCGGAGGTTGCAGTGAGCCGAGATCGCGCCACTGTACTCTAGCCGGGGCAACAGAGTGAGACGCTGTCTCAAAAAAAAAAAAAAAAAAAAGTTGCCATGAACATGGTCTCAGCCAATAAGGAACCCCTGCTCCCAGGGGAAATACAGATTTGGGGTCCCACAAGGCTCTGCTCACACTATTGTCATCAATCGATCAATACCTCACCCTGGTTCATGCGTGTTTCGGTTTAAAGACACCTTATTGAATATATGTTGTTGATTCATTCAAATTAAACTCAGGGCCGGCCAGGTGCGGTGGCTCACACCTGTAATTTTAGCACTGTGGGAGGCTGAGGAGGGCTGACCACCTGAGGTCAGGAGTTTGAGACCATCCTGGCCAACATGGTGAAACCCTGTCTCTACTAAAAATACAAAAATTAGCCAAGCATGGTGGCGGGCGCCTGTAATCCCAGCTACTCTGGAGGCTGAGGAAGGAGAATCCCTTGAACCCGGGAGGCAGAAGTTGCAGTGACCTGAGATCACTCCACTGCGGTCCAGCCTGGGTGACAGAGAGAGATCCTGTCTCAAAAAATAAAATTAAAAAAAAAAAAAAACAGAGAGCAAGGACAGTGTTTCAAGAATGAATGTCCAGACACCGAGAGGAACCCCAATGTCAGAAAGACATTGAACAACAAGATTCTAGAAAGCAAAGGCCAACCTCATGCCTTTGTCACCCCCACTCTGATCTGCCCCAATATTGTCTTCAAAGCCCAAACAACTCCTTGTTGCCCATGTGCCCCTCCTGAACCCCCTCCCCCTGCACCAAGAGATACCCTCACAATGCAGAGGATGGGGAGGTGTCTGTGGGCCTCTTGGGGGCAGGAGCAAAGATGAGTCAACCCCACCAAGAGGTCAACCCCATCAGAGCCCACAGGCATAGGGTAAAAGAGGAGATTGAAGAATTGATGGAAGGCTGGACGCGCCTGTAATCCCAGCACTTTGGGAGGCTGAGGCGGGCAGACCACAGGGTCAGGAGTTCAAGACCAGTCTGGCCAATATGGTGAAATGCTGTCTCTACTGAAAATACAAAAATTAGCCGGGCGTGGTGGTGGGCGCCTGTAATCCCAGCTACTCAGGAGGCTGAGGCAGGAGAAGGGTTTGAACCTGAGAGGCAGAGGTTGCAGTGAGCCAAGATCCGGCCACTGCACTCCAGCCTGGGCGACAGAGCGAGACTCTGTCTCAAAAAAAAAAAAAAAAAAAAAATTGATGGATAAGGAGAGAGCCATTGTTTCTGTTTCTGTTCTGAAGGAATCAAATAAGAATAGATTTTTTTTTTTTTTTTTTTTTTTTTTTGAGATGGAGTCTCACTCTGTCGCCGGGGCTGGAGTGCAGTGGCACAATCTCAGCTCACGGCAACCTCTGCCTCAGGGGTTCAAGTGATTCTCCTAACTCAGCCTCCCAAGTAGCTGGGATTACAGGCGCCCTCCACCACACCCAGCTCATTTTTGTATTTCTAGTAGAGACAGGGTTTCGCCATGTTGGCCAGGCTGATCTTGAACTCCTGACCTCAGGTGATCCGCCCACCTCGGCCTCCCAAAGTGCTGGGATTACAGGTGTGAGTCATTGCGTCTGGCCAAGAATGGATTTCATAATCCCTTCTTCACACTTTTCCACCGACTTCATTCCCACTTACATCACTCTTGCCCCAGGCTTCAGAAGACCTCCCTCCATCCACCTGACTCTAGGAATTTGGCCATTGCCTGGGGAGCCCCAGGAGGAATCTCCAGAAATTCCATCCAACCCTGAAGACACATCAGGACGAGAAAAGGCATGGGGACTTCTGTGGGCAGGGTGTTGACGAGTCCTAGGGTGGCATTCAAGGCCAGAAATGCTTCTTGTTTTCCAGGTTGTCCATTAAAAAATAATAATTATAAACAGCAGGAAATAGAGAAAATAGACATTCCGCGTCATCTCTGGGTAATTACTTTTGCAGGAGTTTTTATCTTTGTTGTTATTTATTGTTCATTCAAATATATTGTGCTCACACCCGTAATCTCAGCACTTTGGGAGGCCAACATGGATGGATCACTTGAGGTCAGGAGTTAGAGGTCAGCCTGGGTAACATGGCAAAACCCCGTCTCTACAAAAAATACAAAAATTAGCCAGATGTGGTGGCACATGCGCCTGTCCTCTCAGCTACTTGGGAGGCTGAGGTGGGAGAATGGCTTGAGCCAAGGAGGGAGAGGTTGCAGTGAGCCGAGATCATGACAGTGCAACGCAGCCTGGGTGATAGAGAGAGACCCTGTCTCCAAAAAAAAAGGAAAGAAAAAGAAAAGAAAAAAGAATATGTATATGTATAATATATATTTTTTGTATGTGCTTATTAAATGTGTACATTCTTCAAAATAAACAATGTGCCTGAGACAGCATTTGATATGGAAAACACAAACTCAATCATTTAGTACATTATTACTCAGCACCTTTGAGCTTTTCCTATTACAGACATGGGGATTTGGGAGGGAAAAAAAAGCCCAACAAAGTCTCTGTGTTCAAGACACATTTATTTCAGCAAACAGCAAGCAGACATCCACCAGGCAAACAAAACAACAAATACATTAAAGATCATCATTTCTTACTAATTGGTTACCACTTCATCCCTTTCTTAAACTTTCATTAGCATTCCATAGTCTGAGGCTGCCACAAATTAATCATCTTCTAATTTGTGGGCGTGAATTAATCCAATTAACTCAGTTGATATTTCAAAGAAATGTTACACTGAACACTGATATCTGCGCTTATTCACAGCGGAGCAAGTATTTTCCCAGGATAAGTCTCTTACAATAAAACATTGAGGCCAGGCACGGTGGCTCACACCTGTAATCCCAGCATTTTGGGAGGCCAAGGTGCGCGGATCACTTGAGGTCAGGAGTTCAAGACCAGCCTGGCCAACATGGTGAAACCCCATCTCTACTAAAAATAAAATAAAAATTAAATAAAAATTTAAAAATTAGCCAGATGTGGTGGCAGGCGCCTGTAGTCCCAGCTACTCGGAAGGCAGGAGAATCACTTGAACCCAGGAGGCAGAGGTTGCAGTGAGCCGATATCTGCATTAAAGTGCAGAGCCACTGCACTTTAGTCTGGGTGACAGATCGAGACTCGGTCTCAATAAATAAATAAATAAAATAAGAAAATTGGCCAGGCATGGTGGCTCACACCTGTAATCCCAGAACTTTGGGAGGCTGAGGCGGGTGGATCACCTGAGGTCAGGAGTTCAAGACCAGCCTGGACAACACAGTGAAACCCCGTCTCTACTAAAAATACAAAAATTAGCCAGACATCATGGTGGGTGCCTGTAATCCCAGCTACTCAGGAGGCTGAGGCAGGAGAATTGCTTGAACCTGGGAGGCGGAGGTTGCAGTGAGCTGAGATCGCGCCATTGCACTCCAGCCTGGGCAAGAAGAGTGAAATTCCATCTCAAAACAAATAAAGAAAATAAAATAAAATAAGAAAATTACCCGGACATGGTGGTACTTGCCTGTAGTCCCACCTACTCAGGAGGCTGAGGTTGCAGGATCGCTTAAACCCCAGAGTTCGAGGTTGCAGTGAGTTTCGATTGACTCCACTGCACTCCAATCTGGGCAACAGAGCAAGACCCTGTCTCAAAAAAAATCATTGAGTCAAAGGGTACTATACACATTTCATCCTTTAATAGATGTCACAGAGTCAATTTCAAAAAAAAACCTCCAAAAATATTTTACCAACCTACACTTCATCAATGGCAAGAGAAAACCACATTCTCTGGGTCTACACTTGATCCATCTCTTTGATCTTGGCCAATCCACAGGGCAATATGCTGAGTTTTGCATTAATTTATATTTTTTATTGATATGTCATCCACGTAATATAAAAGTACCCACTTAAAGTATACAATTCAGGGCTGGGTGCCATGGTTCATGCCTGTAATCCCAGCACTTTGAGAAGCTAAGGAGAGCGAATTACTTGAGGCCAGGAGTTCGAGACTAGCCTGGCTAACATGGTGAAACCCCATCTCTACTAAAAATAGAAAAAATTTTTTACTGGGTGTGGTAACACACACCTGTAATCCCAGCTACTCAGGAGGCTGAGGCATGAGAATCACTTGAACCCAGGAGGCAGAGCTGAGATCAATCCACTGCACTGCAGCCTGGGCAACAGAGACTCTGTCTCAAAACAAATACATAAATAAATTTAATTAAATAAAGTATACAATTCAGGCCGGGCACGCTGGTTCACGCCTGTAATATCAGTACTTTGGGAGGCAAGGTGGGCTGGTTGTTTAAACTCAGGAGTTCGAGACGAGACTGGGCAACACGGCAAAACAAAAAGAAAAGAATAATCATAAAGTACAAAATGAAATGGTTTTGGCCGGGCGCGGTGTTTCACACCTGTAATCCCAGCACTTTGGGAGGCCGAGATGGGTGGATCACTTGAGGTCAGGCATTCGAGGCCAGCCTGGCCAACATGGTGAAACCCATTCTCTACTAAAAATACAAAAAGTTAGCTGGGCGTGGTGGTGCATGCCTGTAATCCCAGCTACTTGGGCGACTGAGGCAGGAGTATCACTTGAACCCGGGAGATGGAGGTTGCAGCAAGCCGAGATCACACCACTACTGCACTCCAGCCTGGGTGACAGGGCAAGACGCCATCTCAAAAAAAAAAAATTAAATCGTCTTTAGTCTGTTTGCAGAGTTGTGCCTCCTTCACTACAGTCAATTTTAGAACATTTTTCACCGTCCCCAATAGCTATCTCCATAGCTATTCCCAGTTGGTCCCAATTTTCCCTTCTCCCCAACCCGTAGCAACCACTAATCTGCTTTCTGTCTCTATGGATTTGCCTATTCTGGACACTTTGTATAAATAGAATCGTATATGTGCTTTTGAGTCTGGCGTCTTTCACTCGGCATCATGTTGGCAAGGTTCATCCATGTTGTAGCACGTATCAGAGCTTTATTCCTTTTCATGGTTGAGTAATATCCCATTGTGTAAATATATGACATTTTGGGTTTCTATTTTTTGTGGGTTTTTTTGGGGGATGTTGTTTTGTTTTTTGAGGCAGAGTCTCCCTCTGTCACCCAGGCTGGAGTTCAGTGGCACCATCTCAGCTCCCTGCAACCTCTGCCTCCCGGGTTCAAGTGATTCTCCTACCTCAGCCTAACAAGTAGCTGGGATTACAGGCTCCCGCCACCATGCTTGGCTAATTTTTTGTATTTTTAGTAGAGACGGATTTTCACCATGTCGACCAAGCTGGCCTCAAACTCCTGACCTCAAGTGATTCGTCCACCTCAGCCTCCCAAAGTGCTGGGATTACAGGCGTGAGCCACCGTGCCCAGCCACTTTTATTTATTTTGAGATGGAGTCTCACTCTGTTGCCCAGGCTGGAGTACAGTGGCACAATCTCCACTCCCTGTAGCCTCCGCCTCCCGGGTTCAACCAATTCCCCCGCCTCAGCCTCCCAAGTAGCTGAAATTCAGGTGCTGGCCACCACGCCCAGCTAATTTTTGTATTTTTAGTAGACAGGGTTTCGCCATGTTGGCCAGGCTGGTCTTAAACTCCTGACCTCAGGTGATCTGCCTGCCTCAGCCTCCCAAAGTGCTGGGATTACAGGCGTGAGCCACCGCGCCTGGCCATGCAGCATTTTATTTATCCATGCATCAGTGGATCGATGTTTTCAGCATTTTCTCCTTTTGGGCGATAGTGAATCATGCTGCCGTGAACTTGCTTATATTTAAATGTCTATTTTCACAAAATAGTACCAGTGAGCTTGTTCATCTGTTTATGTCTTTATTGACCAAATAAATAGCCATGGTGCAAAATCTCTGTGGTCACTACTGTGTTCCCAGCATGTCCTGTAGATGAAGCCGGACAATGTGTGCGATGAGGAATCATTGCTGGGGATGCTGCTTTCTACAGCAGAACTCTAAGTAGCAGGTGAAAACAATGAGCGAGGCCCGTGGTAACAATGTCTACGTTTTATTGAATTTTGAAATTGATTGCATGAGTCATTTCTAGTTCCCTGCACCATGAGCCTTGTCAATCTCTCTAATCCCTGAACCCACGTGGGTCCTGCCATGGGGAAATGAGGACAGCCAGGTGTCTGACAGAGAAGACGCATCTCTGAGGGATCCGATCTCTGTAGACCAAGGTCATGGGTCCCCTGTATCATCAGCAGTAGGTTCATTCACTCACAAGGGCAGACCAGCAGCGGTCCATGGGCACGTCCATCAGACCTGTGCCCCCTCCTGATACAGGTCTATGCAGCTTGGAGAGGCTGGGCTCATGTGAACCCAGCACACGAGCCCCGTATATAAACTGGAATAAACCAGCACTGAGGTCATTTACTCTCCAGGAGAAACCAACAGAGGTCTATGTGAATGCCTATCAGAACTTCACCCCATAGGCAAATCCACTACAGAAACCAAACCATTATCAGCAGGGCCAATGTGTACTAAGCTCTGCTTACACCTATAGGCACCTAGGGAGCAATTTTTGGAATGGATAGTAGGGGCCAGAGTGGCCTTGAGGTACCAAAGAGGAGGTTGCAAGGTCATCCAGGAAGGAGGGATAGTGGCTGGACAAGGCAGGCAGCCCAGGAGCCAGGAGGAGTGGGTAGACTCACCGGCATTGGTCACTCGGGGCCCCAGCCCTGGGAAGGAACAAGGATGACTCCTGGGGGCTGGCTGGCGGTGCCTCTCCTGAGATGGGGACCCCAACCACAGGTCACGATGTTGACTCCCCCAACCAAACCCGCATGGAATGCCACCTCACCTGGGCTAGGGCCCATGAGGGTGAAACCAAGGCTGTGTTGTCCACTGAGGTTCTCCAGCTCCTAGCACAGCTCAGCAGGCAGTACCTGATCAGTGATGAAGGATTAATCCATCATTCAACTCCTCCAGGGGGCGGGACTGCAGGGCAGGGTGGGAAAGGGAGGGTCCCGGCAGGGTGGGCCAGGGTGGGCACAGCAGAGAAGTGATTTAAGAGCCAAGCCCTTGTCAGTACACACTTGTGTTTGGGAACAGATCAGGACTCAGGATGCAAGACCCTGGTCATCTCCAAGGTGAGCGGGGACAGAGGTGTGAGGGGTCTGGGCTGATCCTGTGGCTGAGGCTGCAGAGTGCAAATCTGGGCAGCCAGAGAAGGGCTGGGCCTGTGCGGGCGGCTTCCTGTCCTGCAGACGGGGGAGAACTTAGTGGTGTCTGGGAAATGAAAAATCATGCAGCTGGGTGTAGCGTCTCACGCCTGTGATCCCAGCTCTTTGGGAAGCCAAGGTGGGAGGATCACTTGAGCCCGGGACTCTGAAACCAGCCGAGCCAACATAGTGGAGACCCGTCTTTAGCAAAAATACAAAAATTACCCAGGGGTCGTGGTGCACACCTGTGGTCCCAGCTACTCGGGAGACTAAGGCGGGGGGTTCCTTGAGCCCAGGAAGTGGAGGCTGACTTGAGCCGTGATCACATCACTGCACTCCAGCCTGGGTGACAGAGCGAGATCCCCTCCAAGAAAAAGAAAGAAGGAAAGAAATTAAACCATGCAGTTGAGTGGAGCAGAGGACTGGGCAGGTGGCGGCTCCCCTGCAAGTGTCAGGGTCCCTATAACCCTTGGATGGGAGGGGACGGGGCAGCTGGGGAGGGTTGAGCAGGCCTGAGGCAGCCCCGTCTGCTCCGAGGTGAGGCGCCTACGCTGCCTGCCTTCCCAGGAGCTGTTATCGCGCCTATTTCCTAGATGTGGACCCTGAGGCCCAGAGAGGTGCAAGGTCTGGTCTGGATACCAGGCTGCTATCCGCGGTGCCGCCCCAGCCCACACTGCCTGGGCTCCTGGCCTGGTGCAGGGGACGGGGTCCCTAGGGGGGCTGGGGGCTGCCTGGGGGTTTCTGTGACCTGTTTCCCTCCCACCCCCAGGCCCTCCCCTGGCCCTGGACCCTCCAAGGAGACAGCGGCAGGAGCGCACGGTCTACACTGAAAGCCAGCAGAAAGTGCTAGAATTTTACTTTCAGAAGGACCAGTACCCGAACTACGACCAGCGACTGAATCTGGCGGAGATGCTCAGCCTCAGGGAGCAACAGCTGCAGGTCTGACCCCCACCCCCACCCTGCCCGCCCCAGTCACCCCAAGGAGCCTCCCCACCGCTGTCACTCACCGGGGCCTGGCCCGCCCGACCACCTCCCGCCCTGCCACGCAAGGGGTCCCGCCAGTGTAGACCAGGGCTGCATCCTGAGTCCTGTTCCAACTCTATGCTAGCCCAAACTCGCCCACATGATCGGCCCAGGCTGTCCCCCACGGGGTCTCCCGGTGCCCGGACCTCAGGCACCCGTGAGAACCCGCGGTCCCTCCCCTCGAACCCTCCCTGGCCCCCCGGGCACCTGGGCGGCAGACCCCGCTCCTCCCATCCCACCCCACCCTCCTCCCCCTACTTTTCCCTCCCTCTTCCCTCCATTCTCCAGGCCTTGGAGCCGGGGCCCTCTTTTGGTGGGGTGGGGGATGGGGGGCTGTTGAGCACAGGGAGAGGCTTCAGGCTGGCCCCGACCCCAAAAGGCTCACTGGGCCGCGCGAGCCCCTCCTTCACACCTTCTCCCTGTCCCCTCTGCCCCCCAGGTGTGGTTCAAGAATCGCCGCGCCAAACTAGCTCGGGAGCGGCGGCTCCAGCAGCAGCCCCAGCGCGTCCCTGGGCAGAGAGGCCGAGGAGCCCGCGCTGCGCCCCTAGTCCCTGCAGCCTCTGCCTCCGCACCTCAGCGGGGCCCCTCGGGAATCCTTCCAGCGGCGGAACCCACGATCTGCAGCCTCCACCAGGCCTGGGGTGGCCCTGGGTGCAGAGCCCAGAAGGGCATCCCAGCTGCCCTGAGTCCAGGCCCTGGCCCGATCCCTGCCCCAATCCCAGGCCCAGCCCAGATCCCAGGCCCACTCCCTGGCTCAATTCCAGGCCCAATTCCAGGCCCAGCTCAGATCCCAAGCCCGATCCCAGCCCCAATCCCAGGCCCAATTTCAGGCCCAGTCCAGATCCCAGGCCCATTCCGTGGCCCAATCCCAGGCCCAATTTCAGGCCCAGCCCCGATCCCAGGCCCAATCTCAGGCCCATTCTCAGGCCCAAACCCAGGCCCGATCCCAGGCCCAAACCCAGGCCCGATCCCAGGCCCAATCTCAGGCCCGATCCCAGGCCCAATCTCAGTCCCGATCCCAGGCCCGATCCCAGGCCCAATCTCAGGCCCAATCTCAGGCCCAAACCCAGGCCCGATCCCAGGCCCAATCCCAGGCCCAATCTCAGGCCCGAACCCAGGCCCGATCCCAGGCCCAATCTCAGGCCCGAACCCAGGCCTGATCCCAGGCCCAATCCCAGGCCCAATCTCAGGCCCAGGCCCAATTATAGGCCCGATTCCCAGCCCAGCCCAGATCCCAGGCCCAGGCAGACTCCAAGGCCCAGGTCCCATCTTAAGTCCTGGCCGGATGCGAAGCCCTGGCTCACTTCCAGGCCTAGCCCCGATTTTAGGCCCAGGCTCAGGCCCAGGCTCAGGCTCAGTCCCAGCTCCAATCCCAGGCCCAGGATCACTCCCAGCCCCAGCCCCCTTATGGCCTCAGAGCCCCGATGCCTCCGACTTCTTGCCAGACACCCAGTTATTCCCTCACTTCACAGAGCTGCTCCTACCCCTAGACCCCTTGGAGGGATCCTCAGTCTCCACCATGACCTCTCAGTACCAAGAAGGGGATGACTCTATGGGCAAAAAACACTCAGGGTCTCAGCCCCAAGAGGAGGGTGGCTCTGTGAATGAAAATCACTCAGGCCCCAGGTTATTACTGGATTTATAGGGGGCCTGTGCCTGCAAAGTTCTTCAGATCCCAGAGGGCCTGGAGTGGCTGATCTACACTGCTGGTGACTTTCTGCAGTGAATGCATCACCCTTTACCCACCCTGCTGCAGGTGGACATTTGCTGTCTTCACTGTGCAGCTATCACAGGTGGCTCTGCTGTGAATGTGCCTGCCTGTCATTTGAATTGAGCCTGAGCGTTTCTCTGCTGGGATTGGAGTCGCTGCTCACTGGGATATCTGGCATTAGTGGATGCTGCTCGAGAGCTTTCTAAAGGGCTTTTCCCAGGGCTTCTGATGGTCAGCATCTTCCCCAACACTTAGGATTGTGAGACTTTTTAATGTTTGTCGATCCAATGACTTGTGGTTTTGTTGTGGTTGTAATATCCATTTCCCTGATGATTGAGAAGTTAAACCCTCACATGTTAATTGAACCTTAGATATCTTCATAATGTGTATTTGTTTACCCCTTTTCCTTCATTTATTTGAATGTATTCTTATATTCTCTTGGCAATTAAAGTTCTGCAGACACCTTTCCTATTTGCATTTTGTTTCATTAGTATTTCTTGATTTTAATGTTGTCTATTTCACTGCTTTTCAAATTACCTATTGTTTTGGACCAGTTTTGTCTTGTTTTATTTTTCATTTCCATCAGTGGCAGACTGATAATGTTGTAAAACACAATGAAGTTATTAATAAAAATTAAAATGGGCCAGGCACGGTGGCTCATGCCTGTAATCCCAACACTTTGGGAGGCCAAAACAGGTGGATCACTTGAAGTTAAGAGTTTGAGACCAGCCTGGCCAACATGGTGAAACCCCATCTTCACTAAAAAAATAATAATAATACAAAAATTAGCCGGGCATGCTGGCAGGTGCCTGTAGTCCCAGCTACTTGGGAGGCTAAAGCAGGAGAATCACTTGAACCTAGGAGGTGGATGTTGCAGTGAGCTGAGATCGTATCACTGTACTCCAGCCTGGAGTACAGACTGAGACCTTGTCTAAAAAATATAAAATAATCAAATAAAATAAAATGACTTTTACAAAATATCTCAATATATCTGTATTTTCAAATTGACAGAAAAACTTCTAAAAGCTGGTGTTTCTAAAAGTCCTCTGTTACTAATTGTTACTAATTGGAGACAAAGCCCACAGGTGGCACCAGTCTGAGGTGTCCAGCTTACTGCTTCGAAAATTGCTACATTTTCTCACTTTTGCCTTCTAAGAGTAATGCTTTTTTTTTTTTTTAATAGCTTGTCTAAAATGTCTTTCTCCAGGCCGGGCACAGTGGCTCACGCCTGTAATCCCAGCACTTTGGGAGGCCGAGGAGGGTGGATCACCTGAGGCCAGGAGTTTGAGACCAGCCTGGCCAACATGGTGAAACCCCACCTCTACTAAAAGTACAAAAATTAGCCGGGTGTGATGGCACATGCCTGTAATCCCAGCTACTCAGGAGGCTGAGGCAGAAGAATCGCTTGAACCCAGGAGGCGGAGGTTGCGGTGAGCCGAGATCGTGCCACTGCACTCCAGCCTGGGTGACAGAGTGAGACTCCATCTCCAAAAAAAAAAAAAAAAAACTTTCCCCAAGATCAGGTAAACAGCAGGAAAAAAAGAAATCTTGCATTATCACATGATGATGAAGGTATTCCATTTTTTTCTCTAAATTTTTATAGTTTTACCTTTCATATTTAGGTCTTTAATACATGTATAATTGACTGTTTATGGTGTGAGGTAAGGATTTTTCTTTTCTCATGGATTTCTAATTGTCAATTTATTGAGAAGCTTGCAATTTATTTTGTATTTTGTCATAAATCAAGGGTTCATTAATGTATGAGTCTGTATCTACAAACTTTTTTGTATTTTATTTTTTGTTTTTTTTTTTGGAGACAGTTTCACTCTGTTGCCCAGGCTGGAGTGCAATGGCATCATCTCAGCTCACTGCAACCACTGCCTCCCAGGTTCAAGTGATTCTCATGCCTCAGCATCCTGAGTAGCTGGTTTTACAGGCGTGCACCACCATGCCCAGCTAATTTTTTGTATTTTTAGTAGAGACAGGGTTTAGCCATGTTGGCTACGTTGGTCTTGAACTCCTGGCCTCATTGATCCGCTAGCCTCAGTCTCCCAAAGTGCTGGGATTACAGGTATGTGTCACCACACCTGGCTTTTTTTTTTTTTTTTTTTTTTTTTTGAGACAGTATCTTACTCTGTTGCCCAGGCTAGAGTGCAGTGACACAATCACAGCTCACTACAACCTCAACCTCCCAGGCTCAACTGATCCTCCCACCTCAGCCTTCTGAGTAGCTGGGACCACAGGCACACACCACCATGCCTGGCTAATTTCCTTTTACTTTTTGCAGAAACAAGGTCTCACCATGTTGCCCAGGCTGGTCTTGAATTCCTGGTTCAAGTGATCCTCCCACCTTGGCCTCCCAAATTGCTGGGATTACGGGTGTGAGCCACAATGACTGGCTCTACGGAAAGTCTCTATTGGGTTCTTGGTCTCTATATCCTTGCACCAATAGCATGCCACCCTTTGCCTCTGTCCTCTCCTCTCCTGCTTCTTCTGCCATCACCTTGTGGCCATCCTGGCCCCTGTGTCTTCCCACAGCTAGTTCTCTGACCCTGTCCCAGTCTCATTTAGCAAATGCTTCAATCCTCTTAAGTCAGGCCAGCCTCAGCAAAACATAGGGAGAATTAGCGCGGATTTGGGGGAAACATGTGACAGGCTGTGGTTGGAGGTGGGGACAGACTGCCGGGATATAATGAAAAATGCTCCTGCTCCTCAGAGAGACCCTGAGAGGGATGTACACAGAAAACCACACTGAGACTGTCCCAAGGGAGGCAGAGCGATGGGAAAAGGGAGAGACTGAGGGGGAGGGAGAGAGGGAAAGTGAGGTGCAAAGAAAAGGGGAAACTGAGGCATGGGAGTTTCCTGCCCTCAAAACCAGAACAGGTAGGGTCTCCCCAGCCCGTGTCACTTCCCACGTGACAGCAGCTGTCCTATGTGCTCTAATATCCTTACAAAAGGTCCTTTGAGGTTGGCAGCCTGTAATCCCTTTGCCTACGGGGGGTTACGCCAAACATCAGGGTGTTTAAGTCCCTTTCTGAGAAGACCAAAAAGATTCAGTCTGAGCATGTACCAGGCCACCCAGCCAAAGAGCACAGCCCTTAACTCCTCCACTCTATCAAGTGATACCAAGCTCATCTGCTTCTTGGAGTGTTTGGAGGAGGACCTGTGGACAGCTGGATGTCCATGAGACTTTGGGTATCAACTACACCTTCTCCATACGTGTGGGGTGTGAGCAACATGGAGCTGTGTCATTGACATGCCCAGCACAGAGCCTAGCTTACAGGAAGCTCGGAGGAAACGGGGGATCTTATTATTCTGCCATTTAGACAACACCCTCCTCCCATATCTCTTCCCACCTCCGACTCATCTCCTACCTCTCTCTGCCCTGTGCAGACCCATGCTCCCCTTCCCTCTCCTTCCCTAGTCTCTCTCCCTCCCTCTCAGTCCCTGCGTTTCTCCCTTGCAGGTTTCCCTGGCCTTGACCTAATCTAACTCACCACCTGCCCCAATCCTCTTAGAGCCCGGTGAGGCGGCATCTGCAGAATCTCAGCCGGGTCACAGAAGAGTTGAAGGGGAGATGGGACATATTGGTGGATGATGTCAAAACCCTTCTCAAGCCCGTGCTGGCACCTTCTCATGCCTCCTTACTGGCCGTGAGACTTCAGTTACAGCAGTAGGTGCTGTCAGGGTCTCCTGGAGCCCTTCCCCTATATAAGCCCCAGAGAGACTCCTCAGGAAGACAAAACAAAGCTGCAGAATCTGCTCTCCCTGATTGGGGCAGTGAGTGGAACGTGTTGTAGATGTTCCGCAGACACACCTGATTTTCTCTGCATATGTGATGAAAAATGTAAACTGGCCGGACGCAGTGGCTCATGCCTGTAATCCCAGCACTTTGGGAGGCTGAGGCGGGCCGATCACGAGGTCAGGAGTTCGAGACCAGCCTGGCTAACACGATGAAACCTCATCTCTACTAAAGATACAAAAATTAGCCGGACGTGGTGTCGGGCACCTGTAATCCCAGCTACTCAGGAGGCTGAGGCAGGAGAATCGCTTGAACTCCGGAGGCAGAGGCTGCAGTGAGCCGAGATCGTGCCACTGCACTCCAGCCTGGGTGACAGGGCGAGACTCCATCTCAAAAAAAAAAAAAAAAAAAGTAAACCCTTCCACTTTTTTCTTCTGTCTTTTGGCTGCAGTCAGCTCTGGGAATGGGGATGGAATGGAAATTTATTTTTAGTTCTGTATTCATTCACTTTTTTTTTTTTTCTTTTTTTGAGACGGTCTTGCTGTGTCACGCAGGCTGGAGTGCAATGGTGCTATCTCGGCTCACTGCAACCTCCACCTCCTGGGTTCAAGCAATTCTCGTGCCTCAGCCTCCCAAGTAGCTGGGATTACAGGCACCCTCCACCACACCTGGCTAATTTTGTATTTTTAGTAGAGACAGGGTTTCACATGCTGGCCACGCTGGTCTCAAACTCCTGACCTCAAGTGATTCACCTGCCTTGGCCTCCCGAAGTGCTGGGATTACAGATGTGAGCCACCACGCCCGGCCTATTCACTTTTGTACACTCAGAATTTCTTGCTAGAGAAGTGCTTTTATTTTATCATTACAGAACTGTATCTTGGATAAAGTGGTAACTCTTGTAGCTAACATAAGAAAATATCTACAGAATAAACACACACACAGACACACACACACACACACACACACACACACACACTCAAACTCCTGGGATTAATTCATGAATTTGGCAAGGTTCCAGGATACAAAATCAATAAACAAAAACCAATTGTATATCTTGGTGTTGTGTGGGAATTTTTTTTTAAAAAAAGAAACAAATTATATTTCTATATAATAGCAACAAAAAATTGGAAAATAAGTTTTTTAAAAACACTATTTACAAAAGCATTAAAAAACATAAAATAGGCTGAGTGTGGCGGCTCATTCCTGTAATCCCAGCACTTTGGGAGATCGAGGCAGGAGGATCGCTTGAGGCCAGGAATTCAAGACCAGCCTGTACAACATAGCAAAACCCCATCTACACAAAAAAATAAAAAATAAAACTAGCTGGGCATGGTGGTGCACAGCTGTCGTCCCAGCTACTTTGAGGCCAGGAATTCAACACCAGTCTGTAAAATAAAGCAAGACTCCATCTACACAAAAAAAATTAAAAATAACACTAGCTGGGCATGGTAGTGCACAGCTGTAGTCCCAGCTACTTGGGAGACTGAGGTAGGAGAATTGCTTGAGCCCAGGAGTTTGAGGCAGCATCACTGCACCACTGCACTCCAGCCTGGGCAACAGAGCAAGACCCTGTCTCAAAATACACACACACACACACGCACGCATGCACACACACCTATAAAATGCCTAGGAAGAAAGTAGGATGTGCAGGACAGCTACGACCACAATTATCAAAACATTGCCCGTAGAAGTTAAAGAAGACCTAAATAAGGCCAGGCGCAGTGGCTCACGCCTGTAATCCCAGCACTTTGGGAGGCCGAGGCAGGCAGATCATGAGGTCAGGAGATAGAGACCATCCTAGCTAACACAGTGAAACCCCGTCTTTACTTAAAAAAAATACAAAAAAATCAGCCGGGCCTGGTGGCAGTCCTCTGTAGCCCCAGCTACTCGGGAGGCTGAGGCAGGAGAATGGTGTGAACCCGGGAGGCAGAGCTTGCAGTGAGCAGAGATGGTGCCACTGCACTCCAGCCTGGGCTACAGAGCGAGACTCAGTCTCAAAAAAAAAAAGAAAAAAAAAAAAAGACCTAAATAAACAGAAAGGCATCTGATGTTCATGGATAGTCTCCCCAAATCTGCCTATAAATTCATTGCAATCCCAATCAAAATCTCAGTCAAGTTTTCTGATAAAACTGATAAGATGATCCTAAAATTAGACAGAAATGCAGATTTAGAATAGCCAAATAATCTTGAAAAAGAACAAAACTGGAGAACGTATACTACCTAATTTCAAGATTTATTATAAAGCTACAGTAGTCAAGAAAGTGTGTTATGAGCATAAAGATCAACAAAGAGATCAGTAGAATAAAAGAGAAAATCCAGAAATAGATCCACATATGCAATCAACTTGTTTTGAACAAAGTATCAAGTCAATTTGATGAGAGGATGGGGAGTTTAACAAATGGTCCTGGGCCGGGCGCGGTGGCTCACACCTGTAATCCCAGCAGTTTGGGAGGTTGAGGCGGGCAGATCACAAGGTCAAGAGTTCGAGACCAGCCTGGCCAATATGGTGAAACCCCGTCTCTACTAAAAATACAAAAAATTAGCCAGGCGTGGTGGCACATGCCTGTAATCCCAGCTACTTGGGAGGCTGAGGCAGGAGAATTGCTTGAACCTGGGAGGCGGAGGTTGCAGTGAGCCGAGATCAGGACACTGCACTCCAGCCTGGCGACAGAGAGAGACTCCCTCTTTATTTTTTTTTATTTTTTTTTTTTATTTTTGAGACAGAGTCTAGCTCTGTCGCCCAGGCTGGAGTACAGTGGCGCGATCTCGGCTCACTGCAACCTCTGCCTCCCGGGTTCACGCCATTCTCCTGCCTCAGCCTCCCGAGTAGCTGGGACTACAGGTGCCCGCCACCACACCCGGCTAATTTTTTGTATTTTTAGTAGAGACAGGGTTTCACCGTGTCAGCCAGGATGGTCTTGATCTCCTGACCTCGTGACCCGCCCACCTCAGCCTCCCAAAGTGCTGGGATTACAGGCGTGAGCCACCACGCCCAGCAAAGACTCCATCTCAAAAAAAAAAAAAAAAAGGTCAAAAACAAAAATTAACCTTGTCTTTTCACAAGATGCTGCCGAAAGCGAAGGAAGCTCCTGCCTCTCCTAAAGCCCAAGCCAAACCGAAGGCTTTAAAGGCCAAGAAAGCAGTGTTGAAAGCCGTCCACAGCCACACAGAAGAGAAGATCCGCAGGTCACCCACCTTCAGGCGGCCCAAGACAGCGCGACTCCGGAGGGAGCCCAAATATCCTCAGAAGAGCGCCCCCTGGAGAAACAAGCTTGGCCACTCTGCGATCATCACGTTTCCGCCGACCACTGAGTCCGCCATGAAGAAGACAGACGACAACAACACACTTGCCTTCATTATAGATGTTAAAGCCAAGGAGCACCAGATCAAACAGGCTGTGAAGAAGCTCTGATTCGGCCTGACGGAGAGAAGAAGTCACATGTTCAACCGACTCCTGGTTACAATGCTTTGGATGTTGCCAACAAAATTGGGATCATCTAAACTGAGTCCAGCTGGCTAATTCTCAATATATGTATATCTTTTCACCATAAAAAAGTAAATAAATAAAAATAAACTGGGCTGGGCACGGTGGCTCACCCCTGTAATCCCAGTACTTTGGGAGGTTGAGGCGGGCAGATCACCTGAGGTCAGGAGTTCGAGACCAGCCTGACCAACATGGAGAAACCCCATCTCTACTAAAAAATTAGCCGGGCGTGGTGGTGCATGACTGTAATCCCAGCTACCCGAGAGGCTGAGGCAGGAGAATCACTTGAACCCGGGAGGTGGAGGTTGCAATGAGCCAAAATCACGCCATTACACTCCAGCCTGGGCAACAAGAGCAAAACTCTGTCTCAAAAAAAAAAAAAAAAAACAAAAACAAAAACAAAAAAAACCTTGACTCCCACCTCACTCCAAATGAAAAGCTACAACCAGGAAGCTTCTAGAAGCATCCATAGGAGAATATTTTTACAGTCTTGGAGTGAGCAAGGATTTCTTAGACCAGGCTGTGCACAGTGGCTCATGCCTGTAATTCCAGCGCTTTGAGAGGCTTTGGCAGGAGGATGGCTGGAGCCCAGGAGTTCAAGACCACCTGGGCAACATGGCAAAACCCTGTCTCTACTAAAAATACAAAAAAAGCTGGGCACGGTGGCTCATGCCTGTAATCCCAGCACTTTGGGAGGCCGAGGCCGGAGGATCACCTGAGGTCAGGAGTTCGAGACCAGCCTGACCAACATGGTGAAACCTTGTCTCTACTAAAAATACAAAAATTAGGTGTGGTGGCTACTCCAGAGGCTGAGGCTGGAGAATTGGTTGAACCCAGGAGGTGGAGGTTGCAGTGAACCAAGATCGTGCCACTGACTCCAGCCTGGGTGACAGAGCCAGCCTCCCGTCTCAAAAAAAAAAAAAAAAAAAAAAAAAGATATGCAAAAAGGCCAGTAAGCCCATGACATCAAAAATCATCAGGGAAATGCATATTAAAACTAAAATGGACCACATGCAGTGGCTCACGCCTGAAATCCCAGCACTTTGGGAGGCCGAGGCGAGTGGATCACAAGGTCAAGAGATCGAGACCATCCTAGCCAACATGGTGAAACCTCATCTCTACTAAAAATACAAAAATTAGCTGGGTGTAGTGGTGCATGCCTGTAGTCCCAGCTACTTGGGAGGCTGAGGCAGGAGAATTGCTTGAACCCAGGAGGTGGAGGTTGCAGTGAGCCAAGATCATGCCACTGCACTCCAGCCTGGTGACAGAGCAAGACTCCGTCTCAAAAAAAAAACTTTGGGAGGCTGAGGCAGGAGGACTGCTTGAGACCAGTCTGGGCAATATAATGAGACCCCATCTCTATAAAAATATTAAAATTAACTGAGCATGATGGTACACACTTGTAATTCCAGCTACTTAGGAGGCTGAGATGGGAGGATCACTAGAGCCCAGGACAAGGACACAGCAAGCCTTGTGTCCAGCCTCAGTGACAAAGCAAGACCCTGTCTCGAGAAAAATAATAAATAAGAAATAAACATATGTCCACAGGAAGACTTGTACAAGAATATTCATAACAACTTTATTCATAAAAGACCAAAATAGAAACAGCCCAAGTGAATGGTTAAGCAAATTATGGTATGTCCATACAATGGACTATAACACAGCACTGAAAAGGAACAAGCTGTGGATACACATGTGATATGGAAGAATCTCAAAATCATTTATGTTGGGTGAAAAAAGCCAGACACAAGAGGTTGTATGTGATGCAATTTCATTTCTATGAAATTCTAGAAGATATGGAAATAATCTGTAGTTACAGAAAGCTCTATATGATACTATTTCATTTATATGAAATTCTAGAAGAGACAGAAGTAATCTATAGTTAGAGAAAGCAGATTGGTGGTTGCCCAGGCAGGTGTGAGAATGAATATAAAATGACTGCAAAAAGGTCCCAGGGAAATTTGGGGGCTGATGGATGCTTCTTGTTTGGGTGCTGGTATCATAGTTGTATACTTTGTTGTTGTTGATCCTTTTTTGAGACGGGTCTCACTGTGTCACCCAGGCTGGAGTGCAGTGGCACAAACATGGCTTACCGCAGCCTTAAGCTCTCAGGCTCAAGTGATCCTTCCACCTCAGCCTCCCAAGTAGCTAAGACTACAGGTGCACACCACCATGCCCAGCCAATTTTTTTTTATTTTTTGTAGAGACAGGGTCTTGCTATGTTGCCCAGGATGCTCTTGAACTCTCGGGTTCAAGTGATACTCTTGCCTCAGCCTCCCAAAGTGTTGGGATTACAGGCATGAGCCACCGCACCCAGACAGTTGCATACATTTATCAAAGCAATTATACTGAACACTTAAGACAAGTGTGTTTTATCTAATGTAAAGAAAGCATCTATCTTTAAAAGTTGATGTTTTAAAACTCTGTGAATTGGGCCTGGTGCGGTGGCTCATACCTGTAATCCCAGCACTTTGGGAGGCCGAGGCGGGCAGATCACCTGAGGTCGGGAGTTTGAGAACAGCCTGACCAACATGGAGAAACCCCGTCTCTACTAAAAATACAAAATCAGCTGGGCGTAGTGACACATGCCTGTAACCCCAGCTACTCGGGAAGCTGAGGCAGGAGAATTGCTTGAACCTGGGAGGCAGAGGTTGCAGTGAGCAGAAATCGCGCCATTGCACTCCAACCTGGGCAGCAAGAGCGGAACTCCATCTCAAAAAAATAAAATAAAATAAAAATAAATAAATATAAAATAAAAAATTAGCTGAGTGTGGTGGTGCGTGCCTGTAGTCTCAGCTACTTGGGGTGCTGAGGCAGGAGAATCTCTCGAACCCAGGAGGCAGAAGTTGCAGTGAGCCGAAATCATGCCACTGCACTCCAGCCTAGGTGACAGAGTGAGACTCCATCTCAAAAAAAAAAAAAACTGTGAATTTTTAATATGAAAGATTTTTTGGTGAAAGGGAGGGTTTGGAGAAGGGTTAGATGAGTCAAATCATGTAAATCTTAACACTGATTATGGTCAGTGATCAACAAACCATATCTGCCATTATTATAGCTAATAATAGCATCACATACAGAATGTTCTTGGTCTTTTTCTGTCAGTCTCTCTCTTTTTTTTTTTTTTTTTGGGATGAAGTCTCTCTGTCACCCAGGGGCTAGAGTGCAGTGATGCGATCTCAGCTCAGTGCAACCTCTGCCTCCCAGTTTCAAGCAATTCTCCTGCCTCAGCCTCCCAAGTAGCTGGGAATACAGGCACGTACCACCATGCCATTTTTGTGTTTTTAGTAGAGTCGGGGTTTCACCATGTTGGCTAGGCTGGTCTTGAACTCCTGACCTCCAGTGATCCAACCACTTTGGCCTCCCAAAGTGCTGGGATTACAGGCGTGAGCCACCTCGCCTGGCCCACATCTTCTTCAATTATCTTGTTGTTGTTGTTTTTTCGTCTGTTTGTTTGTTTTTTGAGTCAGGGTCTCACTCTGTCGCCCAGGCTGGAGTGCAATGGGTGTGATCTCAGCTCACTGTAACCTCCACCTCCTGGGCTCAAGGGATCCTCCCACCTCAGCCTCCCGAGTGGCTGGGACCACAGGCGCGTGCCACCACGCCTGGCTAATCTTTTGTATTTTTGGTAGGAACGGGGTTTTTTCACATTGCCCAGGCTGGTCTCGAACTCCTGACCTCCAGAGACCCTCCCATTTCAACCTCCCAGTGTTGAGATTACAGGCGTGAATCACTGAGCCCGGGCTCATTCTTCAATACGCATCCAGTGACCATGTAAGTACTGTTAACCCACTCTGGTGGGGGTGGGAGGACTGTTCCCTCTATACCATCCCCTCCTCATCCACCACCCCGCCCTCCCACTGCCCGCCGTCAGATGGAAGCACCCCCACCTCTTCCTTCTGCTACTCTGCCTCTCTGCTGCCCCCTGGTGGCAATCCTGGCCCTTGGGTCTCCCCGGCGCTGGTTCTCTGACCCTGTCCTGGTCCCATGTAGCAAGTGTTCCAGTCCTCTTAAGCCAGGGCCAGTCTCAGCAGAGCAGAGAGAGAATTAGATCCGATTTGGAGGCAGGAGACACCCGACAGGCTACTGGGGGAGGGGGCGGGGACAGAGAGCTTGGATAAAACAAAAGCCCCTCCTGCTTTGGGAGGTCGAAGCGGGCAAATCGCCGGAGCCCAGGAATTCGAGACCAGCCAGGCAACATAGCAAGACCCCGTTTCTATAATAATATTTTTTAAAAGAAAAGAAAAGAAACCAAAGGCTGAACAACTTGAGCTTACAAAGAAGAGCTGCAATGAATTGAAAGACGTCAGATGCATGAAAGTCCATTGGTTCACAATGGTCCTCAAAAAAGAGAGAAAAAAAAAACTAGAGAAAGTTGTTGAGGCTCCAATTTAATATTCTGAAAACTGCTAAATTAAAAAGAATCTCCTGGCCAGGCGCAGTGTGGCTCACGCCTGTGTGGCCGGGCACAGTGACTCACACCTGTAATCCCAGCACTCTGGGAGGCCGAGGTGGGTGGATCACCTGAGGTGAGGAATTTGAGGCCAGCCTGGCCAACATGGTGAAACCCCGCCTCTACTAAAAATACAGAAAAAGGCCAAGTGCGGTGGTTAACGCGTGTAATCCCAGCACTTTGGGAGGCCGAAGCGGGCGGATAAACAAGATCAAGAGATCGAGACCATCCTGGCCAACATGGTGAAACCCCATCTCTACTAAAAATACAAAAATTAGCCGGGCGTGGTGGCGCATGCCTGTAATCCCAGCTACTCGGGAGGCTGAGGCAGGAGAATCGCTTGAACCCAGGAGGCGGAGGTTGCGGTGAGCCGAGATCTTGCCACTGCACTCCAGCATGGGGGACAGAGCAAGACTCCGTCTCAAAAAAAGAAAAAAGAAAAAAAAAGAGTTTAATTGGATTATTTGTAACACAAAAGTTAAATGCTTGAGGGGATAGATAACTCATTTACCCTGATGTTATTAGTATGCATTGGATGCCTGTATCAAAATAGCCCATGTCCCCCATAAATATATACACCTACTATGTACCTAGAAAAATTTTAATTTTTTTTTTTTTTTTCACTCTCACCCAGGCTGGAGTGCAGTGGCGCGATCTCAGCTCACTACAACCTCCGCCTCCCGACTTCAAGCGATTCTCCTGCCTCAGCCTCCCGAGTAGCTGGGAGCTACGACGCCCGGCTCATTTTTGCATTTTTAGTAGAGACGGGGTTTCACCATGTTGGCCAGACTGGTCTAGATCTCTTGACCTCGTGATCCGCCCTCTTCGGCCTCCCAAAGCGCTGGGATTACAGGCGTAAGCCACCGCGCACGGCTAAATTTTAATTTTTAAGTTTTAAAAAGAAAGTGTCATGTCACCAATTCAAAGATGGTGATTCACTTGACTACCCTAAAATCTAGATGACCGGAAGTGATTCCTGGTGACCCACAGGGATTCCACAGTGATTCCTGGTCTTCCGCGGTGATCCGAGGTGAACTGAGAAGATGCAGTTCTCAGACGCGGCCACATGCTGTCGCTGTTAGAAAGGAATTCACGGTGTCTCCCCTTTTCAGGCTGGGTGATGGTCAGGCTGAATTCTTTGAAGGTGTGAATTGTCTTGATTACGCCAAAATCCGATGCTGGCGTTTTCATGCATACGGTACGATTAAAATAAGAGCCCTGGTAGATATTTGTAGTGCTCACCAAGTTTTCAAGTTCTCATCCCTTTCCTAAACACAGGAAGACTAAGTTCCCCAGCCAAGTTCTGCAGGTAGGCAGGGGTTTCGTGGTAGGGGTTCTCAAAGTGGGCGGGGCTGCGTAACTGGTTCTGGCCAATGGGCTGTGACGAAAGCTGATACGCATCACTTCCTGGCTGATGCTTTTAGCAGCCAATGCCTGCTCTGAAGGCCGAAGCGGGAAAGATCGCTTGAGGCCAGGTTCGAGACCAGCCTGAGCAACATAGCAAGGCCTCCCACCCTGCCCCATCCTCGCCCAGTTCCCCAACAAAATGAAAAAAAATAAATTAGCTGGAAGTGGTGGTGCGCTTGTAGTCCCAGCTACTACGGAGGCTGAGGTGGCAAGATCGCTTGAGCCCAGGACTTCCAGGCTGCAGTGAACCGTGATCATGCCACTAACACTCCAGCCTGGGCGACACAGCGATACCTTCGTCTCTTTAAAAAAAAGAAAAGCAGGCCGGGAACAGTGGCTCACATCTGTAATCCAGCACTTTGGGAGGCCAAGGAGGGTGGATCACCAGGTCAAGACTTTGAGACCAGCCTGGCCAACACGGTGAAACCTCGTCTCTACTAAAAATACAAAAATTAGCTGGGCGTGGTGACGTGCGCCTGTAGTCCCACCTGGTCAGGAGGCTGAGGCAAGAGAATCGCTTGAACCCCGGAGGTGGAGGTTGCAGAGAACCAAGATCATGCCACTGGACTCCAGCCTGGGCAACAGAGCAAGACTCTGTCTCAAAAAAAAAAATGAAAGAAAAGAGAAAAGAAAAGCCAATGCAAGATTGCCTACGCTGTCTCCGCTCTGTCTACTAAAGCTGCTTTGGGGCCAGGTGCAGCAACAGAATAACAGAATTGCACAGTCCGATAACAACTAGCCACATATTACATGGGTTGAATGTTATTTTTCTTTTTTTTTTTTTTTTTGAGACAGGCACTCACTCTGTCGCCCAGGCTGGAGTGCAGTGGTGCCATCACAGATCACTGCAGCCTCGACCTCCCGGGCTCAAGCAATCCTCCCACCTCAGCCTCCCAAGAAGCTGAGATTACAGGCATGCACCACCATGCCCAGCTGTTTTTTGTATTTTTTGTAGAGACAGGTTCTCACTATGTTGCCCAGGCTGGTCTCAAACTCCAGGGCTCAAGTGATCCTCCCAGCTTAGCCTCCCAAAGTGCTGGGATTCCAGGCGTGAGCCACTGCGCCCGGCCAAATATAATCATTCAGTTCCTTGGTCGTGTCACATTTCAAGTTGTCACCAGTAACATGAAGTCAGTTGCTATGGTGTTGGGCAGGGCAGATATGGAAAAATTCCATCATGCTAGCCGGCACGGTGGCTCACGCCTGTAATCCCACCACTTTGGGAGGCCGAGGTGGGTGGACCACCTGAGGTTAGGCGTTTGAGACCAACCTGGCCAACGTGGTAAAACCCCATCTCTACTAAAAATACATTAAAAAAAAAATTAGCCAGGCATGGTAGCTACAGGCAGGCGCCTGTAATCTCAGCTACTTGGGAGACTGAGGCAGAACAATTGCTTGAACCCAGGAGGTAGAGGTTGCAGTGAGCCAAGGTCCCACCATTGCACTCCAGCCTGGGCAACAAGAGTGAAACTCCATCTCAAAAAAACAAAAAAAGAGAAAAATTCCATCGTGCAGAAAGTTCTATTGGACAACATTGCGCTAGATTCCTGACTAGAAGCAGGAGAACTGTTGCTCTGGAGAGGGCTTTGCATGTGCTGTGTTCATCCATGGAGATTTAGGTTCGTTCTGCTTTAGGTTCGTTTAGATTTAGGTTCCCACTGAAGCATAAGCCAACCTAGCCCAGCCCTGCCAGAATTCTTGCTTAAACAAAGAACTGAAAAGTCTTGTGTCATTTAAATGATGAATGGGTGCCACAGTGTGCCTTGGCTAACAGGTGGAGTGCTGACAGCTGAGGATGTTGATACTGGGCTGACCCCAAATGTGAGACCAGTTGGCAAATGGGATTACGGTCAACCTCCATTGAGTCTCAGATGTTCAGATGCCACTCTCTGTGATCTCTCTCTACCTAGCTTAGAACTACACCACCAGGGCCCGGTGCGGTGGCTCACGCCTGTAATTCCAACACTTTAGGAGGCCGAGGCGGGGGGATCGCCTGAGGTCAGGAGTTTGAGACCAGTCTGGCCAACATGGTGAAACCCCATCTCTACTTGAAAAAAGAAAAACAAAACACACACACACACACACACACACACAAAATTAGCCAGGCGTGGTGACATATGCCTGTAATCCCAGCTACTCAGGAGCTGAGGCAGGGGAATTGCTTGAACCAGGGAGGTGGAGGTTGCAGTGAGCTAAGATCGCGCCACTACACTCCAGCCTCAGCGACACAGCGAGACTCCATCTCAAAAAAAAAAAAAAAAAAGAACTACACCACCAGGCCAGGCTCCGTGGCTCACGCCTGTAATCCCAGCATTTTGGGAGGCCAAAGGAGGAGGATCACTTGAGGCCAGGAGTTTGAGACCACCTGGGCAAAATAGCAAGACCCCATCTCTAAAAAAAAAAAAAAAAAAGAGCCAGGCATGATGGCATGTGCCTGTGATTCCAGATACACAGGAGGCTGAAGCAGGAGGATCACTTGAGCCCAGGAGGTCGAGGCTGCAGTGAGCCATGATCCTACCACAGCATTCTAGCCTGGGTGACAGAGAACCTGTCTTAGAAAAAAAATAAAGAACTATACCACCAAAGGACTGTCATACTAAGAAAATCCTCAGAATCATTAGAAATGAAGCCATGTGGGGGCTTGTTTCTTGTTGCTATTGTTCATTTGGTTTGGGGTTTTTTTGTTTTTTGAGACAGTGTCTCAGTGTGTCGCCCAGGCTGGAGTGCAGTGGCACGATCTCAGCTCACTGCAACCTCTGCTTCCCAGGTTGAAGCGGTTCTCAACCTAGTGGCAGGTGGCGAGTAGCTGGGATTACAGGCACCTGCCACCACACTTGGGCTAATTTTAGTAGAGGTGGGGTTTCACCATGTTGCCCAGGCTGGTCTTGAACTCTTGGCCTCAAGCAATCTGCTCACCTTGGCCTCCCAAAGTGCCGGATTACAAGCGTGAGCCACTGCACCCGGCCTCTTGTTGCTATTGTTGATGGCTGTCTTGTGTTTCCCAGATGTCACTGAGCAGAGATCCATGGAATGTGGTGGGTTTCAGGAGTCGCAGCATTTGACTTGGGGGAGGAACAATTTTATTTCTGTCCTCCCAGAATGAGTGGGTCAAGGTTTGAGAGTGAAACAGTTTAGAATTGTACCTGATTTGAGGAAAGTGTCCATGCACTTCATGGCTATCAATAGTTACAAAAACAGCCGGGCATGGTGGCTCACGCCTATAATCCCAGCACTTTGGGAGGCCAAGGCGGGAGGATCCCCTGAGGTCAGGAGTTCAAGACGAGCCTGGCCAACATGGTGAAACCCTGTCTCTATTACAAAATCCAAAAATTACGTCCGGCGCGGTGGCTCATACCTGTAGTCCCAGCACTTTGGGAGGCCGAGGCGGGAGGGTCACAAGGTCAGGAGTTTGAGACCAGTCTGGCCAACATGGTGAAACCCCATCGCTACTAAAAATACAAAAAATTAGCTGGGTGTGGTGGCGGGCATCTGTAATTCCAGTTACATGGGAGGCTGAGGCAGGAGAATCGCTGGAACCGGGAGGCGGAGGTTGCAGTGAGCCAAGATCGCACCACTGCACTCCAGCCTGGGCGACAGAACAAGACTCCGTCTCAAAAAAAAAAAAAAAAAAGAAAGAAAAAGAAAAAGAAAAAGATTAGCCAGGCATAGCAGTTCACACTTGTGGTCCTAGCTACTCGGGAAGCTGAGACGGGAGAATCACTTGAACCCAGGAGAGGGACACTGCAGTAAGCTGGGATCGCACCACTGCACTCCAGAGCAAGACTGTCTTAAAAAATAACAACCTCAGCATTGCAGTAAGGTGCTTCCCTACAGAGGGTTGGTGCACTGAGCACTCAACACGTGGTTGCTAATTTCTGGGACGGGGTCCTGGAGGGAGGAGGCACAGGGGTAAAACAAGATACACTCCTCACAGGCACATTCAGTTAAATTCATCCAATATTTATTGAATCGTGAACGGTTGCAAACGTTGCCACAATCAGAAACCCACCCATCCTGATGCCTCTCTTGGCTTCCCCTTGAGAAGGATGCCTGAGGCGGGATGTCCCCCCAAACTCCAGGGGACAACTGGGGAAGACATGGGGTATGCAAAGAGATATGATGAAACCACGGGACAGGAGGAGGGTGGGGTGGTGTGGATTCCGGGGAAGACACATACACACAGACTCTCCCGCTCAGAGGCAAAGACCGGGGGCGTCAATCTCTGCCCCCAACAGCAGCCACGAGAACATCAGGGAAAGACCAGGTGTCCACAAGACTTTTCAGTCCTTCCTATCATGAAGCGTCTGCTGAGAGGGGCTGGGTCAAGGTCCCTGGACTGTGGAGAGAAAAAGAGGTGGTTGGGGTAGGGAGTCAGTTTGCAGGAACAGAGGCCAGGCGTGGGGCCCATGTTAAAAGGAAGAAAGATAGCCGGGTGTGGTGGCTCACGTCTGTAATCCCAGCACTTTGTGAGGCTGAGGCGGGCGGATCACTTGAGCCCAAGAGTTTGAGACCAGTCTGGGCAACATGGTGAAAAAAACCCATCTCTACAAAAACTAGAAAAATTAGCTGGGCGTGATGGTGCACAACTGTAGTCCCAGCTACTTGGGAGGCTGTGGCAGGAGAATCGCTTGAGCCTGGGAGGTGGAGGTTGTAGTGAGCTGAGATCGCGCCACTGCACTCCAGCCTGGGTGACAGAGCGAGACTCTGTCTCAAAAAAAAAAAAGAATTCAAAGCCTGCATGGTGGCACCCCACCCCACGCTCAACAGCAACAGTCCACAATGCATTCAGCTGATGCAGCTTTGGAATTAGGCAATTCCATTTTTCTTTTCCTTTATGTTAGAGGGATTTGCTTTGTTTCAGACCTGCACATAAGGCAAGATATCGTTTCTGCATTACTTCAAATTGGCACGTCCCAATTCACATTGAACATGACCTCATTCTGCTCTGGTAAAGAATTTTAGGAAATGGAACTTGAGTTTAACGCATTTGAAAACTAGTTTTCTGGCACAAGGCACACTGGGAGCTGGTACTTGGGTCCACAGTGTGTTGGGATGGGATACTCTGTTCTAGATCAACATGGAATGGGAACTGGTGCTGAAGGTTAGAGGGGAGTAAAAAGTATGGCCAGGCGCAGTGGCTCACGCCTATAATCCCAGCACTTCGGGAGGCCGAAGCAGGCGGATCACCTGAGGTCAAGAGTTCAAAACCAGCCTGGCTAACACGGTGAAACCCCGTCTCTACTAAAAAATACAAAAAATTAGCCAGGCGTGGTGGCAGGCGCTTGTAGTCCCAGCTACTTGGGAGGCTGAGGCAGGAGAATGGCGTGAACCCGGGAGGCGGAGCTTGCAGTGAGCCGAGATCACGCCACTGCACTCCAGCCTGGGCGACAGAGACTCCGTCTTAGAAAAAAAAAAAAAAATTTGCCCAGCATGGTGGCAGACATCTGTAATTCCAGCTACTCACGAGGCTGAGACACAAGAATCCCTTGAACCCAGGAGGCAGATGTTGCAGTGAGCCGAGATCACACTACTGTACTCCAGCCTGGGCGACAGAGCGAGACTCCACCTCAAAAAATAAACTATGCTCCAGGCCCTGCAGTGCCAGAGACCAGAAAAAGGGCTAGTAACTGTTCTAGAATGGGTTGGGTTTCACGCTTATCTGGACCATACTGGCTTACAAACTGGAAAATCAGACTCAGAAGGTGCTGGAAAGTAGTTCTTTGTTCCTGAGGTTCATATAGAAATTGCCACTTGTTCCACAATGTATTAGGCTGGAAACAATACTTGGTTCAGAGTGCTTAAGGAGGCCAAGCACGGTGGCTCACGCCTGTAATCCCAACACTTTGGAAGGCCAAGGCAGGTGGATCACCTGAAGACCAGCCTGGCCAACAGGATCAGACCTACTAAAAATACAAAAATTAGCCGGGCATAGTGGCATGTGCCTGTAATCCCAGCTACTTGGGAGGCTGACACAGGAGAATTGCTTGAACTCGGGAGGCAGAGGCTGCAGTGAGCCGAGATCGCGCCACTGCACTCCAGCCCGGGAGACAGAGCAAGACTCCATCTCAAAAAAAAAAGAAAGAAAGAAAGAAAAACAGTGATAAGGAACCAGTAGCCAACTCCAGGAACTAGTGGTCAATTCTAGTGCTTAGGAGCTGGTTCACATTTTTCAATTGCTGGGTTGGGAAGGGGGGCTCAGGTTTACAGTGTGTTGGGAGCTGGTGGTGTATTTCATTCTCGGCTCTATGGGGAGAACTGGGAGTCAGCTCTAGGGTTTTTTTGGAGCAGACAATCCATTCTAGAGTTAGCATTTGTTTCTAGAGCATTCTTGGACTCATGTTCAGTTCCAAAGTGGGTAAGTTTCTGGAGCTGGATCAGGTCTGGAATATTCCTAGAACTAATTCTCAGGTTCAGAGCCCGGTGATAATTAGTGACCTACTCGAAATTGTGGAGCAAGGAAATTCTGTCTCAAAACATGCTGGGAACTTGGCCGGACGCTGTCACATGACCTGCTGGGTTGGGAACTGTTTCTTGGCAATGGGACAAAGACCTAGAGTTCCGGATTCTGAACCGTTGGGTTGCTAGCACTTTTCATTCCCAAACCAGGAGAGCTGTTTTAGGGCAGCCCTCTGACCCCACCACCAACTCAGCTGTCATCTTGCATACCCCATCTCAGCTGTCATCCTGCATACCTCTGACCCTATCTCAGCTGTCATCCTGCACACCTCTGACCCCATCTCAGCTGTCATCCTGCACATCTCTGACCCATCACCATCTCAGCCGTCATCCTGCACACCTCTGACCCATCACCATCTCAGCCATCATCCTGCACACCTCTGACTCATCAGCATCTCAGCCGTCATCCTGCACACCTCTGACCCATCACCATCTCAGCCGTCATCCTGCATACCTTTGACCCATCACCATCTCAGCTGTCATCCTGCACACCTCTGACCCATCACCATCTCAGCTGTCATCCTGCATACCTTTGACCCCATCTCAGCTGTCATCCTGCATATCTCTGACCCATCACCATCTCAGCTGTCACCCTGCACACCTCTGACCCCATCTCAGTTGTTGTCCTCCACCAACCGGGTCTAACTTTATCCCGCTCGCTCTGGGGACACACGTGATGTCCCCCCCATCTCCCAGGCTCTCCACCCTGGGCCAAGGAGTCAGAGCATGGGGCAGGGAGAAGATCCAAAGGGTGGTGTCCCTGTCTAGTGGGCCCCCTCACCTCTGCCTTCAGGGCGCATTAGCCCTGAGCCAAGGCGGCTTTGATGGCGGCCACCAACTTCAGAAACTTGCTTTCTGTGTCCACGTAGCCATCGCCTTTCTAGGGAGGGGAGGAAGAGGGAAGGGGTGAGCTGGGACCGAGACACCAACCTCAGCCCCAACCCCATGCTAGCCCCAAAACCAGGCAGGACGGACAGACAGACATACCTTCTTAGAGTGAATCAACTTCCCGGCTACCATCACTTCAAAGAACCCGGTGGCCTGGGGAGTTCCCTCGCCGCACTGAGGAAAGGGGGTAGGGGAGATGTTGGAGGGGCTAAGATGTCCTCTTGGGGAGACCCTCCCCTTCCCAGGGGGATGAGAACATGGGTGAAGGGCGTAGGGCTGACCTAACCCCCCTGCAGTGCCATCCAGGCCTAACGGACCGACACAGTGGCTGTGCTCAAGTCTTTCTCCCCATCCCAAGACTCACGATGTCCAGGCGGCCGGGGAACTCATCTTCTAACTTCTTCTTGAGCTGAAGATACTGAAAACGCGGTGAGAGGTCACAGCAGGGGTCATACCAGTCAGCCCCCTCCCAATATGCACTCTACCCCTCCCCAGCTCCCAGGAATGCCCCCCGGGCATCCACTCTGCTTACCTTGGACTTGTAGCCTCAAGCGCCACTGGTAGGAGAGTCCAAGACATTGGGGCCCAGGGGAGAGAGGGAGAAGTGGGGGATCGGGGAGAGGAGGGTAGACACAGGCGGTGTGGGGAGAGAGCAAGATGGGGCCAGGAAGAAATAAAGAGGAACACAGATGACCAAGCAGAAGAGGTGACAGATGCCCTCAAGAGAGAAGACAGGCACCAGCCAGGCAGAGTTTTGGGACACAGCACAGGGGGTGGCGCGGGGACACACAGAGACACACAGAAAACCAACACCAAGCAAGAGACAGAGAAGGGGGAGGGGAAAAAGGGGAGAGAGGAGACAAGGAGACCACAAATACGAGAGACGGGGACGGGGGAAAACCAGGAGAACTGGATTAGGAGAAGAACAGCACACGTAAGGTCCCCACCCACTCCCTGTGCCCACCACCCTCACCCACAGCCCTCGCAGCACTCCAAGGAAAACCCTGCGGCTCCTGGATTCTTACACCACGCCCAGCTAATTTTTGTATTTTCACCATGTTGGCCAGGCTGGTCTCGAACTCCTAACCTCAGGGGATCGGCCCGCCCCAGCCTCCCAAAGTGCTGAGATTACAGGCAGGAGCCACCGCACCCGGCCCCGCAGCTCCTAGATTCTGAACACCTTCCCAGTCCCCAGGGTGAAATACAGGCTCACCCAACCCCCACAGCAGGCTATTTCGGGACTGGAATCTGGTGTACAGGCCTGGTAGGCGTCTCAAAATGTCACTCTTGCCTCTGCTTTGTCGAGCAGGCAGAGACGTTGGAAAGCTGCCGACAAACCCAGGTTCCAGTTACCCCTGTCACCTGCAGTCCAGACTTGAAGCTACTGACCTGCCCCCACCCCAGTCCCAGCCTCAGTTTTCTCACCTGTAACATAGAACTAAAATTCCTCTCTTTAATTTACTTTTTTTTTTTGAGACAGAGTCTCGCTCTGCTGTCCAGGATGGAGTGCAGTGGCACGATTTCAGCTCACTGCAACTTCCGCCTTCCGGGCTCCAGTGATCCTCCTGCCTCAGCCTCCCAAGCAGCTGCGACTACAGGAGTGCGCCACCATGCCCGGCTAACTTTTTAAGTTTCTGTAGAGACGAGGGGGGGGTCTCCCTGGGTTGCCCAGGCTGGTCTCGAACTCTTGGGCTCAAGCGATCCACCCGCCTCAGCCTCCCAGTGTTTGGATTACAGGCGTGATCAACGGCACCTGGCCTAAAATTCCCCTCTCTTAAGGGATTCCTGGGAGGATAAATTCATTGAACACGTATTTATTAAATACCTACAGCATGCCACACAGTATTAGGTGCTGGGGAGTGGAGAGAACGTAATTTATATCCTATCCTATTATACCCTTCCTGAGACTTGCAGAAATTAAGCGTGTTCGGTATTGACACAGAGCCTCCCTCTTGCCACAGACGGAAAACTGAGGCCAGAAAAGGAGTGGGGTTCGTGGCCAAGGGAACCCACTGGGCAGAGGCCAACAATTCAAGTGCTTCTGAAACACAGGCTGAGACATTCTCGAACCTTCTGGGCTCTCACTGTCCCCACCCCGCGACTGTTCGGGATATTGGGGGAGGGGAAGCCTTAGGGTGGAGGAGCCTTAGGTCCCTTTACAAAGCTGACCCCCAGCCCCTTCCCCAGCGGAGCCCCGGAGTCGGGGGTTCGAAATTGACACACACTCGTCTCAGCCCCACCTTTTATAACCCGAGATGCCCAGCGTGTCACAAGTCGAAGACGGGGCCTAGGGACGACCGCCCTCTGTTTTTCGCCCCTCCGTACGCCCACCCCACCCACATACAGGGGCTCCCTTTTCCCATACAAGGGCTCCCATGGGTCCTCTCCCCGGGGCTCCCTGACCCCGGCTCCGAGAATCGGGTCCCGGCGGGGGTCGGGGACGGGGGCCGCTGGCCGCTGGGCTTACCAATAAACGACTCGGACGGCGAGAGCCATGGCTCGGGGCTGCCACATCCGCTGAGGAGCGGACGCCCGGGCCACACTAACCTCCCACCTGGACGCGCTAGGTCTGCGCGAGTGCGGCGGGAACCTGCGCAGAAAGGATGGAGCCTCGGCTTCCCCTGGCGCCAACCAATGCCAGGGAGGGGCGGTGGGCGGTGGGCGGAGAGGCGCCAAGGCGGAGGATAAGGAACCCGCGACCCGCCAGCCCGAGGCCCCCACACAAGTCTCCTTCCCATCCTCCTGTTGGGCTGGAGAGAGTCTCGATACAGGCAGTCCCCGGGGGAAGCCCTCCGCGCGTCCCCTCCCAGGTCCCCCCGGCCAGAATGGTACGGCCCACGGGGGCGGTGATTTACGGCTGGCCGCTCCCAGCTGGACCCGGAATCAGCCTCAAGGGTGGTCTTTTCACTGCGTGGGCTTGGGGACGGCGCGGTGGGGACAGAAGCAGGGCGCGATTCTTGAGTCCCTCACCTCCCCTGGAGAGGGCGAGGGGGCGAGAGGGGAAGGATTCGGGGTAGACCAGGTGAGGGAGGAGACAGGGAGTTGAGGGGGAGGTTTTCAGGGAGCGGTCCAGGGCCCACAGTTGCCTTATAAAGACCTGCAGCCGCAGGGCGCGGTGGCTCACGCCTGTAACCCCAGCGCTTTGGGAGGCAGAGGCAGGAATTCAAGACCAGCCTGGGCAACATAGCCAGACTGCGTCTCTACAGAATAATAATAATAATACATTAGTGGCTGGGTGCGTTGGCTCACGCCTGTAATCCCAACACTTTGGAAGGCCGAGGCGGGCGGATCACTTGAGGTCAGGAGTTCAAGACCAGCCTGGCCAACATGGAGGAACCCCGTCTCTATTAAAAATACAAAAATTAGATGGGCGTGGTGGCGCGTGCCTGTAGTCCCAGCTACTCGGAAGGCTGAGGCAGGAGAATTACTTGAACCTGGGAGGCGGAGGTTGCAGTGAGCCAAGATCAGGCCAATGCACTCCAGCCTGGGTGACAGAGCGAGGCTCCACCTCAAATAAATAAATAGATAATAAATCAGCCGGGCGTGGTGGTGTGTGCCTACAGTCCCAGGCTACTTGAGAGGCTTAGGCAGGAGGCTCGCTTGAGCGCAGGAGTTTGGAAGCTGCTGTGAGCCGTGATTGCACCACTGCACTCCAGCTTAGGCCACCAAGCAAGACCCTCTCTAAAAAAACAAAAGGCCTGCTGCGGCTGGGCACGGTGGCACATACCTGTAATCCCAATGCTTTGGGAGGCCGAGGCAGGAGGACTGCTTGAGCCCAAGAGTCTGAGACCAGCTGGGGCAACATAGCAAGACCCCATCTCTACAAAAACTTTTAAAATTAGTCCGTGTGGTGGCATGTACCTGTACTCCCAGTTACTGGGGAGGCTGAGGTGGAAGGATCACTTTAGCCCAGGAGTTTGGGGCTGCAGTGAGCCGTGATTGTGCCACTGCCACCCCAGCCTGGACAACAGAGTAAGACACTGTCTCGAAAAAAGAAAGAAAGGAAAAGGCCTGGCCAGGCACAGTGGGTCACACCTGAAATCCCAGCACTTTGGGAGGCCAGGGTGGGTGGATCACCTGAAGTCAGGAGTTCGAGACCAGCCTGGACAACATGGCAAAACCCCGTCGCTACTAAAAATATGAAAATTAGCCAGGCGTGGTGGCGCATGCCTGTAGTCCCAGCTCTTCGGGAGGCTGAGGCAGGAGAATCACTTGAACCCAGGAGGTACAGGTTGCAGTGAGCCAAGATCACGCCATTGCACTCCTGTTTGGGCGACAAGAGCAAAACTCAACTCCATCTCAAAAAAAAAAAAAAAAGGAAAAGGAAAAGGCCTACTGCCGGACCTGGCACAGCCTGGTCATTCATTACAGAACAATAGTCACTCCCCATGAACCCTCTCCGTGCAGAGGGGATCGTCATGGAAAGTGCTAGAAACAGGCAGTTGAGTTGAGGAGTGAGGGTGCAGGGGCTTATCTCTGAGCCTGTTTCTCCATTTGGAAGTTGGGTGTAATTGCCTACAGGAAATGTTCACTCATTTAACAAATAGGTACTTCATAACCACCTGCAGTCCCAGTTTCCAGGGATACAGCAATGAATAAATAAACAAAGTCCCTTCCTTCATGGGAGTGATCTGGCAGGTAGAGACAAAGGGCAGGAAACAACATGAAAACAGCACTTCCATTAGATGGTTGATGTGAGCAGTAAGCGAGTTTATACAGGTAGGAAGAACTAGAGCTCTGACTGGCACACGGGGATAACTCAATAAACTCAGCCTGATGAGGTGGCTCACACCTGTAATCCCAGCACTTTGGGAGGCCGAGGCAGGCAGATCACCTGAGCTCAGGAGTTCAAGACCAGCCTGGCCATCATGGTGAAACCCTGTCTCTACTAAAAATACAAAAATTATCCCAATGTGGTGGTGCACGCCTGTAATCCCAGCTACTTGGGAGGCTGAGGCAGGAGAATCACTTGAACCCAGGAGACAGAAGGCAGTGAGCTGAGATTGCACCACTGCGCTCCAGCCTGGGCGACAGAGCGAGACTGTATCAAAAAAAAAAAAAAAAAAAAAAAAAGGTTAACTCTATCTGGGATTTCCCTGTCCCCAGATCCCCTAGTCTTTACCTCTTAGAACCCTAAGCAAAGTTCAAGTCGACTCCACCCACCTCAGTCTGATCCCCCTGATCTTGGGAGGATTTAATGAGCAAGTGCATGTAAAGCAACACAGGGCTGGGCAAAAAGTGAATGACCCACAAATAGAGCTATCTTCTGTGACTCCCAGAGCCCTCAACAAAAACTCAAACCTCTGCCTGGGCAACATAGTGAGACCCCATCTCTATAAATACAAATTATATATATAGATATGTATATACACAAAAATATATATACAAAATAAATATATACATACCATATATATTTTTTTGTTTGTTTGTTTGTTTGTTTTTTGAGACGGAGTCTCACTCTGTTGCCCAGGCTGGAGTGCAGTGGCACAATCTCGGCTCACTGCAACCTCTGCCTCCCAGGTTCAAGCAATTCTCCTGCCTCAGCCTCCCAAGCTGGAGCTACAGGCATGCGCCACCATGCCCAGCTAATTTTTGTATTTTTAGTAGAGACAGGCTTTCATCATGTTGGCCACACTGGTCTCCAACTCCAGACCTCAAGTGATCTGCTCACCTCGGCCTCCCAAAGTGCTGGAATTACAGGCTTTGAGAACCGGGCCCGGCCCCAGCCAATTTTTTAAAATATTTTGTAGAGACAAGGTCTTGCTATGTTGTCCAGGCTGCTCTCAAACTCCTGGGCTTAAGTGATGTTCCTGTCTCGGCCTCCCCAAGAGCAGAGATTACAGGCATGAGCTACCTCTCCAGGCTCAAATTTCCGAATTTTTTAAGGACACCAGTCATGATGGTTTAGGGACCATCCTACTCCAGTATGACCCCAACTGATTATATCTGCAACGACCCTACTTCCAGGTAAGGTCACATTCTAAAGTACGGTGGGTTAAGACTTCAATATGCCAATTTTGGGAGTGGACCCAATTCAACCCATAACAACATCATTCAGGCTGGGCGCGGTGGCTCACGCCTGTAATCCCAGCACTTTGGGAGGCCAAGGTGGGTGGATCACGAGGTCAGGAGTTCGAGACCAGCCTGGCCAACATGGTGAATCCTCGTCTCTACTGAAAATACAAAAATTAGCCAGGCATGGTAGCGGGCACCTGTAGTCCCAGTTACTCCGGAGGCTGAGGCCGGAGAACGGCGTCAGCCCGGGAGGTGGAGCCTGCAGTGAGCAGAGATCGCGCCACTGCATTCTAGCCTGGGTGACAGAGCGAGACTCCGTCTCAAAAAAAAAAAAAAAAAAAATAGAGATGGAGCCAGGCGTGGTGGCTCACGCCTGTAATCCCAGCACTTCAGAAGGCCAAGGCGGGCAAATCACTCGAGGCCAGGAGTTCAAGACCAGCCTGGTAACATGGCAAAACCCCATCTCTACTAAAACTAAAAAAAAAAAAAAAAAAAAAAAATTAGCCGGACCTAGTGGTGCATGTCTGTTGTCCCAGCTACTCAGGAGGCTGAGGCTCGAGAATCGCTTGAACCCAGGAGGCAGAGGTTGCAGTGAGCTGAGATCATGCCACTGCACTCCAGCCTGGGTGACAGAGGGAGACTCCATCTCAAGAAAAAATGAAAACTAAAAATAAATAAAAATAAGAATAGATATGAGGTCTCACTATGTTGCCCAGGCTGGTCTCAAACTCTTGGGCTCATGCAACCCTCCTACCTCGGCCTCCCAGAATGCTGATTACAGGCACGAGCCATCATGTCCGCCCCATGTGTTCATTTTTAGATCTGTAGGACAGTCATGGTTTTCCCTTTTTTCCCATAATTATCTTGTAACAACATTATCCTCAAGAAGGCCCTCTCTAAGCCCCTGGCTCCTCCATCGCTGGCCAAGCCACTGTGGTTGTCACAGGTCCCGTGCCCTCACTGATGTCCTCAGCACACTCTGCAAGTGGCCGGGCTCAATGCAAAAGCTCACAGGACCTTTTGTTGACCAGGCTCAGGGCTGAGAACTTGCCAGGGGCCTCAAGAGAGAAGGGACATCACTGCCTCTGCCACTGTGAACAAAAGGGCCTCTGTTGCCCAGAAGTGGGGGATGCTGGAGGAATTAGTAATGACTTCTGGGCTGGGAGGCCATCCCCCTCCCCTTTTCTCTCTCTTTCACACACACAAACACACACATGACAAATGGTAACACACAAGTGATCTCCTTCACCCATTTACACAATTGCACATCCAGACAAACCCAACCCAGAGACACAACACATCAAACACCTTTATTCAGCCACACAGCTATACAAAAGCACACCTTGTTCTCAATACATGACAGCCCTGGCCAAGCGCAGTGGCTCATGCCTGTAATCCCAGCACTTTGGGAGGCCGAGGTGGGCGGATCACTTGAGGGCAGGCAGGCATTCAAGACCAGCCTGGCCAACATGGTGAAACCCCGTCTCTACTAAAAATACAAACTAGACGGGTGTGGTAGCGGGCGCCTGTAATCCCAGCTACTCGGGAGGCTGAGGCAGGAGAATCGCTTGAACCCGGGAGGCAGAGGTTGCAGTGAGCCAAGATTGCATCACTGCACTCTAACCTGGGCAACAGAGTGAGACTCTTGTCTCAAAAATAAAAAACAAACAAACAAAAAAATTCTACTACATTAGGTAGGGAGAGAATGGGCAGTTTTCACAGGTTGAAGACACAAGGCACACTCCCAACGTTTTAAAGGTTGTGAATATAAGCAAATTCCAAATGCATATTTCCAGCCCAGGAATTTTCTCTGAATTCCAAATTTTTACCTCCAACTGCCTACTTCACATCTATACTCGGGCGTCTAATGGGCATCTCAATCACGAGTTCCCATTTCTCCCCTGCACCTGCCCCACCTCTGAGCCCCTCCTTCCTCAGTCTTCCCCATCTCAGGCAATGGCAACTCTAGACCAAGTCCAGAAACCTTGGAGTCACCTTTGGCTCTTTTTTATTCCCCTTGTACCTCGGCCAGTTACGGTGGATCTACTTTCAAAATATATTCCTAGGCTGGGCGCGGCGTGACTCACACCTGTAATCCCAACACTTTGGGAGGCCGAGGCGGGCAGATCACCTGAGGTCAGGAGTTCGAGACCAGCCTGGCCAATATGGTGAAACCCCGTCTCTACTAAAAATACAAAAATTAGCTGGGCATGGTGGCAGGCGCCTGTAGTCCCAGCTACTCAGGAGGCTAAGGCAGGAGAATCACTTGAACCTGGGAGGCAGAGGTTGCAGTGAGCCGAGATCACGCCACTGCACTCCAGCCTGGGTGACAGAGCAAGACTCCATCTCAAAATAAATAAATAAATAAACGATACAAACGATACACGTAAGCTAAAATGTACCATTAGGGATATTTTGTGCATTGACACTGTTTTGCAGCCATCACTCCTGTCTAGCTCCAAGATATCTTCTTCACCCTAGACGTTGCCCCGTATTCATCAAGCAGCCCCTTTCCACTTCTCATCTCCCCAGGAGTCCCTGGCTCCATGAATCTGCTTTTTGCCTTAAAGGATTTGCCTGTTTTGGATATTTCACATAAATGGACTCGTACAACAGGTGACCTTTTGTATCTGACTTAGCATAACGTTTTTGGGTTTTTTGTTGTTGTTGTTTTGAGATGGAGTCTCACTCTGTCGCCCAGGCTGGAGTGCAGTGGTGCGATCTCAGCTCACTGCAACCTCCGCCTCCTGGGTTCAAGTGATTCTCCTGCCTCAGCCTCCCGAGTAGCTGGGATTACACGCGCCCACCACCACGCCTGGCTAATTTTTGTATTTTTAGTAGAGACGGGGTTTCACCATGATGGCCAGGCTGGTCTCGAACTCCTGACCTCAAGTGATCCACCTGCCTCGGCCTCCCAAAGTGCTGGGATTACAGGTGTGAGCCACTGCACCCGGCCTAGCATAACGTTTTTGAGGTTCACACACATTGTAGCACGTATCCACCTCACAGTTTTTGCATTTACTGTGCCCTCTGCCTGGAACAGTTTTCCTTCAGATAATTGCCAGTTTCTCTCCTCGCTTCCTTCATATCTTTGCTCAAATGTCACTTTTCTTTTCTTTTCTTTTTCTTTCTTTTTTTTTTTTTTTTGAGATGGAGTTTTGCTCTTGTTGCCTGGAGTGCTGGACAACAAGGCTGGAGTGTAGTGGCACAATCTCAGCTCACTGCAACCTCCGCCTCCCGGGTTCAAGCGATTCTCCTGCCTCAGCCTCCTTAGTATCTGGGATTACAGGTGCCTGCCACCACACTCAGCTAATTTTTATAAAAGTAGAGACGGGGTTTCACCATGTTGGCCAGGCTGGTCTCGAACTCCTGACCTCAGATGATCTGCCCGCCTCAGCCTCCCACCAAGTGCTGGGATTACAGGCCTGAGCCACCATGCCTGGCCAAAATGTCACTTTTCACTGTGACCTCCCCTGACATCCTATTTAAAACTGCAACCCCTCCCCCAACATTCTGTGCCCCCTCTTCCTCATGGCCCTCGTCACCTCTGACATTCTATGTATCTTACCAATAATGATTTTGGTTTTTTTTTTTTGAGACAGAGTCTTGCTCTGTTGCCCAGACTGGAGTACAGTCGCATGATCATGGCTCACTGCAACCTCGACCTCCTGGGCTCAGGTGATCCTTCCAACTCAGCCTCCCAGGTAGCTGAGACTACAGGTGCACATCACCATGCCTGGCTAATTTTTGTATTTTTTTCACAAAGATGGAGTCTCACTATGTTGCCCAGGCCAGCGTGAAATTCCTGGGCTCACGTGATCCACCAGCCCTGGCCTCCCAAAATGCTGGAATTACAGGCATGAGCCACCACGCCCAGCCTAAGCATGATTTTTTCATGTTCTGTTCCATCTCTCCCTACTGGAATGTGCACCTCGAGTTTTTCTTTTTGGTTCTCTTTCCTGGTATGTGCCCAGAAACTAAACAGTGAGTGGCACGTGACAAGCACTCAAATCCTTGTCAGATAAATGCATCTTTAGGAAAATATTTAGTAAGTTTACTGTTGGCTGAATGCAGTGGTTCAGGCCTGTAATCCCAGCACTTTGGGAGACTAAGGTGGGTGGATCACCTGAGGTCAGGAGTTCGAGACCAGCCTGGCCAACATGGTGAAACCCTGTCTCTACTAAAAATACAAAAATTAGCTAGGCGTGGCGGTGTATGCCTGTAATCCCAGCTACTAGGGAAGCTGAGGCACGAGAATGGCTTGAACCCGAAGGCGGAGGTTGCAGTGAACTGAGATTGTGCCACTGCACTCCAGCCTGGGCGACAACAGCAAGACTCTGTCTCAAAAAAAAAAAAAAAAAAAAAAACCTTACTGTTGAGTCGCTTATATTAATGAATACAATTTCGAACATTATTCATTTTCACAAAAACCATCTATAAAACCACAAGGCGAGGCTGAGGCAGAAGAATTGCTTGAACCTGAGAGGCGGAGGTTTCAGTGAGTCGAGATCGCGCCACTGCACTCCAGCCCGGGTGACAGAGCGAGATTCTGTCTCAACAACAACAACAAAAAAACCACATGGCACTTATCTGAATGTTCACAAACATTTAAAACAATTAAATCATGTAAAAACCGTATGTGAAACAGGAAAGCAAACTCGGTCATTTGTTAGCACCAACCAAGGAAATTCTTATCTCACTCTCCCTGCGATAACTCCCCTCTCTCTCTCTGGGCCAGCACCAGGTGCTTGGAATTCAGGCATGTTGGTGGGGAGGGGGTGTCTGTTTAATTTCCTGCTCAAATAAGCCTTTGTACCTCCTTAAAGGGAAAAGGCATATTTCAGATTTAAAATTTTTTTTTAAGTAGGGCTTATAGGCTCTTCTTCCACTGGGTGCAGAATTTTCCAAAGACCCACTGAGTTCCCGTCAGGCCTCTTCAGTTTGCCAGGAACATAGGCACACTGAAATTTGTATTGTACCACAATACAAATGCATACGGTGCGAGGCGGGAATCTGGTATAATTTATTCTGGTCAATACGGTACTCAAAGTAGCCATCCCGTTATTTGTGTGCTGGCTACACAAAGGTATACGGTATCTGCAGGTGTCTGGGAGCATTCTGCAGTGCAGGTGACTTCCTCAAATGCCACCTTCTCAGTGAGGTCTTTTTTCTTTTAAAAATATATTTTTTACATAAATCTTCAGATGTACAGATCAGCAAATTTTCCATATGTATAATATCATTTAACCACCCCAGATCAAGATATGGATCATTTCCAGTTCCCCAAGTTTTTCTCACACATCCTCCCAGTTAATTCCCTCATAAGGGTCACCACTGGCCTGACTTATTTCACCATAGATCAGTTTGGCCTGTTCTCAAACTTCATATAAACGTAATCACATACTGTGTACTCTTTATGTCTGGATTCTTTCCCTTGACATTATGTCTATGGCGGGTGGATGGATGGATGATGGATGGATGGATGGATGGATGGATGGATGATGGATGGATGGATGGATGGATGGATGGATGGATGATGGATGGATGATTGATGGATGGATGATGGATGGATGGATAGATGATGGATGGATGGATGGATGATTGATGGATGGATCAACGGATGCACAAGTGGATGAGTGCATGAATAATTGGATGGATGAGTGGGTGGATGGATGGATGGATGGATGGATGGATGGATGGATGAGTGGATGCTAAACCTAATGATTTTTTTTTTTTTTGAGACGGAGTCTCGCTCTGTTGCCCAGGCTGGAGTGCAATGGCGTGATCTCAGCTCACTGCAACTTCCGCCTCCCGGGTTCAAGCGATTCTCCCGTCTCAGCCTCCCGAGTAGCTGGGATTACAGGTGCCCGCTACTACGCCCGGCTAATTTTTGTATTTTTAGTAGAGATGGGGTTTCACCATGTTAGGCTGGTCTCAAACTCCTGACCTCAAGTGATCTGCCCGCCTCAGCCTCCCAAAGTGCTGGGATTACAAGCGTGAGCCACCATGCCCGGCCTAAACCAAATGGTTTTAGCAGCCATTGATGATGGTTGCCCATGGATGGATGGATGAGTGGATGGATGGATGAATGAATAAATGGATGGATGGATGAGTGGATTAGTGAATGGATGAGTGGATGAATAGTGGATTATGAGTGGCTGGATGAATAAGTGGATGGATGGATGGATGGATGAATAAATGGATGGATGGATGAGTGGACAGATGGGTGGGCAGTTGGGTGGATAAATGGGTTGATGGGCAAGTAGGTGAGTGGACAGGAGTCTAGCCAGGTGAGGTTTCCTCCCAGAAGGAAGACCACTGATATGACATCCTGTCCTTCACACCCACCTTCTTTCTCCTCTCTCCTACTACCCTCAGTCCCTCCTGCTGTTCAATGCTCCCTGGACACCAGCAGCAACTGCGCCTGCCTGGTGGTTCACATCTAGCTGGAGCTCCAGCTAGTGGGCAGGGAGACATAGTGCTGCTCCCAGCAGCCACGCTGCAGCTCCATGCCCACTGGGAAAACACCTAGAAAGACAGCTGGGCCTTCAAGCCAGAGGCAACAAGAGGCTCCAAAAATCAACTGCAAGGAGGTGGCAGCCCTAAGTAGACACCTGCTGGAATTCTGGAATTCAGGATGTCCAGGTAACCAGAGCATCTCTGCCCACCTGGGGCTTCAGATGGCCTGGATTCCAGTCTAGTCACGGCAGTGCCTTCTACCCTCCTCAATATCTGTGTCTTGACGTGGAAGTAATCACTCAGTTTTTTGGTTGGTTGTTTTTTTGGAGACAGAGTCTCGCTCTGTCACCCAGGCTGGAGTGCAGTGGCATGATCTTGGCTCACTGCAACCTCTGCTGCCCGGGTTCAAGTAATTCTTCTGCCTCAGCCTCCCTCAGCCTCCCAAATAGCTGGGACTACAGGCACATGCCACCACACCTGGCTAATTTTTGTATTTTTAGTACAGACAGAGTTTTACCACATTGGCCAGGCTGGTCTTGAATTCCTGACCTCGTGATCCACCCGCCTTGGCCTCTCAAAGTGCTGGGATTACAGGCGTGAGCCTCTGTGCCCAGCCAATCACTCAGCTTTTTAAATGACATTCATTTGTTGAAGAAAGCAGGTTGATTGGGTTTCCTACTGTCTAGATTTGACTGGTTTCACTCTGTGGTGTCATCTAACATGCTCCTCTGTCCCTAGTATATTCTATAAACTGGGAGTTAAATCTAGACTCTACTGGCCAGGTGCCATGGTTCACACCTGTAATCCCAGCACTTTGGGAGGCTGAGACGGGCCTATCACTTGAGGCCAAGAGTTTGGGACCAGCCTGGCCAACAGGGTGAAACCCTGTCTCTACTAAAAATAGAAAAATTAGCCAGGCGTGGTGGCGGGCGCCTGTAATCCCAGCTACTCCAGAGGCTGAGGCAGGAGAATCACTTGAACCTGGGAGGTGGAGATTGCAGTGAGCAGAGATCACGCCACTGCACTCCAGCCTGGGTGACAGAGCAAGACTCCGTCTCAAAAAAAAAAAAAAAAAAAAAGAAAAGGAATTGATTGTGGTCCTTTTTCTTTCCTTTTCTTCTGAGCTCCTTATATAGTAAAAATCACACAGCACTTGGCAATGTGCTGGGCACTGCTGTCAGCATTTACAGCATAAATAAAGTAATAGGTATTACCTCATTTAACGATAGACACTAGTATTCTCTCTCTTGAGGCTCAGAGAGGTTAACTTCCTCAAAGACACACAGCTGGTAAGGGATGGAGCCAAGATGTGATTCCAGGAGCTTGGCTCCAGAGTCCATGCTACTAACCAATGCCCTGTATCACCTGCATCAGCAGGCGTTGATTAAGCACCTTCTGCATACAAGGTTCACATGACCCCTAATAGTTAAAGATGTTTAGGATGTCAGAGGAGAAGCTGTAGTTCCCTGTTCATGGAGTTCAGATGGGAATAATCGGACTGAGAAGACTTGAAACCAACCCCCCAGCTTTTAGGTGGGGAGCCCGGTATTGCTCTTGATTCTACTTCACGTGGGTGGGGTGGGGAGAAGGGTGCAATTCAGGCTGACTTTCTGGAGTAGAGGGGCTTGAGGACAAAGGGGCAGGAACCCAGTGGGCCAGGGAGAGGGGCCCAAGGCTGATGTGCCAACAAGAGGAGGGGTGAGGCGGCCAGACTTGAACGCCAGACTCAAGGTTTGGATGGACTCCCGCCAGTGACAGGGGCAGAAGCGAAGCCTGGGGAAAGCAGCTGAGATGGGGGAGGGGACATCAGGGCATGTTTCAGGTAAGTTCTGCTCATAAGTGTCTGAAGCCGAGTTGTGACTGGCTTAAGCACTTCGCTCGTGTAATGGAAAAGCCTAAGGGAGGGCTTCAGGCACAGCTGGATCCAGATGTTCTGACGTCATCTCCCTGAGTCTGTCTCCCTCTATCTCTCGTCTCTCCTTCCTTAGGTTCCCTACTACCTCTGGTGACTCACAGGACTGGAAGCCCAGAACCTCTATGTGGAATCCTAGACCACCACAGCTTTGGGTATGTGACACCCTGAAATTCTGTCCCTGGAGGGGGAAACATTCCTTCAGCCCCTAGGGGTTCTAGGTAAGGTCCCAGACTGGCAATGGGAGAAAAGACAGGTGGGTGGTTGTTAGGGGTGAAGCCTGACACCCTTGCTCACTGAAAAGCGGCAAGGGTTTGACAGATCTGTCTCAGCAACTTCTCGCCCTGCCCCCACCATGGCAGACACATGGCCCTAATGGCCAGGGACCCCTGTCCGCCTCCAGGCCCACTGCCAGAATCCACACCCTTCCCTCCTGCTCACCCTCTACCTTAAACCCCCCGTCTCCCACTCTCCAGGTCAGGAACCCCTGCTGGCTCCCGCTCCCCAACTCCAGTGGGCCGCAGTCCCGGTCAGGGCCAGTGTGGAGGCCTTTGTAACCAGTGTGAGCCACTCAAGTCTCACCAACTGACCCCCAAGCCACAGCCCCTAGACCTCCAGAAGGCCCCCTGGACAGACCTAGGAAGCGGTCTCCATGGACCTGCTCCTGCCCATTCAGAAAGCAGCACTAACCCGCTGGCCCTCCCAGGGTCTAGCTGTCACCCTGCCTGCTGCAGTGTGACCCCTTGAGGGATCCTGAGCAGGAGTGACAGGAGAGCTAGGGCCGCTTGGGACCTCCCAGACTGTCTGGTTCCTGGCACAGGCTCAAGGCGCCTCCTGGCGGCCACTGTCTCCCACGTCCAGATTCTCCTTGAACTTGGGCGGCCCTGCATTTGATGGTCACACAGGATCAGGGAGTGGGGGCATTATTGATCACGCAGGACCATGGTGGTGCTATGAGGTTGCTCCCAGCCCTGAACACCCCCTCCCCGGGCAGTTCTCAGCAATGGATACCCTGCCCCGGCCTCCTGGCTGACCCTCCTAGGGTGCCTTCCAGCCTTGTGTGGGCAGGCTGGGGAGTAGCTCATCCGCAGCCCCGATTCTCTCCCACACCCTCCCCGCCACCTCTGCTCAGTGCCCTGTGCTGGTCCCCACCCCCCACCTTTTTCTCCTTCCCCCAGACCTCCCTGCCTTTCACCTGTCACCTTTGGTCTACGTGCAACTCCTACCCAGTCCCACTGCCTCAAATGCCACAAACCCACACGCTGACCACACATCTCTCCCTGCCAGGTCCCCAGAGCTCTGGTTCCTGTGTCCGCCAGCTCAGCAACATCGCCGTTCACAAGCCAAACGGGAAGCTCAGGCCTAATCCAGCCAAAGCCTCATCTGAATTTCTCTGCCCCAAAACCTACTCTCACTTGAGTTGTGTCTACCCATTAACATGGATTTTTTTTTTTCTTTTTTCTTTTTTGAGACAGAGTCTCGCTCTGTCCCCCAGGCTGGAGTGCAGTGGTGGGATCTCAGCTCACTGCAACCTCTGCCTCCCGCGTTCAAGTGATTCTCCTGCCTCAGCCTCCTGAGCAGCTGGGATTACGGGCGCCCACCACCACGTCCAGCTAATTTTTGTATTTTTAATAGAGGCAGGGTTTCACCATGTTGGCCAGGAGTCCTCTGACCTCAAGTGATCCACCCCCCTCAGCCTCCCAAAGTGCTGGGATTACAGGCGTGAGCGTGAGCCACCACGCCCAGCCTTTTTTTAAAAAAAAAAAAAAAATAGAGACAGGAGTCTGAGCAAGATGGCTCATGCCTTTAATTCGGTCCTTGGGAGGCTGAGGCAAGAGGATCACTTGAGTCTAGGAGTTTGAGACCAGCCTGGGCAACATGGGGAGACCCCATCTCCACTAAAATAACAAAAATTAGCCAGGCATAATGGCATGCACCTGTGGTCCCAGCTACTTGGGGGGCTGAGGTGGGGGGATCACCAGAGCCTGGGGAGGTGGAGCTTGCAGTGAACCATGATCGCACCACTGCACTCCAGCCTGGGCAACAGAGCAAGACCCTGTCTCCAAAAAAAAAAAAAAAAAAAAAAAAAAAAAAAACTGTAATGCATGATTGTCTCTAGCACCTAAATAGAAACCACTCCAGGTATCTTACAGGGAATTGAGTGCTTACAAAATCATGGGAAGCTGGCCGGGCGCGGTGGCTCACACCTGTAATCCCAGCATTTTGGGAGGCCGAGGCGGGCGGATCACGAGGTCAGGAAATCGAGACCATCCTGGCTAACACAGTAAAACCCTGTCTCTACTAAAAAAAATTGAAAAAATTAGCCGGGCACGGTGGCGGGCGCCTGTGGTCCCAGCTACTCGGGAGGCTGAGGCAGAATGGCGTGAACCAGGGAAGCAGAGCTTGCAGTGAGCTGAGATCACGCCACTGCACTCCAGCCTGGGTGACAGAGCAAGACTCCGTCTCAAAAAAAAAAAAAATCATGGGAAGCGGAAGCAGCAGCTCTAGGCCAAGCCCTCAGAAATGACACCCAGGACAGCACTGAACTGACCCAGCAGGGGCACTGCTGTCTCCAGTTCCGCTGCTGGAACTGCTCGGTTCAAGGACGCCAGGTCCAGCTGCAATTCCGGGATCACTCCTGCCGTCCACGCCTCACAGGGTGTCTCTAATTGTTGGCACCGAATTCTCATCCAGAATCCCAGCTGCTGAGGTGTCTGGGAAATACAGATGTTGCTTCTAACCTCTGATGAAAGGATGGAGGGAGGTCAGCCCTGCCCACCCAGCACCCACCACCACGAAGAGCGTGGGAGCACGTGGAGAGGACACAGAAAAGCAGATCTAAGGAAGAAAATAAAAATCCGCCAGGCAGGGCGTGGTGGCTCACACCTGTAATCCCAGCACTCTGGGAGGCCGAGGCGGGTAGATCACCTGAGGTCAGGAGTTCGAGAACAGCCTGGCCAACATGGCAAAACCCAGTCTTTACCAAAAAGACAAAAATTAGCCAGGCGTGGTGACACATGCCTATAATCCCAGCTACTCGGGAGGCTAAGGCAGGAGAATCGCTTGAACCCGGGAGGCAGAGGTTGCAGTGAGCCGAGATGGTGCCACTGCACTCCAGCCTGGGGGACAGAGCAAGATTCTATCTCAAAAACAAAAACAAAGGAAGAATCCTGTCGATTCCTTTTTTTTCAAGTTTGCTCCATTACAGAAAATTTGGGGCCTGGCTCAATGGCTCACATCTGTAATCCCAGCACTTTGGGAGGCCGAGGTGGGTGGATCACTTGGGGTCAGGAGTTTGAGACCAGCCTGGGCAACATGGCAAAACCCTGTCTCTACTAAAAATACAAAAAGAAAAAAATTAGCCAGGCATGGTGGCGTGGGCCTGTAAGTCTCAGCTACTCAGGAGGCTGAGTTTAGGGGATCACTTAAGCCCAGGAGGTTGAGGCTGCAGTGAGCTGAGACAGAGCCACTGTGCTCCAGAATGAGACCCTTTCTCAAAAAAAAAAAAAAAAATTGGAAATGCTGGAAAAAAGAGTAAGAAGGAGTCCTCTGAAATCCTCCCACTCAAGAGACTTTTGGCATGGGGGTTTGTCTGATGAACGCCAGTGTGGACGGCAGCAGATCCTGTTTGCTTTTTCCCACAAAGTATCCAAACACAAACACCTCCCAGTGGCTGCAGGCACTTCCGACCCCTCAGTTAATGGCCACAGAGGTGGCGTCCATGTGGCCAGGGCCCGCCCCATGTCCATGACCACGTTTCCTCCCATTCTGCAGAACGTTCTCAAGGACCGGCCTGTGCAAAATGCTCTTCCCCAACTTCCGGCTGTTTCTGTAGGCCACGTTCCCAAGCGTGCAATCACTGCGTCAAAGGGTCAGAGCATTTGGGAGGAGCCTCTGGCACAAATTGCAAGTTTCTGCATCTTTTTAAAATCATCTTCCCCTACCCTAACATTGTTATAACAGCAAATGCTCACCTAGAGCTTCCCCTGTGCCAGGGCCTGTTCCGATCGCTTTCCGTGCAGACTCACTCATCCTTGTAATAACCCACAGCAAGATAAGCACTATTGTTATGTCCATTTTACAGATATGACACTGAGGCACAGAGAGGTTGAGTAACCTGCACAACATCACACAGCCAGTATGTAACAGAGCGGGTCTGAAATCAGGACACGGACTCCACCATGCTCTTCACAACCCCATACTGCTGCCTACAGATGGTCTCCATGGTTTGTTTTTGTTTTTGTTTTTGTTTTTTAAAGAGACAGGGTGGCGGAGATTACAGTGAGCCAGGATCGCATCATTGCACTCCAGCCTGGGTGACAGAGCGAGACTCAAAAAGGAAAAAAAATAGACAGGGTCTCACTCTGTTGCCCAGGCTAGAGTGTAGTGGCACGATCACCGTTTACTGCAGCCTCAAACTCCTGGACTCAAGAGATCCTCCCACCTCAGCCTCCTGAGTAGCTGAGACTATGGGCACATGCCATTATGCCCAGCTCATTTTTTTTTTCTTTTAGAGATGGGGTCTTGCTATGTTGCCCAGGCTGGTCTCACTCCTGGCCTCAAGCAATCCTCCCAACTCAGCCTCCTGAAGGGCTGGGATGACAGGAGCAAGCCACTACATTCGTCTGGTCTCCATCCTTCTAAAAAGCAAAGTCATACCCATGCCACAAGCTTTTTGTTTTGTTTTGTCTTGTTTTTGAGATGGAGTGTCACTCTGTTGCCCAGGCTGGAGTGCAATGGTATGATCTCGGCTCACTGCAATCTCCGCCTCCTGGGTTCAAGCCATTCTCCTGCCTCAGCCTCCTGAGTAGCTGGGATTACAGGCACCTGCCACCACGCCTGGGTAATTTTTGTGTTTTTAGTAGAGATGGGGTTTCACCATGTTGTCCAGGCTGGTCTCGAATTCCTGACCTCAGGTGAGCCACCCACCTCAGCCTCCCAAAATGCTGGGATTACAGGCGTGAGTCACTGTACCTGGCTGATGCCTGAGGCTTTTATAATCTGGAGGACCCGCTTTAGGAAAAATAATACCAAGTTACAGACTCAAAAGCAGGTGCAGGGCCATGATAGAAACCTGTGCCATTACATGGCCCCGAAACCCCAATGTGCCATTTCCCTATTAGGACACTTTCAGTTAAAGTCAAGGGAATTTTTCTGTGCATACCCCCATACCCCACCACCTAGATTCTGCCCTTAACATTTCAGTGCTTTTGTTTTATGGGGCATCTGTTCATTAATCCACCTTGTTTTACGTTTTTTTTTTCTTTTTCTTTTTTTGAGACAGAGTTTCACTCTTGTTGCCCAGGCTGGAGTATAATGGCGTGATCTCAGCTCACTGCAACCTCCGCCTCCGGGGTTCAAGTAATTCTCCTGCCTCAGCCTCCCAAGTAGCCTAGCCGGGATTACAGACGCCCTGCCACTACACCCAGCTAACTTTTGCTATTTTTAGTAGAGATGGGGTTTCACCATGTTGGCCAGGCTGGTCTCAAACTCCTGACCCTCAGGTGATCCGCCTGCCTCCCAAAGTGCTGGGATTACAGGCATGAGCCACCGCGCCAGGCCTGTTTTACATTTTTCAAAGGAAACTGCAGACATTAGTGAAATTCGGCTTGTAAATTGTTAGCCAGAGTTCTGTATTTTGTTTTAGTCTCGCTGTCACCCAGGATGGAGCACAGTGGCATCATTATACTATGCTGCAGCCTCCACCTCCTGGGCTCCAGCCTCAGCCTCCCGAGTAGCAAGGACTACAGGAGCACAACACCATGACTAAATAATTTAAAACTTTTTTTTTTTTGAGACAGGGTCTCACTGTGTCACCCAGGCTGAAAGGCAGTAGATTTTGGCTCCCTGCAACCTCAACCTCCAAAGCTCAGCTGATCATCCCACCTCAGCCACCTGAGTAGCTGGGACTACATGGCACACACCACCATACCTGGCTAATTTTTTCCATCTTTTGTAGAAACCAGTGGGATTTTGCCATGGTGCCCAGGCTGGTCTTGAACTCCTGGACTCAAGCAATCCACCCACCTCAACCTCCTAAAGTGCTAGGATTACAAGTGCCACTGCACCGGCCTAAAAAATGTTTTTCTAGAGATGGAGTATCGCTGTGTTGCCCAGGGTGGTCTCCAATTCCTGGCCTCAAGCAATCCTCCTGCCTGGGCCTCCCAAAGTGACAAGATTACAGGCGTGAGCCACTGCGCCCAGCTGAATTCTGTACTTTTAGGCTTCTGACATAAAATTCGGATGTGAAATGTCATTTCTGTGCAAACACCCACAAACCCCTTTGCTGTGGACCCCCCATTTCACACACGGAAACAGACACATTTTCCCAGGCAATTAAATACCAAGGACTTCCTGAGGACACTAAGTGTCCAGGCCACAGAGTTTGTCCTTGAGTGGCTGTGACCACCCTCACCCCTGGGTATCCAGGAATGTGCCCGACGCTCCAATCGCCGTGTCCGGGCATTAAGAGCTTCCTCCCCATTTCCAGCAGTTTCCTTCAGTCACCCCTGGCAGAGTCACTGGGTCAGAGGCTGGCCTCCTTGATAGATGGTGTTTTTTTTTTTCTTTTTTTCCTGAGATGGAGTTTCACTCTTGTTGCCCAGGCTGGAGTGCAGTGGTGCGGTCTCAGCTCACTGCAACCTCCGCCTCCCAGGTTCAAGTGATTCTCCTGCCTCAGCCTCCCAAGTAGCTGGGACTATAGGTGCGTGCCACCATACCCAGCTAATTTTTATATTTTTTAGGAGAGATGGAGTTTCGCCATGTTGGCCAGGCTGGTCTCGAACTCCTGACCTCAGGTGATCCACCCACCTCCACCTCCCAAAGTGCTGGGATTACAAGTGTGAGCCACTATGCCCGGCCTCATTTTTACCTCTCCCTACTGCTCTATCGTCCACACATCCACCCCCCGCCGCCCCCAACACACACACACACAGCTGTTTTCCTACCTGCAGAACACACCTTTTTATTTAATATGGGAGGGGGAAGAACAGCAGAAATAGCTCCTTAAAGCCTTGTTCTGTGGCATGTGGTGGGGAGGTGGGAAGTTCTGACGTAAGTCTCTCCCTTCTATTTTATTTATTTATTTATTTATATTATATTTTATTATTTTTTGAGATGGAGTCTCACTCTGTCGCCCAGGCTGGAGTACAGTGGCACTATCTCGGCTGACTGCAACCTCCACCTCCCGGGTTCAAACAATTCTCCTGCCTCAGCCCCCCAAGTAGCTGGGACTACCAGCACACGCCACCACACCCGGCTAATTTTTTAGTACTTTTAGTAGAGACGGGGTTTCTCCATGTTGGTCAGACTGGTCTTGAACTCCTGACCTCAGGTGATCCACCCGCCTCAGCCTCCCAAAGTGCTGGGATTACAGGCATGAGCCACCATGCCCAGCCTCACTCATTTCTTTTATAAACTGCCTGCTCTATTTTTATAAACATTTTGTCCTAGAGAAGCTTTCCCAAAGGCCATAGTATAAAACGGAGAAAGACCAACAGAAAACGTAACACCCTTCCTTCCTGACAAAAGACACCACATACAAAGTCAAAAGTCAAAAGCAGCCTAGGGGAAATGTTTGCGACGTGTATGACAGACTGTGGGTCCACAATAAATAAAGAGCTACTACAAATAAACAAGAAAATGACAAACAGCACAGGAGAAAAATGGTCAAAAGGTTTGTACCAACACAGAAGAGGAATGTGAATGAATGGTCAGCAATCATATAAGGAGATGTTTAAGACAGGTACAGTGGCTCATGCCTGTAGTCCCAGCACTTTGGGAAGCCAAGGTGGGTGGATCGCTTGAGGTCAGGAGTTTGAGGCCAGCCTGGGCAGCATGGCAAATCCCCATCTTCAATAAAAATACTAAAGTAGCCAGGCATGGTGGCATGTGCCTGTAATCCCAGCTACTTGGGAGGACGGAGGTGGGAGGATCACTTGAGCCCAGGAGGTCAAGGCTGCAGTGAGCCAAGAAGCTGGGATTGCACCATTGCACTCCCACCTGGGGAACCCTACCTCAAAAAAAAAAAAAAGTTCAACCTCACTGGTAACCAGACACAATCAAATAAAAATAATGGAATCGCACCGTAGCAAAGCTACACGGCAACAGGCAGGCTCCTCCTATGCTACCAGAGAGTAAAAATCAGCACAGCCCCTTTGGAGACCAATTGGGTTGAACCTATCAAATGACCTGTTACAGACACATGTATCCTTCAGCCAAGATTCACTTCCAGGTACTTAACTACAGACACAAGTAAAAAGGCACGTGGACAAAGACATTGTTTCGGTTTCATTAGGAGGAGCCACACTGGCCTGGTTAAGAAACACAAGGCACACCCTCGTAATGGGATTCCACACAGCCACAAAACAGAAGGAAGCAGTTCTGTACAGACACAGAATTACCTCCAAGATGCACTGACAGCAAGCTGCAGAATCACGCACAGTGTGATCCTAAGACACCAAAAAAAAAAAAAACCAATTCTATCCTCACAAGTACATGCGTGAAATTTACGTTAGTTTTTTGGGGGGTGGGGGGGTCGAGACAGGGTCCTCTTTGTCATCCAGGAGAGACTGCAGTGGCGCAATCTCAGCTCACTGTAGCCTCCACCTCCCAGGTTCAAGCGATTCTCCTACCTCAGCCTCCCCAGGAGCTGGGACTACAGGTGCACACCACCATGCCTGGCTAATCGATTATGTAATTTAATAGAATCACACAGGGAGCATAATCACTCAAACCACACTGCAGTGACTGCTTGACAGGCAGCTCCAGAACAGGGGCGTGGATGTGACTGGAGGGCAAAGGTCAACAGTGACAGACACGTTTTGACAATGATTTACAGTGAGAATAAGTTTTTCGTTTCTTGTAAAGATTTTAAAAACGTTTTCAAAATAGGCACAGAAGGGAGGAAAATTACCTCATTTTATGTGCCTCTGTTTCCTCACCTTTGTTACTTAAGTTTTTGGTACAGGTCTCCCTCTGTCACCCAGGCTGCAGTGCAATGGCGTGATCATGGCTCACTGCAGCTTCCACCTCCCAAGCTCAGGTGATCCTCCCACCTCAGCCTCCCCAGTAGCTGCGACCATAGCTGCATCCCACCATAACTGGCGAATTTTTGGTAGAGATAGGGTATGGCTATGTTGCCCAGGCTGGTCTCAAACTCCTGGGCTCAAGTGATCTGCCCGCCTCAGCCTCCCAAAGTGATGGGATTACAGGAGTGAACCACTGTGCCCAGCCCTATTTCCTCACCTTTAAAATGGGAATAAGTACAGCCCTCATTGGTTAGGCCGCTGTGAGTTCAGTGAGTGAATCCACCTGCTTAAACCCGATAGCAGGTGTTCTATCGGCAGAGGTCAGCTGCCACCACTCCTTCTATCAGTGTGGCAAGAGCTGCTACGTCACCCGCAGCAGAAGGAACTGGGCTATTCTCCAAGTCGGAATCCAGTGGGGGAACCTCCTCCTCACCTCTGCTTCACCTCCCACCTCCAGACAGGCCATAAGCCCCGCGCCCTCTGCTTCACCTCCCACCTCCGGCCAGGCCATAAGCCCTGTGCCCTCTGCTTCACCTCCCAACTCCGGCCAGGCCATAAGCCCTGCGCCCTCTGCCTGCTGTCTTTTTAGGATCTGCCCAGGCTTGGAAGGGCTGCCAGCTTCACAGCTATTGGACAGACCACGATCCAGTCGGCTGATGACCCCTTCAGACACACCCTAGGCCCTCACCAGGCTCTGGCGGTGAGTTCTGGCACCTACATGCTTGTGCGCCACGGGGGGACACGCAGAGTCTGCACCCGGGAGCAGCCGCCCGCAGGAGGCACACAAGCCACACGTGGAGCCCACTGATCAGCTAGAAGAGATTTTTTATTGAAGGGCGAGTCTCCGGCATCTGATGGCAGCTACAACCTGGGGACAGAGGAAAGGAGCTGAGGGTGGGTGAGAGGGTGCCCCATACCCCCTGCCGACCTGACACCCCCTGCCTTTCAGTTTCCCTTTGGGGACCCTCCCAACCCCGCTCTGGTTTCAGGGCCTCTTCTGGGCATGGCCAAGGGGGTGTGGCTCAGCCACTAGCCACACTCTGGAAGGGGCCCTGGGACTCGGTGGGCACCACGGGGTGGGAGAAGGGCTCCCTTCCTTGCGCCGAAGCCGGGTGGACTCACTGGATCTCACGGAACGCCCGCTTCTCCACCAGCTTCACCTTGTACTTGCGTTTGAACCTGGAGCAGGGACAATGGAGCAATCAGTGCCCGGGGCCAATCCCAGATGCCCTCGCCCCACAGCAGCCCCGGCCGCCCCTTACTTGGCTCTCTCTCGAGGCTCGATCATATTCCTCCTCTGGAAGCTCTTGAACCGGTCTCGAAGGATGTTGCCCTCGGGCTACAGGACAGAGAGGGAGGCCTCAGCAGGGCCTGGCAGAAGCCCAAGGGCCTGGACCTCTCCTCGGGGTCCTGGCAGGGCTCAGCCCCATGCAGTCTCCCCCCAGGGCAGCCTGTGGGCACCAGGGACTCAGCCTGGCCCTCAGCTGCTGGGGCTCAGTGTTGGGATGACAGCCACCAACCTATGGCCATCTCTAAGCTGGGCTTAGAGGAGTCACGGGAAGTGGGCTGGTGACGACACAGAAAAGGGGACAGCGAGGGCAAAGGCTGGATCAGAGGGAGAAGGCACAGTCCGCTCATGAGCACAACTGGCTGGAGCCCCACGGCCGGGTCGGCCCAGGCGTGTGGCTGACAGAGGAGCTGGGCTTCCTCAGGGGCACTGGGGAGCCACAGCAGGTTCCGAGCAGGGGAGGGACAGGGTTGGTTCTGAGCTTCAGGAAGGTCCCTCTAGTCCTAAAGGTGACCGGGACTGCAACAGGGACCAGCTGGAAGGAAAGGCCTTCTTAGGGTCCCGGACTCAAACCTTAGCCTGGCCCCTCACCCTGGGATCTCATCCCAGCATCCCGTGCCCTCAGCCCCTGGGCATTGGCCCCACTGGCCCAGCCCAGGGGCAGCCATGGTGTCGCCCATAGCCCCTGGGGGGCACGGGGAGCAAGGATGGTGTCATCACTGGGCACGGGGCTCCACGGCAGGACACAGTGAGCACCTTCAGGGTCCTGAGCGAGTCTGTCAGCTCCGAGCTCAGCTGCACGTCGATGTCAGGTGCCTGGTACCTGCAGAACAGGGCGGGTGTTCAGAAATATCACCCCCGCGGGGCCCAGGACACCCAGTCCAAAGCCCCCTCCTGGAGAAGAAGGGGCCTCTGAGAATGTGGGGTTTTGTGGGGGAAGAGGTGGTCTCCCGATGGGGGGGGTGGGCAGTTCCTGAACAAAGGCAGGAAGGTGTCAGGACCTGGGACCCGGCCCCCTCCCCAGCCTCTCCCAGAACCCCCGGCCTGGTTCTCACTTGAGCCGCCCCAGCCTTCGGGGCTTGTCAGCCTCAGCCTCCCGCCGCGCCTGCCGCCGCCTCTGCCGCCGCGCCAGCTCCGCCAGCCTCAGGGCCACCTGGGCCTTGATCCCGCGCAGCCGGAACAGCTCCTGGTGCCGGAGCCGGGCGGCCCGCAACGCGGCCTGCTGTACCCGCTGTGGAGACGGGGGAGGGTCAGGGCTCAGGCCGGTGCTGCCCACACAGGGAGACCTTCTCTCTACACAGGGAGCCTTCCCTGCACAAACCTGCCTGTCCCCGGAGGCCCTTCCTAACCCCGTCACATCAGCGGCCCCTCCAGTGCCTTCCCAGCAGCTGTTTGCTGAAGCCCCTTTTGTCATCCATCTCCCCTGGTCTGCGGTGCAGAAACCTCCCCCCACCCCGCCCCTCAAACAGAAGCGCCAGGGACCCTGTCCCACCCCAGCCCGAGCCCTGCCTGGAAGAGGCTGGGAAATGAGTCTCAGCTGTGAGGATCCCAAACAGCCCAAACCACAGGCCACATGCGGGGCTTGGGGTGTGCAGGCTGCCCGCAGCACCCAGGGCAGCCCATGGTGGGAGGAAGGAAGGAAGGGGGCGAGGCATCAGAGGCAGGCCCCGCTGGCCCAGGCGCTCACCAGCCTGTGCACAGCCTTCTCCCGCCGCCGCTGCTGCTCCGTCTTCTTCTCTGTGGTGGCCAGGCGGGCGGGCGTGGGACAGACCTCGGCATCCCCAGCCTCCGGCCCCTCGCCCTGGCCTGGCTCCCCCTCACCATCCGACTCCTCCAGCAGCCCCTCGCACAGCTCCTGGAATGTGGACTCCTGGGGAGGCGGGGTGCAGTGTCAGGGGTGGGTAGGAGGCCCGGGGAGGGGAGGGAGTGGGCAGGTGCGGGGCTCACCTGGGTGGCGGCCTGCTCCGTGGCGGGCAGGGCCAGCTGCCGCTCCAGCTTCTCCGCCTCCTTCTGCCGCTGCAACTCCACCTCGTGGGCCGCTGAGAGCAGGGTCTGAGGGGCGGGAGTGAGGATGGGTCCCTGAACCCCTCCTGGGACACTGAGACTAGACCCTCTTACCTCCCATCTGTCCCTCATCCAGTGCCCGTGGATCCCGCCCCGGCCCAGGCTTTCCTCCCCACACCCCGTCTACCAGCACACCCACCCTGCACAGAGCCAGAGGGCACCTCAAACCCTCGCCCTCACACCTGCTCTGCACGTCTGTGAAGGCAGTCTGACCTGCACGCTTCACATTTTTTTTTTGAGATAGAGTTTCTGTCTTGTTGCCCAGACTGGAGTGCAATGGTGTGATCTCAGCTCACCACAACCCCCGCCTCCTGGGTTCAAGCGATTCTCCTGCCTCAGCCTCCCGAGTAGCTACTATTACAGGCATGTGCCACCATACCCGGCTAATTCTGTAACTTTAGTAGAGATGGGGTTTCTCCATGTTGGTCAGGCTGGTCTTGAACTCCTGACCTCAGGTGGTCCACCTACCTCGGCCTCCCAAAGTGCTGGGATTACAGGTGTGAGCCACCATGCCCGGCCCACAGTTTCATCTATGTGAATTGGTCAGGGTGGGCTGGTCCCTGAGACAGGAAGCCTGGCAGCCCAAGACCACACGAGACAGGGAATTGCGGGGGTGATGGCTGACATGTGTGAGGTTTCCTTTACGGACAGTGAAAATGTTCTAAAATTGACTGCGGGGATGGTTACACAATGGTCACTAAAAGCCACTGAATCACATACTCTAACTAGGCTGACCGTATGGTTAAGTGAATTTTATCTCTACGAAGTAGTTCTGTACAAATCTAAAAGTGAATGTCTGATCTCCACGCCCCCTCCCACATCTGGTCCAGGAACAGATGGCAGTGAGCGGCACCCTCACGCTTTCAACCATGAGCACACTGTTGCTTTTTTCCGCAGACACTTTTCTCTACCAGATGAGGAAGCTGCCTCTGTTCCTGGCTAGCTATCTCCTTCTTATGAATGCTGAAAACGATTCGGACAAGCGGTCCTGCATCTACCGCAAACATCTCAGCATCTCTCCAGTCACGTGACCCCATGAGAAGGGCTGTTCCTTGAGGGAGGGTTGTGCTTGTTTTTTGAGTCTCGCTCTGTTACACAGGCTGCAGTGCCGTGGTGCGATCATAGCTCACTGCAGCCTGGACCTCCTGGGCTCAAGCAATCCTCCCACCTCAGCCTCCCAAGCAGTTGGGACCACAGATGCGTGCTGCCATGCCCTGCTAATTTTCTGTATTTAGTAGAGACAGGGTTTCACCATGTTGGTCAGGCTGGTCTCCAACTCCTGACCTCCAATGATCTGCCCGCCTCAGCCTCCCAAAGTGCTGGGATTACAGGTGTGAGGCACCGCACCCGGCCAAGGGAGGGGTTTTTGTCCCCTTTGTCCACAGCATCTGTGCTCAACAGATGCCCGCTAAATGCACAGTGGCTCCAGCTAGACTTTCCCATCGCTGAGCTAGCCTCGCCCATATATAACTGTCACTTGGCTGCCAGTGTGCCACCGTGTCACCACAGCCTTTTTCATCTCTGCCCCACAGGCTTCCTGGAAGGCGCCACGGTCTCTCTCAACTCTGTGCCTTTGCAGTGCTGTTCCCACCACCTGGAAAACCCACTCCCCTCCTCCCACTGCAAACCCCTCCCTCAGCCTCTGCCTCGGCTCAGGCGACCCCTCCTCCCGGGAGCCCTTCCTGACCCCCCAGGCTGGGCCAGGTGCCCCGTCTGGGCTCCCAGCCCCAACCACTCTGCCCATCACTGTCTGGGAACAGGTCTCTTGCACTGGACCGTGAGCCCCGTTGCGGACAGGCCCAGGGCTGTCTGGGTCATTGGAGTTCCCAGCACAGGGAGGAAGCTAGTGAAGGCCTGACCAAGAGGCAGAGCCCACTGAGGAGGGAGGCCTGGACGGGGCAGTGTACCTGGTGGTCTTCAAAGGATGGATTGTAGGAAGCTCCGGCAGGCGCCACCTCCACGGCGGGTGCCTGGGACGGCTTGGTGTGCAGGCGTGCTGGCCGCTGTGGAGAAAAGGCCGAGGCAGGGTAAGGCCGTGCGTTGGGGCTGCGGGTGACCCAGGACACAGCCATGGGGCAGATGCTCCAGGCCTTGCCAGTGGTTGGGTGTGGGAAGAGCTCAAGGGGCATTCAGGTGACTCCAGAGCAAGACTCCATCTCAGAAAAAGGATAGCAGCCTATCCTCTGCTACCCACGAGGCTGAGCCCCGGAGATTGTAAGCACCTGGGCTCTAACACTTGGGGTCCAGCAGCTCAAGAAGGAGGCTGCAAATCCAAACTCAAACCCGTGACACTTCTGCCACTTGCCAGCACGGGCTCCACCTTCTCATGTGCTACCTCTTTACATTCTCCCCACCGACCCATGATCTAAGTACAATTTCATCTGTATTTTATTTTATTTTTTTTTTTGAGACAGAGTTTCGCTCTTGTTGCCCAGGCTGGAGTGCAGTGGCATGATCTCGGCTCACTGCCACCTCCACCTCCCTGGTCCAAGCGATTCTCCTGCCTCAGCCTCCCTAATAGCTGGGACTACAGGCACGTGCCACCAAGCCCAGCTAATTTTTTTTTTGTATTTTTAGTAGAGACAGGGTTTCACCACGTTGGTCAGGCTGGTCTCAAACTCCCGACCTCAGGTGATCCACCTGTCTCGGCCTCCCGAAGTGCTGGGATTACAGGCGTGAGCCACCATGCCCGGCCCTCATCTGCATTTTAGAGGAAGATATAGGTTGCAGAAAGGTGAGACCACCTTCCCAGGATCAGTCAGCACTGGAGCTGGGACAGGAATCCCAGCCACCTGGCTCCAGCACAGAGTTCTCGGCCACTGGGATGGAAGGGCTCTGAGACAGACTCTACTGCAGGAACACAGAGCAGCTCCCGGCCCTCCTCACCCTCCCATCACCCAGGATGCCCTTCCCACACATCTCACCTTCACTCCTTTCTTCTTGGTCTGCTCCAGGAAAAACTCATCCTGGCCAACCAACGGCCTGTCCAGGGGGTCTGTGGATACAGCGAGGGGAGCTGCTGGGACAGTCCCAGCATGGAAGAGGCACCAAAGGCTCCCCCCCAATCCCTCCACATTTCAAAAAGGTGACCCTGAAGCTCAGGCAAGGGAAGGACTGATTCTAGACCCCAAGGGCCTTGATCACCAGGACAAAACTGTGTCTGGACGGGTTCAGAAAGTGGAAGAGACCAAAGCTGAAGGCTTCCTTTCCTGAAGCCTCACAACTCAGGAAAGGAAAAGCACGAGTGGGAAACGGCCGCCCCTTCAGGACGCACGACTCTGCTGGGAGGTCACCAAAGCACCCACAAAGCACTCCCTTTCACACTGTACTCTCGTGCAGTGCACAACACACACAAACTGCACATGGCCGTCCTGTCCCCATTCATAGGTGACAGCAGGATCACTCACTGTCTGAGGCCCAGAGGTCGTAGAAGGGCCGCTCTACGGTGTCCTGGGGCCCGGGCTTGGCCCTTGTTGCAGAAGGGTTGAGGAGCCGGGCCTGGGCCCTGCGCACCTCCCGGGGCAGCTCGCCCTGCTTGGCCAGCTTCTCCCATAGCTGCTCCTTCCGCCTGAGCTTCTTGGCGTTGGGGACCTGGTGGGCGAGGACGCTGGTCGGGGAGAGGGGGCACAAGTGCAGCAGGTGAGGTGGCAGCCTGAACGGCAGCAGGGCCTCCTCCCCGTCGGGCTTCCTCCACCATTAAGGCAGCTTCAGCACCCCCTCTCCAAAAGGTGGCACTCCGCCCCCTCTTCAGAGAACTCCTCTCCCCACGTCTGTCTCCAGCCTAGGCCTCCCCTCTGAGCCCCAGACTCAACGAAGCAACAGCCCCGTCCTGGACATACCCCAGGCACCTCACACCACCACGTCAAAACCAACCTCAGCATCACCCGAAATCCCACTCCTCCACATCCCCATCTCAGGGGAAGGCCAGCTGTCCACCCTCTCACCCGCTCATGCCCCAAGACCCACCTGATGTGCCTCCTGAACACGCCTCCCACTCAGCCCCTCCTCTCCAACCCCGAAGCCCCCAGCTGGGTCCAGGCCCCTCCTCACCTGCCTCGGCCCAGCACCAGGGCACCCAGACTCCCTCCCTCTAATCTGCACTCCGAAGCCCAAACCTGAGCCTGCCCTACCCTTCAAATGACCCTCACCTACCAGCCCCCAGCCCCGGAAACCCTTTAGGACCAGAGTCTGGTGGGAAAGAAGGGCCCAGGGATGCTGGGACACTCACTCTTTGGGGGCAGGGACTTTGGATGTGTTCTCGAGGATGAGGTCAACCCGAAGGGGTTTCTTGAGAAGCAGTGACTTCTTCTGGACTTTGGTTCTCTTCTTTGTCAGCCCTAAGAATGGGAAAGAGAACAAGTCAAGGCCTCAGCCCTACCCACTGCCAAAGACCACCCACCCTATTCACCTCCATGGGAGCCATCAGACCTGAATCCCAAGTCACCCCAGGAGACTTGGAGGTCCCCAGGCTCCTACCTGGAGGTAGAGGCCCCTAAGGATGGGGCCCAAGGTGCCCAAGCTCTGACCCTCCACAACCAAGTGCTGGGCCAGCAGGAGGCAGGCCCCATGCTGGGGACACGAAGAGTCACGCCCACAGCCACATAGGAGGGTCTTCCAGACAAACAGGGAACCTCTTCCCTGCATGGTGGCTCACGCCTGTAATCCCAGCACTCTGGGAGGCTGAGGTGGGAGGATCGCTTGAGCCCAGGAGTTTGATGCCAGCCTGAGCAACATAGTGAGATCTCATCTCAGGGGGAAAAAAAAAAGGAAGAAAGCAAGTCATCAGTTGACACTGAAGCCCAGGGAGGGCCACAGAAGTGGACTTGGGACCCAGGATGGCCACTTCTCAGCATAACTTCTAGTTCTCTGGTTTTTACTGTCTTTTTCCTCCCACAAAGATACCTGTGGTTTTTACTTCAAAAGCCTAACAGTTAAAAGCAGTAACTCTACAGCAAAACACTCTAGAATGGAATAACACCCTTGCATGGACTGTGGGACCTCACACAAGAGGCTTAGCTCCTCCGTGCCCCCAAAATGAGGATGTGGATACCTCCCTCACTAGGCCGTTATGAAGATGTAATCATTTAAGGCCCACAAAGCACAGGGGCTGACCTGGTTGACTGCTCACAACCACTATGATCTTTGTCCGTGTTTCCTTACTAAAGTGGAACCCATAAACTGCCTCTTTCCTGCCCCCCAAAGAGGCTTCCCACTCGCCAAAGCACGCCGGTAACTACTTTCCCATCTGTTCATTACGGGCAGGTCACTGACTTACCCTTTACACTCACACACCAGATCAACTCACTTCGGTCAAGGCTGACTTCTCTAATAACCCCCCACTTTTTTTTTTTTTTGAGACAGAGTCTTGTAACCCAGGCTGGAGCGGAGTGCAATGATGCGCTCTTGGCTCACTGCAACCTCTGCCTCCCAGGTTCAAGCAACAATCCTGCCTCAGCCTCCTGAGTAGCTGGAATTACAGGCATGCGCCACCACGCTCGGCTAATTTTGTACTCTTAGTAAAGACGGGGTTTCTCCATGTTGGTCAGGCTGGTCTCAAACTCCCGACCTCAGGTGATCCACCCGCATCAGCCTCCCAAAGTGCTGGGATTACAGGCGTGAGCCACCACGCCCAGCTTGAGACAGAGTCTTGCTCTGTCGCCCAGGCTGGAGTGCAGTGGTATGATCTTGGCTCACTGCAACCTCTGCCTCCCGGGTTCAAGCGCTTCTCAGTAGCTGGGATTACATGCGTGTACCATGACGTCCGGCTAGTTTTTGTATTTTTAGTAGAGACGGGGTTTCGCCATGCTGCCCAGGCTGGTCTCCAACCCCTGACCTCAAGTGATCCGCCCCACCTCGGCCTCCCAAAGCGCTGGGCTTACAGGTGTAGGCCACTGCACCCAGACTCTAATAACCACTTTTTACCTGCCTATTGGAAGTCTCCTGTACCTCAGGGCAGCTCCTTCCACTCTATCTGGTCACTGAACCAGGTCCGCTCATTTTCATTAAAACATACCCTTTGACTGATCTCACACAAGCTCACTCTCTTGCTCATTAAAGCAGACCCCTTCGCTTGCTTCCAGGCTGTTCATTAGAGCAGATCATCTGTTCTTAGTTTGTTTTTCTACATATTGAAGTAAACACTATTACTCACCAGAGCAATCCCTCCCTCACGCCTCATCTTGTTTCAGCAGATCCCCACCCTACATTCTAGCAACTTAAGGCAAGCAAGTTAAGACGTGTGTTACCCGCTCACTAAAGCAAGTCCTCTTATTCCTATTAAAGCTCATCTTGGCCAGGCGCAGCGGCTCACGCCTATAACCCCAGCACTTTGGGAGGCCAAGGCGGGTGGATCACCTGAGGTCAGGAGTTTGAGACCAGCCTAGCTGACATGATGAAGACCCATCTCTACTAAAAATACAGAAATTAGCCAGGCTTGACCAGGCGTGGTGGCTCATGCCTGTAATCCCAGCACTTTGGGAGGCCGAGGCGGGCGGATCACCTGAGGTCAGGAGTTCGAGACCAGCCTGACCAACATAGAGAAACCCCATCTCTACTAAAAATACAAAATTAGCCGGGCATGGTGGCACATGCCTGTAACCCCAGCTACTCAGGAGGCTGAGGCAGGAGAATCGCTTGAACCTGGGAGGTGGAGGTTGCGGTGAGCTGAGATCACGCCATTGCACTCCAGCCTGGGCTTGAAACTCCATCTCAAAAAAAAAAAAAAAAAAAAAAAAAGAGAGAGAGAAAAGAAAAGAAATTAGCCAGGCTTGATGGTGCAGCCTGCAGTCCCAGCTACTTGGGAGGCTGAGGCAGGAGAATCGCTTGAACTGAGATCACACCACTGTACTCCAGCCTGGATGACAGCGCAACACTGTCTCAAAAAAATAATAGTAATCCCAGGCTGGAGTTCAGCGGCGCGATCTCGGCTCACTGCAACCTCCACCTCCCAGGTTCAAGTGATTCTCCTGCCTCAGCCTCCCAAGTAGCTGGGATTACAGGTGCCCGCCACCACAACTGGCTAATTTTTGTATTTTTAGCAGAGACGGGGTTTCACCATCTTGGCCAGGCTGGTCTCGAACTCCTGACCTCAGGTGATCTGCCTGCCTGAGCCTCCCAAAGTACTGGGAATACAGGCGTGACTCACCGCAACCGGCAGGACTGAGTTAAGCAGGTCCTTGACTTGCTTTTCTGCAAGCTAAAAAGAGATCCTTTAATGTGTTTCTAACTTATTCATCAAGGCAGACTCCCAGCAGCTTATCTGTGCATGGAGATCACTGACATCTCAAAAGAAAAACCTGCCTTCTCTAAGTTCGTCTCCAGCTTGCTTTCTGCCCATTTGAGGTCCCCTTGTTTATATTAAGGTTGACCTGTTTCCGCAGATATTTGCCTTCCAAGCCACATCATTAACACAGATCTCAGAGGCTACCGTAAGCTGACTAACAATGAATAACCGCCATTCCACACCACAAAAGCCTCTCCTCACCTTTTTCCTTGGAGCCAGTGTCCACGAAGAAGAGTTTTTCATTTGGGGCCTCTGACAACAAGCCACTGGGGGACAGAAATGCAGAACATCAGCCAGAGATGTTGGAGAGGAAAGAGATTTAACCTGGCAGGTCCAGCCTTCATCTTCCGCTTAGTCAAGTCCCGCCACCGGACTCTTCCAGGCTAAGGCTTCGCCCAGCAGTTTACAGAACTTAGTATTTAGGAAGGACTGCCAGGCGCAGTGGCTCACGCCTGTAATCCCAGCACTTTGGGAGGCCCAGGCGGGTGGCTCACCTGAGGTCAGGAGTTCAAGAGCAGCCTGGCCAACATGGTGAAACCCTGCCTTTACTAAAAATACAAAAATTAGGCTGGGTGTGGTGGCTCACACCTGTAATCTTAGCACCTTAGGGGGCCGGGGCGGGTGGATCACCTAAGGTCAGGAGTTCAAGACCAGCCTGGCCTGTAACATGGCAAAACCCTGTCTCTACTAAAAATACAAAAATTAGCCGGACGTGGTGGTGCATGCCTGTAATCCCAGCTACTTGGGAGGCTGAAGCAGGAGAATCACTTGAACCCAGGAGGCAGAGGTTGCAGTGAGCCGAGATCGTGCCATTGCACTCCAGCCTGGACTACAGAGAAAGACTCCGTCTCAAAAAAAAAAGAAAAAAGAAAAGAAAAGAAAAATAGCCGAGCGTGGTGGCGCCCGCCTGTAATCCCAGCTACTAAGGAGCTGAGGCAGGAGAATCGCTTGAGCCTGGGAGGCGGAGGTTGCGGTGAGCTGAGATCGCGCCTACTCCAGCCTGGGCGATAGAGCGAGACTCCGTCTGAAAAACATATATATATACATATATATACACACACACATATACACATATATATATACACACATATACACATATATATACACACACATATATACATACACACACACACATATTTAGAAAACAGCAAGCTAAGGTGGATGCATGGAACGTATTTATGCTAAAAATTATTCATTGTTTACCTAAAATCCAAATTTAATTGAGCGTCCTGTATATTTATCTGCTAAATCTGGTAACTCTATCAAGCTCTCCAGCTTCCCATGCTGAGTCCCCTGCCCATGCTCTCCATTTCCTCGGCGGTCCCCGGGACAGGAGCCCCCAACCCCCGACCCCCGACCCCCGACCCCCGACGAGTCCACGCAAGCACGCCTGGCCTTGCACCTGGGCGCAGGAACCGTCCCACCTCCCGGAAGTCCCGCCCAACGTACCCGCTCGTGCGCTCCTGTAGCCGCACGTCTTCCAGGAACTGGTCAACCTCCAGCCCCAGCGGCTCCTGAGCAAGCCGCCGCCAGCCCCGCTTCTTATTTCTTGGGCCTCGCCGCCGCCGCCTCAGCGCTGGGTCCACCGAAGTGGGCCGCAGCCCCAGGAAACCAGAATCGGCATCGCTTTTCGAGCTGCGCTTCCCACCAACGCCACTGCCTCCTGCCGCCATCTTGTCAAAGGAAGAACTCAGCCACTGGCGTCCCAAAAAGCCCCTTTGCAGCGTGCGCGCGCAGATTTCCCACCCTCTTCCGTGACGTACTTCCTGTGGCAGCCATATTTATAAAGTGACTGGAGTTGCCAGGAGGCTGCCATCTTGGTAAAGGATAAATGGCTCCTCCTTCCTCCATTCTTTACAGCGGGATCTGAAGATTCCTAACGGCGGCGGGTGGTAGGAAAGAGACGGGAAGGTTGCAGGTTCTTAGCTTTCGCCCTTAAGCGAACACCTTTCCCGGCCGCCTGGGGTCTTTGCTCAAACTGATTTTTTTCTTTAATAGATAAGGTCTCACTTTGTTGCCCCCAGGCTGGAGTGCAGTGGAAGGGTAATGGCTCACTGCAGCCTCCAACTCCTAAGCTCAGGGATTCTCCTACCTCAGCCTCCCGAGTAGCTGCGACCACAGAAGGGTGCATCCGCACCTGGCTAATTTTTTATTTTTATTTTTTGTAGAAATGGAGCCTCCCCATGTTGCCCAGGCTGGTCTCAAACATCTGGTTTCAAGTGATCCTCCTTCCTAGGCCTCCCAAAGCGCTGGGATTACAGGCTCACACCACCACTCCCGGTCCAAACTGATGTGTGTGTGTTTTTTTTTAAGAGACAAAGGTCTCACTATGTTGTCCAGGCTGGTCTTGAACCCCTGGGCTCAAGTGATTCTCCCTCCTCAGCCTCCGAAAATGCTAGGATTACAGATGTGAGCCACCATGCTCGGCCTGATTATTTTTTAATCTCGTTTTCTTAGAAAGTCAGAACCGTCAGTGGCAGATTCCGCACAACACACATTCCAATCTCAGAAGTTTTGTCCTCTCAAATGTTCCAATCCTAGGATCTTAGAAATCAAGTAACTTTCGGAATATCAAAGTTGGAAGCACAGAACATTAGAGGAATGTTAGAAACATACACTTTTAGGACCCTAGAAGTGCAGACTCAGAATCATTCATCTTGAGCGGGCTACTTCACTGTGCCTCAGTTTCCTCATCTGTAAAATAAAGATGATAACAGTACATCTGCGTCATAAGTCATGCAGAAGATTAAACATATGTAAAGCGCTTAAGGCTGCGTCTGGCATCTGAGTGTTAGCTATTGTTACTGCCTTGCCCTCTGAGGCTTCATCTTAGAATCAACTCATCTTTGTCATTTACAAATAAGGAAGGAAGCTCAGAGGCTCTTGGGCCCTGGCAGCCATTCAAAGGGATCCATGGCAGGGCGTGGTGATTCACGCCTCTAATCCCAGCACTTTGGGAGGCCGATGCAGGAGGATCGCTTGAGCCCAGGAATTCAAGACCAGCCTGGGCAACATAGTGAGATCCTGTGTCTGCCAAAAATTTAAAAATTAGCCAGGCGTGATGGTGTGCGCCTGTAGTCCCAGGTACTCGGGAGGCTGAGGTGGGAGGATCGCTTGAGCCCAGGAGTTGGAGGGTGCAGTGAGCCGTGATTGCACCATTGCACTCCAGCCTGGGTGACAGAGCAAGACCCTGTCTCAAAAACAAAACAATCAAATCAAAGGAATCCAGGCCTCATAAAAGCCACTCTGGACTCATAAAGGAAAAAGGCACAGAGAGGGCAGGCGACACACGCATGGTCACACAGCGAAATTCAACTGGATCCTTGCGCAGAGCGTTGGAAAGGTGACAGGCCCTAAAGGTGACAGGCCCTGGATCGCAGCCCCGAGACCTGAGCGCCGAATCACCTGGGCAGGGATTTTGGCGACCACAGCCTATCTGTTTTCTGAGCGTCCGCCAGGGGGCGCCGCGAGCCGCGAAACTGGGCCCGCGTGGGCGGGATGAGTGCGCGGCCAGCGTGTCCCGGGACGCCGTGGGTGTGGCCTGGATGTGAGTGCGCGGGACTCGGCGCGCACGGTGCGCTGCCCAGCTCTGGCCAAGAGTCCCCGGTGCGTGAGCGCGCGCACACTCCTGGCAGCCCGTGTGGGCAAGGTCACCACTTCCCCAACCAGAAACCAGCGTGTTCCTGGTGTTACGCGTCGGGAGTTATGTACCCAGGTTGTGCAAGGGCACGTTGCCGGGCAGGGCGGGAGCTGGGAGAGCACTTCGTGCCCGAATACACACACACACACACACACACACACACACACACACACACCCCGCGCGCGCCCCAGGGCTTGGTTCCCAGGCCCCCGCCGCGGGAGGTGGGAGGAAGGGATGTCCCGGGGGGAGGGCCCCAGAGTCACTTTTCCTCGGAAAATATGCCGTTCTGGCCCCCAGCCCAGGCCTGAGTCACCAGGCCTCGCTGCATTGAGTCACGGACTCCACCCCGCCCCTGAGAGCACGGAAGGGGGCCTCCCCCCACCCCAAATCCTGCCCAGGTCTCTCTTTCCCTGGGGGAGGGCGGGCGATCCCTGTCCCAAGCCAGCCTCACTGCCACATGGGAAGAAGCCTTGGCTTTATTCGCTCTGTGGGGACACTGTTCCGTTCAGAGGCCCCTCCCAGCCATGGGGTGGGGGACAGTGGTGGGCGTGGGAATCCCAGCGAGCATCCTGGAGGGTGCGTCGTCTCCATGTATTTTGCTCTTCCCCATCTTTTCCATGGGGTCCCCTGCCAGGGTCAAGCACTAATATGTGGTGAAGGCAGCAAACAGCGTCGGCGTCCCTTTAGGGGTGGGGAGAGGGCTGTAGCACCAAGAACCCCCTCCCCCGCCCACGACATCCCTGAAAAGGAGACTAAAATAAAGCCCCGGGGCCTTTCTACGTAGGGGCTCCACTTAAATATGGAATGGTGGTAGGCAGAGAGGCGGTGGCCCAGCAATCCTTAAGTCCAGATTACCAGCTGTGGGGAGGCTTCCAGGGGGCCAGGAGCAGGCTGGGCAGTTCCAGCCACAGACACGTGGGTGGAGGACGGAAATATCTCCAAGGGGGCACAGTATCAGAGGAGCAGGATGGAAGGGGCTTTTCTGCCTGCTACGGGATCCTTTTTAAAGAAATGGGTGTGAAGCCGGGCACGGTGGCTCATGCCTGTAATCCCATCACTTTGGGAGGCCAAGGCGAGCAGATCACCTGAGATGCGGAGTTCGAGACCAGCCTGGCCAACATGGTGAAACCCCGTCTCTACTCAAATACAAAAATTAGCTGGGCGTGGTGGCGCGTGCCTGCAGTCCCAGCTACTCAGGAGGCTGAGGCACGAGAATCACTTCAACCCAGGAGGTGGAGGTTGCAGTGAGCTGAGATCTCACCACTGCACTCCAGCCTGGGCGACAGAGCAAGATTCTATCAAAAAAGAAAGAAAGGACAGGACAGGAAAGGGAAGGGGTGTGGACAGAACTGGGGGCAAAAACAAAAAAGAAGGAAGGAAGGAAAGAAAGAAATGGGTATGGGCAGAATTGGGGGCAAAAACAAAAAAGAAGGAAGGAAGGAAAGAAAAGAAGGAAGGAAGGAAGGAAATAAATGGGTGTGGGCAGAATTGGGGGCTTTCCCCGAGCAAGGGAAGGGGCTGCGGAGGGGCCCATCTGAGGAAGCAGTAGGTGTGTCTCCCCTCTGAGCCCCCCATGGTCCCGAGACCTGAGGATGTGATGGAGCCGGTTGAGGGTGTTGCCTGGCTGGGCAGGAGGAAGCGGAGCAGAAGGGGGTCTGTTTATCTGCTAGTCATTTCAGCCACAGGGCTGCTCAGCCAGGGGAGGGGCTGGGGGCCCTGCCAGGAATTAGTGTGTGTTTGCGTGACTGTGTAGGTGCCCTCTCCTGGGAACGTCACCTTCCATGAGGGCAGATGTATTTGTCTATTTTGTTCTCTATGGTAATGCCCAGTGCCTAGAACAGGGCTGGGCACATAGTAGGTGCTCAATAAATATTTGAATGAATGACGGATGGATGGATGCCTGCGTGTGCCAGTGTGTGTGTGATGTGCCTAAGTGAACGTGAGGCTGGAGGTGTGAAGGGCGGACAGAGAAGCCTTGTCCCTCCCGTGGTCCCCTCTAAATGCTTCCACCGGGGTGTCTGGCGGTAGTGAGGAGGGAGACCCCCGGTCCTTACAGCTGGGCAGGGAGGGCAGGCAGGGCGTGTGTGAGCCGGAGCAGGGGTGTGCGTGCAGCCGACTGGAGCTGGGGAGCCACAGCAGGGCCATGGGAGGGGGGCCGGCTCACTCGGCGGAGCCCTTGTGGCGTCGCTTGGAGGGTGGCACCAGGCGACGGGGCAGGTTGGCGGGCAGCCCGTGGCCTTCCAGCTTGGCCTCGATGAGGTGGCTGGCCAGCGCGAACTCCTCATCATCCAGCATGCCGTCGCGGTCCACATCGCTGAGCTTCCAGATGCGCCCCAGCACTGAGTTGGGGAGCTTGGTCCCCACCATCCAGGTCTTGGCCTTGGAGCCGCTCAGCTTGCCGTCGGCAGGCGCCAGGTTGTAGAAGATCTCGTCGTATTTGGACTTGTCCTTGGTCACCACCCACTCGGCCTCGTCGTCCGAGCCCTCCTCGCCGTCCTCCATGGCCTCGTCAGGTCCCCGCTCCACAAACGGGCCCATGTGGGTGCCCTCAAAAGCGCCCCCCTGCACGCCCACCTCGGTGCTCTCCAGCTCCTCCTGCCGCAGCAGGGGCATGAGCTTGGCGATGTCGTGCGTCAGCATCTCGTCCAGTGCCTCTAGCAGCTTCGGCTTCAGCGAGTGAAACTTGGTGAAGTCGTGCGCCATCAGCAGCTCCTGTGGTGGGGGACAGGGGCACCCAGAATTCAAGCGGCGCCATCCCTGAGGCCCTCAGGCTGCAAGGTGGTATCAGGACACTGGAGAAGCTCGGGGGTAGCTGTTGTGGGGTTTTTTTACTGTTGTTTGTTTTGAGACAGAGTCTTGCTCTTGTTGCCCAGGCTGGAGTGCAAATGGCACAATCTCGGCTCACTGCAACGTCCGCCTTCCGGTTTCAAGCGATTCTCCTGCCTCAGCCTCCCAAGTAGCTGGGATTACAGGCATGCGCCACCATGCCCAGCTAATTTTTGTAATTTTAATAGAGACAGCGTTTCACCATGTTGGCCAGGCTGGTCTCGAACTCCTGACCTCATGATTCGCCCGCCTCAGCCTCCCAATGCTGGGATTACAGGCATGAGCCACCGCGCCCAGCCATTTTTGTTTTGTTTTGTTTTGTTTTTTTTTGACAGGGTCTCGCTCTGTCACTTAGGCTAGAGTGCAGTGGTGCCAACATAGCTCACTGCAGCTTCCAACTCCCAGCCTCAAACGATCCTCTGGCCTCAGTCTCCCAAGTAGCTGGGACCACAGGCACACACCACCCACCCAGCTAAATTTTTGTGATCCTCCCTCCTCAGCCCCCGCAATTCGCTGGGACTATAGGTGTGCGCCACTACGCCCAACTAGTTTTAAAAATTTTTTGTAGAGACCAAGTCTTGCTATGTTGCCCAGGCTGGTCTCGAACTCCTGAGCTCAAGCCATCCTCCCACCGCAACCTCCTAAAGTGCTGGGATTGCAGGTGTGAGCCACTGTACCCAGCCAGAGTGGCAGCTCTTTACTGACACATGCAGAAGTATTTGAACATCTGAACAACCTGTTCCGCTCGGGCACCCACCAATGAGAAGATACTTGGGCAACAAGGTCCCAGAGGCTTTCTCCTGTGCCCCAGAATTACTGGAGGGTGGGGAGGCTGGGGCCCCTCTGATGAGTGAGAGCAGCGGCCCTTTGCCAGCTAGCAGAGAAGGATTTCAATATTTTCGCATCAAGTATAGCTTTCTCAGAGCATCCACACCAGCCTAGAACCCTAACCGCCCTCTACCCAACTCCAGCTGCCCAGCCAGCACGTACAACATTAAAAGTTAAAAAAAAAAAAACTCAGCAGGCTTGGGTGGCTCACACTTGTAATCCCAGCACTTTGGGAGGCTGAGGTGGGAGAATCACTTGAGCCCAGGAGTGCAAGACCAGCCTGGACAACATGGCAAAACCCTATTTCTTTTCTTTTCTTTCCTTTTTTTTTTTTTTTTTTTGACGAGTTTCGCTCTGTCACCCAGGCTGGAGTGCAATGGCGCGATCTCAGCTCACCGCAACCTCCGTCTCATGGGTTCAAGCGATTCTCCTGGCTCAGACTCCCAAGTAGCTGGGATTACAGGCGCCTACCACCATGCCCAGCTGATTTTCATATTTTTAGTAGAGATGGGGTTTCGCCATGTTGGCCAGGCTGGTCTCGAACTCCTGACCTCAGGCAATCTGCCCACCTCGGCCTCCCAAAGTGCTGGGATTACAGGCATGAGCCACTGCACCTGGCCTCAAAACCCTATTTCTTAAAAAAAAAAAAAAAAAAAAAAAAAAATTAAAAATTAGCCAGGTGTGGTGGTGCACGCCTGCAGTCCCAACTACTTTGGGAGGCTGAGACAGAATCTCTTGAACCCCAGGAGACAGAGGTTGCAGTGAGCGAAGATAGCACCACACTGTACTCCAGCCTGGGTGACAGAGCAAGACCCTGTCTCAAAACAAAAAAGTGTGCAGGGGGGGAGAGAAAAAAGAAAGTTAAGAAAGCTTAATTCCTGTCACAGTGCTACCACACCACACAGAAAGGACTGAGTGGCTGGCTGCCAAATTTGGAGGTGAGATTTGAGATGATCAGATCATCAGGGGTTCCTGGGACCACCCCCTCCCCACCGAAGAAGTCACTTTGGGGTGTAGGGGTGGACTTGGCGTCACACTGCTTCTCACACGGGCTACTCTAAGTGGCCCAGACTGCACCAGGACAGTCTCTGCGAAAATGGATTCCTTTCACAGCCCTATGTGAATTTCCTGAGCCAAGGCAGAGAGGCCAGCTGATCACGACTCTGAAGGGTTGGGGATCCTAGGTTGCAACCTGGATTCCCTGGCAGCCAGAGTATGACTAAGTTCAAGTCCACTGAGGCAAGCACAGGTTGCATGTGCAGCTTCTACTGTTAGCCTGTCCAGTATGGCAGCCACTAGCCACATGTGCTTATTTACATTAATTAAAATGAAATACAGGCCGGGCGCAGTGGCTCATGCCTGCAATCCCAGCACTTTGGGAGGCTAAGGCAGGAGGATCACCTGAAGTCAGGAGTTTGAGACCAGCCTGGACAACATGGTGAAACCCCATCTCTACCAAAAATACAAAATTAGCTGGGCGTGGTGGCGGATGCCTGTAATCTCAGCTACTTGGGAGGCTGAGGCAGGATAATTGCTTGAACCCGGGAGGCAGAGGTTGTAGTGAGTCAAGATCTTGCCACTGCATTCCAACCTGGGCAACAGAGCAAGACTCCATCTCAAAAAAAAAGAAAAAAGAAATACACGTTAACATTCCATTTGAATGTGGCTAGTGGCTACCATACTGGACAGTGCAGAATGAAACATTTCCATCATTGTAGAACGTACTGCTGGACAGCTCTGTTCTAGAAAGTGTTCTTGGTCAGGCATGGTGGCTCCTGCCTATAATCCCAGCACTTTGGGAGGCCAAGGCAGGAGGATCACTTGAGGCCAGGAGTTCGAGACCAGCCTGGCCAACATGACAAAACCCCATCTCTACTAAAAGTATGAAAAATTATCTGTACGTGGTGGCACATGCCTGCAGGCCCAGCTACTTGGGAGGCTGAGGTGAGATAACTGCTTGAACCCAGGAGGCAGAGGTTGCAGTGAGCCAAGATCACGCCTCTGCAGTTCGGTCTGGGTGACAGAGTGAGACTCTGTCTCAAAAAAAAAAAAAAAAAAAAAAGCTAGCCAGGCATGGTGGCATGTGCCTGTAGTCCCAGCTACTCTAGAGGCTAGGCAGAAGGACCTTTGAGCCCAGGAGTTCAAGTACACAGTGAGCTATGATCACCCCATTGCACTCCAGCCTGGACAACAGAGTCTCTGAAAAATATATAAATAAATCTCTAAAAAATATATAAATAAATTTTTAAACGTATATATTTTATTTTATTTATTTATTTATTGAGACAGAATCTTACTCGGTCACACAGGCTGGATTGCAGTGGTGTGATCTCAGCTCACTGCAACCTCTGCCTCCCGGGTTCAAGGGATTCTCCTGCCTCGGCCTCCCCAGTAGCTGGGACTACAGGCACGCAACACCATGCCCAGCTAATTTTTGTATTTTTAGTACAGACGGGGTTTCACCATGTTGGCCAGGCTGGTCTCGAACTCCTGACCTCAGGTGATCCACCCGCCTTGGCCTCCCACAGTGCTGGGATTACAGGCATGAGCCACTGCACCCAGCTGTGTATATTTTAAATATTTATATTTTACAAATATAAATATTTAAGTCTCAAATAAATAAATGAAAATAAAATAAACAGTGTTCTTAAAGAGACTACTCTTTTCTTCCCCTTCCCAACTTCCTTTTCTTTTTTTTTTTTTTTTTGAGACGGAGTCTCGCTCTTTTTGCCTAGGCCGGAGTAAAGTGGCGCTATCTTGGCTCAGTGCAAGCTCCGCCTCCCGGGTTCACACCATTCTCCTGCCTCAGCCTCCCGAGTAGCTGGGACTACAGGCGCCCACCACCACACCCAGCTAATTTTTTGTATTTTTAGTAGAGACGGGGTTTCACCGTGTTAGCCAGGATGGTCTTGATCTGCTGACCTCGTGATCCGCCCGCCTCGGCCTCCCAAAGTGCTGGGATTACAGGCGTGAGCCACCATGCCTGGCCCCCTTCCCAACTTCTTGCTGGCTGGAACGCAGACACAATGGCTGGAGCCTTCACAGCCCTTTTGTACCATGAAGTTCCTTGGGCCTGGAGGCCAGGCATGGAAGAGAAATAAGACAGAAGGGGACTAGATCCCTGGCTCTGTAAAGCACCAAACCAGTCCTGGATCACTTTCTGGGACTTTTTATGGAGGAAAGAAAGAAAAACTCTCTATCTTAATTTAGCCACTGTTATTTTGGGTTTTCTCTTCACTCCCCTAGCCTGACTCATAAAACCATGCTCCCACGGAACTATTTGAGGGAGGCGCTTTCCAGAACCTGCCATCCATCCCTCTGGCTTTTGAGGTCCCATCTCAGAGCTTCCAGAAACCAACCTTCCCATCACCCACCCCCAACATTCCCTCCTGGGCAGCTTCCCACCTGCATTTTCTGGCAATCAGGAAAGTCCCCAGGGGAGATGTGATGTTCCAGCTGAATCTTCGCAAAGATGACGGGCAGTTTGAGGATCAGCTGCTTCTTCTTGTTCTCCTTCCCAAACACAGAGGGCATCTCCTTCTTCAGGTAGCTGATGATGTAAGCGTGAACCTGTGGGAAGGGTTCTCACCTCAGCCTGCATCAGGGTCCACCAGGGAGCTTGTTAAAACACAGGCTGCAGGCCCCACTCCCAGAGATTCTGATTTACTTGGTCTGGGCTGGGGCATGAGAATTTGTATTTCTTTTATTTCTTTTTCTCTCTCTCTCTCTCTTTTTTTTTCTTTGAGACGGAGTCTCGCTCTGTCACCGAGGCTGGAGTGCAGTAGCACAATCTCGGCTCACTGCAACCTCCGCCTCCCGGCTTCAAGCAATTCTCCTGTCTCAGGCTCCTGAGTAGCTGGGATTACAGGCATGCGCCACTATGCCCAGCTAATTTTTGTATTTTTAGTAAAGATGGGGTTTCACCATGCTGGTCAGGCTGGTCTCAAACTCCTGACCTCGTGATCTGCCCACCTTGGCCTCCCAAAGTGCTGGGATTACAGGTGTGAGCCACCGTGCCCAGTCTTTTTTTTTTTCGAGACAGAGTCTCGCTCTGTTGCCCAGGCTGGAGTGCAGTGGTGCAATCAGCTCGCTGCAACCTCCAACTCCTGGGTTCAAGCAATTCTTCTGCCTCAGCCTCCCAAGTAGTTGGGATTAACAGGCATGCGCCACCACACCCGGCTAATTTTTTTGTATTTTTAATAGAAACGGGGTTTCTCCATGTTGGCCAGGCTGGTCTTGAACTCCTAATCTCAGGTGATCCACCCGCCGTGGCCTCCCAAAGTGCTGGGATTACAGGCATGAGCCACCGCGCCTGGCCTGCTTTTTTTTCTTTTTTTTTTGGAGACAGGGTCTCGCTCTATCACCCAGCCAGGAGTGCAGTGGTGCGATCATAACTTACTGCAGCCTCAAATTCCTGGGCTCAAGGGATCCTCCCGCCTCAGCCTCTCAAGTAGCTGGGATTACAGGCAAGAGCCACTGCCCAGATGGGAATTTGCATTTCTGACAAGTTACAGGTGCTGCAGGCGGAGGTGCCACACTGTGAGCCTCATGGCCTCCTCCTGCTGGGGCTCACCCTGGGCTCCTCCTCTCTGCTAACTAAGTGAGCTGAGTCCCTCCCAGTTTTAAACACCCCTCCAAGAGGTCCACTCCCGAATCTGCATACCAGCCTAAGCCTCTCCCTCCAGCTCAGGACTCAGAGCTAATTGCCCTGTCAACATTCCTGGATAGCTCCATACCAGGATGCCCTAAGTGGAATTTGAGCCTAGCCCTCAGAGCTGTGTCGCCCTCAGCTGTGCCCATCTCTGAAAAGGGCATCCCCAGCCCTGCCTTCCCAGTTGAGGCCAGAAATCTAGAAATTTTATTTTTATTTATTTATTTATTTTGAGACGGAGTCTCACTCACTCTGTCACCCAGGCTGGAGGACAGTGGCGCAACCTTGTCTCACTGCAACCTCCACCTCCGGGTTCAAGCAATCCTCCTGCCCTGGCCTCCCGAGTAGCTGGGATTACAGGCACGTGCCACCATGCCTGGTCAATTTTTGTATGTTTAGTAGAGACTGGCTTTCACCATGTTGGCCAGACTGGTCTCGAACCCCTGACCTCAAGAGATCCACCCGCCTCGGCCTCCCAAAGTGCTGGGATGACAGGCGGGAGCCACCCCGTCCGGCTCTAGAAATCACTTTTTTTTTCTTTTTGAAAGGGAGTCTCACTCTGTTGCCCAGGGTGGAGTGCAATGGCATGATCTTGGCTCACTGCAACCTCCACTTCCTGGGTTCAAGCAATCCTCCTGCCTCTACCTCTCGAGTAGCTGGGATTACAGGTGCCCGCCACCACTAATTTTTGTATTTTTAGTAGAGAGGGGTTTTCACCATGTTGGCCAGGCTGGTCTCAAACTCCTGACCTCAAATGATCTGCCTGCCTCAGCCTCCCAAAGTGCTGGATTACAGGCGGGAGCCACGGTACCCAGCTCTTGAAATCATTATTGATTTGATATTTGATTCTTCCTCCTGTTAAGTAGCCACATCCAACCTATCAATGAGTCCCTTTTGCCTCCTCCTATGTCTCTCCCTCTCTCCCCTACTTTCCTTTTCTTTTTTGCTTTTTTTAGACAGGGTCTGGCTCTGTCCCCCAGGCTGGAGTGCAGTGGCACAATCTCGGCTCAGTGCAACCTCCACCTTCCCAGCTCAATCCATCCTCCCACCTCAGCCTCCTGAGTAGCTGGGACTACAGGCACCCGCTACTACGCCCAGCCTCTCCCCTGCTTCTCATTTCTCTCCACCTCAGTGGCCACCATGTCCATTCGAGCGTCATCCTCTCTTGCCTGGGGAGACACCCAAGGTGGCCCGACAGGTCTCCCAGCTCCCCATCCTGCCCCAATAACCCTTGCTCCATGCAGCAGTGGCCCAAGAGGGCATTTTTCAGGAAGGAACATGAGCCCAGGGGATGCTGCTCATAACTCTCTATTTGCTTATTGAAGTTCAAAATTTCTACCGAAGCCGACAAAGCCCTACAGCAGCAATTCACGAAGTGTGGTCCAGGGAAACCCAGGGGTCCTCAAGATCCTTTCGGGGGTTCCTGTGGTCAAAATTATTTTAAGAACAATACTAAGACGTTATTCGCTTTTTGCTTTCTTCACTCTTTTTTTCTCCCAAATGGACAGTGGATTTTTTTTTTTTTTTTTTTTTTTTGAGACAGAGTCTTGCTCTGTCACCCAGACTGGAGTGCAGTGGTGCAAATAATGACTTTATTTATTTATTTATTTATTTATTTTTTGAGACAGAGTCTCACTCTGCCGCCCAGGCTGGAGTGCAGTGGCTCAATCTCGGCTCACTGCAAGCTCCACCTCCCGGGTTCACGCCATTCTCCTGCCTCAGCCTCCCAAGTAGCTGGGACTACAGGCGCCCGCCACCATGATAATTTTTGTATTTTTAGTAGAGACTGGGTTCCACCATGTTGGCCAGGATGGTCTCGATCTCTTGACCTTGTGATCCGCCCGCCTCAGTCTTCCAAAGTGCTGAGATTATAGGCATGAACCACCGCGCCTGGCCTAATGTCTTGATTTATTAATCTTCTCTTCTCAAGAGGCTGAGATGGGAGGATCACTGAAGCCGGGGAGGTCAAGGCTACAGTGAGCCATGATCATACCACTGCACTCCAGCCTGGGTGACAGAGCAAGACACTGTCTCAAAAAAAAAAAAAGGAGCCCCAGAAGGGCTGGAAACTTGTCTGTTCCCTCCATCTCCAGCACCAGTACAATCTGTACAGAAAACACTCAGGAAATATTTGTGGAATAAACCAATGAACTTGAGAACCTTTGAAACACAATCTTTTTATTTTTTATTTTTTATTTTTTTTTTGAGATGGGGTTTCACTCTGTTGCCCAGGCTGGAGTGCAGTGGTGCGATCTTGTCTCACTGCAACCTCTGCCTCCTGGGTTCAAGCGATTCTCCTGCCTCAGCCTCCTGAGTAGCTGGGATCACAGGCATGCACCACCATGCCCAGCTAATTTTATATTTTTAGTAGAGATGGGATTTCTCCATGTTGGTCAGGCTGGTCTTGAACTCCTGATCTCAGATGATCCGCCCACATTGGTCCCCCAAAGTGCTGGGATTACAGGTGTGAGCCACCACACCTGGTCCACAATCTTATAAATTATCGAAAAATAAACAAGGAGAGCAGAATAATGAATATTGGTATGTCTATATTTTATAGGAAGCTCACAAATTAAATATTGCTCATGCCTATAATCCCAGCACTTTGGGAAGCCAAGGGGGGAGGATCACTTGAGGCCAGAAGTTCGAGACCAGCCTGGGCAACATAGCAAGACTTGGTCTCTAAAAAAAAATTTTAAAACTAGTTGGGTGTACTGGCGCGCGCCTATAGTCCCAGTGAATTGCCGGGGCTGAGGAGGGAGGATCACTTGAGCCCAGAGGTTTGAGACTGAAGTGAGCTATGATGTCGCCACTGCACTCCAGTCTGGGCGACACAGCGAGCCTTTGTCTCTAAAAAAATGAATAAATAGGCCAGGCGCGGTGGCTCACGCCTGTAATCCCAGCACTTTGGGAGGCTGAAGCGGGTCGATCACCTGAGGTCAGGAGTTAGAGACCAGCCTGGACAACATGGTGAAATGCTATCTCTACTAAAAATACAAAAATTAGCCGGGCTGATGGTGCCCACCTATAATCCAAGCTACATGGGAAGCTGAGGCAGGAGAATCACTTGAACCTGGGAGGTGGAGGTTGCAGTGAGCTGAGACCGTGCCATTGCACCAGCCTGGGCGACAGAGTGAGACTCAGTCTCAAAACAAAATAATAATAAATAAATGCTTTTACAAAATGCAGTATATTGGCCGGGCGTGATTACAGTATATCACGCCTGTAATCCCAGCACTTTGGGAGGCAGAGGCAGGCGGATCATGAGGTCAGGAGATCGAGACCATCCTGGCTAACACAGTGAAACCCCGCCTCTACTAAAAATACAAAAAATTAGCCAGGCGTGGTGGCAGGCACCTGTAGTCCCAGCTACTCGGGAGGCTGAGGCAGGAGAATGGCGTGAACCCGGGAGGCGGAGCTTGCAGTGAGCCGAGATCATGCCACTGCACTCCAGCCTAGGCGACAGAGCGAGACTCCGTCTCAAAAAAAAAAAAAAAAAAAATGCAGTATATCTGGAAAGACACACAAGAAACTACTTATGGGGGTTGCCTCTAGAAAAGAGGCCCTGGGAGCTGGTGGGGTGAGGTGTGGGAGAATCATGTCTGATAAAGTATGAATGCCTTTCCATGAGATGGTCTTAAATGTTCAATAAAAAAGACTAGTTAAAAAATTCTTTTAGGCCAGGCACAGTGGCTCATGCCTGTAATCCCAACACTTCGGGAGGCCGAGGCCAGCGGATCACCTGAGGTCAGGAGTTCGAGACCAGCCTGGCCAACATGGTGAGAACCCATCTCTACTAAAAATACAAAAATTAGCCAGGTGTGGTGGCACCTGCCTGGAGTCCCAGCTACTCGGAAAGCTGAGGCACAAGAATCACTTTAACCTGGGAGGCAGAGGTTGCAGTGAGCCGAGATCATGCCACTGCTCTCCAGCCTGGGTGATAGAGAGAGACTCCATCTAAAAAAAAAAAAATTATATATATATGTATATATATATATATATATATATTTTTTTTTTTTTAAAGAATCACAAATTTAGACTGCTGAGAACGTTGGTGGTCCCTGACTGGTTCTAAATCTTCATCTCTTCCACCTTCCACCACCACCCTGTCTCCAGCCCCGTTAGGCTCTCAGTTCAAACACATCAAGTGCATGGCTGCCCCAGGGCCTTTGCACATGCTGTTCTCACTGCATGGACTGCTCTTCCACCCGATCGCCACTCGGCTCACCCCTTCCTCTTACCCCTTCCTCTCCTTCAGAGCGCTCTAAAATAGTCCCTCGCCAGCCCCTCTTTCCTCCGCTTCATTTTTCTTCATAACCATTGATTTGTTTAATGTTTGCTTCCCCACTAAAAAGTAATTCTATGAGAAAAGGAATTTATCTGTGTTCCCTGCTGTATCCCCAGAGCCTAGAGGAGTACCACATGCGATCGGCAACTGCTGAATGAATGTCACTGGGCCACTGCAGAGAATGTGGTCTGAAGGTTCAGGGCATCTTGGCGTCTATAGAATCAGACCCTCCCAAGATCTTGGCCTTACGTATCACAGCATCATAAAATCTCCCCTTCTAACAGCTATCACTTCAGCCAAAGGACTTAGAGCCAGAGGATTCGTCCACACCCTCCATCGTACAGATGGGAAACTGAGGCACTGGGAGGAGGGTGAATGCCTCCTCCCAGAGAGTCCAGGAAGGCCTGGTATCTTTGGAGGAGAGCATGAGGGGAGGTTAACAGTATGGCTATTGTTGGTGACGACCAAGTGTGGCGGACTCATATGTGAGGAGCAGGGGTGGGGGTGCGACACGGGGCAAAGGAGGGGCAGTGAGCCTTGGTCACAGCGGACCCTAAATCCCATGCTCCTGTGTCCTGAACGGCACTGGGGAGCCATGGATGAACCTGCAGGAAGAGGGGGAGGGAGTGCCTAATGGTCTGAAGGACCAATCAGGGCAGGGGTGTGGCCGGGCTGGGGGCGGGGCCTGTGAGAGCGGGCCAATGGAGCCAGGGGGCAGGGCCGAAGGGCGGCTCCGTAGGGACCAAAGGAGGGTAGGCGGGAGGGCGCTGATGGCTTTTCCAGAGAGGAAGCAGGGGAAGGTGCCAGGAAGAGATAAGGTGAGAGGGCGGGCTGGGCCGGGGCTGGGTCCCTGACTCCGGGGTTTGTCTGGGTTTCCGGAGCCGCCCCCAGCCCGGCGGGGGCACCAGGTGTCTGGCCCGGACCCACCCCTCTGTCCCTGGGCCTTGTGCTCCAGCTCCCGCCAAGGGACCCGCGGGAACGAACCTGGGGGAGTCTAAGCAAGACCAGGAGGAAGACAGAGAGAGGGCGGCGGCGGAGCGGGGGAGAGATGGAGAGACAGGAGGAGGCAGAGCGAGAAAGAAAAGGAAAGGGAGTTAGAATAAAAGAAAAAGTAAAAATGGAGAAGAAAGAGACTGAGAGAGAGGTAGAAAGGAGACTGACATAGAGACAGAAAAAGAGAGAGAGAGACACTGCAGAGCCGCCTGGGCAGAGGAGCGCAAGGTGAATTCCGAAGGTTCCAGGAGTGGCAGCCTGGTCCACAGTGGGCCGCTCCCTCCGAAGGAGGATTCCTGGGGTGGGGGTGGGGGCTCTGACTCACCCACTCTCGCTGCTCCTTAAACCAACACCTCAGGCTCCTCCACCCCCTAGAACCTTCTTGGCCTCCCTGCCTGCCCAGCTTCCTGCCCCGCCTCCACCCTGGCAGCCTCCCCCTGAGAAAGTTCCATCTGACATCCAAAATCGCTCTGAAACCCGCGCTCTCCTTTCTCCTCTCCCTCCCCAAGGCCTGTCCTGATCCAGGAACCTCCAAGCCTTTTGCCTGGTCTCCAGGCTCCTAGACTCTCCTGCCTTGAATCCACCCTCCAAAAGGTAGCTTGAGTCTAATTATCTCCTTTCCCTGCTCCGAACTTTTTCATGGCTCCCCAGTGCCCTAGGGACAAAGCACAGATTCCCGGACACAGCCCACACCACCTCTGATCTCAGCCACATCCTCAGCCTCTAATTGAGTTAGCACACTGTCTACACTGGGTTCAACACTGACATTTCCCCTCAGATGCCCTCTCCTCCAAAGAAGCCCTCTCTGCCTGCCCCAGCTACCCCGCCCCAGCTCTGACCACACTGGGTCATCGGTGCCTGGGGATGGATCTGTCTCCTCTCCAGGAGCCCCAGTGAGGACTGAGCCCTGGAACTGCCTTCATTATTTAGGACTGGGAGCCCCAGCAGGACAGGACTGGAACCATCGTGGTCACTGTTGTGTCTCCTGCACCACCCAACACCAGGCCAGGCATAGAGGAGATTTTGTTCAATGCAACTGTTTGTTCAATGTCATTCATTCAATAAATATTTACAGAGCACCAATTCTGTTCCGGGCACTGGGGATAAATCAGTGAAGGAATTCAAAGAGCCCTGATTGGCTGGGTGTGGTGGCTTACGCCTGTAATCCCAGCACTTTGGGAGGCCAAGGCGGGCGGATCACCTGAGGTCGGGAGTTCGAGACCAGCCTGACCAATATGGTGAAACCCCGTCTCCACTAAAAATACAAAAAATTAGCTGGGTGTGGTGGCACACGCCTGTAACCCCAGCTACTCAGGAGGCTGAGGCAGGAGAATCGCTTGAACCCGGGAGGTGGAGGTTGCAGTGAGCTGATATCGCACCACTGCACTCCAGCCTGGGCAACAGAGGGAGACCCTGTCTCAAAAAAAAAAAAAAAGAAAGAAAGAAAAAGAAAGAGAAAGAGAAAGAAAGAGAGAAAGAGAAACAGAGAAAGAGAGAAAGGAGAGGAGAGGAGAAGAAAGGAAAGGAAAGGACAACAGGGTTAGGGTAAAGAAGGACGCATATGGGGGAAGTTATATTCATTCAAAGGAGGGCATGGACAGCCTTCCTGAGAAGGGAGCATTTGAGCAGAGTCTTGAAAGGGGTGAGGAGGGAGTGAGCCTTGTGGATGGCCAGGTGGGAGGGGGAAGAAGGCAGAAGAGGTTTCCAGGAAGAGGGAGCAGCAAGTGCACAGGACTGAGGCCACCAGCGTGAAGTGCAGGGGACGCTGGGAAGGGAATGGGAGATGAGGACAGAGGAAAGGAGTGAGAGAAGGGGACAATCTGTGGCCACAATCAAACAAGAGTCATGGGAGACGGGTGCTGTGAAGCGCCTAAGATGTAATAAATTCATCTTTTTTTTTTTTTTTATTTTGAGACAGAGTCTCGTTCTGTCGCCTAGGCTGGAGTGCAGTGGTACAATCTCAGCTCACTGCAACCTCTGCCTCCCGGGTTCAAGTGATTCTCATGCCTCAGCCTCCCAAGTAGCTGGGATTACAGGTGCCCGCCACCACACCTGGCTAATTTTTGTATTTTTAGTAGAGACGCAGTTTCACCATCTTGACCAGGCTGGTCTCGAACTCCTGACCTCAAGTGATCTGCTCCCCCCTCGGCCTCCCAAAGTGTTGGGATTACAGGCGTGAGCCACCGCACCCAGCCTTCATTGTTATTTTATGTCTGTTTACTTATTCTGTCTCCCTCCATCAAAAGATAAGCCCCGGGGCTGGTCCAATGGTAGTGGGTTATCAGAACTTTTTTTTTTTTTTTTAATAGAAATGGTGTCTCACTATGTTGCCCAAGCTGGTCTTCAATGCCTGGGCTCAAGCAATCCTCCAAAAGTGTTGGGATTACAGGCGTGAGCCACCGCACCTGGCCTTGGTTATCAGAACTTATTAGTGTCAGTAAAGTTGGCATGCAACTCCCCACCCCCACTGCTAAATTTGACTAGCTTATAAATAAATTAATTAATTAAATTTAAAAAAAGATGAGCCCCAGGAGGGCTGGAACCTTGTCTGTTCCCTCCATCCCCAGCCCCAGCACCATGTGTACAGAAAGCATTCCAGAAATACTTGTGGGCCTGGCGCGGTGGCTCACGCCTATAATCCCAGCACTTTGGGAGGCCAAGGAGAGCGGATCACCTGAGGTTGAGAGTTCAAGACCAGCCTGACCAACTAAAAATACTCTACTAAAAATACACAATTAGCCGGGCATGGTGGTGAATGCCTGTAATCCCAGCTACTCGGGAGGCTGAGGCAGGAGAATCGCTTGAATTCAGGAGGCGGAGGTTGTGGTGAGCCGAGATCACGCCATTGCACTCCAGCCTGGGCAATAAGAGCAAAACTCCGTCTCAAAAAAAGAAAAGAAGAAGAAAAAGAAATATTTGTGGAATAAACCAATGAACTTGGAAACCTTTGAACCACAATCTTATAAATTATCAAAAAATAAAGAGGGTAGAATAATGAGTATTTGTCTGTCTATATTTTATAGGAAGTTCAAAAATTCAACATACTCATGCCTGCAATCCCAGCACTTTGGGAGGCCAAAAGGGGAGGATCACTTGAGGGCAGGAGTTCAAGACCAGCCTGGGCAACACAGTAAGACCTCGACTCTACAAAAAATAAAAAATTAGCTGGGCGTGGTGACACGTGCCTGTGGTCTCAGCTACTTGGGGCAGGCTAAGGAGGAAGGATCACTTGAGCCCAGGAGTTCAAGGCTGTGGTGAGCTGTGATTGCATCATTGCATTCCAGCCAGGGCAAGAGAGCGAGACTCCATCTCTTAAAAAAGAAGGAAGAAGAGGGAACGAAAGAGGATGTAAGGAAGGAGGAAGGGAGGAGGGAGGAAGGGAGAGAGGAACAGAGGAAGGAAGGAAGGAAGGAGGAAGGGGAGGAAGAAAGAGAAGAAGGAGGAGGAGGAGGGAGAAGAAGAGGAGGAGGAGGAAAGAGAGAAGAAAGAAGAAAAAGAGGAAGAAGAAGAAGAGAAGGAGGAGGAGGAGGAAGAGGAAGAAGAAATAGAAATACCAGGACAGAGAAGCCAGGGTGACACGGAGTTGACACAGAAATCCAAAGGCAGAGGAATGAGTCTCTCCATACAGTTCTTCCTCCCGGCTTCACTCTGTGCCAGAATGACCCAACTTCAAGAGAACTAACTAACCTGGGCCCTGATAAGTCAGGGACTCACAGCACTGGTAGGAGAGGACCGAGGAAACCTCCTCCAAGAATGCGCGCCCAGCCCTCAGGACTACTCACTCGCACCAGCCGGGCCCTCTTCACCAGGTCGTTGAGCTTGCGCAAGGCTGCGTGCCGGGGCAGGCCCTGGATGTCGCGGAAGAGGTCCTGCTCCTCCAGCTCGAAGAGGCGCCGGTTGTCGGGCACGAGGAGGGGCTGGGACCAGAAGGAGCCGATGTAGACGCGCAGCACCTCGGGCGTGCCCACCACCTTGCCCAGCGCCCACATGAGCGCGCCGTAGACGCGCATCAGCTGCTGCGTCTCCACCATGTCGGCCTTGTTGAGCACCACGCGGATCTTGTCCTCATGGCCCCGCAACGCGCCGATGGCCTCTGAGAACTCGTCCGAGATCTCCAGCTTGTGCGCATCAAAGAGCAGGATGATGAGGTCCACGCGCTCCGCGAACCAGCGCAGCACGGCCGGGAAGTCGTAGCCTGGAGTGGGAGTGGAGAGACAGGGGCGCAAGGGGCAGAAATCAGACCCCCACCCTCCAGCCATTCTCAGTAGTATCCCATTCTCTTGCATATTGGACTGTAAAGATGTTCACGTTGTTGGCTGTCCAAATCCTGTCTGGGCAAAATAGCCAAGGCCCTCAGTGGGCACTACTGCTCTGGCTCTCCAGTGCCCAGAATTTCCCCCCTCGCTCTGGCCCCAGCCCCTCAAGCCATCTGGCTACAGGGGGCAATCATCCCCCTTTTCCTTTGCTCGAGCACAATGGCGGGATCACGCCTCCCTGCAACCTCTGCTTCCCGGAGCTCAGGTGATCCTCCCACCTCAGCCTCCCTAGTAGCTGGGACTGCAGGCGCGCATCACCACACCTGGCTAATTTTTTTTTTTTTTTTTTTTTTTGAGTAGAGATGGGATCTCACTATGTTACCCGGGCTGCCGGGCTAGTCTCAAACTCCTGAGCTCAACTGATCCTCCTGCCTCAGCCTCCAAAATGTTGGGATTACAGGCGTGGGCCACCGCGCCCAGCCTCACGGCCTCCATTTTTTCATTTGCTCATTCATTAAGCAGTTATTACAGGTGTGCGTCGGTATGTACATATAGGTTGTTAAAAATACTGACATGTTTGCTAAGAGATCCCCCTGTGCTTCTATGGAACCCCCAAGCCTGCCACATGCCTCTATCACCCCAGCTCCTCCCCAGGACCTGTTGTATCTCCCCACGATCCAGCAACTAGAGTTCATGCTGGATAGCTGTGCTCTTGCCATAGCAGATGATAATTTTTTTTTTTTTTTTTTTTTTTTTTTTTTTTTTTTTTGAGACAGAGTCTCACTCTGTCGCCCAGGCTGGAGTGCAGTGGCATGAATGTGGCTCACTGCAACCTCCACCTCCACCTCCCAGGTTCAAGCAATTCTCCTGCCTCAGCCTCCCGAGTAGCTGGGATTACAGGCATGCACCACCACCCTGGCTAATTTCTGTATTTTTAGTAGAGACGGGGTTTCACCATGTTGGCCAGGCTGAGAAGTTAAATATTTTGCATTTATTTAGCAATACTTACTGAGAGTCTCATGTGTGCCAAGCCCTGTCCTGGGAGCCTGGGATACCGCAGAGAACACACAGACAAGATTCTTGCTCTTATGAAGCACCCATCCCAGCCATGGGTTCCCATGCTCATTCATTCATTCCTTTCACCATTCATTTCCTCATTCACTCCTTCATCCACTCATTCTCACCTTTGCTTCTTCACTCATTTATTCACCAACAAGCAATGCTGAGGAGAGCAGAGAGAAGCGATTGAGACCCCCTGACTTAGCTGTCTGGAAGACCTGGAGTTGAGTCCCTCCTCTGCCCCCATCCACTGTGTGACCTTAGGCAAGTAGCTTAACCTCTCTGAACTTGTGTTTTCTTTTCTGTAAAATGCAAATCATAGGACTGTTGTGAAGCCAGGTGTGATGGCTCAAACCTGTAATCCCAGCACTTTGGGAGGCTGAAGTGGGCAGATCAATTGAGGCCAGGAGTTCAAGACCAGCCTAGCCCTAAAAATACAAAAAAATTAGCCCGGTGTTGGTGGCTCATGCCTATGGTCCCACATATTCAGAAGGCTGAGGCACGAGAATCGCTTGAGCCTGGGAGGCAGAGGTTGCAGTGAGCCGAGATAGCATCACTGCACTCCAGTCTGGGCGACAGAGTGAGACTCTGTCTCAAAAAAAAAAAAAGACTGTTGTGAAGATTAAAAGAATATAAATGAGCTAATATATATAAAGAGCTTAAAATAATGCCTGGCATTGAACTGTACATTTAAAAATGATGGAAGTGGCCAGACAGAGTGGCTCACACCTGTAATCCCAGCACTTTGGGAGGTAGAGGCAGGAGGATCGCTTGAGCCTGGGAGTTTGAGACCAGCCTGGGCAAGATGACAAGACCCTGTCTCTACAGAAAAAAATAAAATAAAAAATTATCCACACATGTTGGCATGCATCTGTAGTCTCAGCTACTCAGGAGGAGGAAGCAAGAGGATCACTTGAGCCCAGCAGTTGGAGGCTGCAGTGAGCCATGATTGCGTCATTGCACTCCAGCCTGCAGACAGAGCAAGACCTTGTCTCTTTAAAAAAAAAAATGGTTGAGCTTTTTTTTTTTTTTTTTTTTCAGACGGAGTCTCGCTGTCGCCCAGGTTGGAGTGCAGTGGCGCGATCTCAGGTCACTGCAACCTCTGCCTCTCGAGTTCAAGCAATTCTCCTGCCTCAGCCTCCCGAGTAGCTGGGATTACAGGTGCCACCACACCCAGCTAATTTCTGTATTTTTAGTAGAGATGGGTTTTCACCATGTTGGCCAGGATGGTCTCCATCTCTTGACCTCATTATCCGCCCACCTCAGCCTCCCAAAGTGCTGAGATTACAGGCATGAGCCACTGAGCCCGGCCATAATGGTTGAGTTTTTATGGCGTGTACGTTAATCCTCAATGAAACTGTTTTTTTAAAAACAGTGCTGGATGTACGGTAAGCACTCAGCAAGTCATGGTGATGTCACCCACTGGGAAGCACCCTCTGTGGTCCCTGCTGTGTGTGTGGAGGCTGAGGCAGTTTCAGCTTTGTCCTTACATCTCTCAGCCCACTGGGGACACAGACCTGGCCCCTGAGTGGTCAGCCCAGGGTGGGCAGGGGGATCCAGGGAGCTGTGGGAGCCCAGGGCCAGTGCCTGACCCAACCCCCAGCCTGGGGGTCAAGGAGGACTTCCAGGAGGAGGGAAGGCAGAGTGGGAACCCGGAGGACGAAGAGTTAACTGGCAGAACAAGGAGCTAGCCCTGATTTACTGACTTCATGCCCTCCAGCTAGAGCTCACTCAGTGACTCTTCACAACAACCCCAGGAGGTGGGCACTGTTCTGACCCCATTTTCCAGATGAGGAAACTGAGGCACAGAGAAGTTAGGGGACTAGCTAGGCGTGGTGGCTCACGCCTGCAATCCCAGCACTTTGGGAGGCTGAGGCGGGTGGATCACCTGAGGTCAGGAGTTCGAGACCAGCCTGACCAACATAGTGAAACCCCGTCTCCACTAAAAATACAAAAAAATTAGCTGGGTGTGGTGGTGGGCACCTGTAATCCCAGCTATTCGGGAGGCTGAGGCAGGAGAATCACTTGAACCCAGGAGGCGGAGGTTGCAGTGAGCCAAGGTCCTGCCACTGCACTCCAGCCTGGGCAACAAGAGCGAAACTCCGTCTCAAAAAAAAAAAAAGAGAGAGAAGTTAGGGGACTTACTCAAGACACACAGGTAAGAGGCGACAGAAGAGGAGTCCCATGGGCCCCTATGCTCCTCCGGGGAGCTGGTGCTTGCACCCATCCTGCCTGAGAGGAAGCAGCCTCCTTGCGGGCAACGCAGGGACCGGGATGGGGTTGGGGGCCGTTGTTTTGGGGGAGGAAGGGCCAAGTCACTGGAGGGACAGCAACTGGAGCCCCCCCTCCCTCCCGGTGTCTCCACAAACACACATACTGGCCCAGATTCGGAAAGTGTGTCTCATGGGGCGGGGAGGGAAGAAGGGAGAGAGGTTGAGTCAGTGTGGGATGGGAGACGTGGCAAAAAGGAACCTTGGGCCCACAACGGCACTCACCCAGCGAAAACAGGCATTGTTGGCACTTCCATAGCGCCTACTGTGTGCACACACAAGTGTGCACCTTCTAAGTGCTTTGTATGTTTTAACTAATTTAACCTTTAGGACAACTATGAGGCCGCTAGTATTATTATTCCCAGTGTGTGTGTGTGTGTGTGTGTGTGTGTGTGTGTGTGTGTGTGTGTGTTTTGTTTTTCTGTTTGTTTATTTTTGAGACCAAGTCTCACTCTATCGCCCAGGCTGGAGTGCAGTGTCATGAGCTCGGCTCACTGCAACCTCCACCTCCTGGGTTCAAGCAATTCTTCTGCCTCAGCCTCCCGAGTAGGTGGGATTACAGGCAAGCACCACCACACCCAGCTAATTTTTGTATTTTTAGTATAGACAGGGTTTCACCATGTTGCCCAGGCTGGTCTCGAACTCCTGACCTCAGGTAATCTGCCCACCTTGGCCTCTCAAACTGCTGGGATTACAGGCGTGAACCACTGCGCCCAGCCCATTATTCCCATTTTGCAGGTAAGAAAACTGAGGCAAAGAGAGGTTAAGTGGCTTGCCTAAGGTCCCACAGTTTAAAAGCAGCAGAAAATAGGCTGGGCGGTGGCTCATGCCTGTAATCCCAACACTTTGGGAGGCCGAGGTGGGTGGATCACGAGGTCAGGAGTTCAAGACCTGCCTGGCTAAGACGGCGAAACCCCGTCTCTACTAAAAATACAAAAAAATTAGCCGGGCATGGTGGCAGGCGCCTGTAATCCCAGCTACTCCGGAGGCTGAGGCAGAGAATTGCTTGAACCCAGGAGGCGGAGGTTGCAGCGAGCCGAGGTCGCACCACTGCACTCCAGCCTGGAAGACAGAGTAAGACTCCATCTCAAAAAAAAAAAAGTAGCATAACATAAATAAATAAAAGTAGCAGAGCCCAGATTTGAGGGCTTTACTATGCTACAATCACACATGCGTGTGTTCACACATCTTACATGCAGAGGCAGCCACACACATGAGCTCGCATACACACACACACACACACACACACACACACACCCCCAGTAGCACATCCAGACACAAACATAGCCAATTACTACAAGATGCAGGCTCCCAGACATACCCGTGTTCACAATCTGGGACCTACACAGATGTTTGTGGTCACACAATCACAAAGATAATGTGAGATGCACACACGGCATAGACACAGAGACCTGCACGAACACACAGGTACAGAGGCACACATGCATGCACACCCACACAGACACAGTCGCACACACATAACCTCCCATGCCCTCCCAAATCCAAAGGCACACACACAGACGTAATCACACACAGTTACACAAAAGATGCACTCCTGCACACACACACATTCTCACATACACAACACCACACAGAAGCACACAACTGTATCCGGAGATACAATCACAGGTAGTCACACACAGTCCCACAAAATCCCCGCAGCCCTGACCGCCCCATGCAGCCACACAAAGTCACACACAGCCCACAGCCCAGATACACATATATGCCTAGACCATCTCACACACAGGCACACAATGTCAGACTCACACCTACAATGATACACACTAAATCCACATAGACACATAGACAAAAGTTGCCCTTTATGTCTGTCTCTCTCACACACACACGTCACAATATAACAGTATATAGGGACAGAATCAGTTGCACACTATCCCACAAAGTCTCTCATAGCCCTACACAGCCCTTCAGAGTCACACAAAGTCATCCAGCAGGCCGGGCATGGTGGCTCACACCTGTAATCCCAGCACTTTGGGAGGCCAAGGCAGGAGGATCACCTGAGGTCAGGAGTTCGAGACCAGCCTGGCCAACATGGTGAAATCCCGTCTCTACTAAAAAAAAATACAAAAATTAGCCGGACATGGGTGCGGCGGGCGCCTGTAGTCCTGGCTACTCAGGAGGCTGAGGCAGCAGAGCCACTTGAACTCGGGAGGCAAAGGTTGCAGTGAGCCGAGATCGCGCCACTCCACTCCAGCCTGGGCGACAGAGTGAGACTCTGTCTCAAAAACAAACAAAACAAAGTCTTCCAGCCACAATTATAGGCACATGCGCACACACACACACACACACAGAGGCATGTACACAATTCAAAGTCATACAACCTCAGAGCCATGGCCACAATGAGGCACGTCCACTGCTATACACAAATGCGTGGAACCACCACACCCAGGAGTACACTCATAATGACACACTTTCCCAAGATATACACAAAGTCACACACACACACACACACACACATATACACACCAACAGCTGGACACTCTCTCCTCCTCTTCCTCTATCCTCAAGGCCAGGGAGGGAGACCCCGTTCCCCACTCCCCCACCACCCATGGCCTTTGAACCCCCCTGCCGGCACCCCTGCCCTGGCTGAGAGAGCCTCTCCCTCCCGCTGTCCCAGGTCCAGGCCCTGGGGTGGGAGCCCCAGGAATTCCTCCCCCTCAGCTGGCAGCGTGTCCTCCCAATCGTTTCTGCAGCTGCCTCCTGCCTTTCTCCCGTGGGGCCTCTGGACGGCAGCCAGAGACATGGTCACCCCCAGCGTCCCCACCCCACCCCAGGCCCAGCCTTCTCGCCAGGGCCTCCCATCCTCTCTGCCCCACATAGCAGCCTCCTTTGCCCCAGTTCTGGGCCTCCAAGGCCATGGGGGGTGGGGGACACAGATCTGTGGGGCTGGGGGACCACAGATGCTGAGCTGGGCTGGGCAGGGGTGGTGAGGGCTCAGCACGCCCGGAGGCCCCGGCTGGAATCCACCCCCCGCCACTCTCCTTGCACAGCTGTTTATAAATTCCAGGCCTGGCCTTGGCCCCCACCCAGATTCCCTTCCCATCCCCTTCTCGGCCCCATCTGTGGCCCAGACGCAGAGCCAGGAGCTCGCAGGGCCCAGCCTCCCCTGCCCGGGCTCTGCCTCCCCTGCCCAGGCTCTGCCTCATCTCCAGGCCTTGTGTCTCCCTGCGTCGCTGTCTCACTGCCTCGGAATCCCTGTCCCTCTTCATCTCTCCCTTCCCATCCTTCCTGCCTGCCCAGACGTGCGGCTCCTGCCCGCTCCCACCACGTGGTCACCCACACACCTCCCCCACCCATCAATGCGAGCCAGCATGGAGCAGTCACAGCTTCCACTAGCTCCCTGCGGCTGCCCCGCCAGCCAGGGCCAGAGGACACAGGCCCAAGTCCCAGCGGAGACACCGCCCCTCCTCCTCTAGACCCAGGAGTCCAGACCCCAGGCCCTCCTACCTCAGACCCAGGAGTCCAGGCCCAGCCCCTCTCCCTCAGACCCAGGAGTCCAGGCCCCAGCTCCTCCTCCCTCAGACCCAGGAGTCCAGACCCCAGTCCCTCCTCCCTCAGACCCAGGAGTCCAGGCCCCCAGCCCCTCCTCCCTCAGACCCAGGAGTCTGGGCCCAGCCCCTCCTCCCTCAGATCCAGGAGTCCAGACCCCAGCCCCTCCTCCCTCAGACCCAGGAGTCCAGACCCCAGCCCCTCCTCCCTCAGACCCAGGAGTCCGGGCCCAGTCCCTCCTCCCTCAGACCCAGGAGTCCAGGCCCCAGCCCCTCCTCCCTCAGACCCCAGGGTCTGGCCCCACTCACCGCGGCTCACTCTCTGCTTGGCACCCGACAGGATACCCGGGGTGTCGATGATGCTGATGCTCTCCAGGACCTGATTAGGGAGCTGGGCACACATGAACCTGGGGGCAGAGGGAGGGTCAGGGGTCAACAGGGAAGGACAGAAGGAGGGAAAACACGAAGAAAACATGAAGAGGGACTCGGGACCGCATGGCAAAGCATCCTTTATGGGCGAAGAAAGACACCGGACAGAAAAAGGGCAACCAGGACCATCTCAGAGTTATAACCAGCCACAGCTCATGTTCAGTGAGCACTTAATTTGTGCCAGGTACTGTTCTTTTTTTTTTTTTTTTTTTTGAGACAGAGTTTTGCTGTTGTCGCCCAGGCTGGAGTGCAATGGCACTATCTCAGCTCACTGCAACCTCCGCCTCCCGAGTTCAAGTGATTCTCCTGCCTAAGCCTCCCGAGTAGCTGGGATTACAGGTGGGCACCACCTCACCCAGCTAATTTTTGTATTTTTAGTAGAGACGGGGTTTCACCATGTTGGCCAGGCTGGTCTCAAACTTCTGGCCTCAAGTGATCTGCCCGCCTCAGCCTCCCAAAGTGCTGGGATTACAGGCGTGAGACACTGCGCCCGGCCACCAGGTGCTATTCCAAGTCCTCACAGCAACCATGGCATAGAGACCATGGTGATCCTGATCCCTTTTTTTTTTTTTTTTTTTTTAGACAGAGTCTCGCTCTGTTGCCCAGGCTGGAATGCAGTGGCACGGTCTCGGCTTACTGCAACCTCCGCCTCCCAGGTTTAAGCAATTCTTCTGCCTCAGCCTCCCGAGTAGCTGGGATTACAGGCACGAACCACCACACCCAGCTAATTTTTTGTGTTTTTGGTAGAGACGGGGTTTCACCATGTTGGCCAGGCTGGTCTCCAACTCCTGGCCTCAAGTGATCTACCTGCCTTGGCCTCCCAAAGCGCTGGGATTACAGGTGTGAGCCACCGGGCCTGGCCCAAGGTGATTGATCCACATTTTTGCAGATGAGGCTACAAGAAGGGCAGAGAGGTCAAGTCATTTGCCTGAGGCCACCCAGCTGGCCGGGATTTGAACCAGGCATACTGACTTCACTAGCCTAGGTGCTCCCCTGGATAAGAGAGCAGAGACAGGCATGGGAAGAACTGGGTAGAGAGAAGGGAATTGGGGCTGAGAAGGAGGGAAACACAGTCAGGGAGGGGACAGAGAAGGGGGACAGCAAGATGCACCCCTGGGACAGAAAGACGTGCCCCCAGGGCCGGGCGCAGTGGCTCACTCGTGTAATCCCAACACTTTGGGAGGCTGAGGCAGGTGGATCACTTGAGGCCAGGAGTTCAAGACCAGCCAGGCCAACATGGTGAAACCCCAACTGTACCTAATAATACAAAAACTCGCTTGGCGTGGTGGTGGGTGTCTGTAATCCCAGCTACTCAGGTGGCTGAGGCAGGAGAATTGCTTGAACCCAGGAGGTGGAGGTTGCCATGAGCTGAGATCGCACCACTGCACTCCAGCCTGGGCGAAAAGAGCGGAAACTCTGTCTTAACAAAAAGAAAAAGAAAGATGCGCCCTGGGCTCGCGGCTGGCACACCTGTTGAGGAAGGTGTTTCCGAAAGGGTTGAGTTTGCGGAAGGGCTTGTCCGGGTCCACGACGAGGGCGTTGCCGGGCACGGTGCCCTCAGTGTCCCCGTGCATGACGGCCACAAAGCAGTCGGTGGTGGGCTCAGGCCCCACGCGGGAGCCGGGCACCTCCTGCTCCAGCAGGTACTGGATGAAGCTGGTCTTGCCCGTGCTGTACTGGCCGGCCACCAGCACCATGGGCTTGCCGTCGAAGTCTGCGTCCTCCAGGGCCGGCGAGTGGAAGGCCCCAAAGCGGTAGTGCTCCTCCAGCGGCAGCAGCTTCGTGCGGTACAGCTCCTTGAGGGCCGAGGTCACCGTGCGGATGGCCTCGGGCTGCTGGCCCCGTGCCCCGCCCCGCTTCAGCCAGCTGAACATGGTGGCTGCACACCGCTCACGGGGTTCACGGAGAGACGTGCAGATGGAGAGCTGCCTGTGGGAGGGGGAGAGGGCATGAGCATAGGCGGCCCAGCCAAGGAGGAAGAAAGGGGTCTGAGTGTAGACTGTCTGGGTGACAGGATGGGTGGAGGAGGAGGAGGAGCACAGATATTTGTGGTCACAAATATGTGGTCACAGAGCATGGATGGCAGGTGGCAGGAGGAAGAATGGAATTGGGCCAGGCGCGATGGCTCACACCTGTAATCCTAGTATTTTGGGAGGCTGAGGTAGGAGGATTGCTTGAGGTCAGTAGTTGAAGACCAGCCTGGGTAAAATAGTGAGACCCCCATCTCTACAAAAAAAATAATTAGCTGGGCATGGTGGTGCATGCCTGTAGTCCTAGCACTTTGGGAGGCTGAGGCAGGAGGATTGCTTGAGCTCAGGAGTTCAAGGCTGCAGGCTGCAGTGAGCTATGATCATGCCGCTGCACTCCAGCCTGGGCTACAGAGTAAGACCCCATCTCAAAAAAAAAAAAAAAAAAAAAGGCCAGGCACAGTGGCTCATGCCTGTAATCCCAGCACTTCGGGAGGCTGAGGCAGGTGGACCACCTGAGGTCAGGAGTTTGAGACCAGCCTGACCAATATGGTGCAATCCTGTCTCTACTAAACATACAAAAAATTAGCCAGGCCTGGTGGTGGCCACCTGTAGTCCCAGCTACTTGGGAGGCTGAGACAGGAGAATCACTTGAACCCAGGAGGCAGAGGTTGCAGTGAGCCGAGATCCCGCCACTGCACTTGACAGAGCGACACTCCATTTCAAAAAAAATAGGGAGATCGTAGCGAACCAGCTGAAGGAGGAGAAAGATTAATGGTGACATGGTTGAAGAAGGGGGATTGATGGTGGTAGTGGAAGACCAAGAGATGGACAAGGCGAAGGATGCAGAAGCTGCCTGGAAGAAACGGATTCCTTAATCGCTTCATTCATTTCTTCCTCCCTTCTCCCTTCCATCATTTGACACCTTTTCACTGAAATCACTCACTCCATGCTTCAGGCACTGTGGACCCAGAAATGAGCCAGAGATCATCCCCTACCCACCCAGGGCCCCCAGTAAGGACCCAGACACATGCCAGACATCCAGAGGAGGGCATGAGAAACAGACCACAGCACCAGTAAGACTCAGGGCAGGGTTGACTTTTGAGCTGCTCCATGAAGAGCAGGCAAGACAAGGGGATTTAGGCAGAGAGGACGGTGCGTGCAAAGGTCTGGGGATGTGAAAGGTCCTGGTGTACTGGGAGCCATGAAACATCTGGGTAGGTGGCCAGACACAGGGGCACAAAGAGGAGGGGTGAGAAATGGAGCTGAGAAGGTTGCCTGGGTGCACCCAGGTCATGAGGGCTGTTGGGTGTTAACAAGAAAAATAATGCAACATTTATGATCACTGCATGCCAGGTACTGTACTAACTCACTTAACATTTATAACCCTGTAAAGTAGGTCTATTATCATCCCTGCTTTGCTTTGCTTTTCTTTCTTTTTATTTATTTATTTATTTATTTATTTATTTATTTATTTATTTGGAGATGGAGTCTCACTCTGTAGCCCAAGCTGGAGTGCAGTGATACAATCTCAGCTCACTGCAGCCTTCACCTCTGGGGCTCAAGGGATTCTCCTGCCTCAGCCTCCCAAGTAGTTGGGACTAGAGGCATGCACCACCACACCCAGTTAATTTTTTTTTGTATTTTTAGTAGAGATGGGTTTCACCATGTTGCCCTGGGTGGTCTCGAACTCCTGAGCTCAGGTGATCCACCCACCTCAGCCTCCCAAATTGTTGGGATTACAGGTGTGTGCCACCATGCCGGCTCATCTCTGCTTTTTTAACAAGGCAAAGGAGGCTCAGGAAGACAGCAATAAATTACCCAAGATCACTTAGCTGGAAAATGCTCAAGCTGGGACTCAAACACAGGCAGCCTGACCTCAGAGGTTGCAATCCTATTATAGGTCTAAAGATCTGAGTTAGGGAGGTTAGCCATGACCAACCCAGGAGCAATGAGCACCTCCAGCACCCAGACTGTGTTCTCTATCTTCCCTTACTAGCCTTTTATTCACCGTAGGATCTGTAGTGATGTCCCCTCTTTCATTCCCGATATCAGCCACAGGTGTGGGTATTTGCTTTTTTTAAAAAAGAAAAACAAAAACGATTGCTCCCCGTTGATGCTTATGATTTTACTGATCTTTTCAAAGAATCAACTTTTGGTGAGATGGGAGTCTCTAAATACCATTCCCCACTAAAAGAACCTGGGACTCCTTAGAGAAATGGTGGATTCCAGGGCGGGGGCAGGGAAGAACAAGTGAGCCTGGGTCAGAAGGTGAGGAAGTGCTCAAAGGCCGATAGGGCATGTTACAGGGACAGAGGACCCAGCTTGCAGGGGTGCCCAGTGGCCAAACATGGGGCAATTTGAGCATCAAAATAACTGCAAATCAAATATGCTAAAATCCATAAAATCATGAGACTTAAAAGGGGTGGCCAGGGAGTAGGGGAGATAAAAGCAAAAGGAGTTCGTAAAGGAGTGGCAAGAATGGAAAAGAGAGGCAGGATCTGGGATGTGGGCAGAGGGAGAGGGCTCTGGGCGGTGTCCCAGGCAGGGAGGGCCCTGAGAGAGAGCTGGGGAGAATGCTATCAGCGGTGGCCGATGGAGCTGGTGAGGCAGGAGAGGGGCTCTTGAGTGGCTGGAGGGACCAAGTTAGCTGATATGGATGAGGGCGTGGAGGGAGACCCTGCAGAGAGGATCTCTTCTAGCCCAGGGGATAGGGAGGGGTGTTGGGGGAGGATGGAGGAGACTGGGGGAGTGTGAGAGGCTGCGAAAGACTGGAGGAAGAGTGGGAGGAAGAGTGGGAGGAGTGGGAAGAGTGGGGGACATGGTTACAGACTGGGGGGACTGGTGAAGACTGGGGGACACCTGGGGAGACCGTTACAGACTGGGGACAGGGTGGCAGGGAGCAGGGGTCAGGCATGAGGAACCAGGGCAGGCTTGGGCGGGGGTCGGGAGGCGACAGCTGCGGTGCTGGGAGCACTCACCGACGGGGCGCGCTGGCGGCTGCAGCGGGCTGGGCAGGCTGGGAGAGGGTGGGGTCCCGCGAGGATCCGAAGCGCCCGCGGAGCGGCCTGTGCTCGCGGTCCCGTCCGGAGCCGTCTGAGCCGGGTGGGGCCCGGAGCGGGGAGGACGGGAGGGAGGACAGGAGGGAGGGGCGGGACGAGGCGCCCCCCTCAAAACCGGGCGCCCGGCCTCTGGCGCCCCCTTGTGGGGAGTGGGGAAGACGCCTTAGCACGGCGGGCGAGAGCTCCAGCGTCCAGCCTGGGGTTCGAATTCCGCCTCCACCTCCAGCGTTGGGCTGCTCCCCAGTCTGTCTCTCTTCTTAACACGGGAATCACAACAGCAGCAGCAATAATAGTAACAATAACAGGTCGGGCGCCCTGGCTCACGCCTGTAACCCTAACACTTTGGAAGGCCAGGGTGGGAAGATTGCTTGAGGCCAGGAGTCCAAGACCAGCCTGGACAATATAGCGAGACCCCATGTCTATTAAAAATAATAATAAATAATAAAATAATTTAGCCAGGCACAGGGGTGCACACCTGTGATCCCAGCAACTTGGAAAGCTGAGGTGGGAGGATAGCTTGAACCCAGGAGGTCAAGGCTGCAGTGAGCTATGATTGTGCCACTGCACTCCAGCCTGGGTGACAGAGCGAGACCTCACCTCTAAAAAAAATAATAGGACGGGGCGCGGTGGCTCACGCCTGTAATCCCAGCACTTTGGGAGGCCGAGGCGGGTGGATCACTTGAGGTCAGGAGTTCAAGACCAGCCTGGCCAACATGGTGCAAACCCATCTCTACTAAAAATACAAAAAAATTAGCTGGGCGTGGTGGCGGGCGCCTGTAGTCCCAGCTATTTGGGAAGCTGAGGCAGGAGAATCACTTAAACACAGGGGAGGTGGAGCTTGCAGTGATTGCGCCACTGCACTCCAGCCTGGGGACAGAGCAAGACTCCATCTCAAAAATAAATAAATAAACAAAAATTAGCTGGATGCAGGCACGCACCTGTAGTCCTAGCTACTTGGGAGGCTGAGGCTCCCAAGTTCCAGAATCACTGGAACCCAGGAGGCAGAGGTTGCAGTGAGCCAAGATCACGCCACTGCACTCCAGCCTGGGTGACAGAGTGAGAATCCATCGCAAATAAATAAGTAAATATAATATTAATATTAAAACTTAAGGGAGTTGATGAAACTTCTCAGCTGACAACCCTCCCTGGCTCTCCTCTCTCTCAGAGTAAAAGCCGAAGTCCACACCAAGGCCCACAAAGCCTAGCATGATCCACCTACATCTCCCCTGTCCCCCTTCCTCAGGCGGCTCCAACCGCCGTGGCCTCCTCACCATTCCTCAGACACACCCCCAACCCTCCAAGTTCATGGCCTTTGCACTTGCTGACTCCTCTCCATGGAGTACTTTCCCCATAGGGATCTGAATGCCTCACTCTCTCCCCTCCTTCAGGTCCCTGCTCAAATGTCACCTCCTCAGAGAAGTCCTCCAGGATCACCCTGGCTAAGGTAGAACCCACTCTCTACCTCTTATCACTGCCCTATTTTTCTCCACAGCCCTCCCAACCACTCTGCATATTCCACATTTCTCTGCCTAAGGGACTGTCTTTGCCCTGAGAACATGAGCCCCGTGAGGGCTTTGCACAATGCCCAACTCCCTGCAGGGGCTCAGTAAACATTTGTAGAAACAATCCCTAATGTTGACTGAGCCATTCCTATGTGCAGGCACCGCTCTGAGCTCTTTGCATGCATGTATTAGCTCATCGAACCCTCATCATATCTCCAAGAAACAGGAGTTTTGGGGTTTTGGTTTTTGTTTTTGTTTTTGAGACAGTCTTACTCTATCGCCCAGGCTGGAGTGCAGTGGCACGATCTCAGCTCACTGCAACCTCCGCCTCCTGGGTTCAAACTATTCTCCTCCCTCAATCTCCCCAGTAGCTGGGATTACAGGTGCATGCCACCACACTTGGCTAATTTTGTTTTGTTTTGTTTTTTTGAGTCAGAGTCTCGCTCTGTCGCACAGGCTGGAGTGCAGTGGCACGATCTCGGCTCACTGCAAGCTCCGCCTCCCGGGTTCACGCCATTCTCCTGCCCCAGCCTCCCGAGTAGCTGGGATTACGGCGCCCACCACCATTCCCGGCTAATTTTTTGTATTTTTAGTACAGACAGGGTTTCACCATGTTAGCCAAGATGGTCTCGATCTCCTGACCTCGTGATCTGCCCGCCTCGGCCTCCCAAAGTGCTGGGATTATAGGCATGAGCCACTGCGCCCGGCCTAATTTTGTGTTTTTAGCAGACAAGGGGTTTCACCATGTTGGCCTGGCTGGTCTCGAACTTCTGACGTCAAGTGATTTACCCACCTCAGCTTCCCAAAGTGCTGGGATTATAGGCATGAGCCACCATGCCCAACTGAATTGTATGCTTTAAATGGGTGAATTGCATGGCTTCTGAATTATATCTCAATAAAACTGATATTATATATTATATTATTATAATTATAACATTTTATTTATTTTTTCTATTTTTTTTGGAGGTAGACTCTTGCTCTGTCACCCAGGCTGGAGTGCAGTGGCGCGATCTTGGCTCACTGCAACCTCTGCCTCCCGGGCTCAAGCGATTCTCGTGCCTCAGCCTCTCGAGTAGCTGGGATTACAGGCATGCACCAGCAGGCCCAGCCAATAACATGTTACTATAATATTACTATTATATATATAATATATAAAAGGTCTGGAGCTTAATGATAACTTACGTTAATGTTGTTACTGCTAGGAGACAGGCCCTGTTCCAAAAGCATCACCTAAATCATCTCCCTTCCCCCAGGAGGGCAAGTCCTGTTATTATTGTTATTATTATTATTATTGCTATGTCTCAGATGGGAAAGTTGAAATACAAGGAAGTAAAGTCTCAGAGCTGGGTGCAGTGGCTCATGCCTGTAATCCCAGCACTTTGGGAGGCTGGGGCAGGGGATTGCTTGAGGCTAGGAGTTCAAGACCAGCCTGGGCAACATAGTGAGACCCCATCTCTGCAAGATAAAAAAAATCTAAAAATTAGCCGAGTGTGGTGGTGCACACCTGTGGTCCCAGCTACTCGGGAGGCTGAGGTGGGAGGATTACTGGAGCCTAGGAGGCCGAGGCTGCAGTGAGCTGTGATCGCGCCACTGCATTCCAGCCTGGGTGAAAGAAGAAGACCCTGTCTCAAAAAAAAAGAAAGTAGAGTTTGGCCTGCCAAGGTGTGGAAGAACTCGGAGTTGAGCCAGAGTTGTCTGATGGGAGAGTCTTGTTTCACTTCTACCCCAGGGCTTCTCAACCTGTTGCAAAACATTCTGGAGGATCGGCTGGGCGCGGTGGCTCACACCCGTAATCTCAGCACTTTGGGAGGCCGAGGCGGGCGGATCACAAGATCAGGAGATTGAGACCATCCTGGCTAACACGGTGAAACCCTGTCTCTACTAAAAATACAAAAAAATTAGCCGGGCGTGGTGGTGGGCGCCTATAGTCCCAGCTACTCTGGGGGCTGAGGCAGGAGAATGGCGTGAACCCGGCAGGCGGAGCTTGCAGTGAGCCGAGATCGCACCACTGCACTCCAGCCTGGGCGACAGAGTGAGACTCCGTCTCAAAAAAAAAAAAAAAAAAAAAAATTCCGGAGGATCTGTGAACTTAGATGTGGGGGGAAAAAGACAGCTGGAGTTTTCACTAAAATTCAGAGTTTCTGTCAACCACAAATGTTAGCAGCAAAGCACAGCGTCATCAGCAGGACCTGGGTCCCCGCCACCCAGAGGAATCACTGATGCGTTCATCGGTTTGCAGTTGTGGATTTTTTTTTCTTTTTTCTTTTTTTTTTTTGGAAACAGAGTCTCACACTCTTTCCCAGGCTGGAGTGCAGTGGTGCGATCTCAGCTCCCTGCAACCTCTGCCTCCCAGGTTAAAGCGATTCTCATGCCTCAGCCTCCCCAGTAGCTGGGACCACAGGTGCCTACCAACAAGCCTGGCTAATTTTTTGTATTTTTTAGTAGAGACGGGGTTTCACCATGTTGCCCAGGCTGGTCTTGAACTCCTGAGCTCAGGCAATTCACCCGCCTTGGCCTCCCAAAGTGCTAGGATTACAGGCATGAGCCACCGCACCCAGCCCAGTTGTGGATATTTTCAGCGATTGTATACACTCATCGCTCACTGGCCCCACAGCCAGCTCTCTCTAATGAATGCATTGAGGCAGGTTGGCTCACAGCCCAGTCTGCCATGTACTACATCTTTGGGGCCTCAGTTTCCTCACCTGCAAGCTGGGCCTATTAGTTCCCACGCTGGGGCTGCTGTGAGGACCAGATATGCTAACCCATGCGGTTCCCTGTTTAGTAAAGGTTGGTCACTGCTGTTCTGTTCTTCCGCTCGCCTGCAGGCAGTCAGCCTTGCAGAACTGAGTCCCGGAGCCCGTGGAAATTGTGGACGAGTCCTTGTGAGTAATCAGGAGGGGTCTTTCAGGAGAGTCTCTCCGAGAGTTTTGTGATCCAAGGATGTTAAGAAACAGCCATTTAGGCTGGGCGAAGTGGCTCACACTTGTAATCCCAGCACTTTGGGAGGCCGAGGAGGGTGGATCGCTTGAGCCCAGGAGTTTAAGACCAGCCTGGGCAATATGGTGAAACCCTGTCTCTACCAAAAGTACAAAAAAATTAGCCAGGCGTGGTGGCGCATGCCTGTAATTCCAGCTACTTGGGAGGCTGAGGCAGGAGAATGGCTTGAACTCAGGAGGCGGATGTTGCAGTGAGCCAAGATTGTGCCACTGCACTCCAGCCTGGGCGACAGAGTGAGACTCCATCTCAAAAAAAATTATCTATTTATTTATTATTTATCTATTTTTTGAGACGGAGTCTCACTCTGTCACCTAGGCTGGAGTGCAGTGGTGGGATCTCAGCTCACTGCAAGCTCCGCCTCCCGGGTTCACACCATTCTCCTGCCTCAGCCTCCTGAGTAGCTGGGACTACAGGCACCAGTCACCACGCCCGGCTAATTTTTTTGTATTTTTAGTAGAGACGGGGTTTCACTGTGTTAGCTAGGATGGTCTCGATCTCCTGACCTCATGATCCGCCTGCCTCGGCCTCCCAAAGTGCTGGGATTACAGGCATGAGCCACCCCGCCCAGCCAAAATTTTTTTTTTTTTTAAGAAACAGCTGTTTTCCTATAGTGCTTTATTTCACACGTGGAGGGAGTAGTTCTAGAGCTAGGAAAGGGGATGGTCCATCCCTCTGAGACCCCAGATATCAATTTCCCACCCACATACAACCCCAGGGGGCCCATTGCCATGGCTCATGCCTGTAATCCCACCACTTTGGGAGGCTGATGCGGGAGGACTGCTATAGGCCAGTGAGACCCCTGTCTCTACAAAAAATAAAAATAAAACAATAAAAATTAGCCAAGTGAGGTGGTATGCACCTACTCAGAAGGCTGTGCCAGGAGGATCCTTTGAGCCCAGGAGTTCGAGGCTTTAGTGAGCTGTGATTGCACCACTGCACTCCAGCCTGGGTGACCCAGTGAGACCTTCTCTCTCTCTGTCTGTCTGTCTGCCTCTCTCTCTCTCTAAGACAAGGTCTGGCTGTATCGCCCAGGCTGAAGTGCAAGCAGTGGTGCAATCTCAGCTCACTGCAACCTCCATCTCCTGGGCTCAAGCAATCCTCTCATCTCAGCCTCCCCAGTAGCTGGGATCACAGACGCACACCACCACACCCAGCTAATTTTTTTTTTTTTTTTGTAAAGACCGGATTTCGACATTTTGGCCAGGCTAGTCTCGAACTTCTGACCTTAGGTGATCCACCTGCCTCTGCCTCCCAAAGTGCTGGCATTACAGGAGCAAGCCACTGTGCTGGGCCGAGACCCTGTGTCCTAAAAACAACCAAAAAATAAACAAACAAAACACTTCCAGGGGCCTGCAGAGAAACAGGGTGCATCACCCCGGTCCAGCCGCCACAACCACCCACCTGGACTCACAGCAGTTGCCTCCTCGCTGCGCTTGGTTTCCACCCTTACCCCTCGTCTATTCCCGCAAACAGCCACCAGAGGGTGCTGGGGAACCTAAGTTCGCTCAGGGCCCTCCTGAAGCTCCCGTCTCAGTGTAACAGCGAAATCATCCCCATGGAGGACACGGTCCCGCACGATGAGGTGCCCTTTGTTCCCCCTCGGACCTCACCTCCAGACCTCTCCCCATCACTTATGGGCTGCAGCCGCATTGGCTTTTTCGCTGTTCCTCGACACTCCAGGCAGGCTCCTGCCACAGGGCCTTTGCACTGGCGGTTCCCTCTGCCTTGGATGCTCTTCCCTGAGAGCTCTCCTGTGGCTTCCTCCCTCTTTTCCTGCATGTCTCTGCTCAAATATCACCTCCTCAAAGAATCTTTCCCTTCCCACCTGATCCCGAGGGCCCTGATGTGCAGTTGGGCAGGTTGTTCACTGCACAAGGCACTCACTGAATGGGTGAGAGGGGACTGGAGCCCAGCTCATGCTCTGCTCTTCAAATTCTGGGCCCAGGAGAGAGGGGTGCCCTTTTCTAGTTCACACAAAGGCATACTAGGGCCTGACAGCTGTCTTGCCCACTTGCGGAGTCCTAATTAGGGAGAGTCAGGCTGCTGAGAATGCAGGAAAGCAAAAAGATAAAGCAGCTAAGTTACAGGTCTGCCTTTCTTTACTGTCCAGGACATAGCCCTCCTATACAAATAACTCAATCTTCCTGCGCCCAAGTATCACCAGACACCTGCAAGTGAGCTCACTGTAACCCTGGCATTATCAGTACTGCACAAAGCCCTCTTCAGCACACAACATGAACTCTCCTATATGCCGGGCATGGTGGCTCACGCCTGTAATCCCAGCACTTTGGGAGGCAGAGGCAGACGGATCACTTGAGGTCAGGAGTTCGAGACCAGCCTGGCCAACATGGTGAAACCCCATCTCGACTAAAAATACAAAAATTAGCTGGGCATGGTGATGGGTGCCTGTAATCCCAGCTACTCAGGAGGCTGAGGCAGGAGAATTGCTTGAACCCGAGATGCGGAGGTTGCAGTGAGCTGAAATCATGCCACTGCACTCCAGCCTGGGTGACAGAGCGAGACTCTATCTAAAAAGCAAATGAAAAAACCAACTCCATCCTATACAACCCCCAGCAAGCCTTTGTTTCCTTGCAGTCAGCTTCTCCCTGGCTGTGTTGCCCATTGCAACTTTGCAATATATTTTCCTACTTTATTTCATAAATCTGCCTTTTTTTTTTTTTTGATGGAGTCTCACTCTGTTGCCCAGGCTGGAGTGCAGTGGTGCAGTCTTGGCTCACTGTAACCTCTGCCTCCTGGGCTGAAGTGATCCTCCCAGTTCCCAAGTAGCTGAGACTACAGGTGTGCATCACCACGCCCTGCTAATTTTGTATTTTTATTTATTTATTACCTTTTTTCGATGGAGTTTCACTCTTGTTACCCAGGCTGGAGTGCAATGACGCGATCTCAACTCACTGCAACCTCTGCCTCCTGGGTTCAAGTGATTCTCTTGCCTCAGCCTCCTGAGTAGCTGGGATTACAGGTGCCTGCCGCCACACCTGGCTAATTTTTGTATTTTTTAGTAGAGGCAGGGTTTTGCCAAGTTGGCCAGGCTGGTCTCAAGCTCCTGACCTCAGGTCATTTACCCACCTCAGCCTCCCGAAGTGCTGGGATTACAGGCGTGAGCCACTGCACCTAGCCAATTTTTGTATTTTTAGTAGAGATGGGGTTTCACTGTTAGTCAGGCTGGTCTTGAACTCCTGACCTCAAGTGATCCGCCCACCTCCCAAAGAGTTGGGATTACAGGCGTGAGCCCATAAATCTGCTTTTTTTTTTTTTTTTTTAACCTACCACTGTCTTGGTAAATTCTTTTACCCCCACACCACCAGCCCAGATAATTGTCACTCACTTGTGACACCCACCTCCTTACCCTGCATTACGGATTGAGTTGTTCTGTCCTCTCAAAATATAGGCTGATGTCCTAACCCTAGTGCCTGTGAATGTAATTTTATTTGGAATCAGGGTCTGTGATCTGAAGAAAGCTAGAAGGGCTGGGCGCGGTGGTTCACGCCTGTAATACCAGCACTTTGGGAGGCTGAGGCCGGTGGATCATGCCATCAGGAGATTGAGACCATCCTGGCTAACACAGTGAAACTCCGTCTCTACTAAAAATACAAAAAATCAGCTGGGCGTGGTGGCACATGCTTGTAGTCCCAGTTACTCGGGAGGCTGAGGCAGGAGAATCACTTAAACCCTGGAGGCAGAGATTGCAGTGAGCTGAGATCGTGCCACTGCACTCCAGCCTGGGCGACAGAGCAAGACATCTGTCTCAAAAAAAGAAAAAGAAAAAGAAAGCTAGAAGAAAAAAAAAAGGGAATCAGGATCTTTGCAGATATGATTAAGTTATGACAAGGGCATACTGGTAGGATGGGCAAAACTCCAATATGACTGATGCCCTTAGAAGAGAAGAGATACAGTGGGAAGTCAGCCAGAGATTGGACTGATTCAGCCACAAGCCAAGGAGAACCTGGGGCCACCAGAAACTGGCAGAGACAAGGAAGGATCCTTCCCTAGCACCTCTGGAGTGGGCATGGCCCTGATGCCACCTTGTTTTCAGACTTCAGGCCTCTAGGGCTGTGGGAGAATAAATATCTGTTGTTTTAAGCTGCCCTATTTGGGGCATTTTGTTATAGCAGCTTGAGGGGACTAATACACCTAGCATGATTTTTTTTCTTCTTTTTTTTTGTTGGTCGGGGGATAGAGTCTCACTCTGTTGCCCAGGCTGGAGTGTCAGTCTCGTCTCACTGCAACCTCCATCTCCTGGGTTCAGGCGATTCTCCTGCCTCAGCCTCTGAAGAAGCTGGGACTACAGGCGTGTGCCACCATGCCAGCTAATTTTTGTATATATATATATTTTTTATAAGTAGAGATGGGGTTTCACTATGTTGGCCAGGCAGGTCTCGAACTCCTGACCTCAGGTGACCCACTCGATTTGGCCTCCCAAAGTGCTGGGATTACAGGTGTGAGCCACCGTGCCTGGCCTGATTCTTCTTTATATGGGCATCTGACACTGTATACATTTACAGTGGACCCTCACTATTTGCAAATGCCATATTTGTGCATTTATCTGCTCATCAAAACTTCTTTGTAACCCCCAAGTCAAGACTCTCAACACACACACGGCAGCAAAATATCAAGTTGCCCAACACAGACGTTCGTTCCCAGCTGAGGTTGAATAAGGCGACATTCTGCCCTCGTTTTGGCTCTCGTACCATAAACACGCGTCCTTTTCTTGGTTTATCTAGTCCCACGCTTTTCACATTTTTGTGCTTTTTGTTGGTGACTCATTGTTTAAAATGGGCCCAAGCGTACAGCTGAAGTGCGGTCTAGTGACCTTAAAGCACCAAGAAGCTGTGATGTGCCTTTGGAGAAAAGATAAAATATATGTGTGAAATAGGCTTGCTCCAGGTTCCAGTTATAATGCTGTTGGCATGACTTCAATGTGAATGAATCAACAATATAAATGAAATAAGGTATCTTTAGGGCTGGGCGTGGTGGCTCACGTCTGTATTCCCAGCACTTTGAGAGGCCAAGGCCAGAGGATCACTCGAGCCGTGGAGTTCCAGACCAGCTTGGGCAACATAGTGAGATCCCATTGCTACAGAAAGATTAAAAAAAAAAATAGCTAAGCGTGGTGGTGCGCCTATAATCCCAGCTACTCGGGAGGCTGAGGTGGGAGGATCACTTGAGCCTGGGAGATCAAGGCTGCAGTGAGCCACGATCGTGCCACTGCACTCCAGCCTGGGTGACAGAGTGAGCCCGTCTCAAAAATACATAAAGAAGTGTTTTTAAACAGCAACACATGTAAACTAAGGTGATGTATTGACTGAACTGTGGTGATCAGAGGCCCTTAGAAACCTAACCCTGTCTCCCTGGGGGCAATGGCTCAGTATTCACTAATTCTCAGAGTGTATGCAGAGATTATAGAACCTTACCGGAAATAAGAAGAACTGGCTTGATCTGGCTTAGCTGTTTACCACCCGCCTTCCCCACTAACAAGTCAGCTTACCGGCTTAGCAGGGACTCTTGTCTGCCTTGTTCATGTTGAACCCCCTGAGCCTAGAACGGGGCCTGGTACTCAGCAGGTGCTCAACAGATGCATGCGGAAGAAGGCCTCACAATCCCAGATCCAAACACTCCCCCACCCTCACAAACCCAAAAGCAATGGGCCAAGGGGGCATGAGTACAGTTTTAAAAAAAGGATCGGTTTTTAATTTACAAGAGTTCTAAATGTACAGAATTCTCCTTTAAAAAAATCGTTATACACAATAAATACAGTACAAAAAAATTTATCTTACAGTACTAGTTTTGTCTCCGAGATTTCAAAATCTGGCGCGGGCGGCTGGAGGCAGGAAGAACAGAGGGAAGACTAGCTGGGGAGAGGTTCGGGGGAGAGGAAGACCCCAGTTTCTTGTTTTGCTCAGATTTCAAAGTCGAGGGGTGGGCGTTCGAAATCTCTCACTCACTTGTGCACACACACACACACACAGGTCACGGAGCTGGACGTGCGGATGTCACACGGGTGCCTGCGGGCACAGCACGCTGGGAGGCTGGCTCCCCCACCCCCTCTCCGGTTTTGTTTGACAGCCTGTTGGGGGCGGCGGGGAGAGGCTGAGACTGTCTGGAAGGACCCTGCCAGCTCCCAGCACCCTCCACCATCTGAGAAGCCACACAGACAAGACAGGCACCCGGAGCGTTGGCATCAACCCGGTGGCCCCATCCCTGGCAAACACATGCGCGTGTCCCCCGGACAGAGGGGCAGAGTGTGCCAGGAAATGGGAAGAAACAGGAACTGACACAGCACTTTGCCCCTCCTTTGGCAGGGGAGACGTTTTACATCACAGCCCCCTCCCTAAATCCACGCCCACCCCCCAGCAACCCAGCTGAAGCAGGCGGCAGGGAAGGAGGCCTTTGTGACTCAAATAACTTAGGCAAGAAAAACCGTCAGGGGATCCCCGGCTCGAGTCCCCAGGAGGCTGAGGGCGGACACCCGACTGTCCCGGCGTCTTCGGGAGGAGGGGACGGGGAAGGGGAGGCGGCCCGGTGTTATCTGGTCAACGTCCTGGCGCCGAGGCCACCGTTGTGACTGGAGGGTGGGTAGGCCTCGGGCCTGTGCAGGGGCGGCGGGGATGCGGGGGTGCCGGCCGAGGCAGCGTGGGGGTACGAGGGCGCGGGCGTCCGGCCGGGGGCCTGCTGCAGGTTCAGGATGCTGTCGATGGCGCTCTGCAGGTGCTCGGTGAGCGTGTCATCCTGCGGGCTGTCGCTGGAGAAGCTGGCCTGGTCCACGTCGGGCGACTCGGACTTGCGCCGCTTGGCAGGGGGCAGCCCGGGCGCCTCCCAGTCGGGGTCCCCGGTGCCTTGGGCGGCGCTGGCTGCGGGCTCTGGCGGGGGGCCCTTCAGCATACGCTGGTACAGCTCGTCCTCCACGGCCGCCAGCTCGCGGATGAGCCCGCTGGTGGCCTCGTCCACTTTGGCGGGCAGCGGCGCCGGGCTGCCTCCCCGTGCCCTGCCTGCGGGCGTCCCCTCCGGCGCGCCAGGGCCCCCCACGTTCTCGCGGTAGGTCTTGCGCAGTGGCAGGCGCGGGCAGTGCGGGGCGGTGCCCAGGGGCTTGCGCTCGGGGGCGGCAGGCGGCGGGTGGTCCACCGTGCCGTTCATCTGGCCCGTGGGCGGCGGTGGTGGTGGCGGCCGTGGCGGGGGCTCGGCCACCTTGAGGGTAGCGGGGGGTGGCGGGGGCTGGTGCACGGGGTCCAGGGCCGTGTTGTGCACGACCTTGCTGAGCCCGGCTTCCTGCTTGATCTTGAGCTTGAGCCCGATGCGGCTCCGGGCCTCGTAGGTCTTGATGGGCGGGCGGTTGCGGGAGGGCATGGGGCCGTCCTCGTCGGCGTCCAAGGAGGAGGCGGCAGAGGAGGAGGAGGAAGAGGAGGACAGGGAGGAGGACGCCCGGGCCCAGGTGACCGAAGGGGAGCCGCCTGCCCCGCCGTGCCGGATCACAAGCTTGGTGGGCAGGTGTGGAGGGGGCTGGGTGGAGGCCCCGGGAGCTGAAGACGACAGGGGGCCGTGGCCGGGAAGCCGATGACCCTCGGAAGAGGCTGCGATGGGGAGGCCGAGCGAGCGGGAGGAAGACACGTACTCGTCTGCAGAATCGGGGCAAAGAAAACCCGCGGGGTTAGGATGAGGACCCCCCGACCGAGCTGGGAGGAGCTGTGTGCAGTGAGCACCTACTACCTGCCAGGCACCAGACTGCACCCTGGACCCTCCAATCCTCAGGATAGGCTTGGTGAGACCCTCTTCAGCAAGGCCCAAATTCCCCCAACTCTAAAACCACTGTGCCTGGCACAGCGCCACGAGCCACGTGGGGCTCATTCAGACATAAGTAAATTAAGAGAATACAAAACAAGGCTCAGGCCTGTAATCCCAGCACTTTGGGAGGCCAAGGGAGGGGGATCGCTTGAGCCCAGGAGTTTGAGACCTGCCTGGCCACAGTAGTGAGACCCCTGTCTCTACAAACAAACAAACAAAAAAACAATAAATAAAATATGAAGTTCTATTGGACAGCACTGCTCTAATTATATACATAACTTTTTAAAAATGGGGCTAAGGAGGTATCTAATTTCAAAATCTGGTCCGAAATGACATGAGGTTTTTTGTTTGTTTGTTTGTTTGTTTTTTTGAGACAGTCTCAATCTGTTGCCCAGGCTGGAGTGCAGTAGCGCCATCTCACCTCACTGCAACCTCCGCCTCCTGGGTTCAAGCGAGTCTCCTGCCTCAGCCTCCCAAGTAGCTGGGATTATAGGTGCCAGACACCACACCTGGCTAATTATTGTATTTTTAGTAGAGACAGGGTTTCGCCACGTTGCCCAGTCTGGTCTCACACTCCTGACCACAGGTGATCGCCCGCCTCAGCCTCCCAAAGTGCTGGGATTACAGGTGTGAGCCACCACACCCGGCTACATGAGGTTATTTATGGTCATGATTTATCTCAACTACTCTGGATACCCATCGATTTCACTCCAGAAATACTAGTGTGTTTGATCACACAGTGCTTCCCCAAACCCACTGGGGGTAAATCAGAAGACAGCATTGAGGTAGCTCATTGCCTTTCTTTTTTTTTGAGACGGAGTCTCGCTCTGTCGCCCAGGCTGGAGTGAGCTCATTGCCTTTCTAAAAGCAAAAAGATTCCAGAACATATCAGGCCCCGAGGGTGTCAGATAAGAGATTGTAAGCTGATCATCATAACCCCCACTTTACAAAATGAGAATACAGAGACACAGAGAAGGTAAGTAACTTGCCCAAGGTCACACAGTTAGTAAGTGGCAGAGCCAGGATTTAAACCAAGACTCCAGCATCGAGCCCCTAACCACGGAACTACCCTTCCTCTCCTACCCTAGAGACTTCAGACTCGCTCCTGGCCCCTCCTTCACTATGGCCACCCCTTTGCACTCATTTAAGTACCAATGACTACTTTTTCAAAATTAAGGTCCAGAGCTCGACGTAAAAAGCCTGCGCCTGGCAGCACAAAGCAGGGACCATGCTTTTATCCAGGGAAGCCCTGGAGTTGGAATGTGGGCAAAGGCTAAGGGAATATTCTGGAAACTCTGGCAGCTGGGATCTGCCTGTACCGTTTCCTGCAGACAGGAGACTAGAGTGAGGCCAGCGAGCCACCTAAGGTGCAACACTTAAGGAGGTGCTCACTCTCAGGGTCCCCAAGCAAAGGACTGGCACCCAAGAGTGGGCGTTACCTTATATATTTTGCAACCTAGGCGCCTGCTCTCCTGTTTTGTGTCCCACGGGGGTGGCAGAAATATTCCCCCCATCCCAGAGTGGTGGGGGTGGAAGGGCCACACAGGGATGGAGGAAGATGGATGTGGGCTATCTGGTCTGAGAGGCGGGAGGTCAGGGGAGGCACAGCTGCCAGCAGGAAGGTGGAGCTGGGGCACCGCCTAGTGGTGGAGTGAGGTAGGGCCACACACCCACTCCCCGCCCTGAATCTAACTCTTCTGCCCAGGTGGGGTGGGGGCACCTCTCCCTCCCCTCCCCTCTCACTCCCCCCTCTCACCCGGCTTCTCCTTGGCCAGCTGTTTATCCAAGGCAAGGGTGGTCTTCTCCTCCTGAATGAACATTCGGTCGATCATTACCATCTCCGCTGAGGGGCTCACCCTCTGGGGTGGGGGAAAAGACGACGTGCGAGTGAACCAGCAAGAAGGGGGAAGGGGCGCGAGCGACGGGGACGATGCGTGCAAGGTCCAAACTGTCCTTGTGATGGGAGCTCCCGCCTCCCTCCCAACCTCCCTCCCGGGGCTAGGAGGGGCGGGAGGCTCCACCTTGCCCAGAGCGGGTGAGGGAAAGGGGCAGTGTCCCAGCGAGGAGGAGCCCAGAGGCGAGGAAGGCGACTCTGACCCTACCCGGGACTCCTCCAGGAGCAGGAGCCGATATTTATTGAGCATGGCCTGGGTGCGTTTCAGCAGCTGCGTGGAGACCGTCTCAAACTCCTCGTCCACTGCGAGGAAGGGAAGAGAGGCAAGGGCGGAGATGTTGGGGGCGGCCGCGGATGCGCAGGAAGGAGGGCGGGGCAGGGTCAGCATAGCGCACCGTGGACCTGCGGCTCCACACTGGCGACGCCCCGCCCCACGGGCTGGGGTCCCCTGGGACATATAGGGCCGTGTCCTGGGGAGGCCTCACCTTTGTGGTAGTCACTGGGGGAGGGGAGGGCGCCCTGGTAGACATGGTAGGGCAGGAGGCGATGCAGGGCGTCCTCAAAGGAGGGGAAGGCCGTCTTGTAGTCGGGGTGCAGGACGGAGCCCTGGTGTTTGTGCAAATGCTCCAGGAAACTGCGGGTGGAAAGGGGAGAGACCACACACGGCGGAGGGTGGGGGGGACGGGTGAGGGCCAGGGGAAGTCCCTGAACCCTCAGCCCCAGGCCGCAACTGAACACAACAGCGGGAAGGGGAATACTTGGGCAGTGGTGTTCCCATGTACTGAACGTGCTTGTTCCATCTCACTGAGTCCCTGGGGCCGACCAAAGCAGTGCTATCGCTATCCCCATTTTACAGAAAGGGAAGGTGAGGTCGAGGAAGTGAAGTCACTCCTCTCCAAAGCACGTAAGGGAGGAAGAGCAGAGCGGGAAGTGAGGCCAGAGCCTGGAAGCTGCTATTCTGCCTCCTGCCACCTGGGGCCAGTGTGGCTCCACCGTGCCTCCTCCAAAGTGCAGCCTTCGGGAAGAAGGGAGGGAGGCTGGATCCTGTCTTCTCACGGGCCGCTTTTGTAGCCCATGTTACAATGGGTTTTGTCTGTTGGCAGTGTGACTGTCTCCCCCACCAGGCAGGCCCAACTCCACCCTCGGCTAAAAACCAGCAGCCTCTCTGCACTGTGGGGGCAGGGACTTTGTGTCACTTACTCCTGTGTTCCCAACATGGGGCTCAGGCCTGGGCACTGAGTGGGGACTTAATTCACACTCCTAGGCCAAGCAGAGGCTCACGCCTGCAATCCCAGCGCTTTGCGGGGCCGAGGCAGAAGGATTGTCTGAGCCCAGGAGTTCAAGGCCAGCCTGGGCAACACAGCAAGACCCTGTCTCTACAAAAATTATTTAAAAATTAGCCGAGTGTGGTGGCACGTGCCTGTAGTCCCAGCTACTCAGGAGACTGAGGTGGGAGGATCACTTGAGACTAGGAGTTTCAGACCAACCTAGGCCGGGCATGGTGGCTCACACTTGTACTCCCAGCACTTTGGGAGGCTGAGATGGGTGGGTCACCTGAGGCCAGAAGTTCAAGACCAGACTGGCCAACATAATGAAACCCCGTCTCTACTAAAAATACAAAAATTAGGCAGGTGTGGTGGCATGCACCTGTAATCTCAGCTACTCGGGAGACTGAGGTAGGAGAATCACTTGAACCCAGGAGGCAGAGGTTGCAGTGAGCCGAGATTGTACCACTGCACTCCAGCCTGGGTGACAGAATGAGACTTCGTCTCCAAAAACAAAACAAAACAAAAACAAAACCAACCAGCCTGGGCAACATAGTAAGACCTTGTCTCCACAATATATATAAAAAAAAATTTTTTTTTTTTGGGTGAGGGCATGCAGTCTTGCTCTGTCGCCTGGGCTGAAGTGCAATGGCATGATCTCGGCTCACTGCAACCTCTGCCCCCCGGACTTATATGTTTTTAAAAAAACACTCATGGTGGGCTGGGCGTGGTGGCTCACACCTGTAATCCCAGCACCTTGGGAGGCCGAGGCAGGTGGATCACTTGAGGCCAACATGGTGAAACTCCATCTCTACTAAAAATACAAAAATTAGCCGAGCATGGTGGCAGACGCCTGTGGTCACAGCTACTTGGGAGGCTGGGGCAGGAGAATCACATGAACGGGGGAGGCGGAGGTTGCAGTGAGCCAATATTGTGCCATTGCACTCTAGCCTAGGTGACAGAGTAAGATTCTGGCTCAAAGAACCCCCCCTAAAACAAAACAAAAAACCCTGGTGGTGGAAGGAGGGCAGGAGAGAGGGCAGGCAGGCATCCAGCATTTACCCATCCATCCGCCCAGACTCCCATCCATCCATCCCCAAACACCCCCCCCATCATCCTCCCAACAGCCATGTCCACCCACTCACTTCCCCCACCCATCACTTCACCCACCCAGTGGGGCTCAGCACCGACGCGGCCCAGCCGTGTGGGAGACATGGAGGGCACAGCAACAACCAGGATGGACCAAACTGCCGCCCTCCTGAGCCCCAGCCTGGCGGAGCCACAGCCCACCCTCCCTCCACCACTCTCTGGTCACCCCATTTTCCAGAGGGGGAAACTGAGGGTCTATGAGGGAACTACATCGCTACCAAGAGGTGGAGCTGGGCTTGGCACTTGGGCCTGCCCAACTCTGCTTCTGGAGGGTGGCCCCATGCTCCCCCAGGTCTCTGGAAGGTACAGGGCAGGCATGCAAGGATGGGGTGTGGACTCACCAGGCTTCCTTGCTGGGCTGAAGCGTGGGGGGCTTCTTCAGGCCACTCAGTTTGCTCTCATACTGGGAGAAGAAAGGCGAGTGAGAGGCCTTTGCCTCCAGAAGCCTTCCCTCCCCCGACCAGCTTCCCCTCTAGCCTAGGATAAAGACGGGACAGGGGACCAGTGTCTCACCCAGGTGGGGGCCTGGCCCCAGCTACAGGATCCCCTGCCCATCACAATGAACCCCAGGGGAAGACCTGGGCTGGGCTGGGGAGTGGACGGAGAGGGTGACAGGCAGGCTGGAGCCCTGGGTGTCCTCTGCCTGGGTTCCCTCCGTCCCCTCGCCCAGGGCTGCCTCTGTGTGACCTCCCTCCTCTGCCGGATGCCTGCTTCCCACATCACCGCCCAGCACCCAGTGCCCCTGCCTCGCACAGTCTCTCTCCCAGTGTGGCTCCTGTCGTTTCGCCCCCCCGCCTCCCTTCCTGGCTTCCCCTCTTGTCCTCAGCGTCTGGCCTTCATTCTGGCATCTCCATCTCTGAGCTTCTCCCGGCCTCTTGGGTCCTGGTCCTCCCACCTGCTCCTCTCCTTGTCTTCTGTCTCCCCCACGTCTTACATCTACAAGTGGCCTCGGCCTCAGCTGTCCCCACCCTCTCACCCTTTCATTCTCGGTCCCTGATCTGCTCCGTCTCCGGTCTGTCTCATCTAAACCCGCCTTTCCTGTCCTGAGCTCACATCTTGTCATCTCAGCCCTGTCCTTCCCGTCCTGTGTCCATATCACCTGCTCTTTCCCCAGTCATAGTCCCTTACACTGTTGCCAGTAGTCTTGGTGCCGTCTCCGTCCCACCGTCTCCGTGTTTCTCCCTCATCTCTGGCTGCCTGTCTGGGTGTCATTCTGCCCTTCCTGTCCCTGCACGGCTGTTCGTGGTGTCTCAGCTGCCTGATGGTCCCAGCTTCATCCTGTCCGCGTCTTCCAGTGTCTCCCTGCCCCTGCCAGCCCCAGTTCCCAGTTCCCGAAGACTCCTGGTCCTGTCCTGACCCCTGCTCTAAGGGCCCCTTACCTGCAGCCCGGAGGGCTTCCCTGGCCCGGAGGAAGCGGCCTTGGCCACATTCAGGGTCGGGAGGTTGCTGGCAAAAGCCTTGTTCTCGGCTGGAAGCAGAGGAGGGAGGCCTGGGGGTGGGTGGGGTGGGGGAGACAGGGCCTGCGGTCACTGCATGAAGGCCCCCTCCTCAAACGGGAGCCCCATCCTGTACCCCACCGCTCTCCTCCTGGCCCTCCGGCCCTTCAAATCTGGGGCCAGCCCTGCCACCTCTGGCCTTCCTGTGTCCCTTGAGTTCTGGCTGATGCCCTGTGCTGAGTCCCACAGCCCTGCCCCAGCCCATTCTCCCTGCTCAGCCCCGCCCACCCATCTTCAGGCCCCGTCTCCCTGGGCACATAGGCGACCTCTCTCCTACCTGTGGCGGCCATGGGTGCCGGGGCGGGGGCGTGGCTGGGGGCAGTGGGGGTCCCAGATGGGGCCTGCCCACTGACCAGCACAGACGCAGCGGGGCTGGTGAGGGGCCCCAGGCTGGTGGAGGTCTGCGGGGCGGCAGGGGCCCCCCCAGCCTTGTTCTGGAGGATGATTCCGGACGGCACCTGAGGAGGGGACAGGTGGATGAGGGGTGGGGAACATAGGCTAGGTGTAGGGGTGTCCAGACGCAGCAGGGCTGGGGAGGATCACAGAGCCGTAAGGCGGAGGGGCTCCCATCAGACTGAGAGGGTGGGATGGGATGGGGCTGATGGGGCGGGCAGTCCCTGCCTCCCGTTACCTGGTGAAATCTCTCGAGAAGAGCCTTCGGCTGGGGCAGCGCTGGGAAGGGGGTGGTCACCATCTGGAAGGTCCGAGGAGGCGGTGGGGGGGGTGCTGCCGGCTCAGGGACCAGGTGGAGGGTTGGAGGGGGAGTGGGGGACTTGTGGGGCCCCTGGCTGGGTGGGAACTGGAGCTGGAAGTCGGATGGCGTAGGGGCTGGCAACCTGGAGGACGTCTCAGAGGAGGAGGCCACAGCAGAGGAGGTGGAGGATGGAGGGAGGTGGGGGGCTGGGGGCAGCGGTCCCTCAGGCGGCTGGGACTGGGGGCGGAGAGGCGGCTGCGGCGGGCCTGGGGCAGTAGGGGCCGGGTTGCTGGCAGGCGGGGGAACGCCTAGCTGGTTTTGGATGACAAAGATGCCAGGCAGAGTTGGGGGGGCCTGGGGTGGGGGGCAAGGGTGCAAGGGTGGCTCTGAGGGAGGGCGGGACACACTCTGTGGCCGGGAGGGTGGGCGGGAAGGGGGCCGGGTGGGGTGTGGGGAGGGCAGGTGGGGGCTGTCCCCCAGAGGGGCCTGGTGAGGTAGTGACGGGGACGAAGAGGGGCCTGGGCCCTTCAGCGGAGCCGCTGCCGGGATCTGGGCAGGGGAGGGAGGGAGAGGGGAGGGGCGGGGGTCAGAACCAACCATAGCTCCTGTTGCCCCAAGACACTGGGGTCCCCAGCCATCCCCGCCAGAAGCCCCCTTCCTAGCCCACACCCATCCTGAGAGAGGAGCCCACCACGGCTGCCCTTCCCTCCCTCGCCTCTCATTCCCCACAGCACCCCCTCCACCTGCCCTCGACCTCTGTCCCCCACCGCAGCTCCTCCACATTTCTCTGGCCTCCGATCTCAACCCCACTTCTGCCCCATTCCCCCCACCCCTCGCAGTTCCCCAGACAAAGGCGAGCCCTGCAGGGTTGGGGTGGCAGCAGCAGAGGAAGCAGAGGCAGTGGTGGCGGTGGCAGCAGGGGCACCACACCCGCTGCCCAGCAGGAGGCAGGAGGGCCGGGCGGCGAGCACAGCAGCGGGGAAGGAGGGCAGGCAGGGCAGCGTCCCAGCCGCCAGCCCCCACCAGCCCATCCAGCCAAGTCAAGGCAAAGAGACACCAGCATGATGCTGTGTACCATGGCTCGGGGTTGATGGCCACGGCACGGGGGCTGCCGAGAATACGGATGGCCACACAGGGACAGGCCTGGGTTCACAGCCACGTGTGGACCTCTGGATGCGGGCATGGGAAGGCCTGGACCCCCTTCTAAGTGTCCTGGGCACCTGCCTCTGTGTGCCTGTGTGTCCATGGCTGCAGGCCTACCTGGGCGCCACGTGAGCTTGCAGGTACAAGCGTGCATGCGTGTGCACGACGTACCAGACTCTGATGAAGCCTGTGTCTGCAAGCACACGCGATCTGGTGCTAGTTCTGTCACACGCACACAGCCACCTCGCCTAAAGCATGTCTCAGACGGAGCACCTTGCCGTTCTGGACCCTCCTCCCAAAGAATCATAACCAGAGCAGCCACTGTGTAACCAGTGGGCACCAGCTGTGCACCCAACACTGGGCTGGCACCGTGATACTTGCTGTCACAGAATCTGCATCCTAGTAACAGCTCATGCTGATCTAACACGAATGGCCGGCCTCCCGCATCCATTTGTGTGATCTCTCCCTAGCCCTGAGGGCAGTGGTAACACTGGACCCATTTCACAGATAAGAAACTGAGGCCAAGGCTCCAAAACTGGTCCAGACTCTCCAGGCTGGTGAAGGCGGAACTGAGGCCTTTACACTGCTCAGTGACTTCTGAGCCATTTCTCAAAGCTGACTGAGTTCAGGCTCAGAGGGCTCAGGATATCTGCCCGAGGACAGCCAGCACCACCACACTCCAGAACCGGGCATCTCGGCATGACATCAGATTCACCACCAGCTTTGGCCTCTAAGTCCCAGGGCCCTTCCAGCATCCCTTCCAAGCTGGGCCCTGAGTAACTTCTGACAGTTAAAGAACCAAACCAAACCAATCAATCAATCAGTCTTCAAAAGGTTTGCCACCTCTAAGAAGAGATGAGAGGCGCAGTCCTTGGCGCTGTGTACGGCTGGTGGGACTGCCTCCTGGAAGGCAGCTTGGTCTGGGGACTTTGAAAGGGTCACAACTTTGACCTGGAAATTCCCCTCCAGGAATCTGTGATGAAGAATATTCGGCCGGGCACGGTGGCTCACGCCTGTAATCCCAGCACTTTGGGAGGCTGAGGCGGGCAGATAACCAGAGGTCAGGAGTTCGAGACCAGCCTGATCAATATGATGAAACCCTGTCTCTACTAAAAATACAAAAATAATTAGCCGGGCATGGTGGCATGCACCTGTAATCCCAGTTACTCAGGAGACTGAGGCTGGAGAATTGCTTGAACCCAGGAGGCGGAGGTTGTAGTGAAATGAGATCGCGCCACTGCACTCCAGCCTGGGCACAAGAGTGAAACTCCGTCTCAAAAAAAAAAAAGAATATTCAAGTACTTGCTATGGGGTTGCCCACTTTGGGAGCATTTACAATAGAGGAAAAGGAGAAATGACTCAAATGGCCAATGGCAGGTGCGTCGCTGAGTCGGAGAAAAGAGAACTGGCCCACTCAGTAGGTTCCAAGGGCTCAGGGAGGTGGCCCACATGCAGCGGCACTCCAATGCTACATGAAATAGGAGAATAATACAACATTACAGGATCCCTGGGCACCTGGTAAAGTTGGATTATGGACAGAGGATATGACAACAGTATCATGTCAATGCTGTCTGCTTTATTTCTTTGCAGTATGATGGTTAAGTAAGAGAATGTCCTTGTTCTCCAAGGCTGAAATATTATACTAAAATATTAAGGGGTAGGCTGGCCGCGGTGGCTCACGCTTGCAATCCCAGCACTTTGGGAGGCCAAGGCAGGTGGATCACTTGAGCCCAGGAGTTTGAGACCAGCCTAGTCAACATGGTGAAACCCCATCTGTACTAAAAACACAAAAATTAGCAGGGTGCGATGTGTGCCTGTAATCCCGGCCACTCAGGAGGCTGAGGCAAGAGAATTGCTTGAACCTGGGAGGCAGAGGCTACAGTGAGCCAAGATTGTACCACTGCACTCCAGACTAGGCGACAGAGTGAGACTCAGACTCAAAAATAAATAAATACATAAATAAATAAAATAAAATATTAAGGGGCAAACGGGTATAATGGTTGCAACTTACTCTCAACTGATTCAGAAAAAAGTGTACACAGAATGAGAATGCTAAGGTCAAGGCAGATGTAGCAAAAGGCTGACAATGGGTAGACGTGGGAGGCAGCCACCAACAATCCTCACCTCCTTGTGTTCAGTCCCCTCCCATATGCTGGTCTTTGTGGCCAATAGAATTTGGCAGAAGTGATTATATGACACTTCCAAGATTAGTTATAAAAAGCCTGCGGCTCCCATCCTGAGCATTCTGTCTGTTTCTATTGGGTCACTCACTTTGCGGGAAGCCAACCGCTGTGTGTCATGTGCTGCCCTTTGGAGAGGCCCACTGAGGAAGCAATTGAGGCCTCCTGCTAATAGCCACACAAGTGAGCGTGGGAGCAGGTTCTCCAGATCAGTGGGACCTTCAGATGACCACAACTTCATGGGAGATCCAGAGCTAGAACCTCCTAGCTAAGCTGCTTTCAGATTCCTAATGTTTAGAAACAGTGTGAGACACGTGAATACTTGCTGTTTGAAGCTGCTAAGTTTTGAGGGTAATTTCCTGCATAGCAATAGATAACTAATACATCTAGTTGAGGAGTAAAGAACTCCTATGAGCTCTCTGTACTAATTCTGAAACTTTTTATGTGTTTGAAGTCATTTAAACATAAAAAGCTTAAAGATACCAAAAAATTAAAAAAATTTAATTTCATTCTCATCAAAAGTGCGCACACACACACACACACACACAATCCACAAATTAAGTCACATGCCAAATGACTTACTGGGGAAAACAGTTGCAACTCCAAATACAAAGTTCATCTCTCTCATATATAGAGAGACTCTAGAAATCACTAAGAATTACAACTGGTGAAAAAGGGGCAAAGGATATGATCAGACAGTGCACAGAAAAGGAAAGACAAAAGGCTTAAGTATTTTCAGAGCTACTCAACCTCACTTGTAATAAGAGAAATGCACAGCAAAACGCACCCCAGGGCACTATTTTTCACCCTAGGGTACCATTTACCACCCGTCGCATTAGGAATAAAGCCTATGTCTAGTAAAGATGCTTGTATATACTGCCCTTAGGGGTCTCAACTGGCACAATTTGCTACAACTCAAGAGGAACGCAATTCAGCAGTAGCTATCCAAGTTATAAATGCACATTTGCTTTAGTCCAGCAAACAGGCTTCCAGGAAGTAAACAGACCTGCATATGTGGGAAATAACAGGTGAACAAGTAGGCCGGGCGCGGTGGCTCACACCTGTAATCCCAGCACTTTGGGAGGCTGAGGCGGGTGGATCACCTGAGGTCAGGAGTTTGAGACCAGCCTGGCCAACATGGTGAAACCCCGTCTCTATTAAAAATACAAAAATTAGCTGGGCATGGTGGCGTGCACCTGTAATCCCAGCTACTAGGGAGGCTGAGTCAGGAGAATTGCTTGAACCTGGGAGGCGGAGGTTGCAGTGAGCCAGTATCACGCCATTGCACTCCAGCCTGGGCAAAAAGAGCGAAACTCTGTCTCAAAAACAAAAACAAAAACAAAACAGGTGAACAAGTTGTTTCCTGCAGCTTCGTGTAGAACGCCAAAATCTGGATATGGTCTAAAGTGCATCAATATGGCATTTCCTGGGGAAATGAACTGTGGCTCTTCTGTACAAAGGAATACTTCAAGACTCTAACAGAAAACAAGCAAACTCACTGTTGCTGCCACAGTAAGTACATAATGAGCTCCCCTTTGGGTACAAATGGGAGAGAAACGTAAACCATATTTGCACTAGGTTGTATATACACGAAGAACTGGAAAGGGATACAAAAATTAGGCCAGGTGGCCAGGCGTGGTGGCTCACGCCTATAATAATCCCAGTACTTTGGGAGGCCAGGCAGGCGGATCACCTGAGGTCAGGAGTTCAAGACCAGCCTGGCCAACATGGCGAAACCCTGTCTCTACTAAAAATACAGAAATTAGCAGGGCGGGATGGTGTGCACCTGTAATCCCAGCTACTCCGGAGGCTGAGGCAGGGAGAACTGCTTGAACCCAGCAGGCGTAGCTTGCAGTGAGCCAAGATCTTGCCACTGCACTCCAGCCTGGGCGACAGAGAGAGACTCAGTCTCAGAAAAAATAAATAAAAATAAATTAGGCCAGGCTCAGTGGCTCATGCCTGTAATCCCAGCACTCTCGGAGGCCAAGGCAGGAGGACTGCTTGAGCCCAGGAGTTCAAGACCAGCCTGGGCAACAGAGCAAGACCCTGTCTCTGGAAAAAAAGAAAAAAAAACTTTCTGATGATCATACTATGTGAATAAAATGACTTATTTAAAAAATGTTTTAAATAAAATTGGGGTCGGGGGGTTAAACAGAAACTTCATACCAAAATATTACTTCTTCTACAATATTTGTCTTAGAAAAAACAAAGCTAGGCCTGGCATAGTGGCTCACACCTGTAATCCCAGCACTTTGGGATGCCAAGGCGGGTGGATCACTTGAGGTCAGGAGTCCAAGACCAGCCTGGCCAACATGGTGAAACCTCGTCTCTCTAAAAATACAAAAATTAGCCGGGCTTGCTGGCATGTGCCTGTAAATCCAAGTTACTTGGGAGGCTGAGGCAGAAGAATTGCTCCAATCCCAGAGACAGAGGTTGCCGTGAGCCGAGATCGCGCCACTGCACTCCAGCCCGGGCGAGAGAGAGAGAGAGACTCTGTCTCAAAAACAAAAAATAAAACAAAACAAAGAAAAAAAAATTTTTTTTTTTTGAGACGGAGTCTCGCTCTGTCACCCAGGCTGGAATGCAGTGGCTCAATCTCAGCTCGCTTGCTGCAACCTCCGCCTCCCGGGTTCAAGCAATTCTCCTGCCTCAGCCTCCTGAGTAGCTGGGATTACAGGCACACACCACCATGCCCAGCTAATTTTTGTATTTTTAGTAGAGACGGGGTTTCACCATGTTGGCCAGGATGGTCTCGATATCTTGACCTCGTGATCCACCCAACTCGGCTTCCCAAAATGTTGGGATTACAGGCATGAGCCACTGTGCCTGGCCAGAAAAAATTTTTTTTTACCAACTGCTTGCACACAGTGGTATTACATGTGACTTATTTTTCTTCTTTGTTCTTTTCTGTATTTTCTACATTCTCTAAATGAGCACAAAATTATTATTATTATTTGGTCTTCAACTGCTAGCCTCAAGTGATCCCCCATCTTAGCTTCCCAAAGCAAAAAAACTAACATATGAGTGGATTGTTCACCAAGAGATTCCCTCCTTCTCTTCCTTCCATTTCTTTCTTTCTTCAGAAATGAGATCTCGCTATGTTGTTCAGGCTGACCTCAAACTCCTGGGCTCAGGTGATCCTCCTGCCTCAGCCTCCCTCCTGAGTAGCTGGGACTACAGGCATGAGCCACCACGCCCAGCTTCCAAGAGATTTCGAGAGCCCCACGTGGAGGCGGCAAGATGCTCAACTTCACACACAATTAGAGAAAAGCACAGGGGGTGTGTCACTTTCCAGCCTGGCAAAGAACAGGCCAGCTGCTAATCTCGTGTGTCAGTAAAGCTGCAGGACCAAGTGAAGCCATCACTGGCATGAACCTTTTCAAAAAGGTTTAGCACTTTCCACAAAATGGCTGGAAAGCTTATCATCTACGTCTGGCAATTCTATTTCTAGAAATTTACCCTACAAGTACTTTCATACCTGTGTGCAAAGCATGGGTGCAAGTTTTTTTTTTTTTTTTTGAGGCAGAGTCTCACTCTGCTGCCTAGGCTAGAGTGTAGTGGCACGATCTCAGCTCACTGCAACCCTCTCTAGGCTCACTACAATCTCCGCCTCCCAGGTTCAAGGGATTCCCCTGCCTCAGCCTCCCAAGTAGCATAGCTGGGATTACAGGTGCCCACCATCACGCCTGGCTCATTTTTGTATTTTTAGTAGAGATGGGGTTTCCCCATGTTGGCCAGGCTGGTCTCACACTCCTGACCTCAGGTGATTGCCCGCCTCGGCCTCCCAAAGTGCTGAGACTACAGGTGTGAGCCAACACGCTCAGTCAAGAATATCTTATAGGAGTTTTGTTTGTTAACAATGACAAATAAACCACCTGAAGTATTCCTCAAGAGGGGACTGAATAAAGAAATAATGGTATGTCCATATCACAAAACACAATAAAGACATCAAAAGAAAGAGGCAAACTATAGCCCACAAGCCAAGAATAATTTTTACATTTTTAAACAGTTGAAGAAAAAAAATCATAAGAATACTATTTCGTGACTTGCAAAAATTACATGAAATTCCAATTTCAGTGTCCTTAAATAAAGTTTTATTGGAACACTCCCGTGTTCATTCATTTACATATGGTCTGTGGCTGCTTTTGTGCTATAATAACAGAGACCATATGGCCCGCAAAAGCCTGAAACGTTTACTATTGCCTCTTTATAGAAAGTTGCCCAGAAAAATAAACAAATAAATGAATAAAAATCAAATAAGCAAAAAGAAAGTTTGCCTGGCTTCTTTCCCTTCATAGCTCTTTCAACATGCCCAACTCTGTTCTAAAACATTTTAATGTTAATATACATCTATTAATTTACAGATATTAGTTTATTTAACCCTCACAGCTCTACAAAGTAGCCGCTGTTCCTATCATTCTGATTCTGCACGCAAGGACACCGTGGTACAACAGAGAGGCAAGCAGCCTGCTGAAGGTCACAGGGCCTGTAAGTGGCCAAGTCCTATTTCCTAACTCCCACATCACAGCAATCTTCCCAGATGGTAGCTTGCAAAAAAACCCCCAAAAATAAAAACACACCCCTACACATAGTAACCATTGGTAATGGCTCAAGTCATCTTAGGGAGTTGGAACCAGCACTTAAAAAGAACAGTAGAGGCTGGGCGCAGTGGCTCACGCCTGTAATCTCAGCACTTTGGGAGGCCAAGGTGGGCAGATCACCTGAGGTCAGGAGTTTGAGACCACCCTCGGCAACATGGTGAAACCTTGTCTCAACTAAAAATACAAAAATCAGCTTGGCATGGTGGGGCACTCCTGTAATCCCAGCTACTTGGGAAGCTGAGGCAGGAGAATCGCTTGAACCTGGGAGGTGGAGGTTGCAGTGAGCCGAGATAGTGCCACTACACTCCAGCCTGGGCAGCAGAGGGAGACTCCATGCCTCCCCGCTAACCCCAGAAAAAACAATGGAAACAAAATAGAAAATATTGATGTGTATCACACATTGTAATATAGGTAATATTTCATGAAACTTTTGTTTCAGTGATATGTGTATATATACAAATACATATATGTATGCATGTCCTGGGTGGTGACATAAAATGAAATTCTTGTGCCGGGCATGGTGGCTCATGCCTGTAATCCCAGGACTTTGGGAGGCCAAGGCAGACAGATCACCTGAGGTAAGGAGTTCAAGACCAGCCTGGCCAACATGGAGAAAACCTGTCTCTACTAAAAATACAAATATTAGCTGGATGCGGTGGCGTGCGCCTGTAGTCCCAGCTACTCGGGAGGCTGAGGCAGGAGAATCGCTTGAACCTGGGAGGTGAAGGTTGCAGTTAGCCAAGATCGTGCCACTGCACTCCAGCCTGGGTGACAGAGAAAAAAAAAAAAAAACAAATTCTTATCCCGGGTGGTGGGTCAAGGAAAAAAAAAGGTCTGAAAGCCAGTGCTCCAAGATGCGTTGCTAAATAAGCAAAGCCAGATGCAGAACACAGTCTTTGCATTTCTGTTTGTGTTAACACAAAGGGAAAATGTACGCATGCGCGCGCGCGCGCACACACACACACACACACACACACACACACACACACACACACACAGAGGCTGCCAAATCCATCTGGGTACAGAGAGCACAGAGTTCCTTCCGAGTGCAGGGGTTGGAGTTCGGACAGTAAGGGAACCACTATTCTTACAAACAGTAAGAATCACCCAGATTGGGAACTGCTATTCCGTGCATTCCTGCATATCCACAGGATAGCGGTTCCCAGTCTGGATGATTCTGTCCCCACCAGGGGACACTTGGCCAATCACCCAGTCACACACCCACCCATGCCATCCATCCGTCCGTCTATTCAGCCATCCATCTGTCCATCCATTTGCTCACCCAACAAACATTCACTGACCACCTTCTGTCATGCTGGGTCCCCACTGCTGCAGATACAGCTACTGCGGAGGGCCCTACCTTGTGCCTCCGAGCCTCTGTGTGTGACTAAGAATCAGCTCGTGTGCACACCTGCCTGTGCGCACTAAGCTTCCTTCTCAAAGGTCATCCGCGTGGCCAGGCACAGTGGCTCACGTCCATAATCCCAGCCCTGTGAGAAGCCAAGGTGGGAGGATTACTAAGCCTAGGAGTTCGAGACCAGCCTGGGCTGCATAGTGAGACCCCATATCTCCCCCACAAAACAAAATACAAAAAAAAAAAAAATTAGCTGTGCGTGGTGGCACATGCCTGTAGTCCCAGCTACTTCGGAGGCTGAGGTGGGAGGATCACTTAAGCATGGGAGGCGGAGGTTGTAGGAGTCAATATTGCACCAGTGTACTCCAGCCTGGGTGACAGAACCAGACCCTGTTTCCAAAAAAATAAGTTCAGCTACAGCATCATTACTGCAACTGCTAACAGTAAGTGTCTGTTCACTGAGCGCTGGCTCTGTGCAGTGCCATCATGTCAGGTCACTGGGCTTATTCCCATTTTAGATGCAAAATCCATGCCTCAGAGAGCTCCACTAAGCAGAGCTGGATTCACACCCAGGTCTGGCTTTCTCAAGACTTCAGGTGTTTCCAGCAATAAGCCCCCAGGGTTTTTAATCCAGGCCCTACCATTTGCCAGCTGTGCAACCTTGGGCAAGCTAATTATTCTCCCTGTGCCTCTGTTTCCTCACCTGCAAAATGAGATGCTACCACCTACCTGGTGGAGGTGGTGAGGTTTAAATGAGAGAGTGCTAGGCCGGGCGCGGTGTCTCACACCTGTCATCCCAGCACTCTGGGAGGCTGAGGTGGGTGGATCACCTGAGGTCAGGAGTTTGAGACCAGCCTGGCCAACATGGCGAAACCCCATCTCTCTACTAAAAATATAGAAATTAGCCAGGCATGGTGGCGGGCGCCTGTAAATCCCAGCAATTTGGGAGGCCGAGGCAGGTGGTTCACCTGAGGTCAGGCGTTTGAGACCAGCTTGGCCAACATGGTGATACACTATCTCTACTAAAAATATGAAAATTAGCCAAACATGGTGGCAGGCACCTGTAATCCCAGCTACCCAGAAGCTGAGGCAGGAGAATCACTTGAACCCAGGAGGTGGAGATTGCAGCGAGCCGAGATCTTGCCACTGCACTGCAGCCTAGGCGACGGAGTGGGACTCTGTCCCCCTCAAGATAATAGTAATAATAATAAAAGCAAACATTTATCAAGTGCTTACTTTGTGCTAAGCATATAGTAACTCGTTTACTCCACCTAAGTGCTCCCTCAGCCTGCCTAGGCACCTGCTGATGGAATGAAAAACTGGTTGCTGAAGGTTAAATGGTAAGTGGGAGAGCGTGCAAGTGAAACCATGGCCGTTCGAGGTCAAAGCCTGTGCTGACTTCTGCCATCCTGCCCTTGTCACTGTCACACTCTCCTCTTCCTACCTATCCACTGGTCTTTTTTGAATGAGTACCACATTCACTGCTCTAGAATAAGAAGGTAGGCCAGGTGCGGTGGCTCACGCCTATAATCCCAGCACTTTGGGAGGCTGAGGCGGGTGGATAACGAGGTCAGGAGATCGAGACCATCCTGGCTAACATGGTGAAACCCCGTCTCTACTAAAAATACAAAAAATTAGCCCGGCGTGGTGGCGGGCGCCTGTAGTCCCAGCTACTCGGGAGGCTGAGGCAGGAGAATGGCGTGAACCCGAGAGGCGGAGCTTGCAGTGAGCAGAGATCGCGACACCGCACTCCAGCCTGGGCAACAGAGCGAGACTCCATCTCAAAAAAAAAAAAAGAACGTAGCCCTCCCTAACCTGTTATGTTATGACTCGTAAGCATAATGGTTATTACTTTAAGACAAAAGGCTAATTTTCCTAATATGTAAAGAGTTTCTACAAATCTACAGCAAAATGACAGCAACCCAGATTTTACAATGGCAAAGGGTATGAGCAGTTTCATAGAACAGAAAGTACAAATGGCTCTTACTTTTATGAAAATCTGCCCGACCTCATTCACAATAAAAGAAATGCAAATGAAAACAAAACAAGATACTATTTTTCACCTATCTAGATTGGCCAAGTTCAACATACTGGTGAGGTTGCGGGGGGCGGGGGAAAAAAGGCACAACCACATATTGCTGATAAAGGTTAAACTAATTTACACTCCACAGGCGGCAATTTGGCAATGTCTGTCAGAGATAAAAATGCATATGCCTTTAGAGCCAGCAAATTCCTTTTGAAGAACTTACCCTACAAAACGACATACATACAAAGGCATTCTTTGCAGCCTTGTTCATAATAGCTAGAGATCAGAAGTGACCTAAAAACCTAACAACAATTTAGACTGGCTAAATAAATATCCGCACACCCACACAGTGGAATACTACGCAGTCACACAAGAGAATGAAGAATGGGGCCAGGCACAGTGGCCTACACATGTAATCTCAGCACTTTGGGAGGCTGAGGCGGGCGGATCACTTGAGGTCTGGAGTTCAAGACCAGCCTGGGCAACATGGTGAAACCCCGTCTCTATTAAAAATACAAAAATTAGCCCAGCATGGTGGCGGGCACCTGTAACTCCAGCTACGCGGGAGGTGGAGGCAGGAGAATCACTTAAACATCGGAGGCGGAGGTTGCAGTGAGCCAAGATCGCGCCACTGCACTCCAGCCTGGGTGATAGAGTGAGACTCCATTTCAAAAAAAAAAAAAGAGAGAGAGAATGAAGAATGGTCTCCAAGATCAATTTTTAAATAATAAAAGATGCAATACCGCAGGCAGAAGATGCTACCCTTTTTGTAAAAATTGAAGGAAAAGAATCTATTTGATTCTGTTTCCCTATCCAGATAACAAATGCAAGAAACCACCTTGGGAGGACAACAGGAGGCCACGGTTCAGGAGACGGGGGCTTTCCACTATGCATCTTTTTGTACCGTTTGAAATGTGAATTATCTGAATGTATTACTTATTCAGATTTGAAAATTATAATTTTAGGAAAGAACAGATTTCCTTCCGTGTGTGTCTTGCATTCCTGCAGCGCGTGGGCTCCCCCAGGGCCGGCCCTGGTCTCAGGCATCCATGATCACTAGGAGACACTTGGGGGGTGAAGGAGAGCTCTGTGTTCCAAGTCAGCAGAACAGAGACGCAGGCAGGGCGGAGAGCGAGGAGCGGGAGAGCGGGCAGGAGGGGCGAGGCTGGGTCTGTGCTGCGGACACAGGCTGCTGGGGTCCCTCTACCTGGGGGGCCGGAGCCGGGGAAGCCTGGCTGTCGGGGGCCTGAGGGCCGAGGCCAGCTCCTTTGGCGACGGGGGTGGCTGGGGCTGGGTCTTGGGCGGGAGGCGGGGCGCTGACTATGACCGAGGCAGGCACGGAGAGGTGGGGGCCCTCTGCGGAGAGGGGCTGCTGGCTCCTCTCCTGCAACGGGCAGCCCGCACAGGATCAGAAAGCCGCCCCCACAGGCCCTCGACCTCCCCACCCGAGACCCCTGCCCCTATTGACGCTCCCAGGGTTCCAGAGAATGGGGTAGTGGGCAGCCTGGCAGGCAGGGTGCCAGGCACAGAGGCCGAAACCCAGGCAGCCTGCTCCATTCTGAGCTCCCATTGGCCCCTCTGCCAGCTCCACGTTGCCCTGCCTCTCTCCTGCCCCACCTGCCTGTCCCTCTGTCCCTGTCTCGTCCACTTTCTCTCTGAGATTCCTCTCCTTGTCTGTCAGCAGGCCAGCCAGTGCCTGCCCTTCTCTGTCCGTCGGGTAGTCCCTCTCCCTGCCGGTCCCTCTCCTCTCCATCTGTCAGCAGCCCAGCCAGTGCCTACCCTTCTGTCTGTTCACTGGTCCCTCTCTTTGTCTGTCTGTCTGCCAGTCCCTCTCACTGCCTAACAGTTGTCCTGCCCCTTGTCTATCAGTCAGCCAACCTGCCAATCCATCTTCCTGCCAGTTCAGCCAGGGCCCTCACCCTTCGGGCCTCCTCTTAGGGGCCACCTGTGCCATGACTGAGACCTTCCCCCCCCAGCTGCCACAGTGGCATCCACTTTTGGATCTTGGCGCCTCGCCCCAGGACCCCTCTTCCTCCCAAACCCGCCTCCTCCGGTACCTGCTCCCTTGCCCCGCCCTGCTTACCTGGGGCAGGAACATCTGCAGGGAGTCCTGAGTGAGGATGGCCGTGGGGGTGGCAGAGGGCGGCTGCCCCAGGACGATCTTCTCCGGGCTAGACGCCAGGCCAGGGCTGGGCTGGGGGGTGGTGGCCTGAGGCGGGGCGGCGGCCTGTGGGGTGGGGGCCTGCGGGGGCTGCTGCGCCTGCGGCTGCTGGAGGCCCAGGGGCAGGGGTGTGCTGACCGCGGGGGGCGCCTGGGGGGCAGGCTGCACCGTGAGGACAGGCGCGGCCTCCCCGGTGGCAGCGGCAGGGGTGGCCGGCTGCACCAGGCCGTCGGGGGTGTTGAGCATGGCCACGGCGCTGGGGGGCAGGGTGACCCCCTGGAGGACAGTGGTGGCGGCCGGCCCGGCGGGCGCTGGCTGGCTCTGCGTGGGCAGGCTGCCCGCCGCCAGCGACACGGGCATCTGGAAGAGCGCAGGCTGGCCCACCTGGATGGGAGCGGCGGAGAGGATGTGCGCGCTGTGGGCCCCGGAGTGGGGGGCCAACACGGGGCCCAGGCTCAGTGGGCCCGCCAGGTTCTGGTTTGTGAGGATGGGGTTCGCGATGAGCTGTCCACCTGTGTGGGGGGCAGCGGCCGCCAGGATCTGCCCGCCCACGTTGGCCGGCAGGGCTGAGAGCTGCTGCGGGAGCTGGACCGCCGGGGCGCCAGGCAGTAGGAACTGGTTCTGGCCCGGCAGCATGTGCTGGGCGGGGATGACGATGCTGCTGCCTTGGTTCAGGAGGTGGACGCTCATGGGTTTGCTCAGGGCCCCGGGGGGCTGCGGCGGGGCCGCTCCGGTGGTGGTGGCCGGTGGCTGCTTGAAGACGTTCGCTTGCAGCGCAGGCGCGGGGAAGCCCGACAGCACCACGTTCTGGCCCGCCTTCCCCGCCGCCATGAACGTCAGGTTCTGCGGGGCCTTGGGCTGCTGCGGGAGCGCCCCCGGCTCGCCCTGGATGGTGAGCGTGGCGCCCGCGGGCGCAAACGGCTTGGGCGTCAGCTGGTAGAGCTTGGGCGGCAGCACCCCCGCGGGCTTGGGCTGGATGGGCGTGGGTGTGCGATGCAGGATCACGTTGGGCGCCGGGACCAGTGGCGACGAGCCGAGGCCTGGGGCCACCGCCAGCGGCTGTCCCGAGGGCGTCCCGGTGGGAGCCGAGGCGGCCCCCGCGCCTCCGAACACAGAGTTCCCATTGAGCGTGGTGGCCACAGCGGCCGAGAGGTTCTTCTGGATGACCAGGCCAGCCCCCTGTGGCGAGACACCGGCCGACGCCAGCGTCACGGGCTCCGAGGGGCCAGCCGCCGAGGCCAGGTAGCCGCTGACGGGCACCTGCTTGGCCAGGAGCTGGGAGGTGGGCGTGTTGAGCGCCATGACGGGCTGGCCCACCACCTGGATGGGCGCCAGGCCCAGTGTGGCCGCCGTGGCACCCCCAGGGCTGCCATTGGGCAGGCCTTGGAGGCCCGGGATGGGCTGCAGTGTCACATTGCCCAGGCCCACAGGCTGCAGGAAGGGCTGCACACTCAGGGCCTTGTTGACCACGTCCTGGGGCGGCACCAGGGCCTGGTGGGTCAGCACGGTAGGCGGGCCCTGCAGCCCCAGCAGGTCGGTGCTGCCTGGGAAGAGGGCTTGGGGCCCCGCAGCCACGGCCGCTGCCCCTCCAGCGCCCGTCGGGCCTGCCCCGCCATCCGCAGGCTGCAGGGTGGGCAGCTGGAAGGGACCCAGGTCCAGCTCAGCCTCGGCCTCCAGCGTCTGCTCCGTGATGTTGGCCTCTTGGAGGCTCTGCTGGAGGATGTCACAGGGCTGGTCAGCGCCCCCACTGCCCCCGCCGCCGCCCCCTGTCGCAGGAGAGCCCAGGATGTCATCTTCCAGGAAGTCTAGGTCCACACTGGGGGCCGGCTGGTTGGGCTCTGGGTTCAGGTGGTTGCCGGAAGCTTCTTGCACATGGAGCTGCAGGCCGGGAAAGGTGGGAAGGAAAGAGCTGAGGTTAGCAAGGGGCTACGCTTAGGCCACAGCTGCCGCAAAGAATGCTGAGGTGACAGGGCAGCCACGTTCAAGAAAGAACATTCCCTCCTGGCATGGTGGTTCACGCTTGTAATCTCAGCACTTTGGGAGGCTGAGGTAGGAGGATGGATGGCTTGAGCCAAAGAGTTTGAGACCAGCCTGGGCAACGCAGTGAGAAAAAAATTTTAAAAAAGAAAAATTAGTCAGGGGTGGCAGCATGTGCCTGTGGTCTTAGCTACTTGGGAGGCTGAGGTGAGAGGATCACTGGAGCCCAGGAGTTTGAGGCTGCAGAGTGGAGCTACGAGCACTTCACTACACTCCAGCCTCGGTGACAGGGCAAGACTTTGAGAAGAAAAAAAAAAAAAGAAGAAAAAAAGAAAAAAAAAAGAAAAAAGAACATTCCACCTGCAAGTGGCTGGACCCGGGATCAAATCCCAGCTCTGCCAAGGCTTAGCTGTGTAACCTAGGGCGTGCTTGATCTGACCTCAGTTTCTTCATCTGTACCCATCAGTAAAATGTAATAAAAAAAACTACTGTTCAAGGCCACAGTGACTCACGCCTGTAATCTTAGCACTTTGGGAGCCTGAGGTGAGAGGATCTCTTAAGCCCAGGAGTTCCAGGCTACGGTGAGCTATGATTGTGTCACTGTACTCCAGCCTAAGTGACAAGAGTAAGACCCAGCGGGGCACCCTCAGGAAAGCCGCTGGTGGTGGCCCCAGGCCTCAGCTTGTCACCACTGGTCCCGGCGCCCAACGTGATCCTGCATCGCACGCCCATGCCCATCCAGCCCAAGCCCGCGGGGGTGCTGTCCCCCAATCTCTACCAGCTGACGCCCAAAAAACAAAAATAAAGTCTAGGCACGGTGGCTCACACCTGTAATCCCAGCACTTTGGGAGGCAGAGGCAGGTGGATCACTTGAGCCTAGGAGTTTGAGACCTGCCTGACCAACATGGTGAAACACCATCTCTACTAAAAATACGAAAATTAGCCAGGCGTGGTGGCACGTGCCTGCAGTCCCAGCTACTCGGGAGGCTGAGGCAGGAGAATGGCTTGAACCTGGGAGGTGGAGGCTGTAATGAGCTGAGATCCTACCAATGCCCTCCAGCCTGGGTGACAGAGTGAGACTCCATCTCAAAACAAAACAAAACAAAAATAAATAAAAATAAGCAACTATTGTTTAAATAGTGATATAGGCCCACAACACTTATCTGTAATTACAAAACCCAAAAAGCTCTAAGAACTGAGACTGTTTTCATAGCTCTGTTGGCAGCAAAACCTGACCAGAACCAACATGGCACTTTAGGTGGGATCCATTTATCCACATGATGTGACATCCCAAGTTTGGCCGCCGAAAGGCAAGCGTGTGACATGACACACACCACACATATGGCACCACTTTTCCAGAATTGGAGAAATTCGAAATTCTGAAACACACCTGGCCCTAAAGGTTTCTGACAAGCAGTCGTAGTTCTGGTGGAGTAAAGCTCACATCAGCAGTGGCTCCCATTTGTGAACTTCTGTGCCAACCGCACTGTGAGTTCAATGCTTTTTGTTTCTTTGGGTTTTTTTTGAGACGGAGTTTCCACTCTTGTTGCCCAGGCTGGAGTGCAATGGTGTGATCCTGGCTCACCACAATCTCCGCCCACGAGTTCAAGCAATTCTCCTGCCTTAGCCTCCCAAGCAGCCGGGATTACAGGCGTGTGCCACCATGCCCGGCTAATTTTGTATTTTTGGTAGAGACAGGGTTTCTCCATGTTGGTCAGGCTGGTCTCGAACTCCCGACCTCAGGTGATCCGCCCACCTCGGCCTCCCAAAGTGCTGGGATTACAGGCGTGAGCCACCGTGCCCAGCCTCAATGCTTTTTAAGTGCTTTTCATGCTATCCTGGACTGCAACCCAGGACACGCATGGAAAAATATCTGCAGGCATATGTGTGGAAAGCCCCACAAACAATACTTATGATACAGATTTCCATCTCCACCAATACTGACCAGATAACCCATCAAAATCTGCAGCTTCCAGGATTCTCAGTAAATCCACATGGAGGGTTCACGGTATCACCCGGCCCCTGGCAGGTGCTCGAGAAGCATCTATCATCATCACTCATTATTATTGTGATTCTCCATGCTGTTGTTGGTGACAGTCCCATGAGGCGGGTGCTGCTCCCTTCCTCATTTCACAGACGAGGGAACTGCCTGGGTCAACCACTGGTGAGTGGCGGGGAGTGGCAGGCAGACAGGGCTCTGGCTCAGCCTCCAACCGACTGAGGACCAGGCAGGCCACTGTAACCCCCTGAGCTCTTAACTGCCAGATGGTCACAACCAACCTGCCTCCTGGGATGCCTGTGAAAATTCACTGATGTCACGTGTGGAGAGTGTTTAGAACCTGAATGGGGATCTTAGGGTATACAAAAATGATGGTCGTGGTAAGAAGTGTGATCACAAAATAGTAACAGGATCACCACTGTTACTGGGCCTGTAAATAGACCAACATTATATAATTACTACATTTCCTCATCATTTATATTATGAAAGATAAGCTATTTGGAATATGATATTATAGCTGTGAGAACTAAATGAAGATAACAAGGAAGGGCTGGTCGTATAATAAGTGTTTGGTGAATGCGTGTTCTGATGATGAAGAGGGAAGGCGGGGAGGGTGAGGGGGGGAAGGAGGAAGGGGAGGCGGGGAGGGGGGAGGCCGAAGGAAGGTGGGGGGAGGAAAAGGTGAAGGGGGGAAAGCAGCAACAGAAGAGGGAGAAGGAGGAAGGAGGTGGCCACCGTGGTGTGGACAACTGGCACTTAGTCATGGGACCGGCATAGTCAGGCACACAGTAGGTGCTCAATAAACATCCTCTGCATTGGCCACTCTGGGCTTTTCTCAGCACCCATATTCACTGCCCAGGTGAAGACTGAAGTCTGCAGGTGAGGAGGCCCCTCCCCTAGGTCACACCCTGCCATGGCTGAGTTGGGCAGGACCCCAGGCCTCCCCCAGCCCTCTGCTCTCCAGGAGTGCCCCTGTGAACCCCACAACCCACATCCGCTTCAGCTCCCCAGAACCACTCTGCATGAGCCACCCCAGGGCCCCAAGGCCTCGGGGACCCTCACCTCTTCCCCAAGGGGTCTGCAAGGCACAGTCAGCCTTGTCCATGTTGGCCCCCCACAGGGTTCCCCAGCTCTGCTCCCTCCTGCACTGCCAGGGTGGTCCAGCCACCCTGGGTGGCCCACCCCCGCCCTCCTCCTGTCAACAGCCCTCACGAGATGAGCCCAAGCCTCCCCTCTTGGCTTCAGGGCCCTCCTCCCGCTGGCAGCCCCAACAGCTCAGGCAATGATCGGGAGCCACGGCACTTACCCCAGGACCTTCATAGAAGGCACTTTGGGCCTCCCCGGGATTATCCAGGAGGTCATCACTGTCAAGCTGCAACAAGACCCGCCCCATCCAAGGTCAAAAGTCAGCAGGGCAGGCCCATGCTCTGGAGCAGAAACCAATTTAGGGTCACTCAGGACAAAAAGACAAGGGTTGGGATGGGAGAGGGCTGGGGGTATGGGAAACTCTCGCCTCCGAAAAGAGGCCCCAAAGGCAGGGGCTTGGGTGCCTGCCTAAAACCCAAGGCATCCCCAGCACTGAGTCCCCGAGCCTGGCCTGCGAAGCGATCCTGCTGTGACTGCCTCGAATTCCGGAATCCTGCCTTCACGCCTCTGCCCAAGCTGCGCCCTGCCACTGCCCCCCAGTCTCTCCAGTAGCACAGCCTTCAGGAGTGGTCACTCGTGGTCCAACAGCTCCTGTCCCTTCTCACTAAGTACTCCTTTCCCAACGCAGCCTGAGTGCCTGGCACACCTACCATCCGGGCACCTGACAAGCCATGCGGTGCCATCTCTGGAAGGGCAGGGCATTCTCAGATGCTTAGCACCATCCTTAGTGCCCAGAACAGGCCCTGGCATCCACATATGTGCCCAGTGAATGTATGTCCATGGCTCGGGCTTCCCTAATTTCTTGTTCCATCTGGACATCTCTCCAGAACCCCAACTTGTACATCCACCAGCACCACCTGGACTTCTGGAATCTTCCCCAAATTCCCAACTTCAGAAAATGGCACCAGAATCCACTCAGTTGCTCAAGCCAAAATCCAGGAGCCATGGTGGACACTCTCTCCCCCTCAACATCGAGTCCACCAGCAAGTCTAGTTGATGCCACCTCCCAGATAGATCCCAAATCCAGTGCCACATGCCTCCCCCACTGCCTGCACCATGGCCCAGGCTGCCATCATCCCATTGCTCATGCCTCTGCTCTATAAATTATTTGAAACCTCTCCTTTCAAGAGGTGGAGCTCAATTCCCCTCCCTCTGAGTGCTGGCCAGACTGACTGATTAGCTTCTAGTGAATACAGTGTGATGGGAGGAAGGGTGTGGGACTTTGGAGACTGGGTCATTAAGGGCACTGCGGGTTCCTCCTGTGTCCTCTCTCGGATCACTCGTTCTGGGGGAAGCCAGCTGCCATGCTGTGAAGACACTCAAGCAGCACTAAGGAGAGGCCCCCGTGGTGAGGAACTGAGGCCTCCTGCCAACAGCCACAGGAATGAGTCCTGGTGGAAGCACATCTGCCAGCCCCAGTCAAACCTTTGGATGACTGCAGCCCCAGCCTACAGCTTGACTGCAACCTCATGAGAGTCCCTGAGCCTGAACCACCGAGCTAAGCTGCTCCCAGATTCCTGACCTTCAGACACTGCAAGAGCTCTAACAATTGTTGAAGGCACTGCATGCTGGGATAATCTACACAGCCATAGATACTAATACAGCTGCTCAGAGCTCAACAGACTTCTACTTTTCCCCATTTTGTTCCGTTCTCTGGGAAGCAAATCAAATATGGCATTCTCGTGTTTAAGGGCCCATCAGAGCTGCCTGTCACATTCAGAATAAAAATAACAACTCCTCTATCGGGCTTCCAGGCCTACACAACCTGGTGACTTTTACCTACTACAGTCTCACCTCCTACTAGTTTTCCCTTCAGTTTGGCCCCATCAGCCTCCTTCCTGTTCCTCAACCATGCCAAGCTCTCTCCCACCTTTGAACTTGCTCTTCCCTCTGCCAGGAGCACCGGGCCTGGCCACCTACCTCCCTGTGATCCTTCAGGTCTCACCTTCAATGTTACCTCCCTCGTGTGACCCTTTCTGATCACACTATCTAAAGGAGCCCCTGGGACCCATTTATTTTCTTTTAAACCTCTTTCATTGTGCAAATGACATTATTATTTTTTATCATACTCTACATGGTCCTTTTCACCATTACCTTTATTAGTGACTGGTTTCTTTGTTTCCCAAGGAGGTGTCCATGGAAGGAGGACAGGGGATTACCATGAGTTTTGCTCATGGCCGTAACTCCAGTGCCTGGCGTTAGAAGCCACAAGGCAGATGGCTACCTCATCAAAGGGACATGTCTCTCCCTGTCCCTCACTCCCAATTAGACAGCCCCCCACTCAGGGAATGCCTCTCCCTGCGCCCATGCTTACCTTCTCGGATCCATGCAAGAAGTCATTGAGGGCCTGTGGGTCACTGGAAGAGAAGAGGAAGAGACGCTGAGGAGGTAAGGAGCTGGGGAGGGGAGGGAAGGGAGGGGGTTGAGACAGAGGGCAGGGGGTGGGGAGCCCGTTACTCACCAAATCACGTCTAGTAAGCATCTCCCATCCTCATCATCCATCGCCACTGGATGGGGTGGGGTCAGGAAGAGGGCGAGGGAGACAAGGTTAGATTTTGGCAGCTTGCCTGGCCCCCTCCCTTCAGGGGAGCCCCCTGGAGGGGGTCAGAGTTTCTGTTCCCTTGAGTCCATGGGGATAGATGGGGACAAGGAATACCTCCCAGGTGCCCTCCCAGCCAGAAACCCCTGACCAGGGACAGGGTCCTTTTCCTCCCACTCCAACTCTCCCAGCACCTGATGATGATAATGATGATATCAACCAAGACTAAGTGAGTCCTGACCATGCCTCACACACACTAAGCTAATCCTCAGGGTATCCCAGGAGGGGTCCCACGGCCTGTACTTTGCAGATGAGAACTGGAGGCACCGGGAGGGTCATCCTCCGTCTCCCAGCAAGCAGGCAGCAGAGCCAGGCCTGGAACCTAGGAAGCCTGGCTCCTGAGCCCTGCTCTTCACCACCCTGCTGTCCTGCCTCCCCAGACATGAGGCGTGTGGTGGGGGTCTGTCCTACATATAAACGGGTGAAGGAGTGAGGGAGCCAGTGTAGACAAGAAGGGCTTTGTGGCTCAAGGCTCTGGGTGACCCTTGAAGATGTCTGCAATGTGTTCCCAAGGAAGGGGAGGGTGGTGGGGAAACTGAGGCAGAAGCAAGGGAGAGGGGCTCATGAGGAGGGGCGCTCTGAGTCAGAGAAGCCACCGGGGCAAGGCTGAGCCCTATGGTCTGAATGATGAGGATGAGGATGGCTAACATTTGTCGAGTGCTCACTAGGTGCCAGGCACTGTCTGAGCACTTCAGCAATGTTAGCTTGTTCCACCCCCATAGGGAAGGGATCGTTAGTCCCATCTGACACCAGGGGAAGCAGGTGTTCTCTGTATTTATTTACCCATCCACCCTCCCATCCATCTAGCCTTCCCTCCCCTCAAACACCCCTCCAAATATTCCTCCAACCCTCCAAAACATCCCTCCCTTCCCTGCCTCCATCCATCCATCCATCCATCCACTTCTTTATCTTTCCAAACATTTCTCCAAACATCCAACCAGCCCTCAGAAACATTTAACTAGCCAACCCTCCCTCCAAAGCTTCCTCTTTCCTCCCTCTAGCCATCAGTCTCCTCCTCCCTCCATCTTTCCATCCACCTACCTACCCATCCCTCCATCCTTCCACCCATCTACTTACCCATCCTCCATCCTTCCATCCATCTACCTACCCATCCTCCATCCTTCCATCCATCTACCTACCCATCCTCCATCCTTCCATCCATCTACCTACCCATCCTTCATCTATCCATCTACTTACCCATCCCTCCATCCTTCCATCCATCTACCCACCCATCCCTCCATCCTTCCACCCATCTACTTACCCATCCTCCATCCTTCCATCCATCTACCTACCCATCCTCCATCCTTCCATCCATCTACCTACCCATGCTCCATCCTTCCATCCATCTACCTACCCATCCTCCATCCTTCCATCCATCTACCTACCGATCCCTCCATCCATCCACCCATCCCTCCATCCTTCCATCCATCTACCCACCCATCCCTCCATCCTTCCATACATCTACCTACCAATCCCTCCATCTTTCTACCCATCTACCCACCCACCCCTCCATCCTTCCATCCATCTACCCACCCATCCCTCCATCCTTCCACCCATCTACTTACCCATCTCTCCATCCATCTACCTACCCATCCCTCCATCCTTCCACTCATCTACCTACCCATCCCTCCCATCCTTCCATCCATCCACCTATTCATCCCTCCATCCATCTAGCTACCCATCCCTCCATCCTTCCATCTACTTGCCCATCCCTCCATCCTTCCATCCATCTACCTACCCATCCCCTCCATCCTTCTACCCATCTACCCACCCATCCCTCCATCCTTCTACCCGTCTACCTACCCATCCCTCCATCCTTCCATCCATCTACCTACCCATCCCTCTATCCTTCCAAGCTTCCATCCAAACACCCCTCCTTCCCTTCTGCCAAATACCCACACAGACCCATCCTTCCAGCCACTCATCCCTTCATTACTTCCTGCACCCTCTGCTCCCGTCTCCTCCCAATGACACATACAATACACAATGGAAAAGAAGACCTGATCCCTGAATGGTGGGAATTTACAGCTCAGGACCGTGGAGTTCCCTTACCCTCTTTTTTTGTTGGGGTAGGGGGTCCCAAACCTCACTGACGATGTGACAACTGCCACGGGTCACCATTCCCACCCAAAAACCCCACATATAAAATCTTACATGCACCCTCAGCTGGTTCACAGCCCCTCACCCTGACAGCATACTCTGAACTCCCCTAACAGGGGCCTCCTTAGTGCCACCCCCAAGTCCTCCATCCCCAGTGCTCAGTGACATTATGAAGAGCCCTGACCAGGGACCCCCCACAGTGGGCTGGGGCATATTTGCTGAATCAAGTTGTGAAAAATCTAATGACACACGCATGTTTCATGCCAAAACATGCATGTGGGTAAGAAATGTGACACATACTTTTCCAGGGTTCACGGATCACCCTCCCTGCAGCACAGAGACACATGCATCTCCAGAGCCCCACACGCCAATTACTCTACCTCTCAGGGGCTGGCTGTGGGGAGTGTCCCCGGGGAGGTGCCTCCCGGGCTCTCGCTGCCTTAGAAGTGGTGAGGACGTACTCTCACCACCTGCTCCACATCCCAGCCCCACCAGGCTTCCTCCCCCTGTGTCACCAGGTCCATGACCTATGAGCCCCTTCCCTCCCCAACCCGCTCACAGAAGGCATGCAAAGGCATGGTCTGCAAAGAATCTGGAGAAAAGGGGAAAGGGGCAGAGAGAAAGATTTTGCTTGCAGCTAATGCAGAGGCAGGGTGATGGCCCAGATGACCCAGGAGGCCCAGGTGGGAGAAGAAAGAACCAGAGATATTGCTTAGCCAGGCTCTTCCAGGAAGGAATGCTCCTTCCTCATCCAGGGGCCAAGGTGGTGCTGGGGAGGTGGAATGAGGGACGGTTGCCCCTCCAGGAATGAACAGGGATGCTTCGCTGGTTACCTGCGCTACAAACGAATCATGAAGGGAAGGAGGGGCGTGTCCACTCCAGGTCTACACAGGGCCCCCAGCTGGGGACTTGGAAAGGGTCCTCTTGGGGGCCAGCTGTGGAGAAAATGAGAGACAGACAGTGAGTGAGAAAGTCAGCGAAAAGGAAAAAGACGTGGTCAGAGACGGACAGAGCTATGGGATGTAGGTGGGAGAGGGATGGACAAAGGAGGGGGATGGAAGAGAGACGGGAGGCTGAAAAGGCAACATTCAAGGGAAGTTTAAAAAATTTAGAATCACACAAAATGGCTGGCGCGGTGGCTCACGCCTGTAAATTCAGCACTTTGGGAGGCTGAGGCAGGAGTATCACTGGAGCTCAGGAGTTCGAGACCAGCGTGGCTAGGCAACACAGGGAGATCTTGTCTCTACAAAAAGAAAGTTTTTTGGCTGGGCATGGTCGCTTGCCTGTAGTTCCAGTTACTTGAGAGGCTGAGGCAGGAGAATCGCTTGAGCCCACGAGGTCAAGGATGCTGTGAGCTAGGATAGTGGCATTACACTCCAGCCTGGGCGACAGTGAGACCCTGTCTCAAAAATAAAAAAATCTGTCCGGGCGCGGTGGCTCACCCCTGTAATCCCAGCACTTTGGGAGGCCGAGACAGGTGGATCGCGAGGTCAGGAGATCGAGACCATCCTGGCTAACCCGGTGAAACCCGGTCTCTACTAAAAATACAAAAAATTAGCCGGGCGTGCTGGCGGGCGCCTGTAGTCCCAGCTACTCGGGAGGCTGAGGCAGGAGAATCGCGTGAACCCGTGAGGCGGAGCTTGCAGCGAGCCAAGATCGTGCCACTGCACTCCAGCCTGGGCGACAGAGTGAGACTCCATCTCAAAAAAATAAAATAAAAATAAAAATAAGAATAATTTAAATAGAACAAAACCACACTATACATACTATTATCCCATATATATACTACATATATGTAGCACATACACTATAGTGTATATAACATATAGTGTTATATACTATGTATACACATAGTATATAACATTATACTATGTCATTTACTGGCACTTCAGTATAACAAAATACAGCCAATTCTTGCTATTTGCAGTAGTGAGGTTCTAGAAAGTCACCGTGAACGCTGAGCTGCCACTCCTGGGGAAAATACAAGGCTAGGTTCTTGCCAGGTTCTGGCCACTGTATTTTCACCCATCAATCGATACATCACCTTGACTTATATGCGTTTCTGTTTGAAGCCATCTTATTTAATCTATATTGTTGATTCATTCACATTGAACTCATGGCTAACAGGACTATAACTCCCACCTGAAGGAAGCTTCTCTAACACAGGTATTTTCTCCAGAAGGCACATCACAGCCTCACTGCCCTTAGGAACACTAGATTTCTGCACCCTGCTTGTAGCCATTTTATTTTATTTTATTTTATTTATTTTTTTGTGTGTGTGAGTCTTGCTCTATCACCCAGGCTGGAGTGCAGTGATGCGATCTCGGCTCACTGCAACCTCCGTCTCCCAGGTTCAAGTGATTTTCCTGCCTCAGCCTCCTGAGTAGCTGGGATAAGGCACCTGCCACTATACCCGGCTAAGTAGAGACAAGGTTTCATCATATTGGCCAGGCTGGTCTCAAATTCCTGACTTCAAGTGATCCACCCACCTCGGCCTCCCAGAGTGTTGGGATTACAGGAGTGAGCCACTGCGCCTGGCCTAGGAGCCATTTTAAACAGAGAAATCACCAATAAGAAGCACAAAGACAGCCGGGCGCCGTGGCTCATGCCTGTATCCTGGCACTTTGGGATGCTGAGGCGGGCAAATCACTTGAGGCCAGGAGTTCGAGACCAGCCTGGCCAACGTGGCAAAACCCTTTAGTCTCTACTAAAAATAGAAAAAATTGGCCAGGCCTGGTGGCGGGTGCCTGTAGTCGTGCCTACTCAGGAGACTGAGGCACGAAAATCACTTGAACACAGGAGGCGGAGCTTGCAGTGAGCCGAGATCGCACCACTTGCACTTCAGCCTTGGTGACAGAGCTAGACTCCGTCTCAAAAAAAAAAAAAAAAAGACTCACAAAGATGTGAAAAATGTGGCACTAAACAGATTGCAAAAACGACACTGCTTTGCAATTTGAGCTGAAACAAGACATCAGGCCCCACCTCAGCTGGGAACCTGCATGTCAGGCAGCTCAATTTTTTTGGCCACTCTACCCACTTCTGCAAATGATCAGCACCGTTTTGGGGTTACCAATGTTCGCAAGTAGGTGAATTCGCAAATACGGGATCTGTGAAGAACAAGGACCGACTATGACAATGATAAACCACGCTGACTGCGGGCCCACTATGTGCTGGGTGCTGGGTGCAATGACGCGATCTCGGCTCACTGCAACCTCTGCTTCCCAGGTTCAAGCGATTCTCCTACCTCAGCCTCCGGAGTAGCTGGGATTACAGGCATGCACCACCACGCCCAGCTAATTTTTTATATTTTTAGTAAAGACAGAGTTTCACTATGTCAGCCAGGCTGGTCTGAACTCCTGACCTCAGGTGATCTGTGCCCCCTTGGCCTCCCAAAGTGCTGGGATTACAGGCATGAGCCACCGCACCCCACCCAGGCTGGGATTTCAGCCCAGGCAGGCTCACTGCAGAGGCCTCGCCCTTCACCACTACCCAACAGGCGACCCTCTCCTGCTACTTCTCTCGTAGGATCTGAAACAAATACAGCAGAATGTTCAGGCACTATCGCGAGGCTGGGTGATGGGGGTGTGCGTCTCTGTTATCATTTTATGAATGCCTGGGATGCTTCGGATTGGAAAAGGAGATAAAGGGACTGGCATGGAAGGAGGAGGAAGGAACAGGAGTGGCGAGTGGCTTTCTCTCTTCCTCTCAGGTCCCGATCCCAGAAAGAGCTAGAAAGCAGATGTCGCAAGACCCTGGAACACAGGATTCTTTTCCTCTGGAATGCGGGTGCCCTGTTCCTGCCTGGCCTGAAGGTGTGCACGAGCTCCCAAGATGAAGGGTTCACGTCTGTTCATGCCTCCTCCCTGGCTCTGGTAGGCGTGGCCCAAGCTCTGTGCACGACCTACCTACCAGCAGAATTAGAGACAGGAGGGGATGCAGCTCCCGTGAGGCTTCTGCAAACCAGTCCCGAGGGTGAATTTCAAAGTGGAGGCTGCAGAGCTGTCTCTGAGGATTTTGTATTCATGTGCTTTCATTCCAATGACAACACTAAAGACATGAATAGGGCCAGGCGCTGTGGCTCACGCCTGTAATCCCAGCACTTTGGGAGGCCAAGGCGGGCGGATCACAAGGTCAGGAGATCGAGACCATTGTGTGAATGGTGAAACCCCGTCTCTACTAAAAATACAAAAAATGAGCCCGGCGTGGGGGTGGGCGCCTGTAGTCCTAGCGACTCGGGAGGCTGAGGCAGGAGAATGGCGTGAACCCGGGAGGCGGAGGTTGCAGTGAGCCGAGATCGTGCCACTGCACTCCAGCCTGGGCGACAGAGCAAGACTCCGTCTCAAAAAAAAAAAAAAGAAAAAAGACATGAACGGGAACTTCCTGGGGAGAGGGAAACAGTCCGTGTTGTGACCAAGGTGTGGTTATGTGAGTGTTCAGAATTTAACAGCTCGGATTTGTGTGTTTCAACACAGGAAAATTTTACTTCAAAGAAGTAAAAAGGAGGGAGGCATGGTTAGCTCACACCTGTAATCCCAGCCAAGGCAGGGAAGCTGAGGCAGGAGGATGGCTTAAACTCAGGAGTTGGAGAACCAGCCTAGGCAACACAGCAAGATCTCATCTCTACAAAAAAATTTAAAATTAGCCAGGGGGTGGTGGTGGGCACCTGTGGTCCAATCTACTCGGGAGGCTGAGGTGGGAGAATTACTTGAGCTACAGAGGCCAAGGCTGCAGTGAACCAAGATTGCACCACCACACTCCAGCCTGGGCGACAGAGTGAGACTCCATTTCAAAAAGAAAAGAAGGCCGGGCGTGGTGGCTCACACCTGTAATGCCAGCACTTTGGGAGGGCGGGGTGGGAGGATCAACTGAGGTCAGGAGTTCAAGACCAGCCTGGTCAACATGATGAAACCTTGTCTCTACTAAAATACAAAACAGCTGGGTGTGGTGGCACATGCCTGTAATCCCAGTTACTCCGCAGGCTGAGGCAGGAGAATTGCTTGAACCCAGGAGGCAGAGGCTGCAGTGAGCTGAGATTGCGCCACTGCACTCCAGCCTGGATGACAGAGCTCAAAAAAAAAAAGAAGAAAAAGAAAAAGAAAAAAAGAAATTGGGCGAGGGGCTGGGGTTACTGCCTGTGCATGCTCACAGCAGGAATCAAGTGCACCTTGACTGATTCTGAGGCTCCCATCCCTGGGCTGCCACTTCCCGTTCCCAGCCGTGTACCCTAAGACAAGTTACTTATCCCCTCTGTGCCTCCGTTTGGGGAGGATAACACTACGTCCTCCATGGGACTGTTACATAGGAACACCTCTAATCCATGCCCTAAAGTACTTTGTAAGCAGTGTGTACGCTAGTTGTGATCATTTTAATTGCCACTGTTGATGCTATCTAATGGGGCGACTCCCAGAGCTTTTGGGCCACAGCCCAGTGAGGCTGGACAGAAGTCCCCGGCCCCACTTTGGTGCTGTTTGCCGCACATGGCCTGTGTGTGTATCTGGAAGGGTTAACAGATCTCCTGCTTCAGCCAGGTACCAGGGTTCTTTGAATCCTTCCAAACACCCTGGTATTACCCCCATTTTCCAGATGAGATAAACGCAATGGAAAACAGCAGTTTTGGGGGCGCTGCGGCACCTGCACTGTGTGCACCCTCACCAGGCCAGCTAGGTGTCTTGCTGCTCTCAACCCAGAAGGCAGGGGAAGCCTTTCAAGACACACATGAAGATTAAAAAAAAACAAAACAACCAGCCAGACATGGTGTTGCACACCGGTAATCCCAGCTACTCAGGAGACTGAGGCAGGAGAATTGCTTGAACCCAGGAGTTCGAGGCTGCAGTGAGCTGTGATCGTGCCACTGCACTCCAGCCTGGGCAAGACAGCGAGACCCCATCCCAAAAAAAACAAAACCAAAACTTTAACATCAAATATCATATATCCGTCTGATGGTTTGGTTGTTTACTGTGTGTCTCCTCTACCGAAATGTCCCCCAGGACAGGAACTTTTGCTTGTTTTGTCCTCTGCAAGATCCCTGGGGCTGGCACATTATGTGGCATACAGTAGGAGCTCAATAAATATCTGTGGGATGAATGAATGAATTTGCAGAGGAAATTAAACAAATCCTTTCATTTATTCAAGAGGCAACCTGCTGAAATGTACATTTAGTAGGCACCTACTGTGTGTCTGGTGGGGGGTGCTGAGGACAGCAAAAGGGCAGAGGCAGACCCCATCCCTGGCTTGGGGAGCACAGCTGGTGGTTCTCAGCCAGGGAGGGTGCTGGAGACCTCTCCCCTACCCCCCACACTCAGAAACTTTTGAAACAGTGACTGAGGTTGCAGAGTGGGGGGGCGGGGGGGTGGGGGTTGAAAACTAGTATGCAGGGTTGCGGACCCAAAATTGTCACCAGCACCCTGGAGACAAGCCCTGGTGTGGCACACTGGCTTTTTAACCATCTGTCCGCTGCCCCCCACCCAGTGGGCCTGCTCCTACGGAAAGATTCTCCTTCCATGAGATGGAGTGGGCGCACTGTGTCTGTTCAGAGCAGAAGCTTCAAGAGCCATCACATAGTTCCCCTGAGTTCCAGAACAGGGCGGACATGTGGCCAGAGCCACAGCCAACCCCCCACGGGCACACACACGAGCGAGAAGCCAGCCTCTGCCACCACGGACCACTGCGACCCGGGCCCACTCGTCACTGTGGCATCACACAGCCGAAGCTGCCTGGCACACCCTGAAGAGCCCGCATTGCCTGAGTGCTTCCGGGTACCAGCCCCTGTGCTTACTCCATACCCACCGATCCCTCCCCATCCCCACGGAAGCACTGCTGATGCACATCTTACAGGAAAAGGAGACTCGGAGGTGGTCAGGACACTTGCCCCAGATCGCACCATGGGACCAGAATTTGAACTCAGACCCTGTGATTCTGAAGACCTCACTCTTCACCACCACACTATAAAAAGCAGGAAAGGCCGGGCCTGAAAACCACAACCAGCTCCAGAGAACAGCCATGACGCAACAATGACACAGTGTCCTTCCAGAAAATTGTGTGAATTCCTCCTCCACTTGTAATGCAATCGGAGTTTTGCGCTGTCATCAGGAGCTGTGCAGAAGCCAGGCTGCTAGCAGGATACGGAATTAAAAGGGCCAGCTAAGCTCCACAAACAGGCGAATTTTAATTTCCCAATATAAATTGGAGTAACCTCAGGTTGCCTGCCAGTAATACAAAGTCTCCAGAACGATATCATTTGCTGATAAGAAGTGCAAATGATGTGGCAAAGTCTATCTGTTGCTTTTCAAAACACCATTTCCCCACCTCTCCTCCTCCGCTCGCAGAAGCCTGACTCTGTGCAGGGTTAACACTTGCCAACGCTAAGATGTAAACAAAGACTGTTCTAGGCCAGTCTTTCTCAAACTATGGGTCATGCCTTTGAAGGTTGTGAAATCAAATTAGCAGGTTGTGACCAGGAACTGCTTTAAATAATTAAAATGCATGGAATGGAATGGAATGGAAGACATTAACGTGTATCATACATGGTAAGAGTGAGTATTTGAGAAATTGGTTTCAATAATGTGTGTGTGTGTGTGTGTGTGTACTGCGACACAAAGAAACATATTTTGGACTGTGAGTTGTGGTCAAAATAGCCTTAAAATAATTGAACTAAGCCAGAGGCATTCCTATCTCCTTTATCAGACACTCACTTTCCCAGCCTTTCTTGCAGTTAGAGTAACCACAGTTGTGCAAATAGTAAAAACTGAAGTGTACAGACAGGTTCTGCTCAGTGAGACTTTCAGGGAAAGTTTTCCTTCCAGAATACAAAGACAGAGTTTCTCCAGAAAGACAGTCTTTTGCTCCTGCTTCCAGTTTTGAATACAGTTGAGATGACTAGAGCTGTGGCAGCCATTTTGCAACCACGGGACAACAAACCTGAGGCTGAAAAGCCCACCAGCAGAGGATGGTTGATGGGAGCTGACAAAAAGACCGTGTTCTTTTTTTTCTTTTGAGACGGAGTCTCGCTCTGTCACCCAGGCTGGAGTGCAGTGGCGCAATCTTGACTCACTGCAACCTCCGCCTCCCAGGTTCAAGTGACTCCTGCCTCAGCCTCCTGAGTAGCTGGGATTAGAGGCACGTGCCACCACACCCGGCTAATTTTTGTATTTTTAGTAGAGACAGGGTTCACCACGTTAGCCAGGCTGGTCTTGAACTCCTGACCTCTAGTGATCCACCCGCCTCAGCCTCCCAAAGTGCTGGGATTTCAGGCGTGAGCCATCGCGCCGGCCTGACTGTACTCTTCATAACTCTTCATGGGCTGCCCGCCTCCAAACTTGTTAATCCTTATGGTTTAAGCCACTATGTGGTTTCCCATTATTTGCAGACAAATACAACCTGACGCAAAAAGAGCTCCCATTTCTGGATTTTCTTTGCAACCCATGGCAAGGCCTCTCACATGGGTCAAGGGCTGTTCTTTGTGGGTCACTGATTAAGAAGAGAGGTCAAACAAAATGTGAGAGGGCTGGTGGAAAGGGGATCTGAAACAAAGGCCACTGTGGTTGATTGCAAAGTGGCCAGAAATTCTCCTCCCTCGTCCCACACTCTTTGCAGCTCCTCCTATTAAGAAGTGGGGTCTATGACTTCAGCCCTTGACCCTGGGCTGGCTTCTTGACTTGCTTTGGCCAACAGAATGTGGTGAAAGTGATGGTGTGTGATTCTTTTTTTGAGATGGAGTCTTGCTCTTGTTGCCCAGGCTGGAGTGCAGTGGCATGATCTCGGCTCACTGCAACCTCCACCTCCCGGGTTCAAGCGATTCTCCTGCCTCAGCCTCCTGAGTAGCTGGGATTACAGGTGCGTGCCACCACACCCGGCTAATTTTTGTATTTTTAGTAGAGACGGGGTTTCACCATGTTGGTCAGGCTGGTCTTGAACTGACCTCGTGATCTGCCCGCCTCGGCCTCCCAAAGTGCTGGGATTACAGGCATGAGCCAAGGAGCCTGGCCGATGGTGTGTGATTCTGAGCCTGGCACACTTCCAGTCTTTGCCCAGCTGCCAGGTGAAGAAGCCCAGGCTGGCCTGCAAGAGGATGAGAGCCACGTGCCCATCACCCCATCACCCCAGCTAACAGCCAGCCAAGCCCTAGACGCAGTCACCAGCTGTCCAACAGCTGACTACAGACACCCAGCCCAGGCCAGAAGCACCTAGCTACGCCCAGTCCAAATTCTAACCGTTGGGATCATGGTTTTCTTTTTTCTGTTTATTATTATTTTGATTTTCTGAGACAGGGTCTCGCTCTGTTGGCCAGGATGGACTGCAGTGGTGTAATCACAGCTCACTGCAGCCTTGACTTCCTGGGCTCCAGGGATCCTCCCACCTTAGTTTCCTGAAGAGCTGGGACTATAGGCGCACGCCACCACACCTGGTTAATTCTTTGCAGAGACGGGGTCCCACTATGTTGCCCAGGCAGGTCTCAAATGCCTGGGCTCAAGCGATCCTCCCATCTTGACCTCCCAAAGTGCTGGGATTACAGACATGAGCCACTGTGCCCAGCCAGGGCTGTGTGTTATGTAGTGACAGCTCACTGATACAGCTCTCTCTGGGGACTTAGGAACCAAGTTTGACCCCACATCTGACTCATCCAAGTTTTATCCATCCCACCTCCCATATCTCTCCAGTCAGTGCCCTCCTGTCCATGACCACTATTCTGGCCCAAATGTAGTAAATGTATTTTCTCATCACCAAGCCTGGGTTCACATTTGGCTTATTGACATCTGGCTGCTCCTGCCATTAAAATACTCAAAAGCTGACCTACCGATTGGTAAATAAATGCTGCCCAAGCAGCCTCAGCTCCTCCTATATGCCTGCCCCACACTGGACACCGAGATGCCATGTGTAAACGACCATAGAAAGCCCTCCTCCCCGGCCCGGCTCCCTCTGGCCTCTGCTCCTCCCCGCGAACCCCCTTCCTCGCTGGCCACCGACTGGACCTGCCCCAACTACGAGTCCAACCTCTGCCTGGGCCACGTGGCTATGAGCCCTGGTGTTTGGGAGTCTGGGCATTTGATGGGTCAGATTCTGTCCCATGAGCCCTTGGCTACGGCCACCTCTGACTTCATCATCTTCGTCACCCCAGCCAAGGTTGCTGAATGCTTACTAAGTACTTCGTCTTTTTTTTTTTTTTTTGAGACGGAGTCTCGCTCAGTCACCCAGGCTGGTGTGCAGTGGCGTGATTTCAGCTCACTGCAACCTCTGCCTCCCGGGTTCACGCCATTCTCCAGCCTCAGCCTCCTGAGTAGCTGGCACTACAGGCGCCACAACCACGCCCAGCTAATTTTTTGTTTTTGTATTTTTAGTAGAGACGGGGTTTCACTGTGTTAGCCAGGATAGTCTCAATCTCTTGACCTCGTGATCTGCCCGCGTCAGCCTCCCAAAGTGCTGGGATTAGAGGCGTGAGCCACCACGCCCGGCAAAGTGCTTCATCTTATCATTTCATTCTCACAGCAACACTATAAGGCAGATGCCATTATCCTCATGCCCATTACACAAATGAGGAGACTGAGGCCAAAAAGGGTTGGGTACTTGCCCAAGGTCACCCAAGAGCCAGGATTTGAACCCAGCTGAGACTCCTAAGCCCGTGGGAACTACATGATGATGCCAGCCTGGCCATCTCTCCCTCCACCCCCCACAGCAGGGGTGTACTACAACAGGTTCCCCACCTCTGCCACTCACCCGGCCAGGTCCTCTATCCCTTTAGTTGTCCTGAAATGCCTCGAATGAGTCATTCCCGTGAACCTTGGTCAGACAGACAAATGAGGTGATGTGTTCACCTGGTACGTGGACTTAACATGCTATGACGCCTAGAAGTTAAGCTCTTAGGATGTATTTCCAAGGCCTTTGTAGTGAGTTGAATGGTGGCTCCCACCACAAAAAATATGTAAACATCCCAGAACCTGTGGATGTGGCCATCCTTATTTGGAAAAAAGGGTCTTTGTAGACATAATTAGATTAACAATGTTGAGATGAGACTGTCCTGGATTATCTGGGTAGGCTCAAAATCCTATGATAAATGTCCTCTTAACAGCAAAGGAGAAGTCACAGAAGAACAGAAGGCCATGTGAAGAAGGAGGCAAAGCTTAATGTCACGTGGCTACGAGCCAAGGACCACCTAGAGCTCCGGGGGCTGGACCAGGCGAAGAAGGCTCTAGGCTCTTCCCTAGAGCCTCCTGAGGGAGCACAGCTCTGACAACCCCAGTGGCCCTGCTAACACCCTCATTTTGGACTTAGGGCCTCTGGAACTATACGAGAATAGTTTTCTGTTTTAAGATCCTGCATCTGTGGTATTTGTTACAGCGACAATGGGAAACTAATGTACATGTAAGTTTCTAAGACAGAGACGCATACAATACGTACAGAGTATAGAAGATATATATGTAGCCTGGGCAACACAGTGAGACCCCATCTCTACAAAAAATTTTACAAATTAGCCAGGTATGCTAGTGTGCACCTGTGGTCCCAGCTACTTGGGAAGCTGAGGTGTGAGGATTGCTTGAGCCTGGGAGGCTAAGGCTGTGGTGAGCCAAGATCATGCCACTGCACCACAGCCTGGGTGACAGAGGGAGACCCTGTCTCAAAAAAGAAAAAGAAAGAGAGAAGAGAAGAGAACGTGTGTGTGTGTGTGTGTGTGTGTGTGTGTGTGTGTGTGTGTGTGTGTATGCACCACCATGTACAGCTGCACAGGTTGTTCACTGCACAAAGGAATCCAGACAAAGGGGCAAGTGGGGCATCAAATCCAGTCCAGGTTCTGCTCACACCTATGAGCCCCAGAGAAGGGTGGCATCCACATGGAGAAAGGAGTCCCCTTTCCCAATTCATACAAAGGACACACCACAGAGTCATGCCCTCTCGGACAAAGCACCATTTTCAATTGCATGAAAAAGCCCCGTAAGAGCTGGCTGGGCCCTGGATATGTAGCCGCTTGCATGATGTGTCTATTTTAAAGCTAGAAAAGGAAAACAGGGAAAAAAATGTTGATTCTTCACCCACCTCCACCCCTGTTGGGAAAGACAGAGAAAGAGCAATTTGAAGAGCAATTAAAATCTACACCATCTTTATTTTTAGTGACCTTTAGATCTCTAAAATCATTGAATTAGTTTAACCAAATAAAGTGGGCCCCATAAAGCTTAGATTGCTCATAAAGCGACTGATGTCTGGCTCTTAAAAGCCTATTTTATACAGGTAGTTACAAACTAGAAATGTTTTATGCATCTTCTCTTTTCCCTTTTCACCATTCGACGCTGTTCTAAATACAGCTATAAAGCTGCAGTCTTGCCAAGAAAACCAGGTATCTCAAAAGGGTTTGGATTTTTCTCAATGCTGGCTTATGAGAAACAGGAAAAACCCTGGGAGAGGGTAAAGTACAGGCATTCGGGGTGGGTGGCGGAAATACAAAAGAAATGATTATGTTCACCGGACACAGGGACTCACACGTCATCAGGCAACGAAGCAGGCTTCGAATTCAGGGGAAAAAAATGCAGCTAAGGGAAGCAAAGGGGAAAACAAACGTTCCCCAAGACGTGCGCACGGGTTTGTAGACCACTGGTTCCTAATACAGATTTGAGAATCTGGGAATCGGCAGGTCCCGGTGCGGCCTGAGACTCTGCATTTCTAATGAGTTCCCAGGTGATGCTGATGCTGCTGGCACAGACCACACTCTGCGAACCACTGTTCTAGAAGCTGCTGCTGCTTTTTTTTTTTTTTTTTTTTTTGAGACGAAGTCTCATTCTGTCACCCAGGCTGGAGCGCAGTGGCATGATTTCAGCTCACTGCAAACTCTGCCTCCCCGGTTCAAGCAATCCTCCCGCCTTAGCCTCAGGAGTAACTGGGATTATAGGCACTCGCCACCACGCCTGGCGAACTCCTGACCTCAAGTCATCTGCCCACCTCAGCCTCCCAAAGTGTTGGGATTACAGGCATGAGCCACCATGCCCGGCCTAGAAGCTTCTGTCTCTTTAGTTTTCCTTCTGGGGTTCTTGTTCTTGTATCAAACACAAGCCACCAGTTCCTGGTCAAGGTCCAGGCCCCTGACCAAGTGGTCCCACCGAGTCTTCTCTGAGGCTCAGGAAGGCTAATTTAGAAGTTGCCCAGGGTCTGACAAACACTTCCAGCCCCAACATCCTGGTCAACAGAGGACAGACCATAGTGAGTGCAGACCCCTGCTCCTTGGCCAGAAACTTTCTTCCTCAGACTCCCTTGCAGCTCAGAATGGATATGGGAAAGTTTTCACATTTGGCTAAAGAGGCAGAATCTTGTCTTGGGAAGACTGTTTGCTCCCTCTCCTTTTTGCTTGAAAGACTGCTATGAATATAATGACAATGACTGGTGCCGCAGCAGCCATTATGCATTCCTGAGGGGAAGGTCAAGAGAATCAGAGGTTCCCTAGCAAAACAGACTCAGGGAAAAAAAAAACGAGAGAGAGAGAGTATAAGAGGGACACTGACCTACTGGCCTGACAATCCTCAGCTGCCAAACATCCCTGGAATGGCCTTCTCCTAGACATCTTGTCCCAGAAGAGAATTAAAGCCTGGATTAAGTAAAGTTAAATATATACCAACTCTATGACCCAACAATGTCACGCCAAGGTATTTACTCAAGGGAGGTGAAAAGTATGTCCACAAAAGCACCTGTACAAAAATTTTCACAGCAGCCGGGCATGGTGGCTCATGCCTGTAATCCCAGCACTTTGGGAGGCCGAGGTGGGCGGATCACAAGGTCAGGAGATCGAGACCATCCTGGCTAACACAGTGAAACTCCGTCTTTACTAAAAATACAAAATATTAGCCGGGAGTGGTGGTGGGTACCTGTAGTCCCAGCTACTTGGGAGGCTGAGGCAGGAGAATGCCATGAACCTGTGAGGCGGAGCTTGCAGTGAGCCGAAATCATGCCACTGCACTCCAGCCTGGGCGACAGAGCAAGACTCCGTCTCAAAAAAAAAAAAAAATTTCACAGCAGCCTTATTCATAAAAGCCCCTAACTGTAAATGGCACAGAAAGCCATCAACAGGTAAATGAATACACTGTTACATCCACACGACAGAATACAGTTTGGCAGTAAAAGGGAATGAAGGACTTCTACAGCAACAATACAAATGGGTCTTAAATGGATCATGCTGAGCAAAGGAAGCCTGGCACAAAAGTCTACACACTGTGTGAGTCCATTTGTGTAAAGATCTAGAACATGGGCCCGGCGCAGTGGCTCACGCCTGTAATCCCAGCACTTTGGGAGGCCAAGGCAGGCAGATCACTAGGTTGGGAGATCGAGACCATCCTGGCTAACACAGTGAAACCCTGTCTCTACTAAAAATACAAAAAATTAGCTGGGCGTGGTGGTGGGCACCTGTAGTCCCAGCTACTCGGGAGGCTGAGGCAGGAGAATTTCTTGAACCCGGGAGGTGGAGGTTGCAGTGAGCCGAGATCGCCACACTGCACTCCAGCCTGGGCGACAGAGCAAGACTCCATCTTAAAAAAAAAACCAAACAAATCTACAATATCCAGAACTGATTTATAGTGGGGGAAAAATATCAGACGTGTGGCCGCTTCAAGGGAGGGATGCAGGAATGACTGGGAAAGGCTATAAGGGAGCCTGCTCAGATGATGGACGTGTTCTCTAGCTAGAGCTGAGTGATGCTTACACAGGTAATATTTGTCAGAAAACATCAAGCTGCGCGCTTCAGTTTTGTGCATTTTACTGCACATAAATTAGAACCCAGTAAAGCACCCCTAGCATGTAGAAAAAAAACCCCTGTGCAATTGATCGTTATTCCAGGTGGCTGTGTTCTATATATTACAGAATCTAAAAAGTGACTGTGAACATTGGATTAGCAAATACTTAGACATTAACCATGTCTCCTGGGGGAAATACAAAGTTAGGTTCCTGAAAGCCTCTGGCCACAATGCTTTCACCAACCAATATAAAACCTTGGCTTATGTGTGTTTCTGTTCGAAGACACCTTATTTAATGTATAGTTTTGATTCATTAACACTGAGCCTCACGTCAGCAGCACCCTAACTTGTGCCTGAATGCAGTTTCTCTAATACGTGTATTTTCTCTGAAAGGCACGTCACAGCCTTCTCGTTGTTTTTTTGAGACAGGGTCTCACTGTTGCCCAGGCTGGGGTGCAGTGGTGTGAAAAGAACTCATGGCAGCCTTGACCTTCCAGGCTCATGTGGTCCTCCTTAGGTGTGCGCCATCACGCTTGGCTAATTCTAAAATTTACTTATTTATTCAGAGTGTGTGTGTGTGTGTGTGTGTGTGTGTGTGTGTGTGTGTGTCGAGACAGGATCTCACCATGTTCCCCAGGCTGGTCTCGACCTCCTGGGTTCAAGCGATTCTCCCACCTTGGCCTCCCAAAGTGCTGGGGTTACAGGCGTGAGCTACCATGCCCAGCCTCACATTATAGCTTTCTTGAGCTTAGAAACATTAGACGGCACTTCAGCACTAAACTGGGGACGTTTTTATTTTTATTTTTATTTTTATTTTTTTTTTGAGATGGAGTCTCGCTCTGTCACCCAGACTGGAGTGCAGTGCAGCGATCTCGGCTCACTGCAACCTCCACCTCCCAGGTTCAAGGGATTCTCCTGCCTCAGCCTCCCGAGTAGCTGGGATTACAGGTGCCCGCCACCAAGCCCAGCTCATTTTTTTTGTATTTTTAGTAGAGATGGGGTTTCACCGTGTTGGCCAGGCTGGTCTCGAACTCCTGACCTCAGGTGATTCACCCGCCTCAGCCTCCCAAAGTGCTGGGATTACAGGCATGAGCCACTGCACCTGTCCTAAACCGGGGACATTTTACTAATTTTTTTTTTTTTTTTTTTTTTTGAGACAGAGTTTTGCTCTTGTTGCCCAGGCTGGAGTACAGTGGTGTGATCTTTGCTCACTGCAACCTCCACCTCCCAGGTTCAAGCGAATCTCCTGCCTCCACCTCCCAAGTATCTGGAACTAAAGGCATGCACCACCACGCCCGGCTAATTTTGTATTTTTAGTAGACCCAGGGTTTCACCATGTTGGCCAGGCTGGTCTCGAACTCCTGATCTCAGGTGATCCACCTGCTTCGGCCTCCCAAAGTGCTGGGATTACAGGTGAGAGCCACCACGCCTGGCCAAACTGGGGACATTTTAAACAGCAAAATCACAAAGCACAAAAATATAGAAAACATGGCACTAACTAGACCACAAAAAGGACACTTGTTTATAGTAAGAGAATAAGAAAGCAGGGTGTGGCGTTGCTTGACTGCAGCTGGAGATGTGTGCACCAGGTGACTCAAATTTTTTGCTATTCTGTGAGTGTCCATAAATGATGGGAAAAGCATTGTGCGTTATTGATTTTGGGGTTATGAGTAAGCGTTGGCGATTAGATGAAATCTGCAAATATGATATCTTGGAATAATGAGGACCCCCTGCACATGACAATACCCACTAAGATCAAGACGCATTCACCCTCTGCCTGGCTACTTCACTTATGGGAACATATCCTGCAGGTACCATTGACACGACCAAAATTATACAGTTAGGGGCTTTTACAGGTGTGTTGTTTTGTGATTTTTTTTTTTTTTTTCATAGAGATGGAGTCTTGCTATGTTGCCCAGGCTGGTCTTGAATTCCTGGGCTCAAGTAATCTTCCCACCTCAGCCTCCCAAAGTGCTGGGATTACAGGCATAAGCCACCATGCCCTGGCCTTACAGTTATGTTTCTATTAATAATAGCAAGACGGTAGCAGGTGTCTTTAGTCCCAGCTACTCGGGAGGCTGAGGCAGGAGAATGGCGTGAAACCAGGAGGCAAAGCTTGCAGTGAGCTGAGATCGTGCCACTGCACTCCAGCCTGGGTGACAGAACGAGACTCCGTCTCAAAAAATAATAATAATAATAATAGCAAGATACTGGGAACAACCCACTGGCCATCAGTAGTAAACAGGTTGATTTTTTTTTTTTAATTTCTTGGGCAGGACTATTGCAGTAGTAAACAGGTTAAATCAACTACAGTTTCTCTAAACAGGGGAATAGTATGCAGCTGTACAAAAAAGAAAGAGGTATACAAATGGCCATGACAAGATACTCAACATCATTAGCCACCAGGGAAGTGCACATCAGAACCAGAGGATACCATTTCGCATCCATTAGGATAGCTCAAATCAAAGAGACAGACAAGGGCAAGTGTTCGTGAGGGTGTGGCGGAACACGAATGCTCACTCACTGTCGGTAGGACTGTAAAAGGTTGCAGCTGCTGTGGAAACCCGCCTGGCAGTTCCTCCAAAAGTTAAACATAGAGTTGCCACGTGGCCCAGCAATTCCACTCCTACTTATAGACCCAAGAGAGTCGAAAACATATGTCCACACAAAAACTGGCCCAAGGCTGGGTGCGGTGGCTCACGCTTGTAATACCAGCTACTCGGGAGCCTGAGGCAGGAGAGTCACTTGAACCTGGGAGGCACAGGTTGCAGTGAGCTGAGATTGCGCCACTGCACTCCAGCCTGGGCAACAAGAGCGAAACTCAGTTTCAAAAAAACAAAACAAAACAAAGGCTGGCCTGTGAACATCCGCAGCACCTTTACTTGCAAGAAGCAAAAGGTAGAACCCAAATGCCCGTCCGTGGATGAACGGATAAACAGATGTGGTGTATCCATATCACAGACTATTACTCCGCCATAAGAAGGAAGGAACACTGGCACACGCTCCAACATGCATGAACCTGGAACGCATGACACCAAGTGAAGGGAGCCAGGCACAAAGGCCATATATTCCATGATTCCATTTATGCAAAATGTCCAGAATAGGCAAACCCAGAGAGACCGAAAGTAGATGCGTGGTTGCTAAGGACTGCGGGGAGGGAGAAATTCAAAGCGGCTGCTCATGAGTACGGCTTCTTTTTGAGATGATGAAAATGTTCTAAAATGGATTGTGGTGATGTCTGCACAACTCTGTGAATATACTGAAAACAACTGAATTGGTACACTTTAGATGGGTGGATTTTATGGTATGTGAATATGTCAGTAAAGATGTCCTTGAAAAAAAAAAAAATAGAATGAGGCCAGGCACAGTGGCTCATGCCTATAATCCCAGCACTTTGGGAGGCCGAGGCAGGCGGATCACTTGAGGTCAGGAGTTTGAGACCAGCCTGGCCAACATGATGAAACCCCATCTCTACTAAAATACAAAAATTAGCCAGGTGTGGTGGTGAGCACCTGTAATCCCAGCTACTCTGGAGTCTGAGGTCGGAGGATCGCTTGAGCCAGTGAAGGTGGAGGTTGCAGTGAGCTGAGAACATAACACTGCACTCCAGCCTGGCGGACGGCGCGAGACCCTGTCTCGGAAAAAAAAAAAAAAAAAAAAAAAGAATGAGGACGTTCTTTGTGTACTGATAGGGAAAGATCGCCCAGACTACTGCTACATGGAAAAGTAAAATGTAGAAGGGTGTGTGTAAAACGTTACCATCTGCTTAAGAAAAGGGTGAAGGAGACATGATACATATTCTGAATGCTTTTCAATGCCTAAAGAACTTCAGGAAGGGTGTATATGACACTAAACACAATGACTAACTATGAAGGGACCTGGCAGATCGGAACAGGAATAGGAGGTGTTCCACTGCATAGTTTTCAAAATAATTTTTGCTTTTTCAGCTTGGTGAATTAGCCATCTCAAAAACTAAATTTAGAAATATTTGTTGAAAAAAATAAGAGAGTATTTAAGCCATCAGTGGTCAAGTCAACTGTTACTTGCAGCCGAATGCACACAAGCTAAAAAGCCACGAGTAGTAAGAGGAAGCAATGAGATTAGAACCTGGGATTCTTGGACACCAAAGCCTTGGCTGCTTTCCAAGATGCCACACTGCCTGACTGCTGATGTCTATACAGAGTCTGGACAGGCCGGGCACAGTGGCTCACACCTGTAATCCCAGCACTTTGGGAGCCAAGAGAGCAGGATCACTTGGGCCCAGGAGTTTGAGACCAGCCTGGGCAGCATAGTGAGACCCTGTTCTCTAAAAAATTTTTTAAAAAAATAGCTGGGTGTGGTGGCACATGCCTCTGATTGCAACTACTCAGGAGGCTGAGGTAGGAGGATTGCTTGAGCCTGGGAGGTCGAGGCTGCAGTGAGCCATGGTCACACGATTGCACTCCAGCCTGGGTGACCTTGTCTCAAAAAAAATACTCCAGATGACCTTCCTCCCCTCCACCCTTCCATACCTGAAATAGTTTTTTACCTGGATTCTGCATGAGCCTTCCTAATCACTCCCCTATTTTTCTCACATGCCACACAGGCAAAAAAGCCTTAGAGTCCAGAGAAGTGACAGCAGGCCGACATCTGCCCAGGACCTGGCAGGGGTTTGGGCTGGCAGAGTCACAGGCCTGGGTCTTACAGCAAACACCTTCAGATGCTGACCTGGTGCGGTTCAAACGTTCCTGTCCCAGAGCAGGTCCCGGGCAAGCCGTGGGTTTGCAGCCACATCACAGCCAGGAGTGGCGCCATCTGTGGGAATCAGCCAACGCTGGTTGGCTCAAAGATGCCACCATTCCTCCTGTCTCTTAAATAACTCCAGCCCACCCTTCTCTAGGTCTTGGAACCAGCATTGTCTGCCCAACCCTCTCGTGCTCGTTGCCTGGAGGGTGGCAGGGACTTCTAACTGACCTCCCACTTCTAAACTCAGTTCCCCACTTGGTGGCCAGAGCGACCTATTTTATTTAAGATCGTGCTGTTCCCCTTCTTAGGGCTCCCTACTGATCCCTACTGCTCCACAAAGAGAAGTCAAACGCTTTCCCGATGGTGCTGGGAGTGAGGAAGTCATCCCTGCTCTCCCAGAGCTCACGTTCTACCGGCAGGAGTCAGACCCTGAACCAAGAGACAGCGTCCCGAGGAGAAGATGAGGGCAAGGATGCCAAGAATGGGTTGGGGAGGGCTGGGGTACATACAGGATGTGCAGGAGGTAAGGGGAGCAGCAATGTGGCCACCCCAGGAGAGCGGGCTCCAGGCAGAAGGAGGAGGACATGCAATGGTCCTGAGGCAGAATCACGTGGGCGCCTCAGGGACCACGGGCAGTGATGAGGGCGTGAGCATGAGTAGGCATGCAGGAGAGGCGAGGTCAGACAGACAACGAGGGCGAGGACTTCAGCTTTTATTCCAGGTGAGCCCAGGGCTGAGGGAGGGCTCCGGACAGGGCAGGGACATGACCTGACTTGGGTGTTCACAGGTTCCTTCTGGCTGTAGAGTGGAGAACGGACTGCAGAAGGTGAGGACGGAAGCACAGAGAGGGGGCGACGGTAATGGTCCAGGCAGGAGACATGGTGACAGCGGAGGGGACAAGGCGCAGTCAAATTCTGGACATAATAGCAGAGCAAGAGGGTTTGCAGATGGATTGGCCAAGGAGTGTAAGGGAACAGCAGAGCCAAGAGCCCTCCAGCATTTGAGAAGGCCGGGTGGGCCAGGCAGATGGTGTCAAGATGGGTGGACCGGGCAGATGGTGTCAGGCTGTGCGGGCTGGGCGGATGGTGTCAGGATGTGTGGTGCACACAAGCCCTCACACATGCTCCTTCCTCTCATCCACTGCCCTCTTCAGTGAAGCCCATTTCCCTCTAATGCATTCTGCTGGTCCCAAAGCTACTGATCACCTTATTAAGAGAAGAGATGACCCCAATCCAGGGCACAGCAGGGAGGGCTGCCCAGAGCCTCAGAGAAGGAGAAATACTGAAGTGGCAGCTATGGGCAAGAACTCCACACCTCCCTCTCAGAGCAACACCTTTTATATTGGGTTGGTGCAAAAATCATTGCACCTTTTGCCATTAAAAGTAATGGCAAAAACTGGCCGGGCACAGTGGCTCACACCTCTAATCCCAGCACTTTGGGAAGCCAAGGTGGGAGAATCACTTGAGGTCAGGAGTTCGAGACCAGCCTAGTCAACATGGTGAAATCCTGTCTCTACTAAGAATACAAAAATTGGCCAGGTGCCGTGGCTCAGCCCTGTAATTTGGGAGGCCAAGGCGGGAGGATCACGAGGTCGGGAGTTTGAGACTAGTCTGGCCAACATAGTGAAACCCTGTCTCTATGAAAAATACAAAAAATTAGCCGGGGTGGTGGCAGGTGCCTGTAATCCCAGCTACTCGGAAGGCTGAGGCAGGAAAATCACTTGACCCTGGGTGGTGGAGGGTTGCAGTGAGCCGAGATTGCACCACTGCACTCCATCCTAGGTGACAGAGCAAGACTCCACCTCAAAAAACAAACAAACAAACAAACAAAAAAATTAGCCAGGCATGGTGGCATGCACCTGTAAATCCCAGCTACTCAGGAAGCTGAGGCAGGATAATCATTTGAGCCCTGGAGGTGGAGGTGGCAGTGAGCTGATATTGTGCCACTGTACTCCAGTTCGGGCGACAGAGACTCTGTCTCAAAAAAAAAAAGTAATGGCAAAAACTGCAATTACTTTTGCACTTAATGGCAAAAAATCTAATTACTTTTACACTAACCTAAATCTCATTTCAGAATCTGTCCCTACCCCAAAGTCTAAGCAGCTTCCAAGTTTATATTTGACTTTGAGTACTCAATAATCTTGGGGTTGGCTTTGCTGTACAGTGTGAGGTAGGGATCTGATTTCATCTCCTTCCACCTGTGGATGACCTTTTTACTTTTGATCCCTACCTCTATTTATTATGAGTCCCTTGTTTCCCCACAAATCTGACCATTGGCCATATCGACCTCATACCATGTCTTAATGTGCCTGGTTCTCCTTCTGGACTCTCTGTTCTATTCCATTAGTAGGATATCAATTTCTACTAATTCCCTAACCTCAGAGATAAAATAGATTCTGTTGGACAGGTAATCAATACATTGACACTGAGCAGACAGTGGCAGGTGAGTGGGGAAGTGAAGTGTCTCCAGGCAGGACACAAGATCTTCGAGGCAGAGACAGTAACATTCCTTTGCTTGTCAATACGTTCCTGTTTGAATTTCTGATTGTGTTGACTTATATATTATGAGATCAACTTTTAACTAAATTAATCCTCACAAAAGATACAGAGGGCATATAACAGCGCTCACAAATAAATGAAAAGATTAACAATAATATTAATAACATACAGGCCAGGCACAGTGGCTCATGCCTGTAATCCGAGCCTTTGGGAGGCCAAGGCAGGTGGATCACTTGAGGTCAGGAGCTTGAGACCAGCCTGGCCAACATGGAGAATCCCCATTTCTACTAAAAATACAAAAATTAGGCCGGGTGCAGTGGCTCACGCCTGTAATCCCAGCACTTTGGGATGCCGAGGCAGGCAGATCACAAGGTCAGGAGATTGAGACCATCATAGCTAACATGGTGAAACCCCGTCTGTACTAAAAATACAAAAAATTAGCCAGGTGTGGTGGTGGGTGCCTGTAGTCCCAGCTACTTGTGAGGCTGAGGCAGGAGAATGGCGTGAGCCCAGGAGGCGGAGCTTGCAGTGAGCCAAGATCGTGCCACTGCACTCCAGCCTGGGAAACAAAGTGAGACTCCGCCTCAAAAAAAAAAAAAAAAATAGCCCAGCGTGGTGGTGCACGCCTGTAGTCCCAGCTACTCAGGGGGCTGAGGGAGGAGAGCCCAGGGCTCACTTGAACTCAGGAGGCAGAGGCTGCAGTGAGCCAAGATCAGCCTACTACACTCCAGCCTGGGTGGCAGAGCAAGACTCTGTCTCAAAAAAAAAAAAACAAACAAAAAAAAAAAACTCCTGACCTCAGGTGATCCACCACCTCAGCCTCCCAAAGTGCTGGGATTACAGGCATGAGTCACCACTCCCAGCCATGCCCTTCCTTTTCTCGAGTGTCACCAGGGCCGTCTGTAGTCACAAGCCCTCCCCCAGTCCCTCTCCTGCTTGCTTTACTGCAGGTGCCGATCGCTATCTGACAGGCCATAAATGGGACTTATCTTAGCTCCTGCCTGGCTCCCCCAAGAGTGGTGAGCTCCAGGTTTCTTTTTGTTCGCTTTGTGTAAATATTGACTGACTGGGACTCCTGAAGGAGGATGATTCTCAGTGGCCACAGGTGACGCTGTCAGGCGCCTGACCTAGGCCTGACCGGGACACATCCACAGGCCGACCAGAAACCCCAGGGATTGGTCAGCTGGAGGCGGGAGAGGAGGTGAAAGGGCACGGGGTGGGTTACAGCTCAGGCAGCCACTGCGGGCTCAGAGACGCCCAATCTATAGGGATGGGCAGTTCAACTGGGCATCGGCACAGAAGGCAAGGAGGGAACGAGCAGTTCAGAGAGACAGAGAGAGGGACGGGGAGACGGTAACAGGAAAACAGGGAGACGGAGAGAAGGCAGACGCTCCACAAAGACTGATGCACCCTCCCCCTATCCCGCACACCGACCCAGGAGCAAGTTAATCCAGTAGGTCTACACCAGTAGTTCCCGCCCAGGAAATGCCAGGAGCACTCCCACCCCCAATAAACAACCCCAAATGCCAGGGCAAATATGCCAAACGGCCCCCCACTCCCCCCGCGAACTACGGTCTCCATATCTAGACACTCAAGCCCAACAGGACACCCCCCATCGTGGACAGGATCCCCGTGCAGTGTGGTCAAGGACATAGCAGGGTCTTCACTAACGATGCGGACATCTTGGTCACAGGCACCATGGAAAAGCACATTTCTCAAGTCCACAGAGCAAGGGTTAAAGACTAAAACCAGCAACAGAGGCAGGCGATCATGGCTTCCAATCCTCACCCGGGAAGGAGGATTCTACAAGAACATGCAACGTGGGCCACACACACGTGCCAAGGAGAGAGAGGAGCCCACAGATCATTTTTCCTGTTACCTAACAGGACCTACTGTCTATGGAATCCCAACTTTATGCATAGCGGGGCAGAGGTGGACCGCAAAACACATTCTAGAATGTTCATAGCACCCCTAAACTGAAACAACCCAGATCCTATCAACAGGACAATGGATGAATCATCAAAATGATAGAGAAATCAGAGCCCTCATGCATTGCTGGGCGATATACAAGGGTGCCGCTGCCGTGGAAGAGTCTGGCTGGTCTCAGTAGGTTAACACACAGTTACCCTGTGACCCACCAATTCCACTCCCATGTAGAAACCAGGAGAAATGGAAACAAGTGTCCACACAAAAGCCTGCACACAAACATTCATACGGCATCATTCAGAACAGTGCAAACTGGAAAAAAAAAACCTCCAATGTCCACCAACTGAACGGATAAACAAAATGTGGCCTATCCATACAATGGAGTATTACTGAGCCATGAAAAGGGATGAGACACTGACACACACGGAGGGACCTTGACAACATCACGCTGAGTGAAAGAAGCCAGGCACAAAAGGCCACGTCGTGTAAGAGTCTGTTTCCACGAAATGTCCAAAATAGGCAAATTCACAGAGCCAGAAAGTAGACTTGTGGTTGCTGGAGGCTGGGAGGGGGAGAAGGAGTGGGGATGATGGCTAAGGGATGCAGAGTTTCTTTTTGAGGTGAGGAAAATGTTCTATAATAGATTATGGTGATGGTTATAACTCTGCAAACACACTATAAACTGTGGTGAACGATTTACATGGGTGAACTGTATGGTATGTGAATTATATCTCAATAAAGCTGTTAAAAAAAAGGAATAACTGTGTGTGAGAGTGTTACTTTATAATTGCTGGATGAAATGAGCATATTTTACACTTTTCTGTAGGAATCCTTGACTTACTTCACCTCGCTGTGTCTCAATTTCCATTTCTGATAGTAACAGTCTCACCTTCAAGGGACTGTCAGGAGGATTAAACGAATTAATACGGGTGAAGTGCGTGACCTGAGCTCCCAGGATGTGCTCGGGAAGTACTCTCAGGAATAGCTGTTATTCTCAAATCCCCGGGCTAAGGCTCAAAAAGTAAAACACATGGGAGAAATGTTCTTAAGCATGGTGTTTCAGCCGTGTGTGTGTGCGCGCACACGTGTGTCTGTGTGCATGTGTGTCGGGCTGAGCTGATCCCTTGGACTTGATTAAAAGCCTCCACTCCAAACTCACGAGGGGCTGGCGATTTCTGGAGATTTTTGCAGGCGCTCTGGAGACATAGGGAAGTTTCCAGCAGGGACCCATCTCTGCTCCCCTGAGGACCCTGGTGTCCACACTGTGAGGCAGAAATCCCAGGTCTGGGGACACAAGCCCTCAGTGGGCAGAGCATTCCGCATGCTGGACGTACCCCTCCTCCACCCCCTGCCAGATCCCAAAATGCACCTCCCTGGCTGACGCCCCCCTGCCCTGAGTTTTCTTTTTTCTTTCTACGTTTTTCTTTTTTTGGAGACAGGGTCTCACTCTGTCAACCAGGCTACAGTGCAGTGGCACAATCATGGCTCACTGCAGCCTCAACTTCCTGGGCTCAAGAGATCCTCCTGCTTTGGCCTCCAGTATAGCTGGGCCTACAGGCGCATGCCACCACGCCTGGCTAACTTTTTTAATTTTTTGTAGAGGCGGGGTCTCACTCTGTTGCTCAGGCTGGTCTTGAACTCCTGGCCTCAAGCAATCTGCCTGCCTCAGCCTCCCAAAGTGCTGGGATTACAGGCGTGAGCCACTGCACCTGGAATCTCAGTCTTCAGCTCTCAAAATATGTCTCTCCTGTCAACTGTGCAAACTGAATGCCTGAGGGCAAGAGGAAGAGCCAATCAGAAGGAAGATCAGAAGGAAATATGCCCAAACATTAACATACTTGCTCTACCCCAGGAGTGACAGGATTACAAGCTACTTTTGTGTTATCTGCGTTTTTGGAACTTTGTATATTCCAGTTTCTTTTTTGCTCCCTCCCCTTTCCTCTTTTGCTCCTTCTAATGATCCTCTATGACCTTTTCATGTTAAGAGACCATTTTTCTTTAACCTTTTCTTGAAATTATATGACCCCAATATTATGAATGCAGCGGGTTGTCCAGCTGAACGCACCACCTGCCAGAACAAGGACAAGATGATGACCAGCCCTTTGGAAAGGAACCAGAATGTCCCTTTCAAAGGCAGAACCTCAGGGTGGTTAAGAACACAGGCTCTGGAAATTCCAACCAGCGATGCGTAGCCTGGATCTCACTGAGAGGAAACATCCAACAAACTGAAAATGAGAGACGTTCTACACAATAACTGGCCTGGACCCTTCTAAAATGTCAACGTCATGAAACACAAAGAAAGGCTGAGGAAACCCTCCAGAATGAAGGGACTGAAAGAGACCAGACAAGTAAATGCAACTGGCGTGATTCCAAACCTCATCCTACATCGGGGTGGGGAGGATACGGCTCTGAGGGACGTTAGTAGAACTGACAGAGCCAGAATACGGAGAGTGGCTGCATTAATGGTGTTGTATCAATCAATGTTCAACAAGGTGCATTTGATAACTGTCCTGTGGTTACATAAGAGAATGGTTCTTTGGAAATGCACGTTCGTGTCATTCCTACTCTCAAATCGTTTAGGAGAAACACAGGACAGAGAGAGAAAGAGGAAGTGTGTGTGTGTAGAGTTCAGGTGAAACTGGTTCATTTTCCTTAAGAGTAAACTGAGACCTGCAGACAGAAAACCTTTTGCTCTACTGGCCTGTAGAAATAAAAGCATATGGAATGAAATCCGGGCGCGGTGGCTCACGCCTGGAATCCCAGCACTTTGGGAGGCCAAGGCAGGCGGATCACTTGAGGCCAGGAGTTTGAGACCAGCCTGGCCAACATAGCAAAACCTCATCTCTACTAAAAATACAAAACTTATCTGGGCATAGTGGCGGGCGCCTGTAATCCCAGCTGCTCTGGAGGCTGAGGCAGGAGGGTTGCTTGAACCCAAGAGGCAGAGGTTGCAGTGAGCTGAGAGTGTGCCACTGCACTCCAGCCTGAGTGACAGAGTGAGATTCCATCAGAAAGAAAAAAAAGGAAGGTGAAGGGGTAGGGGAAGGGGAAGGGGTAGGGAAAGGGGAGGGGAAGGAGGGAGGGAGGGAGGAAGGGAGGGAGGGAGGAAGCAAGGAAGGAGAGAGAGAAAGAAAGAAAAGAAAAGGAAAAGCAAAGAAAATAAAAGAAAGGAAATGTGGCAAAATATTAAAAGTTGGTGAATCTGGGCCAGGTGCAGTGGCTCACACCTGTAATCCCAACACCGTGGGAGCCTGAGGCAGGAGAATCACTTGAGGCTAAGGGCTAAGAGTTTGAGACCAACCTGGGCACCTAAGTCTCTGCAAAAAAAAAAAGAAGAAGAAATAATTAGCTGGGCATCATGGGCACACCTGTAGTCCTAGCCACTTGGGAGACTGAGGTGGAAGGATCCCTTGAGCCCAGCAGGTAGAGGCTGCAGTGAGCCATGATCCCCCCACTGCACTCCAGCCTGGGCAAGAGAGCAAGACTCTGTCTCAAAAAATAAAGAAATAAATAAAAGGTTGGTGAATGTAGGTAAAGGTCTCTCTATATCATGCTCTGTGCCTCCTGGCTGTGCAACCTGAAGCAAGTTACTTCCCTCTCTGTTCCTCAGTTTCTAGGTCTACAAAATGGACATCGGAACAGAATTAACCCCCCCAGGTCAGTGGTGTTCCAGCTGAACACGCATGTGGTAGTCTCGCAGCCAGCCTGGGTTCTGGTGGGGCTCTGGACGCTTAAATATTCTCAGCATTGCCCATGCTTCCGGGGCCATTTCAGGATTTCGTGAGTCCAGAGCCCGATATGGCAAACAACCGATGTTAACTGTTAGGGCCACCACGAGAAAAGCAAAACCATGAAAATGTATGCCTTGTTTTCTCAGCTAACCTACAGGCTGCTCAAAGTCAGACAGTGTGGCTTCTGCTGAGCTCTTCTGTCCACAGCCACCCAGTGGGAGGCTGGTGTCCCCAGTACCTCATCACAGCCTAATGCCAGGGACCCCAGGGACAGCACCGTGAGCAGCCCCGCCGTGAGAAGGGATGGTCATGGCTGGATGCCAGGGATGCTGCCAGTGTCCCAGGTGACAGATGCCCCTCCAGGGCCTGGACTGAGCCGCTAGGATGCAGAAAGAGCCACATTCAAAGCCTTCACTTTGTCAGTCAGGGGCAGCACACCGGGGCCCCAGATGTATTTGGGTTGGTTACAGAGTTACTTTTGTAGGTCAATTTTTAGCATCCAGAAAAAGGGCTGTTTAAAAGAATTCCAGACCAGGCACAGTGGTTCATGCCTGTAATCCCAGCACTTTGGAAGGCTGAGGTGGGCAGATCACTTGAGGTCAGGAGTTCAAGACCAGCTCGGCCAACATGGCGAAACCTTGTCTTTACAAAAAATACAAAAATTAGCCGGGCATGGTGGAGGGCGCCTGTAATCTCAGCTACTCAGAAGGCTGAGGCAGGAGAATCACTTGAACCCAGGAGGCAGAGGTTGCAGTGAGCCAAGATTGCACCACTGCACTCCAGCCTGGAGCGAGACTCCGTCTCAAAAGAGACAACAAATGATCCAATTTAAAATGAGCAAAAGAAGGTATGCAAACAGCCCATAAATCAATGCAATGTTCAACATCTTTAGTCATCAGGGAAATTAAAACTACAACCATAATGAGATATTACTACATACCCGTTAGAACGTCTGACATTATAAAGACTGATAATGGTAAGTGGTGGGGAAGATGTGGGGCAACTGGAATGCTTATCCATTGCTGGTGGTAAACAACTGCTTTGAAAAATATTTGGCACTTTCTTTCTTTTTTCTTTTTCTTTTTTCTTTTCTTTTTGAGACAGGGTCTCACTTTGTCACCCAGGCTGGAGTGCAGTAGCATGATCTTGGCTCACTGCAACCTCCACCTCCAGGGCTCAAGAGGTCCTCCTGCCTCAGCTTCCCGAGTAGCTGGGACTACAGGCGCGTGCCACCATGCTTGGCTAATTTTTTTGTATTTTTGGTAGAGACTGGGTTTTGCCATGTTCCCAGGCTGATCTCAAACTCCTGGGCACAAGCAGTCCTCTCGCCTCAGTCTCCCAAAGTGCTGGGACTACAGGTGTGAGCCACTGCGCCCAGGTGGGCAGTTTCTAACAAAATTAAACATACCCTTATCATCTGACCCTACTAATCCACTTCTAGGTATTTGCCCAAGAGAAATGATAGCATAGGTCCACACAAAGACTCGTACAGGCATGTTCAAGCAGCATCATCTATGGCAGCCAAACACTGGAAATAACCCAAAGGTCCATCAGCAGGTGAATGGATGAAAAAATTATATCTGCATAATGGCATATTGCCAGCAAAAGAAGGAATGAACTACTGGTACACATAACATAGATGAATTTCAAAATCACTATGCTGAGCAACAGAAGCCTGATACAAAAGAGTACATGCTGTGTGATTCTATTTATGTCAAACTCTAGAACAGACAAATTGAAATTGCAGAAAGTTGCAAAATCAACATGGAAAAATCAGTGGTGTTTCTACACACTAACAACGAACCTAACCAAAAAAGGACTTAAGAAACAATCGCATTTACAATACCATCAAAAAGATTAAATTAAATTTAACCAAGGAAGTGAAAGATCTGAACACTGACAACTATGATACATGGATGCAAGAAATTACAGAAGACACAAATAAATGGAAAGATATCCCATGTTCATGGATTGGAATACTTAATATTGCAAGGAAAAAATATATATATATTACTCAAATTGGTCTATAGATTCAATGTAATCACTATCAAAATTCCAATGGCATTGTTCACAGGAATAGAAAAAAATCCTAAAATTCCTATGAAACCACAAAAGACCCTGCCCTGAATAGCTGAATTTTTATTTTATTTTATATTTTTTGAAATGGGGTGTCGGTCTGTCACCCAGGCTGGAGTGCAGTGGCATGATCATAGCTCCAACTGCTGGGCTCAAGCGACTGTCCCGTCTCAGCCTCCCAAGTAGCTAGGACCACAGGTGAGATTCTAAGAAAAAAGCTGGAGGCATCACACACTCCCTGAATGTGCTGATTAGAAAACACAAGTTGAATCTATAGTTACAGAAAGCAGAGATTTTTGCATTGCCTGAGCCAGGGGGTAGGGAGGATTGATTACAAAAGGGCATTATTGATCCTTTTGGGGTAACAGAAACATTCTGTATCCTGATCGTGATGATGGTTAATAATGGTACACATTTATCAAATTGCATCCAATGATACTTTTTAAATGGGTGTGTCACACTGTACATAAATTATACCTAAGTAAAGTTTACTAAAAAAAACTGGCCAGGTGCGGTGGCTGATGTCTGTAATCCCAGAACTTTGGGAGGCCGAGGCAGGCAGATCACAAGGTCAGGAGACCGAGACCATCCTGGCTAACACAGTGAAACCCGGTCTGTACTAAAAATACAAAAAAAAAAAAAAAAAAAAAAATTAGCCAGGCATGGTGGTGGTGGGTGCCTGTAGTCCCAGCTTACTCAGGAGGCTGAGGTAGGAGAATCGCTTGAACCCGGGAGGCGGATGTTGCAGTGAGCCAAGATCATGTCACTGCACTCCAGCCTGGGTGACAGAGTGAGACTCTGTCTCAAAAAAAAAAAAAAAAAAAAAATCTGACTCTGACTCCAGACTACCCAGTTCAAACCCCAGCTCCACCACTTACTGGCTGTGCCACTGGGTAAGTGTTTTCAAATCCCTGCCTCAGGACCTTTGCACCTGCTGTTCTTGCAGCTAGGAACCCTGACAGGGCTTCACACTGATGGGGCTTGCTCCCTCGCCTCCTTCAGGTCTTTGTTCAAATGTCACCTTTTCAGCAAGGGCCGGTTACAATGACCACCCACACCGCCAGCCCTCTCTGCCCCCATTCCCTCTGTTTTCTTCCACAGCACTCAGTACAGTCTGATGAGCCCAACTTTGAGTATCCTCCACTGGCAGGTCAGCTCCCCAGAGGCAGGGATTTTTTTTTTTTTTTTTTCTTTTGAGACAGTCTCACTCTGTCTCCCAGACTGGAGTGCAGTGGCATGATCTCGGCTCACTGCAACCTCCGCCTCCCAGGTTCAAGTGATTCTCCTGCCTCAGCCTCCCGAGTAGCTGGGATTACAGGCACACACCATCATGCCTGGCTGATTTTTCTATTTTTAGTAGAGAGATTTTTGCCACATTGGCCAGGCCGGTCTCGAACTCCTGTCCTCAAGTGATCTGCCTGCCTCAGCCTCCCAATGTGCTGGGATGACAGGCGTGAGCCATTGTGCCCAGCCAGGGATCTTTGACTTGTTCATGTCACATCCCCACTCCCAAAACTGCCAGGTATACAATACAATAGGAGCTCAGTAAATTACTGTCAAATAAGTTAACAAAGGGATAAATGTTACTCTCATTTTTGGATGTGAATCACAGAGATGCTCAATAATGTAGCCTTATGACAGAGTGAAGCTAACCTAGGTGTCCGGCAAAGCAGGACTGGCCCAAGAGGTTAGGGCCTTCCAGTGGAATACCATGCCACTGTGAAAGAGGCTGAGCCTGGTAAATAAGAGCCTCTTGATATGTTGTTAGAAAGAACAGCAGGCTGGGCATGGTGGCTCACGCCTGTAATCTCAACACTTTGGGAGGCCCAGGTGGGAGGGTTGCCTGAGACCAGGAATTTGAGACCAGCCTGGGCATCATAGCTAGACCCCATCTCTACAAAAAAAATTTTAAATTAGGTGGGCGTGGTGGTGCACACCTGTAGTCCCAGTGACTTAGGAGACTGAAGGCAGGAGGATTCCTTGAGCCCAGGAGGTCAAGGTTGCAATGAGTCATGATGGTGCCACACTGTACTCCAACCAGGGCGACACAGAGAAACCCTGTCTCTTAAAAAAAAAAAAAAAAAAAAAAAAAATTGGCTGGCCGCGGTGGCTCACGCCTGTAATCCCAGCACTTTGGGAGGCCAAGACGGGCGATCACGAGGTCAGGAGATCGAGACCATCCTAGCTAACACGGTGAAACCCCGTCTCTACTAAAAATACTAAAAAATTAGCCTGGTGTGTAGTAGCGGGCGCCTGTAGTCCCAGCTACTCGGGAGGCTGAGGCAGAAGAATGGTGTCAACCCGGGAGGTGGAGCTTGCAGTAAGCCAAGATCGCACCACTGGACTCCAGCCTGGGAGACAGAGCGAGACTCTGTCTCAAAAAAAAAAAAAAAAAAAAAAAAATGCAGGGTGGGGTGCAAGGCATCATGGCTCACACTTATAATCGCAGCACTTTGGGAGGCAGAGAGGGGTGGACTGCTTGAGGTCAGGAGTTCAAGGCCAGCCTGGGCAACATGATGAAACCTCATCTCTACAAAAAATATGAAAAAAAATTAGTCAGGTATGGTGCTGCACACCTGTAGTCCCAGCTACTCAGGAGGCTGAGATGGGAGGATCACTTGAGCCCAGGAGGTGGAGGTTGTAGTGAGCTGTGATCACACCACTGCACTCCAGTCTGGGAAACAGAGCGAGACCCTGTCTCAAAAACATTAAAACATTTTTGAAAAGGAAAAACAAAGGCCAGAATGGTATTAATGTAACCTGCTGTTGGCAGGGCATGGTGGCTCCAGCCTATAATACCAGAACTTTGGGAGGCCAGGGCAAGCAAGTCACTTGAGATCAGGAGTTCGAGACCAGCCTGGCCAACATGGTGAAACCCCGTTTCTACTGAAAATACAAATACTAGCCGGGCATGGTGGCGGCCACCTGTAATCCCAGCTACTTGGGAGGCTGAGGCAGGAGAATCACTTGAACCAGGGAGTGGGGGTTGCAGTGAGCCGAGATTGCACCACTGCACTCCAGCCTGGGCAACAGAGCGAGACTCCGTCTCAAAAACAAAACAAAACAAAACAAACCTGCCTTAAAAAGTGTGTGTGTGTGTGTGTGTGTGACAGAGAGAGAGAGAGAAACAGAGAGAGCGAGTGACAGAGATGCTTACACATGCACAGAACATCTCTTTGAAAGGAGGCCCAAAAATCCTAACCATGTTGCCTCTGGGAAGAGGACGTGGGTATAGGTGGCTGGGAGTTGGGGGAGGGAGGAGACTTGTCACTAGAAATCCTTGGTACCATCTGAGTTTTATACTTGAGCATGTGTTCCCTATTCCAAAAAAATCAAATAAATGCACACAATTTTTAAAGCCCAGAGAAAAGCTGTTTCCCAGGCTTGGCCCTCTCCCTATGCCTTCCCGGGAGCTGAAGAAGCAGCAGGCTGTCCCTTCTGTCCCTCCCCTGGGGCCAGTGTTCAGGGCAGGCTGAGGCCTCCCTGAGGGGGGAGCAGAGCTGCCTCAGGGCCTACCCCGGGCTCCCTGGAAATTACTTCCAGACTCACTCTCTCTTGGCTGAGGCTGGGGGAGGGGGAGATACACAAAGAAAGAGCAGGAGGAGGAGGGAAGAGAGGAATAGAGGGAGGAGGGAGGCAGAGACCCGTGGGTGCCGAGAGAGCACAGTGGAAGAGCAGCCCCGGGCAGAGAGGGGCTGGAAATGCCACCTTCCACCTGGCTAAAGAAACAGCCACCAAGCAGCTTCTGTAATAGCCAAAGGGGAATGGACCCAATGTCCATCCACGGATGAATGGATCAACAAAATCCGGTCCATCCATCCAGTGGAATATTATTCAGCCATAAAAAGGAATGAGGCATCGCCGCAGCAGCGGTGGACCTGGAAAACATGACGCAGAGAGAAAGACACCAGACACAAAAAGATCGGCTAGTGTACGATCATGTTTATGTGAATTACCCACAACAGGCAAATCCATGGAGACAGGAAGCGAAATAAAGGCTGCTGGGGCTGGGAGGAGCAGGGGATGGGGAGTGGCTTCGTAGTGGGTATGAGGTTTCCTTTTAGGGTGAGAAAAAATGTTCTCAAACTAGACAGAGATGACCGTTGCACAACTCTGTGGAGATACTAAAAACCACTGCATTGTACCCTTTACATGGCTGGATTTTATGATATGTGAATTATGTGTCTCAACAAGGCAGGAGAATCACTTGAACCCAGCAGGCAGAGGTTGTAGTGAGCTGAGATTGCACCAATGCACTCCAGCCTGAGCAACAGAGCAAGACTCTGTCTCAAAAAATAAAAACAGGCTGGGCGCAGTGGCTCACGCCTGTATTCCCAGCACTTTGGGAGGCTGAGGTGGGTGGATCACAAGGTCAAGAGACTGAGACCATCCTGGCTAACATGGTGAAACCCTGTCTCTACTAAAAATACAAAAAATTAGCCGGGTGTGGTGGCGGGCGCCTGTAGTCCCAGCTGCTTGGGAGGCTGAGGCAGGAGGATGGCGTGAACCCGGGAGGTGAAGCTTTCAGTGAGCCGAGATTGCACCACTGCACTCCAGCCTGGGTGACAGAGCGAGACTCCCTCCCAAAAATAAATAAATAAAATAAAATAAAATAAAATCAATGTAAAATAGATGGCATGTCAAAAATGAAGTGCTATGAAGAATAAGCAGTGAGAGAGACGCGCAAGGGAGTTGCAATTTTAAACAGGGTGATAAGAGCAGGCTTGACTAAGGAGGGGAAGGAGGGCCCCACAGCAGGAGAACAACAAGTTCAAAGGCCCTGGGGTAAGACTCATGCCTGCCTTGAAGGAAGAGGTTGGTGTGGCTGAAGTGAGTGAACGAAGAGGACTCAGTGGGAAGTGAGGTTACAGGGAGAAATTCAGAAGCCAGGTTGCATATTAAATACAGTAATACAGGCTGGGTGCAGTGGCTCATGCCTGTAATCCCAGCACTTTGGGAGGCCAAGATCGGAGGATCACCTGAGGTCAGGAATTCAAGTCCAGCCTGGCCAACATGGTGAAATACCATCTCTACTAAAAATAGAAAAATTAGCTGGGTGTGGTGGTGCACGCCTATAATCCTAGCCACTCAGGTGGTGGAGGCAGGAGAATCGCTGGAACCTGAGAGGCAGAGGTTGCACTGAGCTGAGATCACACCACTGAACTCCAGCCTGGGTGACAGAGACTCCATCTCAATAATATTAATAATACAGGCTGGGCGCAGTAGCTCACATCTGTAATCCCAGTACCACCTTGGGAGGCCCAGGCAGGAGGATCACTTGAGCTCAAGAGTTGGAGACCAACCTGGGCAACAAAGCAAGATCCCAAATCTACAGAAAAATTTTAAAGATTAGCTGGGCATGGTGGCACATGCCTGTAGTCCCAGATCCTCAGGAGGCTGAGGAGGAAGGATCACTTGAGCCCAGGAGGTCAAGGATGCAGTGAGCTATGATTATACCACTGCACTCCAGACTGGGCAACAGAGCAACGCTCTGTCTCAAAATAATAATACAGGTTGAGCATCCCTTAACCTGAAATAATTGGGACCAGAAGTGCTCCAGGTTTCAGATTTTGTAGGAGTTTTGAAATATTTGCATATACATAATGAGCTGTCTTGGGGATGGGAACTGAGTATAAACATAAAATTCATTTATGTTTCATATACACTTTATACACATAGTCTGAAGGTAATGTTATAAAATAATTTTAATAATTTTGCGCATGAAAAAGTTTGTGTACACTGAACCATCAGAAAGCAAAGGCTTCATGCTGGTGATCAAAAAGTTTCAGATTTTGGGGCATTTTGGATTTTTAGATTAGGGGATGCTCAACTTGTAGTTAAAAGGTGGAAACAATCCAAGTTTATCCATTTCAGCAGAAAAGTGGGTAAACAAACTGTGGTATATCTGCACAATGGAGTATTACCCAGCCTTAGAAAGGGATGAATTCTGATATGTGCTATAGCATGTATGAGCCTTTACTGTGTTAAATAAAATAAACCAGACACAAAGGGACAAATATCACATGATTCCACTTAGATGAGGTGCCTAGAGTAGGGAATTCAATGAGACAGAAAGCAGAAGAGTTTTGCAGGGGCTGGGGGCCAGGGAGAATGGAGAGTTATTGTTCAACAGGTATCGAGCTTCTGTTTGAAAAAAATCCTAGAAATAGAAACAGGTGCAGTGGCTCATGCCTGCAATCCCAGCACTTTGGGAGGCCAAGGCAGGTGGATAGCTTGAGCCCAGGAGTTCAAGACCAGCCTGGGCAACATAGTGAGACCCTGTCTCTACAAAAAGTAAAAAAAAAAAATTAGCCACATGTGGTGGCACGCTCCTGTAGTCCCGCCTACTTGATAGAGTGAGGTGGGAGGATCACTTGAGCCCAGGAGGCGGAGGTTGCAGTGAGCCAAGATCCAGCCACTGCACTCCAGCCTGGGCGACAGAGCCAGACCCGGTCTCAAAAAAAAAAAAAAAATCCTAGAAATGGACAGTAGTGATGATTGTACAACATTATGAAGGTACTTAGTGCCACCAAACTGTATACTTAAAAATGGTTCAATTTTATGTTATGTATATTGTACCACAATAAAATTATAATAACAGCAGCTAACATTTATGTTGCTTTTGATGTATCAGGCATTATTCTAAAAGCTTTACGTATGTGGCCAGGAGCGGTGGCTCACGCCTGTAATCCCAGCACTTTGGGAGGCCAAGGCGGGCGGATAACGAGGTCAGGAGATCGAGACCATCTTGGCTAACACAGTGAAACCCCATCTCTACTAAAAATACAAAAAATTAACCAGGCATGGTGGCGGGTGCCTGCAGTCCCAGCTACTCAGGAGGCTGAGGGAGGAGAATGGCGTAAACCCGGGAAGCAGAGCTTGCAGTGAGCCGAGATCGCGCCACTGCACTCCAGCCTGGGTGACAGAGCGAGACTCTGTCTCCAAAAAAAAAAAAAAAAAAAAAAATTTAATTTTAAGAGAGAGAAGAGAGTTGAGGATGGCACCAAAGTATCTGGCCCAGGTGGGTGGGAGCTCGGAGCTGCCATTTACTGAGATGGTGCCGTTTACTGAGATGGAGAGAAGCAGGCTTTGTTTGTTTTGGTTTTTATGGGTTTCTTCCTGGGGAGGAGAACCGTATCAGGAGCATGGTATTGAACACATTAAGTCTGAGGTGTCTCTCGACAACCTAGTGAGTTTCGCAAAGTGGTACAGGCTGCAGACAGCGTGCCAGTGATCAAGGGGGAGAGAAAGTGAGTGAAACCCCTTCTGGCGCACTCTTTCTGAATTCCTTCCTCTACCTGGCCACTTTCAAGGCTCGGCCTCCTTCCTGGTTCCCACCAAAGTGGGCACAGCCAACATGGCCTCCTCCTGGTCCCACAAGGCAGATCCCATGTCGAGGGCAGGCCCGAGTTAGTCCATGATGTCTTTCCCCCTTCCTCCCTCATCCCAGCCATGGCCTCGCTCTGGGCTCCAGGCTCTGAGCCTTCAGAGAATGGGTTCCAGAAGCCGCACTGCCCACTCCTCCCGCCCACCCTGCAGAGCCCGTCAAGGCCTGACGCCACTGCTCATTCTCACTCGTCTGGCAAGGACTGGAGAGCTGAGTGGTAAATACAATAAAACACAAGGCTGGGAGATGCCAAACGGTGTGTGCAGTATGCAGCCTGGGATGTATGAAGAGGGGGAAACGGAATTTACATTCACATGGCTCCACGATCTTTTAGTGGAAACCTCTGGAGTGAGACGTGTTCTGAAATGAGGGGTTTTTCAGGCTTTGGAGGGGGACAGGGTGAACGCACAGAACGCCCCTCGGCGGGTTCTGAGACACCCAGCAATCCATTCTTAATATTTCTGAGCTAAACATATGAATATTCAGATGGAGCTCAATAAAGACGGGTTATAAATAGCCTGGCTTCAGGTCAGGGCTTGTCACCCGATGACTCACTACAGGTGAGGTACCATTAGCATGATTAATACCATTGGTGGTGTTTTCATATCATGTCTTGTTCACTGTCCATTATAACAGGAGAAGAGACTTTGCTCCCTAAACCTGGAAGCTCTCCAGAAATGGGGAAACCCTGGGTCAGAGGAACCTGGCTTCCCATCTCTACTCTATTATTTCCTGACCCTGAGCAACTGCCCCACACCTCTGGGGCTTTAGTCCTAGAGGAAGACTAAGGGTCTGGCTGTTGCCTATTAGGCCTTAAATTTAAAATAATGACTGGCCAGGAAAGGTGGCTCACGTCTGTAATTACAGTACTTTGGGAGGCTGAGGGGAGGAATACTGGAGCCCAGAGTTCAAGACCAGCCTGGAAAACATAGGGAGATCCCATCTTGGAAAAATACGCCGGGGCATTGTGGCTTAGGTCTGTGATCCCAGCACTTTGGGAGGCCAAGGCAGGCGGATCACTTGAGGTCAGGAGCTCAAGACCAGCCTGACCAACATGGTGAAACCCCGTCTCTACTAAAAATAAAAAAATTAGTCGGGCGTGGTGGCGGGCACCTATAATCCCAGCTACTTGGAGGCTGAGGCAGGAAAACTGCTTGAATTTTAGAGGTGGAGGTTGCAGTGAGCTGAGATCGCACCACCACACTCCGGCCTGGGTGACAGAGTGAGACTGTCTCAAAAAAAAAAAAAAAAAAAAGAAATAAAATCAAATAAAATTAATGACAGCAACAAAATGACAGCAATATTAATAAGAGCCGCTAAGCTTTATCAACCCTTACTGTGGTTCAGGATGGATACTGAACTCTTTGGTGCTATCATCTCACTGAGCCGAACCCTTGCACCACTTCGGGAGGCAGACTCTGCTGTCATTTAACCTCGTCTAACAGAGAACTTGCCTGAGAAGGAGACAGCTGGGGATCCGAGCCCAAGTTCTTCTGACACAGGCCTTAAACACTGTCCAAAACTTGAGTCACGCCTTTCCCTAGGCTGGGTGGGCCTGTGCCTGAAGGTGGTCCCCTCCCACCGTGCTGATCATTTGGTCAAATGACAACCCGGATCCTTAAGTTCTGACTGTGTGCTCTCTGCTCTCTCACTGAATCCTCCCAAACAAGTCCCATGAGGGCGGTACTATTATTTGACCCCTCAACTGCACCCCAACATGGCACACAGTGATGGGAGCCCACACGTGCGGTTCCCAGTCCAATACACTCCACCTCCTGGTCACGCTCCCTGCGGTGGGACCATCGGATGCAGCCAGCTCTCCCATCACCTGGGATGTGCCAGGCCGCCTTCAGCCACCCACAATCATCTCTTGCTTCTCCTTTTTATGGCCTCTCTGAAATCCTCACCTTTTCTTGAGATCGGAGGTAGGACTCGAGGACTGAGAATTAGGAAGCAGCCAGCCCCAGGCTGACTCCTGCCAAGGTCCCCAGAGTCCGGCACAGGCCTGGCATGGAACAGCCACTCAAAAGCTCCGGCTGCTGTTTGCCAGCAGTGAAAATGGTGAAGCCTTTCTGGAATGCAACTTGGCGGGGCCACCAAAGTCTAAATGCTCGCTCCCTTTTGCCTCAGCAATTCCTTTTCCAGGAATCTGGCCGGTGGAAACACTCTTGCATAAGCAACCCAAGGTATGGATATAAAAATGTCAGGTCGGGTCACTCCCCAGCTCAAAGCCCTCCCATGGCTCCCATCTCACTCAGATTCAAAGCCAAAGTCCTAGTCAAAGACAGAGAATGGAAACTCTAGAGCAATAAAGAGGTAGCGCTACCAGGCTAAAAGCGGAGATAAAATGGAACACTAAAATATTCCATTTAAAAGAAGCAGGGAAAGGCCGGGCGCAGTAGCTCATGCCTCTAATCCCAGCACTTTGGGAGGGTGAAGCGGGTGGATCACCTGAGGTCACGACTTTGAGACCAGCCTGGCCAATATGGCGAAACCCCGTCTCTACTAAGCATACAAAAATTAGCCAGGCGTGGTAGTGTGCACCTGTAGTCCCAGCTACTTGGGAGGCTGAGTCAGGAGAATTGCTTGAACCCAAGAGGCAGAGGCTGCCATGAGCCGGGATCATACCACTGCCCTCCAGCCATACCAATAATTATAATAAACATAAATCGGCCGAGTGCGGTGGCTCACATCTGTAATCCCGGAACTTTGGGAGGCCAAGGCAAAAAGATCACTTGAGGCCAGGAGTTTGAGACCAACCTGGGCAACATAGTGAGTTCCTGCCTCTACAAAAAATTTTTAAAATTAGGCTGGATGTGGTGGCTCATGCCTATAATCCCAGATCTTTGGGAGGCTGAGGAGGGCAGATCACCTGAGGTCAGGAGTTCGAGACCAGCCTGACCAATATGGTGAAACCCTGTCTTTACTAAAAATACAAAAATTAGCCGGGTGTGGTGGCGTGCGCCTGTAATCCCAGCTACTGAGAAGGCTGAGGCAGGAGCATTGCTTGAACCCAGGAGGCGGAGGTTGCAGTGAGCCAAGATTGCGCCACTGCACTCCAGCCTGGGTGACAGAGTATGACTCAGTCTCAAAAAAATAAAATAAAATAAAAAATTAGCCAGATGGGGTGGTGCACATCTGTAGTCCCAGCTATCAGGAGGCTGAGGTGAAAGAATCGCTTGAACCCAGGAGTTCAACGTTACAGTAAGCCTTGATGACTGCACTCCAGAATGGGCAAAAGAGTCAGACTCTGTCTCAAAAAAAACCCCAAAAACATAAATCAACTAAACTTGTGCTTTCCACTATGAGCAGCTTCACGTGACATTTGAGCACTTGAAATATGTCGAGTCCCAACTGAGATGTGCTGTGAGTGTAAAATACACACCAGATTTTGAAAACTTCGTGTGGGGAAAAAAAATAAAAGACTACAACAAGTGTTGGCAAGGATGTGGAGAAACTGGAACCACGTGCACTGCAGGTGGAAATGTGAAATGATGTAGCCACTGCTCCTCCAAAAGTTAGAACAGATCATTACCATACAACCCAGCAATTCCACTCCTAGATATAAACCCAAACAAACTGAAGGCAAAAAGTCAAACAGATACTTAGAGCCTATGTTCACAGCAACGTCGTTCACAATAGCAAAAAGGGGACATGACCCAAGTGTCCATCGATGGCAGAATAGGTAAACCAAATGTGGTCTATCCATCCAATGGAAGATGAACTTAGCCACAAAAAAAGAAAAGAATTCTGATACATGCTACAACAGGGATGAACCATGAAGACATGTAAAGTGAAATCAACACAAAAGGACAAATACTGGATGATTCCATTTACATGAGGTACCTAGAATTAGCCAATATAGGCCGGGCGCAGTGGCTCACACCTGTAATCCCAGCACTTTGGGAGGCCGAAGCGGGCAGATCACGAGGTCAGGAGATGGAGACCATCCTGGCTAACAAAGTGAAACCCCGTCTCTACTAAAAAAAAAACAAAAAGCAAAAAAAATTAGCCAGGCGTGGTGGCGGACGCCTATAGTCCCAGCTACTCAGAAGGCTGAGGCAGGAGAATGGCGTGAACCCAGGAGGCGGAGCTTGCAGTGAGCCGAGATTGCGCCACTGCACTCCAGCCTAGGCGACAGAGTGAGACTCCATCTCAAAAAAAAAAAAAAAAAAAGAATTGGCCAATATATAGAGAGTAGAATAGAGGTAACGAGGTGCTGAGGGAAGGGAGGATAGAGAGTTACTCTTTAATAGGTACAGAGTTTCTATTTGGAATGATGAAAAGGTTCTGGTAATGGATAATGGTGACAGTTACACAATATTAAAGTACTTAATGCCACTGAATTATACACTTAAAAAGAGCTAAAATGGGTGGCCGGGCGCCGTGGCTCATGCCTGTAATCCCAGCATTTTGAGAAGAGGCCACAGCGGGTGGATCACCTGAGGTCAGGAGTTAGAGACCACGCTGGCCAACATGGCGAAACCCCATCTCTATTAAAAATACAAAAATTAGCTGGGTATGGTGGTGGGTGCCTGTAATCCCAGCTACTCAGGAAGCTGAGGCAGAGGAATCACTTGAACCTGCGAGGCAGGGGTTGCAGTGAGTCGAGATCGCACCACTGTACTCCAGCCTGGGCGACAGAGCGAGACTCCGTCTCAAAAAAAACCACACAAAAAAAATAGATATTTGCACACTCATGTTCAAAGCAGCATTATTCGCAATAGCCAAGAGGAGTAAGCAACTCATGTGTTCATCGACAGATAAATGGATAGGCAAAATGTGGTCTATTCATGCAACGGAATATTATTCAACCTTAAAGAGGAGAGAAATCCTGTCACATGCCACACCACGAATAAGCCTTCAGGACAATACAATAAGTGAAATAAGCCAGTGACAGTATGACAAATACTACAGGAGTCCACTTAAATTTGGCACTTAAAGTCAAATTCATAGAGACAGAAAGTTGAATGGAGGCTACTAGGGACTGGGGATGGGGGGAGTTGTTGAATGCATATAAAGTTTCAGTTGGACGCCGGGTGTGGTGGCTCACGCCTGTAATCCCAGCACTTTGGGAGGCCGAGGCGGGTGGATCATGAGGTCAGGAGATTGAGACTATCCTGGCTAACACGGTGAAACCCCGTCTCTACTAAAAACACAAAAAAAATTAGCCGGGCGTGGTGGTGGGCACCTGTAGTCTCAGCTACTTGGGAGGCTGAGGCAGGAGAATGGTTTGAACCCGGGAAGCGGAGCTTGCAGTGAGCCGAGATTGTGCCACTGCACTCCAGCCTGGGCAACACAGCGAGACTGCATCTCAAAAAAATAAATAAATAAAGTTTCAGTTGGGCAAGATGAAAAAGCTCTGGAGATCTGTTACATAATAAAAGTACATTTAACACTACTGAACTGCACATTTAAAAATGATTAAGGCCAGGTGCGGTGGCTCACACCTGTAATCCCAGTACTTTGGGAGGCCGAGGCAGGAGGATCACTTGAGCCCAGGAGTTTGAGACCAGCCTGGGCAACATGGCAAAACCCTGTGTCTACAAAAAAAAATACAAAAATTAGCTGGGTGTGGTGGCATGTGCCTGTAGCCCCAGCTACTCAGGAGGCTGAGGTGGAAGGATCACCTGAACCCAGGATGTTGAGACTGCAATGAACTATGATCATGCCACTGCACTCCAGCCTGGACAACAGAGAGAGACCATGAGCCCCAAACTCCCCACAGAGGTCACCTTTGGAAAAGGAAAGAAGAGGAGATGGTGCAAAGACTTTCGTCGTGTTATATGACTTTTTTCCATATGTAATGATTAACACAGACCTGGCTGCAAATTGGCAAACCCCAAAGCTAAGAGCTAAGGAATCTTATTTTGACCCTGGCATCCAATGCCTCCCCTCCATTTGCAGAATCCTTGAAAGTAACTCAGAAACACCTGGAAAACCACTGGACACCTTACTACTCAGAGGGCAGGCCCCTGACCACAGCAGCCTCACCTGGGAGTTAAGAAATGCAAAGTGTCTGCACCAGCTGACTCAGAACTCACGTGGTAACAGGATCCCCCAGGAACTGGTGTGCAAGTCTAGAAAACTGTGGATCTGCATCACAGCCCAATGTGTCTGCACCAGCCCATACAGACCGAAGAGGGGTTAGTAATAATAATAGCAACAACAGTCAATAGTAATAGCAACCAGCAATGACAAAGTCCTTGTCATGTTGTCATGTGCCAGTCACTCCACAACATATCATCCCAATTAAACCCCACACCCTGGCCCGGCGCGGTGGCTCACACCTGTAATCCCACCACTTCGAGGAGCTGACATGAGTGGATCACGAGGTCAGGGGTTCGAGACCAGCCTGGCCAACATGAAGAAATCCCGTCTCTACTAAAAATACAGAAATTAGCCAGACATAGTGGCATGCGCCTGTAATCCCAGCTACTTGGGAGGCTGAGGCAGAAGAATCGCTTGAACCCGGGAGGTGGAGGTTGCAGTGAGCCGAGATCGTGCCACTGCACTCCAGCCTGGGCAACAGAGCAAGACTCTGTCTCAAAAAACAAAACAAAACAAAACAAACAAACAAAAAACCCACTCATCCTACTCGGTAGGCATTTTAGGTCTGTGGCCCCCTAATCTGCAATTCCAACCTCCAAAAATCTCTAAAGCCATCCTTTTCTTTTTTCCTGGCTCATTGTGGGGCAAAGTGGAACTGCAATGGCTGTCCTTAGATCTCCCTCTTAGTATCAACAGCAGCAGATATATTTGCTGCAGAAATCTTCGCAGAAGTGCTAGCATATGTGCTGACGGGGAGCTGCCTGCCTTGCTGGGGGGTCCCACATCATCCTGTGTGCACTCTGGTCTGAAACGGCCTGAATTTTGAAACACCTACAAGGTCAGTTATTGCCATAAATGCAGCATTTCCGTTGACCTATGAATGTCATCTATTTAACCTCCAAGGAGGAAGTAGGCCTCTCTAGCTGATTAGGGAAACTGAGGCTGAACAAGGTAGGGGCCTTGTTCCAGTGCCACAGTTGGCTCTAGACCTACACCACACCCCCCAAATCCTGACTCCAGCTGGTCACCCATGTCTCTAGCTCAGGAACATATTGCTCTCTGAAAGAAGCTGAGGTGGCCATGATTATGTTAAAGAAGACATCAGGAAGCGTAAAAGGAGAAAGAGAGGCTGTGCCTCAGCCTGCAATGGCTCAGCAGCAACCCAGGCTGGCTCTTGGGGCAAGAGGAAAGGAGCTTCCCAGCTGTGGTCTTGGCCCCTGTACCAAGGGGGCAGCGAGGCTTGATGAATAAAAACCCAGGGTGGACCAAGCGCGGTGGCTCACGCCTGTAATCCCAGCACTCTGGGAGGCCAAGACGGGCGGATCACTTGAGGACAGGAGTTCAAGACGAGCCTGACTGACATGGTGAAACCCCATCTCTACTAAAAATACAAAAATTAGCTGGGTGTGGTGGTGGGCGCCTGTAATCCCAGCTGCTCCAGAGGCTGAGGCAGGAGAGTTGCTTGAACCCGGGAGGTGGAGGTTGCAGTGAGCTGAGATCACGCCATTGCACTCCAGCCTAGGTGACCGAGCGAGACTCTGTCTCAGAAAAAAAAAAAAAAAAAAAACCCAGGATGCAGCTGGACGTGGTAGCTCATGCCTGTAATCTCACTGCTTTGGGAGGCCAAGGCAGGCAGATCACCTGAGCCCAGGAGTTCAAGACCACCCTGGGCAACATGGCAAGACCCTGTCTCTAAAAAAAAAAAAAAAAAAACCAAAAAATTAGCGGGCCATGGTGGCACATGACTGTAGTCCCAGCTACTTGGGCGGCTGAGGAAGGAAGATTGCTTGAGCCTGGGAGATCGAGAGGTCGGGGCTGCAGCAAGCCAAGATCACACTACTGCACTCCAGCCTGGGAGACAGAGTCTCACTCTGTCTCCAAAACAAAACAAAACAGAAACAGGCTCCATCCAGGAAGCAGACCATCCAGGGAAGAGAGTGGGGGCTCTGCCACTTAGCAGCTGTCGGGCTCTGGGCAAGTCACTTAATCGCTCTGTGCCTCAGTTTACTCGTGTAAAATCGGGGTGCTCCCTGCACCTACCTCCTCCAGTCCTTCTGTGAGTGAAGGAGCTGATGCTTGTAAGTGGCCTAGACCAGAACCAAGCTGGGGCGAGCCAAGGTAAGTGCTGGCTGTGATTATCATGGTTATTGCCATCACGATCCGTGAACAGCTCTTAACTGGCTCCCCACCCCTCCTGAACCCCTTTGCCAAACTTTGGGATACAGAGTCAAGTGTGTGTTTCTCTGGGGAAAAGTCTGTGGCCTCTAAGCAGATTCCTAAAAGGACTGGAGCTCCCTCTTACCCCAAATTAAGAACCACCATTTGCTCATAAGACCCAGGGGCCAAGAAACAAAAGGCGCCTCTCCATGTCGAGCAAGGCAGCTGCCAGAGCTCTCCCTAACTACCAGCTCCCCGTGCCCCCGGCCCCCACACAGCCCCACGGCCTCCCTCTCCTCCTGTGTCTCTCAGCCCATCCATGCTGGCCTCCTGAACGCTTTCCCAATTGTACACACAACCTCTGCCTTCACACCCTCTCCACTTCGCAAACTGTGAGCAAACTTCACTTCTGAGCCCAACCCAGTACCACCTCCTCCAGGCTCTTCCAGAACCTTCCCTCACCTTCTTTCCTTTTCTCTCCTAAGCCTCCAACTCAGCTCAGAAACTCAAAAACCCAATCCAAACCCAACCCAATCTCCTCACGATCTGTATAAAGGTCACCTGGCCCCTCAATCATTCAGTATCAGTTAGGGGTTTATTCAGTCCTTGTCAGACCCTGAGGATGTCACCTAACATGGAAATAAGCTCAGTGAAGTGAAGGAAATTGGACGAGAAAGTCAAAGAGGGCTTCCCCGAGGAGGGAGCATTTAAGCAGAGACCTGCGAGATGTGGCCCCAAAAGAGTTGGAGGCCACAGTGAACCACAATCACGCCACCGCAATCCAGCCTGGGCACCAGTGAGACCCTGTCTCTTAAAAAAAAAAAAAAAAGGCCAGGTTGGTGGCTCACACCTGTAATCTCAACACTTTGGGAGGCTGAGGAGGGCAAATCACTGGAGGTCAGGAGTTCGAGACCAGCCTGGCCAACATGGTGAAACCCTATCTCTACTAAAAATACAAAAATTAGCTGGGCGTGGTGGCTCACGCCTGTAATCCCAGCTACTCAGGAGGCTGAGGCAGGAGAACTACTTGAACCCAGGAGGTGGAGGTTGCAGTGAGCTGAGATCACGTCACTGCACTTCACCCTGGGCAACAGAGTGAGACTCTGTCTCAAAAAAAAAAAAAAAAAAAAAAAAAGCCAGGTGCAGTGGCTCATGTCTGTAATCCCAGCACTGTGGGAGACTGAGTCAGGAGGATCACTTGAGCCCGGGAGTTCAAGGCCAGCCTGGGCAACATAGTGAAACCTCATCTCTGCAAAAACTTAAAAAATCAGCCAGGTATGGTGGCACATGCCTGCGGTCCCAACTACTCGGGTAGCTGAGGTTGGAGGAACGCTTGAGCCTGGGAGGTCAAGACAGGAGTGAGTATGATCACACCACTGCATTCCAGCCTGGGCGACAGAATGAGACCCTATCTTCCAAAGAAAAAAAAAAAAGTCAGGGCGTGGCAGTGGGAGGTACAGGCATAACTTGTTACTACACTTCAAAGACACAGCATTTTTTTACGAACTGAAGGTTTCTGGCAACCCTTTGTCCAGTGAGTCTATCTGCATCATTTTCCCAGTCACAAGCTCACTTCATGTCAGTATCAGCATATTTTAGCAATAAAGCAATTTTTAATTAAGGTATGTACACTGGTTTTTTTAGACATGATGTTATTGCACACTTAACAGATTGCAGTATCGTATAAACGTAACTTTTGTATCCACTGGAGAATCAAAAAACGTGTGTGGCTCGCTCTATTGTGATACTCACTTTACTGCACTGTCTAGAACCTAACCTGCCTGCTCTCTGGGGTATGCTTGTAGCAGGGGAAGATGACTCTGGGCAGAGTACAGTGCAGGCCGAGGTGGGGAGGCGGGAACCAGCTTGGTGAGTGAAAGGCAAGATGAAAAGGGTAGGAGATAAGCCAGGCCAGATCAGAAAGACTTTGTACGGAGCTGAAGAGGTTTTACCTGAGGGCACTAGGGAGTCACAATCTGCCGGGCATGTTGGCTCACGCCTGTAATCCCAGCACTTTGGGAGGCAGAGGTGGGCGGATCATCTGAGGTCGGGAGTTCAAGACCAGCCTGGCCAACATGGAGAAACCCCGACGCTACTAAAAACACAAAATTAGCCGGGCGCGGTGGTGCGTGCCTGTAATCCCAGCTACTCGGGGAGCTGAGGCACGAGAATCTCTTGAACGCCGAAGGCAGAGGTTGCGGTGAGCCAAGATCGCGCCACTGCACTCCAGCCTGGGCAACAAGAACTAAACTCGGTCTCAGTCTCAAAAAAAAAAAAAAAAGAGAGAGAGAGAAAGAACACTTCCTTCCACCCAGCTGCTCAGGGCAATGACCTTGGATCATGCTAGATTCCCTGTTTTTCTTACCCTACCCCCAAGCCCCAAAGCCTGCCCTAGAAGCTCCCTCCTCCAGGAAGCCTACCCTGATGCCTCCCCGCCTGACCTCCCCAGGCTCAGCTGGCAATCCTCAGACACTGATCTGGCTTTGCAGGGGAATGGGTGTGTTCCTGCCTCATCGCTCTCCCCAGTCCCTGAAGGCACAGCACCGGCTATTTGTGCTGGAGGTGAGAACATGGGCCACAGTCCAAGCAGTAGGAAGCCTGAGTGTGAGTCTGAATTAACCAGGAGGACGAAAATCCCAGCTCAGGCAGCAGCTCCCTGTGTGACCTTGGGAAGTCATTTTACCTCTGTGCCTCTGTGACAGGGAGATGGTGAACACCTGGGGGTCTGACCCTCATGAGGATTTGAAGTGAACTGTACTACCTGCAGCCCATGGAGCGCACAGCAGGGAGGAGCAGCAGGGAGGGACAGGTAACCAACAAGGCGACCCTCTAAACACAGCACTGGGAGGAAAAGCAGCAGGAGGAGAAACAGAAGCAGTATCCTTTCTGTAAAGCAAAAATCCATCGCACAAAGCAAGCAATTCACTCCAGCACAGGAGGTCGCTGACGGGGAGGGGAATGAAAATAAAAGGGAATTTTATAAATAGGAGTATATATTTTTATATATAATAATGTATAGTTTTATATTTCTATTATGTATTATGTAATGTCTAATATATGAGAGTACACACACACACACTTTTTTTTTTTTGAGATGGCCTCTCGTTCTGTCACCCAGGCTGGAGTGCAGTGGCACTATCTCGGCTCATTGCAACCTCCGCCTCCTGGGCTCAAACAATTCTCTGCCTCAGCCTCCTGAGTAGCTAGGATTACAGGTGCCTGCCACCATGCCCAGCTAATTTTTGTATTTTTAGTAGAGATGGGGCTTCACCATGTTGCCCAGGCTGGTCTTGAACTCCTGACCTCGTGATCCACCCACCTTGGGCTCCCAAAGTGCTAGGATTACAGGCATGAGCCACCGCACCCGGCCCACTCCTAAATTTTTTTTTTTTTTTTTTTTTTTTGAGACAGAGTCTCACTCTGTCACCCAGGCTGGAGTGCAGTGGCACAATCTCGGCTCACTGCAAGCTCCGCCTCCCGGGTTCACACCATTCTCCTGCCTCAGTCTCCCGAGTAGCTGGGACTACAGGCGCCAGCCACTACGTCCAGCTAATTTTTTGTATTTTTAGTAGAGACAGGGTTTCACCGCATTAGCCAGGATGGTCTCGATCTCCTGACCTCGTGATCTGCCCGCCTCAGCCTCCCAAAGTGCTGGGATTACAGGCGTGAGCCACCACGCCCGGCCCACTCCTACATATTTTTAAGCAGACTTTTGTTAGAAACCAAGTTACACTCAGGCGTGGTGGCTCATGCCTGTAATCCCAGCACTCTGGGAGGCCAAGGCGAGAGGATCACCTGAGGTCAGGAGTTCGAGACTAGCCTGGCCAACATGGCGGCGAAACCCCATCTCTACTAAAAAAGTATGGCCGGGAGTGGTGGCTCACACCTGTAATTCCAGCACTTTGGGAGGCCATGGCGGGCAGATCACAAGGTGAGGAGTTCGAGACCAGCCTGGCCAACATAGTGAAACCTGTCTCTACTAAAAATACAAAAATTAGCTGGGCATGGTGGTGCAGGCCTGTAGTCCCAGCTACTCGGGAGGCTGAGGCAGGAGAACTGCTTGAACCCGGGAGGTAGAGGTTGCAGTGGGCCAAAATCGCACCACTGCACTCCAGCTTAGGCAACAGAGTGAGACTTCATCTCAAAAAAAAAAAAATAAAGTACAAAAATTAGCTGGGGGTGGTGGTGCACGCCTGTAACACCAGCTACTTGAGAAGCCAAGGCAGGAGAATTGCTTGAACCTGGGAGGTGGAGGTTGCAGTGAGCCAAGATCGCACTATTGCACTCCAGCCTGGGCGACAGAGCAAGGCTCCATCTTGAAAATAAAAAGAAACTGAGTTAAAGAAGTCTCTCAATTCAGGCCGGGTGCAGTGGCTCACGCCTGTAATCCCAGCACTTTGGGAGGCGGACGCCAGTGATCAACTGAGGTCAGGAGTTCAAAACCAGCCTGACATGGTGAAACCCCCTCTCTACTAAAAATACAAAAATCAGCCGGGTGTGGTGGCATGTGCCCGTAATCCCAGCTACTCAGGAGGCTGAGGCAGGAGAATTGCTTGAACCTGGGAGGCGGAGGTTGCAGTGAGCCAAGATAGCACCATTGCACTCCAGCCTGGGCAACAAGAGCAAAATTCCATCTCGCATTTAAAAAAAAAAAAAAAAAAGACTAAAAAATTTTAAATACAAAAGCAGGACCATGGAAGGGGACATGCTTGAGAAGGTACAAAGCACTGGGAAGACATCAGGGGATTTTGTTCCTTTGGCTAACGAGACAGAAATTTAACAGAAAAAGACAACCCTGCACAAAACAGCCTTGAGACAGCGGGCAAACTGCAGGGTGGGACAGGACTTTTCCTGAGTTTTATCAACTCCAAGATGCGCATTTTTCACACTTTTGTCTCTGAAAAGGAAGCTGCATCTTACAACTGATGGCTGCTTAGCCCAGGAAATACCCTGTCTGGCTTCCACTCCCAGGTGAACTGCAGGAGAAACACCAGAACTCATGGAGCCTCGGTTTCCCCGCTGAGCAGTGGGGAGGTCAACAATCCTGACCTACCTCCCAGGTTCCCATTCATTCCCTCTTTGAACAGCACTTAGGGAGTGAGTACAGGACTCCAGGCTCACACAGAGGCACCAGGGAGGCAGCCAGGGTCAGGACAAGCAATGGCCGTAGACAGAGATCGAGTGGGGCTCCAAGACCCATGGCCGCCTTGACTGGATGACAGGCCTGCTGGGGAGCTCTGCTGCTGCCGGAAGAGGCCTAGGATTTAGGGCTGGGCTACCTGTGCAAAAGAACTACTCAGAGACAGCGCTTGATGAAAATGCTGTTTCCTGGACGCCACTCATCGGGATTCCCAGGAGTTTGGTCTGTGTGGAGCCCAGGGATGGTCATTTTTCACAAGCATCCCTGGTCATTTGGAAGCATGTGGGTTTTGTTCTTGTTTTTTTTTTTTTTTTTTTTTTGAGACAGTCTCACTCTGTCGCCCAAGCTAAAGTGCAGTGGTATGATCACAGCTAACTGGAGCCTCGACCTTCTGGGCTCAAGTGATCCTCCCACCTCTCAGCTTCCCAAGTTGCTGGGACTACAAGCATGCACCACCATGCTCGGCTACTTTTTGTATTTTTTTGTAGAGACGGGGTTTCACCATGTTGCCCAAGCTGGTCTCAAACTCCCGACCTCAGGTGATCCACCTGCCCTGACCTCCCAAAGTGCTGGGATTAGAGGTGTGAGCCACTGCGCCCTGGCCAGTGGGACACTTTTTGAGAAACACACAGGAACTCCAAAGACAGGGTCTCTGCTCCCCTTTCTCCATCCCTGGGACATGCCTGTCATCCACCCATCCATTCATTCAACAAGCATCTACAGAGCACCTACTGCACACCAGGAGCTGAGAACACAGGAAACACAGCCCTCCCTTCTCATCTTCTGCAGTTTGGAGCCTCATGAGAAAGCCAGGCTTGAAGAAATACTCACGGGAAAGAATTTCTTAAAGGAAGACACTCCCGATACACACACACCAACATCCCTGCATCTCAAAAGGATCATGCTGAGCCGAAGATGCTCAACCCAACGGACTCCACGGGGCAGGACTCCCCCTCTGTGAAATTCTAGAAGAGGCAAGGCTGACCCACAATGACAAGGCAAGCCAGTGACTGCTTCTGGGAGCAGGTACTGACCAGGAAGGGGCAAAGGGCAACTTTCTGGCAGTGACGAGAATGTGCTGTATCTTGATAGGGGTTAGGACTCATGGAAAGGCATGCTTAAACTATGTGCATTTTAATGAATGGCTCTCTGCAGCCTCAGCCTCCTGGACTCAAGCAATTCTCCTACCTCAGCCTCCAGATTAGATCCAGGCAGGGGCCACCACAACTGGCTAAGGTCTTTATTTGTTTTTTGGAGAGATAGGGTCTTATTATGTTGCCTAGGCTGGTCTCGGACTCCCGGCCTCAAGTGATCCTCCCACCTCGCCCTCCCAAAAAGTGCTGGGATTACAGGTGTGAGCCACCGTGCCTGGCCCCTCTGCGGATTTTACTGTATACGAATTACACTTCAATGAAAAAGGATTGGGAGAGGCTGGGACCAGTGGCTCACACCTGTAATCCCAGCACTTCGGGAAGCCAAAGCAGGCAGATCACCTGAGGTCAGGAGTTCGAGACCAGCCTGGCCAACATGGTGAAACCTCATCTCTACTAAAAATACAAAAACTAACCGGGCGTGGTGGCGGGCGCCTATAATCCCAGCTACTCGGAAGGCTGAGGCAGGGAGAATGTCTTGAACCCGGGAGGCGGAGGTTGCAACGAGCCGAGATAGTGCCACTGCACTCCGGCCTAGGGGACAGAGCGAAACAGCGAGACCCCATCTCAAACACACACACACAAAAAAAAGGAAAAAAAAAAGGGGTTGGGAAAAAAAATGTGTATATATATATGTATATATACATATATATATACACTGTCCACGAAAGAGTAAGTATACACACAAAAGTAGGAGATCACCGCGCACGTTCTAGGGAGAGAAATTCCGCAGTACAGCAAGAGCTTGCTAAGCTGTGAGCTCAGACTTCTCCCAGGGAGAACTCCCGCACCCAGGCCGGGCGCCAAGTGTCTGAGGTCAATGAGACACTATGCGTGCCAGGTGATGGAGGTTATAGTCCAGCTAACTGTCACAGCCACCCTGTGAGGCAGGCGCTGTGGACATCTGCCCGCCCAGCCTCACACGGTGGACGAGAGTTGGCATCCAGCCTCTGGAAAGGTGGCTCCGGGGAGCTTCACCTGCAGGTGTCCCTGGACACTGGGCCATCCTCTGCCTCCAGGCAGCAGAGGCCACCAGGCGCTCCCTCAAGGACCCCAAGGGTCTTTAGCAAGGGTCTCACAGCCTCAGACAGATATTCCCGCTCACTCCGTTCCCAAGGTTACCAGGCTGGGACACAGAGGACATAAGAGGCTGAGAGGGGCCACGCTGAAGTTGGCAGCCCCCTAAACAGGCAAGCACTTCAAAGGGAGAGTGCAGAGGGACAGGGTGGGCATGGCAAGGGAATGAAGGTAGCGGGGCCGGGCTGGGGGGTCAAGGGGCATCAACCCTTCCTCTGCAATCCTAGAAACAGCATTTTTGTCCCCAACCTCAAGAGTATACACAGAAGCAATAACAACACTAACAATAGTGACCGTTTACTCTGAGCCAGGCACTTGCAAAACATCTTTTCCACGCTAGACCTTATTTAACAATAAGGTCATCCAAATAAGTATTTATTATCTCTCCTGTACTTCCAGTTCTCTAACCTGGACTAAAGGAGGGAAATAGCTTGCCACCAAGTCACAGGGTTAGAAGGAGCAGAAACAGGACTTTAACCCACACAGCTGACCCAGTTGCCCATCACCTCCAGGGTCATCCTAGGGGTCCATCCCCTGCTGCCAGCCCCACTTCAACTCTTCCTTTATGAGGACGATTTCTGCACAGAGTAACAGAACCTGTACCCCACACTGCATGCACCCAGGTGTGACCCCCAAACCTGTGTAATCAGAAACAACCCACAGGGTTTGAGGCTTGGTGTGGCCAAGACAGGGAATTCACCACAGTCCCAAAAAGGGGATCACAGAAAAAGGACCACCTGATCAAAGCCCACTCCCTGCTGCCTCAGTTTCCCAACCTATGAAATGGGCCTAATGCCACTTTCTTCATAGAACAGGACAGACTCTGGAGGTGCTGAAACAAATTCTGGATCCCAGAAATAACACCACCATTAATAACAATAATAATACAATGGAAATGATATGATATCTGGAATTTGCTTTAAAATACCTTGGCAAAAAAGAAAAAATATATGTGCACAGTAGGTAATGGCCAAAAAAAAAAGATCAGATCAGCAGAAAATTTTTGCAGAAGCTGGTGATGGTTACACAGGGGTGGTTGTGCTATTTTCTCAACTCTCGGTGAGTGCTTTAAAATTTCCTTAACAAAAAGTTAAAAAGGCCAGGTGCATAGCTCATGCTTGTAATCCCAGCACTTTGGGGGGCCTAGGTGAGCAGATCACCTGAGTTCAGGAGTTCGAGACCAGCCTGGCCAACATGGTGAAACCCCTTCTCTACTAAAAATACAACAATTAGCCGTGTGTGGTGGCAGGCACCTGTAATTCCAGCTACTCGGGAGACTGAGGCACGAGAACTGCTGGAGCCTGGGAGGCGGAGGTTGCAGTGAGCCGATATGGCGCCACTACACTCCAGTCTGGGTGACACAGTGAGAGCCTGTCTCAAAAAAATAAAAAATATAAGTTAAAATAACAATAAATAAATCTGCCAAGCCGAGTCTAGATGGCAAAAAAAAAGAAAAAAGAAAACAAAATAATAATAAACAAAGACGGCCAGGTGCAGTTGCTCATGCCTATAATCCCAGGACTTTGGGAGGCCAAAGTCGGAGGACTGTTGAGCCCAGAAGTTGGAGACCAGCCTGAGCAATATAGCAAGACCTTGTCTCTATAAAATAAAATAAAATATTTAAAAATAATAGGCCTGGTATGGTGGCTCATGTTTGTAATCCCAGCACTTTGGGAAGCTGAGGCGGGTGGATTGCTTGAGTCCAGGAGTTCGAGACTAGCCTGGCCAACATGGCCAAACACCAGCTCTACAAAATATACAAAATTAGCTGGGTGTCGTGGCCCACATCTGTAGCCATAGCTACTCGGGAGGCTGAGACATAAGAATCACTTGAACCTGGGAGGCGGAGGTTGCAGTGAGCCAAGATCACACCACTGTACTCCAGCCTGGGCGCAGAGAGAGATTCTTGTCTCAAAAAAAAAAAATTAATAAAAATAAAAGATAATAAGAATCAAAGTGAAGCTTCACTGAGCATTCCTGAGAGCCAGGTCCTATCCTAAAAAGCTTCCCAAGTCTTCACTCATTGAAGCGTCACAACACCCAAAGCGGGGAAGCTCTGTTACAGAAGAGGAAATTGTGGCCCAGTGGGTATTTGGGCATTGTCTTCCTTTTTTTTTTTTTGAGACAGAGTCTTGCTCTGTCGCCCTGGCTGGAGTGCAATCGTGCGATCTCAGCTCACTGCAACCTCCGCCTCCCAGTTTCAAGCGATTCTCATGCCTCAGCCTCCTGAGTAGCTGGGATTACAAGCATGCGCCACCACGCCTGGCTAATTTTTTTGTATTTTTAGTAGAGACAGGGCTTCACCATGTTGGCCAGGCTGGTCTCGAACTCCTGACCTCAAGTGATCCGCCTGCCTTGGCCTCCCAAAGTGCTGGGATTACAGGCATGAGCCACCAATGCCAGCCCTGTGCCTTCCATTTAAAATGCCAACACTGATTGCCTAGGGTTTGGGGGAAAGGCCATAGCAACTTGGGTATCTAATCCTATGGGAGACTCTGCTACTTAATAATAATTATTCCAATCACAGCCACTCACATTTTTTGGGCGCTTGCTATACCCCAGGCACTGTGCTGAACACTAAGCATGCCTGAGGTGGGTTTCCTCTCATGCCCACTCTTCCAGTTGGGGAAACTGAGGCACGGTACAGGGAAGCCCTGTGTGCCTCATGCCGGAGCAGCCTGCTGCGTGCCCTCTGCTGCCATGCAGTTTAGAATGCCAACATTGTTCCTTGTGTGCCTTTCAGGAAGACAATGGGGACCTTTCAGAGCGGAGGAGTCAGCATGAGTCCCGCAGGAGAACAGTAATCATAGTGAAAACAACAGCAGCATCATTTGCTAGTTCCTGAAAGCGACTGCCTGCCCAGCTTGGCAGAACATTGCTTCGTTCAGCCTCACAGCAGACCCTACGAGGGAGGCATCATGGGCCCATTTTATAGACAAGGAAACTGAGGCCATGCAAAGGAATTGCTTGCCCAGGGTCACACTGCAATTAAGCAGAGAAGCCAGCATTCCATCCAACACCTGCCAATTAAGGGGGTCACAGTCCCCAGGAGAAATAAACTGCCTAAGAATGACAGGTGACACCGACACTGACTGACAAGGCTACCTTGGCACTTTATGGGTGTTTGGGGACCCTCACAAGAGCCTTACCAAGTAGGTACTGATATGAACCCACTTAATAGAGGGGAAAACCAAGGCCCCAAGCAAGTCCCCTGTCCACAGCCATTCAGCCAGCAAATAGCAGAACTGGGATTAGAACCAACAGGCAGGGCCCAGAGCCCACGCTCCTGACCTCCACACCAGGTGGCAAGCACATGACGCAGGCCATAAGCAGGAGGAAGAGGCAAGGAGGTCATCAGACACAAGGAGGTCACCTGAGGCAAAGACACGTGCAGCCTGGAGATGCTGCCTGGGCGACAGGTGGGATCACATTGAAGAGGAGAGAAAGAGAACAACTTTCTTCAAGGTGCAGCATGAGGGGCCGGGCACGGTGGCTCACGCCTGTAATCCCAGCACATTGGGAGGCCAAGGCGGGAGGAGTGCTTGAACAGGATTTCAAGACCAGCCTGGGCAACACAGTGAGACCTCGTCTTTACCAAAAATATTAAAACTCCCTGGGCGTGGTGGCGTGCACCTGTAGTCCCAGCTACTGGGGAGGCTGAGATGCGAGGCTCACTTGAGCCCAGGAAGGATAATGCTGCAGTGAAAAGTGATGGCGCCACTGCACTCCAGCCTGGGTGACACAGCAAGATTCTGTCTCAAAAAAATAAAAAAAGATGCAACGTGCAACATCAAAGGTGCTCCGTAAGAGCTACCAAAAGACAAATCACTGGCCCTTGATCTAGCAATCCCACTTCCAGGAGTCTATCCCACAGGCGTACTCATTTCCCTGTAACATGTGCGGACGTATGCCTTCCCATGCTTCACACAGAAACCTTTGGAAACACCTCCACGTCCATAACAGTAAAGGAGGATTCACCCACACAGAGGAATACCATGCAGCCAAGAAAAAGATAGAGGAAGACCTACATTGGTAGGGTCTCCCAGGGAGATGAAGCGTGGAAAAAAAGCAATGCATAGACCAGACTACCATCTGTGTAAGATGAATAGTTTTTTGTTTGTCTGTTTGTTTGTTTTAGACAGAGTCTCGCTGTGTCGCCCAGGCTGGAGTGGAGTGCAGTGCTACCGCAATCTCGGCTCACCGCAACCTCCGCCTCCTGCATTCAAGCAATTCCCCTGCCTCAGGCTCCTGAGTAGCTGGGATTACAGCCATGCACCACCATGCCCAGCTCATTTTTGTATTTTTAGGAGAGATGGGGTTTCACCATGTTGGCCAGGCTGGTCTTGAACTCCTGACCGCAGGTGATCTGCCCACTTCAGCCTCCCAAAGTGCTGGGATTACAGGCGTGAGCCACCATGCCCGGCCTGAATAGTTTTAAACACATAACATCCATATATAAAAGTACATGCACAGAACATCAGAATGGAGGTGCTGTCTCTGGGGAAGAGAGCTAGGGGACCAGGGATTCTGGAGAGGTTAGAGGGAGAGACACCATCTTTAGTGTTCTGAATTTGCCCCGTGTGTGTATCACTTAGAACAAAAGGAACAAAAGGCAGACAGAGAAAAAGATGATGTCTCAGACCACCCAGACAGAATGAATGAAACCCCACAGCGGCTAATCCAACCGTTCTCTCTCCTCCTCCTGGACTGTGTCCCAAGGTCTTAACTGATCCCCAGGGCCCTGTCACACAGTAGGCCCTCAGGAAGTTTAATTGGGAACAATTAAAGAAACAAAGGCCTTCTCTGCTTGTGCCAACACTCCTTTCCCCCTCCCCCCAATGAATACATACACTCATACACAAAACTAATTGTCACCAAACTAGAAATGCCTTAGAAAACTCTCCCTCTCCACTGGGGAAACTTGCGTGTCACTGAGACACAAAAGCTTCAGTCAACTGGGACAAAACTCTACTGGTGGTACTCCAGGCAGAGGAGAATGCGAGGGACGGAACCAGGAGACACTCCCTGGGGACCCCTCAACCAAACGCTCCCCATGCGTCTCTAGTGTGGCATAAGGTGCATCCTACCAGGGAGCTAGCTCAGACAAGACAGGGGACAAAAAACCAGAGGGATATGAAGGGGTGAGTAAGGAGGGGGCAATTCTTCTGCTGGGGGAGCAGGCAGCAGTTGTCATCGTGGACACGGCACGGGTGACTGCTCTTGTTTCTACTAAGTGAGGGTGCCTGGTCGGGGAAGAAAGCTCAAATATGACCAGGGCAAGATAACCATACTCCCCACCCCTCTCCCCTGCAGGGCGGGAGAAGGGAAATGGCAGCCCCTCTGCCTTCCAAGCCCAGGCGGCCTGGAAAGGAATGCCATGTTTTCCTGTTTCCAATTAACTTCCCCTACCAGCAGCCTTCTGCATTCTTGAGACCTGGAGTCAAGGCAGCCTGGCGGGTGGGGGTTGAGAGCTGGCGGGGGAACTGGGCTGCTGGCTAGACCTGGGCTACAAGGTGGCCCACGGGAACCTGGGGAGCCTTATACACCCCCAGGAACTCCCCCTTCATAGGCCTCTGGGTGCTGATCCCCTGGCCCTTCCACAGCCTGGGGCACACCCCACCTCCTGAAGGAAGGTTAGGGAAGGGCCACAGGCCTCTGAGAAGGAAGTCAGCCGGGAGACCCTCTAGGGCCTCACTCGGACTTCTCCCACCAGCCCCCCAAAAAGATCAGTTCCTACATTCAGCCAGCACTCAATCTTGAGAGATCTGGGTGTCCCCACAGCCCCTCTCCTCCTGCCCACCTCCCCCGAGAATTCTTATTACTTATGCCTGTCATCTCGCCAAGGGAAATAACTGCACTTAAAGGAGGGGACAGTGGCTGCGGGGATAAGGGGTCCCTTAAAGCTCCTGGGATCAGACCCCATGAAGCACCATCTCCCCAGTTCTGTTGACAAATACGGAACCCCCACCACTAGTCTCTGCCGTCTGGCTTGGAGTCCCAGCTCGGCCGTGGAACATGCTTCCCCTGGCCTCAGTTTCCCCATCTGTAAAATGGCAAGATCACCTGTATTACCTCCTACACTGGGTGAGCTGGGTCCAGCCCCTCTCCGTCAGCCCCCCAGCCCCTCTCCCTCAGCCCCCCAGCCCCTACAGCTAAGCATGTATTCCGCATGGGTAAAGTGCTGAAGGGGTAGGGGCCTAGTCCCCAAAGCGCTCAGAGGGTGCGTGTCACTGAAGGGGAATTGTTCGTTTGCAGGTGGCCTTCCCAGACCACAGGGAATTCTTCTGGGGCAAAGGTATTCTGCCACTCACCTTTACATTTTTTATTTTATTTATTTTTTTTTTTTGAGACAGGGTCTCACTCTTGCCCAGGCTTGAGAGCAGTGGCACAATCACGGCTCACCCCAGCTTCAAACTCCTAGGCTCAAGCAATCCTCCCACCTCAGCACCCCCAAGTAGCTAGGACCACAGGTGAGTGCCACCATGCCCAACTAATTTTTTCATTTTTTGTAGACACAGGGTCTCACCGTGTTGCCTAGGCTGGTCTTAAAATCCAGGGCTCAAGCAATCCTCCAGCCTCGGTCTCCCCAAGTGTTGGGGTTACAGGTGTGAGCCATGGCACCTGGCCTTAAATTTAAATGCCAGTCAGATTACCTGAGGTCAGGACCTCAAGACCAGCCTGGCCAATATGGTGAAATCCCGTCTTTACTAAATATACAAAATTTAGCCAGGTGTGGTGGTGGGTGCCTGTAATCCCAGCTACTCGGGACGCTGAGGCAGGACAATCGCTTGAACCTGGGAGGCAGAGGTTGCAGTGAACCAAGATCAGGCCATTGCACTCCAGCCTGGGCAACACAGCGAGACTCTGTCTCAAAAAAAAAAAAAAATTAAATGCCACCAGTTGACATTCCTCCCCTGTGCCCACACTGCGTACCCGGCCTGCTGAATGATAAATATGAATGACACGTTTGGATAATACTTTTACCCACCTCCAGGTCACTTAAAGGAACTATAATTACCCCCACTTGCAGATGAGAAAACAGGACCAGCAGTTAAATGACCTGCCTAAGGTTACAGAGTGGATCATGCCAAGGAGAACAGGCAAGAAAGTTCTCCGCTAGCTGCATCAAAGGGCCATGGTGTGGCAAAGCGACAGCGGGTCACAGGGCATAGGAACAACCAGACATCAACATTCCCAAACAGTTCAGCTTCTCTCTTCTCTACTTCAGGGCTGAGTAGCAGCAAATGGGGCCAAGTCCCCCGCTCAGGTAGAGAAGGGAGAAGATGACAGTGGGGCCAGCTCCCAGGTACCCCGAGCCCATCACTGGCCAGGCCTGGGGCTCCCCCTCCCCCACTCCTCACACACCTTCAGTTCTCAGTTCCTGCAGACAATTCTCCATTCCAGCCACAAGTGAAATGATCCTGCCCTCAGCCCAACTTCGAGGTGCATCTTACCCCTTCTCAAAACCAGCTCCCAGGGAAAAAAAAAATCTGGCCGCTTCTTCTAAATATTATCTACATTTCCGAACCAGGTCCACTGAAGTCAGGGGGACAAAATGCCAAAGGGTGGGACAGAAGAAGGGCTTAACAGTTTTGAGCCAAGCTGGAAAAACTCCAGGAGGTTACAAATTGGGGCTCTGTGTGACCCAGGGCTGTGTGACCCTGGGCAAGCTTCTTAACCTCTCTGAGCCTCCATGAACCTGTCTGGAAAACGGGAATGTCTGTCCCGTCTCTATTTCCTCCTTGGACTGTGGCCAGCGTGTAATGTACTTAGCAGCAGCGGAATAAAGCTCCCTAGTTTGATATTGTTATTAATATTTCCATCTTGAGCGGGGAGCTATGAGGGAAGGCAAGGGAGGTCAACATGTCCCAAAAGTCCTACCAGTGCATGGGAAGGGGGTGCTTCCTGAGTTGTCTTCCCATTTTCTCATGACCCAGGGCAGGTCAGAGTTGACAATACCCCCCACACCCACCCCAGGTGCTGGGAGAGGTTAAAAGCACAGAGAGCTTATCATGAATCTCAGGCCTTGATGCCTTGGATGTTTCTAGTTTCCCTTTCAAGTGCCCTCCGTAAAGAGGTGTAAGAGAAAGGCACCCCTAGATCTGTATTATACTATGGGGTGGGTAGGTAGGTGTGTGTGTGGGGGGGGGGTGACAAAAGGGGACGATGGTCAGGACATGGGCCTGGGCACAGACTGCAGCCCACCAGGATGGGGACACCAGAGAGCTAGGACCTGTCACCTGGGCCTCCCCGGGAGAGCTGACACCGCGGCCTCTGACCCCACCTCCCGGGAAGTTCAGCTGCTCAGAACCACAAAGCAAAACAAAGGGGCGCGGAGAGGAAGAAGCCGCAGTGCCTCCCAATCACCGCCGGCGCCCGAGCCCGAGCCTAGCTCTCCCGCGGCTCCTTGCCCGGTCCTCCCGGCTGGCCGCGCACCAAGGCCCAAGCAGCCCCTGGTCCCTCGTCTCCCCGCGGCCGCCCGTGACAGGAGTCGGGGAAGCAGACGAGGGGCAGCCAGGGATGGGAAAACCAGATGGCTCCATCCCTCCTCCCTCCTCCTCCATCCCTCCCTCCGGGTGCCCGCGGCCTGGCTGCCCTCCGCAGGGGCCCGGGGAGGCCGCAGGCCCAGCTCGTCCGGGCTCACCCCGGGGAAAGGGCTGCCTTTGTCTAAAGGTCACCACCCGAGCGCGGTGCCCCGGCCGGGCCTGGTGCCTCCCGTTCCCAGGCCGAGGGGTAGGAGATGGGGGGCCGCCCCGAACCTCGGGAAGTGACAGGAGGCGCTCACCCCCCCCACCCCCGTAACGGCCCCCTCCGGGATGAGCCTCAGCTGGGGGTGGGGGAGGGGGTCACCTCCCTCTATTGCCGGGGGCTGGGGGTCAAGTCAACTCCTTTCATTGTTTAGGGGCGGTGCGAAGGGGGGAGCCCCGGTGGCCTCCTTCCCCATCCATCCCTCCCCAGCTTTCCAGGGCCCCCCACTGTCCGCGACACCCACGGGAGGGATTTGGGGAGGGGGCGCAGGGGCCGAGCGAGGCGGGGAGATGCAGGCTCTCCGCCTCCGGCCGGGAGATCACCGCCCGCTGCCCGGTGGCCTTCGCCTTCCCCGAAAGGCGGGGAGCGGGGCGAGGGGAGGGGGCCGGGACGGGGAGGGGGTCTCCGCGCCCCTCCCCCCGTGGAACGTTAGGTCTCCTCTCTCCGCCGCTCCATTGTATCCCCGGCAGCCGGCGGGAGGGCCGGGGAGGCACTGGGCGCCGGGTCTGGGCAGGGAAGCCGGTTGGGGGGGGGTCCCCATAGGATCGGGGCGGCGGCGGTGGTGGAAGAGACGCGGGGCTGGGGGTGCCGGTGGCGGTGGGCGCCGAGCAGGAAAAAAAAAAAAAAAAAAAAAAGGAGGCAGCGGGCGCTGCGCCCCGGCTGGGGGGCTGAGTGTGAGAGTGTCGCGGGGGTGGGTTCGGCCCCGGCTCCGGCTCCCCCCACACACACCCTCGCCGCCAACCCCCACTCCCCCCTCGCTTTTGCGCCCTGTCACAGCCCCGACTCGCAGGTAGAGAGAGTTAAGAGATTTAAAGAGAAATTGCTACATTGTGAGAAACTCACCCTGATGTTTGAGCAGCCGTCGGCGCGGGGTCTCCGAGACGGCCCCGCACGGGCTGCAAAGGGAGGACCCAGAAGGGGCCGGCCGGCCGGGCCGGTCAGCGCACTGCCTGATCGCATGGCGGCCGCTCGGCAGCCGCTGCCGGGCCCCCGCCGCCGCCCCGCGCCCAGGCCCGCGCGCCCCGGGCCCGCGCCCGTTCCGGGGAGCGCCCCTCGGGTATGCAAAAAAAAAAAAAATTTTTTTTAATTAAATGCAAACGGAAAAAAAAAAAAAAAAACCTCTCAGGTTTTGTGTTCCGCCCCCCACCCCCTTCCTCCTCCTCCTCCTCCTCCTCTTCCCTCCGCCCTCGCCGGAGGAGGGGCTTCAGGAATCCCCGCCCCGCGTCCGGGCGGACCAGCCCCGGCCCCGCCAGGCCGAGCGGCGGGACCCGGAGCCAATGGGAGGCTGCGGACGTCCGGGGACTGGGCCCTCCGCGCCGGCGCCGCCCCCGCCCCCAGCCCCAGTCCCGGGGGTTCAGGGGCGCGCCTGCTCGAGCTCGGGTGTAGTTTGTCGACTGCCTCGAGCCCTGATCCGGATGCTGGGGCGCGGGGGAGCTGAAGGGATCCGCGCTCCCAGACCGCCGGTCCGGCTGGGGAGGGGGCGCCGTGCGTCCTGGGCGCGTCCCCTGAGGCGGAGGACGGTCGTCCGGCGGGAGGACGCGTCCAGGGGGAGCGCCGCAGGTCCGAAAAGATAGCGGGAGTCGAGGATGAAGGAAATGGAGGGGATGGAGGGGAGTTCCCCCCGGAGGTGGGACCGCGCCGGAGCCCAGAGTTGGAGCCTGACAGGGTGGAAGGCGGCGGGGACTTCGGGGTGACAGGCCGGGACCCCAGGCGTGGCTCGATCACTCACCCTAGCTGGTCTCCGTCGAGCCACGGCGGCGCCGGGGAGGCGGGTCGGGCCTGCCTCGGAGCCTGTCCCCGGCCGCTCTGGCCGCGCTGATGGGATTCCCAGAAGCCCCAGGACGCCGCGGTGGTGTCGGGTCCGTTTCCGCCCCACCAGGCCGTAAACGCCCTGCTGGCGGGACACGGATTCACGCGTTGCCCTTAGCGAGCGCTTGGTGAGCGCCCACTGTGTGCGCTGCGCAGTGCTGGGGGCCCAGTGGGGACACAGAGCCCCCGGACCTGCCCTCCCGATGCTTGCAGCCCAGGGAGATTTATACTTTGTTTTAGTCCCTTCTGCCTCCCCAGTGCCCTAGAAAAGCTCGTGCACACAGTAGGTGAATGCGGGTTGAATAAATGAGTAATCGAGACAGATTGTGATTTTGTTGTTGTTGTGTTATATTTTGTTTTGTTTTGAGACGGAGTTTCGCTCTTTCGCCCAGGCTGGAGTGCAGTGGCACGATCTAGGCTCACCGCAACCTCCGTCCCCTGGGTTCAAGCTATTCTCGGCCTCCCAAAGTGCCCGGCCTCTGTTTTTTTAAGCCTTAACATGTGTTCTAGTATCTTGGCGGTACTACCCATAATATTTACTTCAACGTATTTTTTTTTTTTATAATTTATCGGCCAGGCGCAGTGGCTCACACCTGTAATCCCAACACTTTGGGAGGCCGAGGAGGGTAGATCACCTGAGGTCAGGAGTTCGAGACCAGCCTGGCCAACATGGTGAAACCCCTTCTCTACTAATAATACAAAACTTAGCTGGGTGTGGTGGTGCACGCCTGTAATCCCAGCTGCTTGGGAGGCTGAGGCAGGAGAATCGCTTGAATCCGGAAGGCAGAGGTTGCAGTGAGCCGAGATCACACCATTGCACTCCAGCCTGGGCGACAAGAGGGAAACTCTGTCTCAAAAATAGTAATAATAATAATAATTTATCCAGCCTGGGCAACATAGCGAGACCCTGTCCAAACAAAAATTAGCCCAGCATGGTGGTGTGTGCTTGTACTCCCAGCTACTTGGGAGGCTGAGGCAGGAGGATCGCTTGAGTCCAGGAAGTCGAGGTTGTAGTTCCCCATAGTCATGCCACTGCACTCCAGTCTGGGAGACAGCAAGACCCTGTCTCAAAAAAAAAAAGAAGAAGAAGAAATTAATTTTGAGAGACCACAGAGGGTAAGGGCCCTGACTGAAACCAGTCAGCCCCTGGTTCATATCCTGCCTTTGCCACTTTCTTGCTGTGTGACAGTGGACAAATTACCTCACCTCTGTGTGTCCTCATCTTTAACATGCTGATAATAATAGGCCTCATTTCATAGGGTCATGAGGAAGAATGAGCTAGGGAGAGCTGCACCTGAGAGGAAGTGCCATATAAATGCTGGCCGTTATCATTAGTAAGTAAACAGGAAGTTATCAGTTCCACAAGTGAATACCTTATGCAATGTCCCAAACATAAAAGCATGATAGATCTATAACTTAGTACAGTGGTGTTCACCGCAATGCTATTTACAATAGCAAAGACATGGAATCAACTCAGGTGCCCACCAACAGTGGATTGGATAAAGAAAATGTGATAAATGTACACCATGGAATACTATGCAGTCATAAAAAAGAATGAAGCCTGGTGCGGTGGCTCACACCTGTAATTCCAGCACTTTGGGAGGCCGAGGCAGGTGGATCACTTGAGGTCAGGAGTTGGAGACCAGCCTGGCCAGCAAAGGGAAACCCCATCTCTACTGAAAATACAAAAATTATTTGGGTGTGGTGGCAGGCACCTGTAGTCCCAGCTACTCGGGAGGCTGAGGCAAGGGAATTACTTGAGCCTGGGAGGCGGAGGTTGCAGTGAGCCGAGATAGCGCCGTTGCACTCCAGGCTGGGCAACAGAGCAAGACTCTGTCTCAAAAATAAATAAATAAATAAATAATGAAATAATGTCCTTTGCAGCAACACAGATGCAGCTGGAGGTCATTATCCTAAGCAAACTGACACAGGAACAGATAACCAAATACCTCATCTTCTCACTTATAAGTGGGAGGTAAACATTGGGTATGCATGGACATGAAGATGGGACAGATAAACACTGGGGACTACCAGAGTGGGGAGGTAGGGATAGGAGACAAATGTTGAAAAACTAACTTTCGGGGGCGGGCATGGTGGCTCATGCCTGTAATCCCAGCCCTTTGGGAGGCCGAGGCAGGAGGAACACGAGATCAGGAGTTCAAGACCAGCCTCGCCAACATAGTGAAACCCTGTCTCTACTAAAAATACAAAACTTAGCCAGGCATGGTGGCATATGCCTGTAGTCCCAGCTACTTGGGAGGCTGAAGTGGGAGAATCGCTTGAACCCGGGACACAGAGGTTGCAGTGAGCCGAGACCATGCCATTGCACTCCAGCCTGGGCGACAGAGTGAGACTCTGTCTCAAAAAAAAAGACAAAACAAAACTAACTTTCAGGTACTATGCTCAGTACCTAGGTGACGGGCTCATTCGTACCCCAAACCTAGGCATCATGCAATAAAAGAAAAAAAAGCCTCCATGGCCCAGGTGTGTAGGGGCTCACACCCATAATCCCAGCACTTTGGGAGGCTAAGGCAGGCAGATCACTTGAGGTGAGGGGTTCCAGAGCATCTTGTTCAACGCAGCGAAAATACAAAAATTACAAAATCTAATGTATTAAAAATACAAAAATCAGCCCGGCATGGTGGCGTATGCTGAGGCACGAGAATTGCTTGAACACCAGAGGTCGAGGCTGCAGTGAGCCAAGATTGCGCCACTGCACTCCAGCCTGGGCAACAGAGCAAGAGTCTGTCTCAAAACAAACAAACAAACAGGCCGGGCACGGTGGCTCATGCCTGTAATCTCAGCATTTTGGGAGGCCGAGGCAGGTGGATCACCTGAAGTCAGGAGTTTGAGACCAGCCTGGCCAACATGGTGAAACCCCGTCTCTACTAAAAATACAAAAATTAGCCAGGCGTGGTGGCATGTGCCTGTGTTCCCAGCTACTCAGGAGGCTGAGGCAGGAGAATCACTTGAACCCGGGAGGTGGTGGTTGCAGTGAGCTCAGATTGCGCCACTGCACTCGCCTGGCAACAGCCCAAGACTCTGTCTCAAAAAAATAATAATAATAACACAAAAGAAATTAGCCAGGCATGGTGGCGCACACCTATAATCCCAGCTACTCTGGAGGCTGAGGCAGGAGAATTGCTTGAACCCGGCAGGCGGAGGTTGCAGTGAGCCAGGATCACGCCACTGCACTCCAGCCTCGGCGAGAGTGAGACTCCGTCTCAAACAAAAACAAAAACAAGTCCGGGCGCGGTGGCTCACGCCTGTAATCCCAGCACTTTGGGAGGCCGAGGCAGGTGGATCACCTGAAGTCAGGAGTTCGAGACCAGCCTGGCCAACATGGTGAAACCCCCCCATCTCTACAAAAATGCAAAAAGTAGCTGGGCGTGGTAGAAGACGCCTGTAATCCCAGCTACTGGGGAGGCTGAGGCAGGAGAATCGCTTGAACCTGGGAGGCGGAGGTTGCAGTGAGCTGAGATCACGCCATTGCACTCCAGCCTGGGCAACAAAAGTAAGACTCCATCTCAAAAACAAAACAAACAAGCAAACAAAAAAACAAAAACAAGCAGTGATCATCCACCACCCACTGGAGGTGTGTGGACCCTCTGAGAAGCAGCAGTATACACTTTTTTTACTTTATGTTTGTATAGTCTGAGTCTTCCTAACTCTGCACTTCCACAGCCACTGATGGAGCTACACTTTTAGAGTGTTAACTGGGTGGTGAACACAGTTTCTGATGAGAACTGCCCACAGGGGAGAGACCTTTAGTTACCCCCATCATACAGTGTAGAAAACTCAATTGGCTCCGAGAAGGGAAGTGTTTTGCCCAGTCACGCACCCACAAAGTGAGACGCAGCCCTCATCTGAAGCCGTCACTGTACACTGGGACCTGAAGTGTAGCACTTGTGTTTCTGTCATAGCTGCCAGCCCCGGGGGACTCAGAACTAGGGGACTCACTGGAGACTTCGTCAGAGTCTATTCATTCATATTTTTTTAGTATCTAGTGTGTCAAGGATCCTGTGGTGACCAACACCACCCGGGTTCCTGCCTCCCACACAACTCACAATCTATTTGCCTCCCACACAACTCACAATCTATTTGCCTCCCACACAACTCACAATCTATTAGGCAACACAGCCAACAAGCAAGTAAGCAAATAAGTCGCTTAATTAGCCTCGGTTTGCGAGCCTCAGTTTACCTCCCTTGGTCATGCCCTTTTTGGCAGTTCCCAGGTTCCTTTGGTACATTGTAGAATATCCACTGCCCCTAAAACAGTGCTTGGTGCTTAGTAAATGCTCAATAAAAGTTTGCTGAATAGATATTAACAACATCCACCCACCTCATACACACACCTGACCTCTTAGGGAGATGGTCTTGGGGCCATGCCACTTGGAATGGCTCTGGTAGGGTGCAGAGGACACCAACAAGAAGCCAGCCCTGGCCCCGTGCAGTGGCTCACGCCCGTAACCCTAGCACTTTGGGAGGCTGAGGTGGGCAGATTGCCAGAGCTCAGGAGTTCGAGACCAGCCTGGGCAACACGGCGAAACCCCATCTCTACAAAAATAGAAAAAATTAGCTGGGCGTGGTGGTGCGCACCTGTAGTACCAGCTACTTGGAAGGCTGAGGGAGGAGAATCGCTTGAACCCAAAAGAGGGAGGTTGCAGTGAGCTGAGATCGCGCCACTGCACTCTAGCCTGGGTGACAGAGGGAGATTCCGTCTCAAAAAAACAAAAAAACTCAGGCCGGGCACGGTGTCTCACGCCTGTAATCCCAACACTTTGGGACGCTGAGGCAGGTGGACCACCCGAAGTCGGGAGTTTGAGACCAGCCTGACCAACATGGAGAAACCCCGTCTCTACCAAAAATACAAAATTAGCTGGGCATCATGGCACATGCCCGTAATCCCAGCTACTCAGGAGGCTGAGGACAGAGAATTGTTTGAATCCGGAAGCCGGAGGTTGCAGTGAGCCAAGATCGCGCCATAGCACTCCAGCCTGGGCAACGAGAGCAAAACTCCGTCTCAAAAAAAGATAAAAAGAGGCCAGCCCCATGCCTAGCCATGGCTGATAGCCATTAGTCCCCACCCTGCCTGAGTGACCCTGGGACAAGTCACTGAACCTGTCTGGGTCTGACTGCTCAACTCAGTTACTTCTTTCTTTTTCTTTTTTCTTTTCTTTTCTTCTCTTTCTTTCTTTCTCTTTTTCCCTCCTTTTTCTTTCTCTCTTTCCTCCTTCCTTCCTTCCCTTCTCTCTCTATCCTCTCTTCTTTTTTTCTGAGATGGAGTTTCACTCTTGTTGCCCAGGCTGGAGTGCAATGGTGCGATCTCGGCTCACTGCAACCTCCGCCTCCCAGGTTCAAGCAATTCTCCTGCCTCAGCCTCCCAAGTAGCTGGGATTATAGGTATGCACCACCATGCCCAGCAAATGTTTATTTTTATTTTTTTCAGTACAGACGGAGTTTCACCATGTTGGTCAGGCTGGTTTTGAACTCCTGACCTCAAGTGATCCACCTGCCTTCAGCCTCCCAAAGTCCTGGGATTACAAGCGTGAGCCACCGTGCCCAGCCCTTTCTCTCTCTCTCTCTCTCTCGTTCTTTCTTTCTTTTTTTAGATGATGGAGTCTCGCTCTGTCGCCCAGGATGGAGTGCAGTGGCTCAATCTTGACTCACTGCAACCTCCATCTCCCAGGTTCAAGCAATTCTCCTGCCTCAGCCTCCCAAGTAGCTGGGACTACAGATGCGCGCATACCACCACGCCCAGCTAATTTTTTGTATTTTTAGTAGAGACGGGTTTTCACCATATTGGTCAGGCTGGTGTTGAACTCCTGACCTTGTCATCTGCCAGCCTTGGCCTCCCAAAGTTCTGGGATTACAGGCATGAGCCACCTCACCCTTCCTTCCTTTCTCTTTCTCTATCTTTCTTTCTCTTTCTTTCTTTCTTGACAGTCACGCAAGCTGGAGTGCAGTGGCGCAATCTCAGCTCACTGCAACGCGCGCCTCCAAGGGTTGAAGCGATTCCAAGCAGCTGGGATTACAGGCACCCGCCACCATGCCCAGCTAGTTTTTGTATTTTTAGTAGAGACAGGGTTTCATCATATTGGCCAGGCTGGTCTCGAACTCTTGGCCTCAAGTGATCCCCCCATCTTGGCCTCCCAAAGTGGTGGGATTACAGGCACCAACTCAGTTCTTAATGGGGGACTCATAACTTGCATATGATTCTCAAATGGAATTTTTTAAACGATCCCTTGGTACAGCATCTGGGTTTTAGCTACCAGGCAGTGGAACTAAGGGGGTGGATCAAAGGGCATTGATTCCCTGGCAATCCCTGCCCTGGGAGAGCAAACGTCTGTTTTTCCTGCTCTGTCCTGTCTGTCCCCTGACATCCTGGAAAGCCTGTCCAAGTTTCAGAGTTAATGAGTGAGTGTGGTCCACACTGTTCTAGAATCAGTGGGGAAGGTCAGAGGCAGCCAAAGGGATGACCAAAGACCAGTGTTGGGGATCAATATGGGCCCAGATCGAAAGAGACCTGCTGTCCTTCGGGAGTGACACGCCCCTTCTATTTGAGAATCAGGCGCAAGTTATGAGTCCTAGGTTAAGCACTGAGTTAGGCAGTCAGACCCAGACAGGTTCAGCGACTTGTCCCCAAGGCCAGCCAGGCAGGGTGGGGACTAAATCAGTACACCCAGGTGTTCTGTGGCTGAGTCACCAGATGAACCTAGGGCAAGTCACTTCTCCAGCTCCTCCATTTTCTCATCTCTTCAATGGGAGTGTATCGTCAGGCACCCAAATCTGCCCCTGTCCCCAAACATTTTATTATGACAATGTTCAGGCCAGGCGCGGTAGCTCACGTCTGTAATCCCAGCACTTTGGGAGGCCAAGGCGGGAGGATTACCTGAGGTCGGGAGTTCGAGACCAGCCTGACCAACATGGAGAAACCCCGTCTCTACTAGAAATACAAAAATTAGCAAGGCGTGGTGGCGCATGCCTGTAATCCCAGCTACTCGGGAGGCTGAGACAGGAGAATCGCTTGAACCCGGGAGGCGGAGGTTGTGGGTGAGCCGAGATCGCGCCATTGCACTCCAGCTTGGGCGACAAGAGCGAAACTCCGTCTCAAAAAGAAAGAAAGAAAGAAAGAAAAGCAAAGAAACGAAAAGAAAATTTCTCCAACCCAAGTTGTTTCTCGACCTGGGAGGCTGCTGGTGCCACATGGAGTTTTAGTTTTCTGTAGAGCGGCGCACAAGATACGTGCATTTTCCCGTATGCATGTAAGAACCAGGGGAAAGAAATGAAAGCCTTGCCCAATCCAAAAACACCCCTGCGTCCCCTCCAGGTTCTGTTAAATAGGGGCGAGGGGAACAAGTTCCCATTGGAGACGTTTCCGGGTCCGGATTTTAGCAGCTAGGCGGTGGAAATAAAGTGGGGGATGAGAGGGCATTGATGCCGGGGCGATCTCCGCCCTCTGACCGCTCCCTTCAAATGCGGCTGGGACCGCGGAGTGCGCCGCCCCAGCTCCTGGCCCTGCCCGCCCGCGCCGAGCGCCCGGAGCGCCCAGACTGCGAGCCGCCACGAAATCAGGCAACTGCGCGCCCAGCCCTGCCTCGGGTCCTCAGCGCGGCAAGTGCCGGGGGCGGAGCCCAGCCGCCTATTGGCCCAGGTCTGGGGGCGGAGCCACGACTCCATCACCGTCCCAACCCCAAACCCCATCGGGTTAAATGGGCCTCTCGCCGGTCGGGGGATTATTCGTCGGGAGGCGGGGCCTGGGTTTGTTTACACACTATCATTGGCCAGATTTGAATCGGGCCTACTGCGGGCGGGCCACGGGGCGGGGCTACAGCGGGCCACGGCCGCCGCCTGACAGCTTCTGGGAGGCAGGGCCAGTCCTGGACGCGCGGTCCCTGAGCACCGCGATCCCTGGAGCTGGGGTACCCTCGGCGGATGCGGAGAGTCGGGCGTTGGGGGGCGCAGGTTGGGGCTTCTGCCTGTCCGTTTTTTGACAAACACTAACCAAGGGGTGAGGTTGAGTAGCATTGTTTTTTTTGTTGTTGTTCTCGTAAAAATTTGTGGGAAAAAAAAAAAAAGACCAGAAACAACCTAGTTGTCCATCGATGGGGGACTCAGATAAGCAGTGGTGCGGCCCGCAATGGGATGCGGAGTCACCGTAAAACGAGGAAGGGATACTTGAACTGACACGGTATGAGCTATGTAGCCTGACAAGGTAGGAGAGGAGAAAAAAAAAGGTATAAAAATGTAAAAGGTGGAGATGAAAAAATACAAGCTTTTGCTTGTTAAATACACAGAATATCTTGAAAAGCAGAAGCGAACTGCGGCAGGGCGCGGTGGCTCACGCCTGTAATCCCAGGTCTTTGGGAGGCCGAGGCGGGCGGATCACATGAGGTCAGGAGTTCGAGACCAGACTGGCCAACATGGCAAAACCCCATTTCTACTAAAAATACAAAAAATTAGCCGGGCATGGTGGCGCGCGCCTGTAATCCCAGCTACTCGGGAGGCTGAGCAAGGAGAATCGCTTGATCCTGGGAGGCGGAGGTTGCGGTGAGCCGCTACTGCACTCCAGCCTGGGTGACAGAGCGAGACTTTGTCTAGGGAAAAAAAAAAAAAAAGCAAACTGGTCACAGCAGTTTTCCGTGGGGAAACAGGGGTGGGTGGATGTTAGGTCTTTTTCTACCTTTGTAAAGTTTGAGCCTAGTGTCACCTATTCAAAAAAATACACACAAAATATTCAAATACGTGCACACACAAAAAAATCAAATACACAAAAACATTCAAAGAAATACACACAAAAAATCCAATAAATACACAAATTCTGAGAATTTCCCGTTTTCATCCACATGTCCCTTTGCTCCTGCTCTTGCCCTAGAGCTCCTGCCCTAGAGGCTGTGGACCTCCCACCTGCAGCCCCCGCAGCCCCTGCACCCCGCAGCGTTTGGGGGATAGAGAACACGCTAAGAATGTGTCTTCATTTATCGGGTATTGTTACTCATGCACCACCAAATAAAATATTCTGACTCAAGAGTGGCTTTATTTATTTGTTGCTTTAAGCCTTGTAGTCATCACTGAGATATTTAACATTCCAACTATGTGGGAGGGGCCGCTTCCTTGGCTATGCTTGGGGGAGGGTGACAGGAGAAACGCACCAGGCCATCTTAGGAAAGAGAAGAGAAAGTCGAAACTAGGAAAGGCCCCTTTAAGAAGGGAAGCGGTCTCTGCTGGTCAACACCACTGACAGAGGAAGAGCTGGCTGGGTTTTGATTTTTATTATTACTCTGTTCCCGAAGATCTGGAGGAGAGAATGAGTAGACCGCTTGCAGCAATGAGACTAAGTCGAGATTTGGAGTCTGTTAACAGATCTCGGCTGAGTGCGGTGGCTCACACCTGTAATCCTGCACTTTGCGGGGCCGAGACAGGCGGATCATCCCCTTTTTACTACAGGGTTTGTGAAACATTGTTCAGATGGCTATAAAAGTCACCCATGGCTAGAGGGGGATTTACAATGTAGTTATAAGTAATGCTTAACCGAGCTTCTTTCTGTACTTGGATGCTCTCATTGAATGCCTCCAACAATCCTAGCAGGTAGGATATGCTAATATCACCTCCTGCTGATACGGAAACTGAGTCATAGAGAAGTTGCAAAATTGTCAGAGTCAGGGGGCACAGGGATTTGCAGCCCTGTTCCAAAATTTATACTTTTTTTTTTCTAGCAGGGATCTCGCTGACTGGAGTGCAACAACGTGTTCACCACTTGACTTCCTGGGTCCAAGTGATCCTCCAACCTCAGCCTCCACAGTGGCTGGGACCACAGGTGCCACCACCATGCTTGGCTAATCTATTTTTATTTTTCTGTAGAGATGAGGTCTTGTCCTGTTTCCCAGGCTGGTCTCGAACACATGGGCTCAAGAGATCCTCCTGCCTTGGCCTCCCAAAGTGCTGGGATTACAGATGTGAGCCACTGCACCTGCTCCAAAATTCATACTCTTAATCACCACATTACACTGTGCCATGTAAACGTTTTCTGTCTTTAGATGTATTGTTTTAAAAGCTAAAGATATAAGAATCTTAAGCAGATTCTGTTTATTCTTTTTTTTTTTTTTTTTTTTTTTTGAGACAGAGTCTTGCTCTGTCGCCAGGCTGGAGTGCCGTGGTGTGATCTCAGCTCACTGCAACCTCTGCCTCCTGGTTTCAAGTTATTCTCCTGCCTCAGCCTCCCAAGTAGCTGGGAGTACAGGTGTGTGCCACCACACCCAGCTAATTTTTGTATTTTTAGTAGAGACGGGGTTTCACCATGTTGGCCAGGATGGTCTTGATCTCTTGAACTTGTTATCCACCCACCTCAGCCTCCCAAAGTGCTGGGATTACAGGCATGAGCCACCGCACCTGGCTTCAGCCCGCAGATTTTTTTTTTTTTTTTTTTTTTTTTGAGACAGAGTCTCACTCTGTGGCCCAGGCTGGAGTGCAGTGGCACGATCTCGGCTCACTGCAAGCTCTGCCTCCCGGGTTCACGCCATTCTCCTGCCTCAGCCTCCGGAGTAGCTGGGACTACAGGCGCCCATCACCACACCTGGCTAATTTTTTGTGTTTTTAGTAGAGACGGGGTTTCACTGTGCTAGCCAGGATGGTCTCTATCTCCTGACCTCATGATCCGCCTGCCTTAGCCTCCCAAAGTGCTGGGATTACAGGCATGAGCCACTGCGCCTGGCCGACCCGCAGATTCTGAATGAAAGTGAACAATTTTCACATCCGATTTCTGCAACGGAGTTTGTTTTTGTTTTGAATTTCTGGTGACTTTTCCTAAAATTATATTTATTTATTTATTTTTATTATTTTGAGACAGAGTCTCACTGTCGCCATGCTGGAGTGCAGTGACGCAACCTTGGCTCACTGCAACCTCCGCCTCCTGGGTTCAAGCAATTCTCCTGCCTCAGCTTCCAGAGTAGCTGGGACTACAGGCATGAGCCACCACACCCACCTAATTTTTGTATTTTCGGTAGAGACAGGGTTTCACCATGTTGGCCAGGATGGTCTCGATCTTCTGACCTTGTGATCTCCCCAACTCAGCCTCCTAAAGTGCTGGCATTACAGGCGTGAGCCACCACGCCTGGCCTATTTATTTATTTTTTTGAGACAGAGTCTCCGTCTGTCACCCAGGCTGGAGTGCAGTGGCGCGATCTCAGCTCACTGCAACCTCCACCTCCCAGGTTCCATCAATTCTCCTGCCTCAGTCTCCCGAGTAGCTGGGACTACAGGCAATCATAGTTCACTGCAGCCTCAACCCCTTGGCCTCAAGCAATCCTCCTACCTCAGCCTCCTGGCTAGCTGGGAATAAAGGCACACACCACCACACCTGACTAATTTTTGTATTTTTTGTAGAGACAGGGTTTCACCATGTTGCCCAGACTGGACTCAAACTCCTGGGCTCCAATGATGCGCCTGCCTGGGCCTTCCAACACTTCTTTTTTTTTGAGACGGAGTCTTGGTCTGTTGCCAAGGCTGGAGTGCAGTGGCACGATCTTCGATCACTGCAACCTGCACCTCCCAGGTTCAAGCAATTCTCTGCCTCAGCCTCCCGAGTAGCTGGGATTACAGGCGCCCGCTGCCACACCCGGCTAATTTTTTGTATTTTTAGTAGAGACAGGGTTTCACCATCTTGGCCAGGCTGGTCTTGAACTCCTGACCTCGTGATCCACCCGCCTCGGCCTCCCAAAGTGCTGGAATTACAGGCGTGAGCCACCGCGCCTGGCCAAGGCCTCCCAACACTTCTGAGCCCTTTACATACATTAGCTGATGGAATCTTCACAGCAACCTTGAAGTAGGAGCTGTTGTCATCTTCATTTCACAGATGAAGAACCGAGGCACAGAGAAGTTAACTAACTGGCCTAAGTTCTTACATTTCTCTCCAGAAAAGGAAGACGAAGACCAAGAATGGCTGGCGAGGGAGGAAGTGTCCAAAGTTGCTGAGAGAGAAAAGAAGGGAAATTAAGATAAACCACTGGACTGGTGAAGGTGGAAATGATGGTTCAGTGAGGTGGTGAGGGCTGAGGTCAGCTTGCAGAAGGTGGTGAGGAAATGGCCAAGAAACACAGGAAAGGATGCTCAGTCATCAGTATTAGGGAAATGGAAGTCAAAACCACAATGAGATACAACCTCACACCCACTAGAATCATCACGATCAAAAGAGGAAAAAATAGGCCGGGCTCGGTGGCTCATAGTTGGAATCCCAGCCCTTTGGGAGGCCAAGGTGAGTGGATCGCCTGAGGTCAGGAGTTCAAGACCAGCCTGGCCAACATGGTGAAACCCTGTCTCTACTAAAAATGCAAAAATTAGCCGGGTGTGGTGGCAGGCGCCTGTAATCTCAGCTACTCGGGAGGGTGAGGCAGGAGAATTGCTGGAACCCAGGAGGCAGAGGTTGCAGTGAGCTGAGATCGCGCCATTGCACTCCAGCCCAGGCCGACAACAGCAAGACTCCATCTGAAATAAAACAAAATTGTATTTTAAAAAATGCTTAAGGGTTTTTTAAAAGCAAAGGTGTTGAGTATATATGATTTTTAAAAATTGATTGGGCTCAGTAGCTCACGCCTGTTATCCCAGCACTTTGGATGGCAGAGGCAGGCAGATCACGGGGTCAGGAGTTCGAGACCAGCCTGGCCAACATGGTGAAACCCCGTCTCTACTAAAAACACAAAAATTAGCTGGGCCTGGTAGCACATGCCTGCAATCCCAGCTCCTCGGGAGGCTGAGGCAGGAGAATTGCTTGAACCCGGGAGGCGGAGTTTGCAGTGAGTCGAGATGTTGCCACTGCACTCTAGCCTGGGCGACAGAGCAAGACTCTGTCTCGGCGTGGGAAATAAGGCTGGGTGTGATGGCTCACACCTGTAATCCCAGCACTTTGGGAGGCCGAGGTGGGTGGATCACCTGAAGTCAGGAGTTGGATACCACCCTGACCCACATGATGAAACCCCATCTCTACTAAAAATACAAAATTAGCCGATCGTGGTAGTGCATCCCTGTAATCCCAGCTACTTGGGAGGCTGAGGCAGGAGAACTGCTTGAACCTGGGAGGCGAAGGTTGTGGTGAGCCAAGATCACACCATTGCACTCCAGCCTGGGTAACAAGAGTGAAACTTCATCTCAAAAACAAATAATAATAATTAAATAAATAAAAATAAAAAATAATACAGACCAGGCACGGTGGCTCACACCTATAATCCCAGCACTTTGGGATGCTGAGACAGGTGGATCACTTGAGATCAGGAGTTCGAGATCAGCCTGGACAACATGGCAAAATCCCGTCTCTACTAAAAATACAAAAAAAAAAAAAAAAAAAATAGCTGGGCGTGGCTGGGCACGGTGTCTCACTCCTGTAATCCCAGCACTTTGGGAGGCTGAGGTGGGCGGATCACGAGGTCAGGAGATCGAGACCATACTTGCTAACACAGTGAAACCCCGTCTCTACTAAAAATATAAAACAAAATTAGCCGGGCGTGGTGGCAGGCGCCTGTAGTCCCAGCTACTTGGGAGGCTGAGGCAGGAGAATGGTGTGAACCCGGGAGGTGGAGCTTGCAGTGAGCCGAGATCACACCACTGCACTCCAGTGTGGGCAACAGAGCAAGACTCCGTCTCAACAACAACAAAAAAAAAAAAAAGAGAGAGAAAAAAATTAGCTGGGTGTGGTGGTGTGTGCCTGTAGTCTCAGCTATTGGGGAGGCTGAGGCAGGAGAATCGCTTGAACCTGGGAGGTGAAGGTTGCAGTGAGCCAAGATGGCCCCACTGCATTCCAGCCTAGGTGACAGAGTAAGACTCCACCTTAAATAAATAAATTAAATTAAATTAAGTAAAATAAAAAATCATACATATGGCAGCAGCATAGGCAAGGAGAAGAGCCAAAAATGGTTGGTGAGGGGCTGGTGGAAGGCAAGAACCGAGAGGTCTGGGGAGATGGTGGTGGAGTGAGGTTAGGTCAATGCAATGAGTGTTTGTCGGTATCTGCTCTGTGGCGGTTACTGGGAGACCCTGGGGTCTACCTCGTGGAACTCTCGGGTCTGTGGAGGTTACAGACTTCTCCCTAAAGTGGATAGGGGGAGTGAGTCCTGGGGATGTGGGAGCTCAGAGCAGGCACCTGACCCAGCCTGGGGTTTGGGAAGGCTTCCTGGAGGAGGAGGAGGATAAAGAGGAATTGTTAGGAAAAGACAGTGCAGGGAATTCTGAGAATAGAGGAATACACAAACAGTTTGTCCCACGACACACTCACAACACGCTCTGTCACTAGATATGAGGGGGATCTTCTCCCCCCAGGGGACACCAGCCTGTCCTCCAATTCAATTCACTTCTGACACTATCTACCTGGAGACAGCATCAGATCCCACAGGTTGAAGGCTGAGTCCCACAAGATTGCCCCCCACTTCTTTTTTTTTTTTGAGACAGAGTCTCGCTCTGTCTCAAAAGAGTTGCCCAGGCTGGAGTGCTATGGCACAATCTCAGCTCACAGCAACCTCTGCCTCCCGGGTTCAAGCGATTCTTCTGCCTCAGTCTCCCAGGTAGCTGGGATTACAGGCGCCCGCCACCACGACCAAGTCATTTTTGTATTTTTAGTAGAGATGGGGTTTCGCCATGTTGGCCAGGCTGGTCTGGAACTCTTGACCCCAGGTCATCTGCCCGCCTTGGCCTCCCAAAGTGCTGGGATTATAGGCCTGAGTTACTGAGCTCTTTTTTTTTTTTTTTTTTTTTTGAGATGGAGTCTCCCTGTGTCACCCAGGCTGGAGTGCAGTGGTGTGATTTCTGCTCACTGCAACCTCCGCCTCCGGGGTTCAAGTGATTCTCATGCCTCAGCCTCCCTCCCAAGTAGCTGGGATTACAGGCACCCACCACCACACCTGGCTAATTTTTTGTATTTTTAGTAGAGACAGTTTCACCATTTTGGCCAAGCTGGTCTTGAACTCTGAAGCTCAAATGATCCGTCCCCCTTGGCCTCCCAAAGTGCTGGGATGGGATTACAGGTGTAAGCCACTGAGCCAAGCCTGTTCCCTACTTCCAGTGCCGATCTCAAGCTCCAGGTTGTTTAATTTTTTTTTTTTTTTTTTTTGAGACGGAGTCTCGCTCTGTTGCCCAGGCTGGAGTGCAGTGGCGCTATCTCGGCTCACTGCAAACTCCACCTCTCGGGTTCACACCATTCTCCTGCCTCAGTCTCCCGAGTAGCTGGGATTACAGGTGCCTGCCACAACGCCCAGCTAATTTTTGTATCTTTAGTAGAGACCATGTTGGCCAGGCTGGTCTTGAACTCCTGACCTCAAGTGAACTGACCACTTTGGCCTCCCAAAGTGCTGAGATTACAGACATGAGCCATCACACCTGGCCTAATTTAATTTTAATTTTAATTTTGAGACAGAGTCCCAGTCTGTCGCCCAGGCTGGAGTGTAGTGGTATGATCATGGCTCACTGCAGCCTTGACTTCCTGGGCTTAGGTGATCCTCCCACTTCAGCCTCCCGAATAACTGGGACTACAGATGCGTGCCACCATACCTGGCTAAGTTTTTTGTATGTTTTGTAGAGATGGGGTTTCACCATGTTGCCCAGGCTGGTCTTGAACTCCTGGGCTCAAGCAACCCTCTGGTCTTGGCCTCCTGAAGTGTTGGAATTACAGGTGTGAGCCTCCGCTCCTGGCCAGTCAGCTAAGACTTGTGAGATGAATAGAGTTGTCAGATGAGGGTGGAAGGGAAGAGGAGATGCAAAGGCCTAGCACTGGGGAAGGAGGAAAGGCAGGTGGCTAGAAAGTCAGCAGTTTGGCTGAGATGGTCTGAGGGACAGGGCAGACTTGCAGGTACACCAGGGATTTGGGGTTTGACCCCAGAGGTAATCTACAGTCATTAAAGTGTTTGCTGTTTTTTTTAATTGTTACATAATTCGGCCATGTGCGGTGGCTCATGCTTGTAATCCCAGCAATTTGGGAGGCCGAGGAGGGAGGATCACCTGAGGTCAGGAGTTTGAGACCAGCCTGGCCAACATAGTGAAGCCCCATCTCTACTAAAAACACAAAATATTAGCTGGGCATGGTAGTGGGTGCCTGTAGTTCCAGCTACTTGGGAGGCTGAGGCAGGAGAATCACTTTAACCCAGGAGACAGAAGTTTTGGTGACTGAGATCACACCACTGCCCTTCAACCTGGGCAACAGAGCAAGACTCAGTCTCAAAAAAAAAAAAAAGAAAAATTCTGATATAATTTGCCTACCATAAAACTCCTTATTTATTTATTTATTTTTTGGGGGACAGAGTTTCGCTCTTGTTGCCGAGGCTGGAGTGCAATGGCATGATCTCGGCTCCCCGCAACCTCCGGCTCCCAAGTTCTCAATTCTCCTGCCTCAGCCTCCCGAGTAACTGGGATTACAGGCATGCACCACCATGCTCGGCTAATTTTGTATTTTTAGTAGAGATGGGGTTTCTCCATGTTGGTCAGGCTGGCCCCGCTTGGCCTCCCAAAGTGCTGGGATTACAGGCGTGAGCTACTGCGCCCAGCCAATTTTTAATTTTTTTTAGTAGAGACAGGATCTTGCTATGTTGCCCAGACTGGTCTTGAATTCCTGGGCTCCGGCCGTCTTCCAGCCTCAGCCTCCAAAGTAGCTGGGATTACAAGCACACACCACTGTACCTGGCTCAAAATTCATCATTTTAAAATGTATAATTCAATGGTTTTTCATATATTCCCAGTGCTGTGCAAACATCATCACTATGTAGCTTCAGAACATCTCAGTATCCCAGCACAAAACCGCTGGCCCGTTAGTAGTCGCTTCCTATCTCCCGTCCCCCAGGTCTGGGCAACTATCAATCTACTTTCTGTCTCCATGGACTTGTCTGTTCTGGATATTTCATAAAAATAGTCATACAGTGTGTAGTCCCTTATGACAGGCTTCCTTCAGTTAGCATAATGTTCTCAAGGTTCATCCATTCAAGTAGCAGTACTTTGGCCAGGCGCAGTGGCTCACACCTGTAATCCCAGCACTTTGGGAGGCCAAGGCGGGCAGATCACCTCAGGTCAGTTCGAGACCAGTCTGACCAACATGGGGAAACACCATCTCTACTACAAATACAAAATTAGCCTGGTGTGGTGGCGCATGCCTGTAATCCCAGCTACTCGGGAGGCTGAGGCAGGAGAATTGCTTGAACCCAGGAGGCGGAGGTTGCAGTGAGCCGAGATCGTGCCATTACACTCCAGCCTGGGCAACAAGAGGGAAATTCCATCTCAAAAAAAAAAAAAAAAGAAAAAAAAAGTATCAGTAAGTACTTCATTCCTTTTTATGGCTGAATAACATTCCATTGTATGGATAGACCACATTTCACTTATCAGTTCACTTGTTGATGGACGTTTCTCTCTTTTGGCTGTTGCGAATAGTGTTGTTTTGGCTGTTGTGAATAGTGTTGCTATGGACATTTATGTACAAGTTATTGTTTGAACACCTATTTTTTTATTTATTTATATTTATTTTGAGACGGAGTCTCGCTCTGTCTCCTAGGCTGGAGTGCAGTGGTGCAATCTCGGCTCACTGCAACCTCCACCTCCTGGGTTCAAGTGATTCTCCTGCCTCAGTCTCACGAGTAGCTGGGATTACAGGCGCCCGCAACCACACCTGGCTAATTTTTATTTTTTGTATTTTTAGTACAGACAGGGTTTCACCATGTTGGCCATCTGGTCTCAAACTCTTGATGTCAACTGATTGACCAGCCTCAGCCTCCCAAAGTGCTGGGCTTACAGGTGTGAGCCACCACACCCACCCATAACAGGTTTTTTGTGTCAATATATGTTTTCATTTCTCTTGGATATCTACCTAGGAGTGGAATGAAGGTTTGCTTTGTTGTTGTTTTGTTTTTTACCAGCAATAATTTCAAGCTTACAGAAAACTAGCAAGAAAGGTAAGTAGATCTTTCCTGGATTCGCAAGTCAGTAACATTTGGCCACCTCTGCTGTATGTTTCTTTTCTGAACATTTGAGAGGCAGTGGAAGACGTCGTGTCCCTTGATCCCTAAATCCTTCAGCATGACGTTACTAAAAACAAAGACATGCTCTTTAAAAAATCCAGAACAAGAATCAGAAACAGGAAATGAAACGTTGATACAATAATACAATTGTTTAATCCACAAATTCAAATCTGTTTGTCTCAATAAAATCCTTTATAGCAATGTTTTCCCCAGCCCAGGATTCAACACAGGATCATACATTGCATCAAGTCACATGGCCGAAGGATCTTAGGAAGGAAAAAACTTAATCATCTTTGCCCTTTCCTGGAATCCCTTTGGCTGACATGGGAAGAAAAGATCGGAGGGGGAATAAGAGGGCAAGCAGGGAGACCAGGGAGAAAGCCGGTGCTTACAATAGGAAAGAGAAACTTAGGAATCAGAAAGATCTCAGTTCAAGTCTTGGCCCAGCTTTTCAGGAACTGTGGCCTTGGGCATGTGACTGAACTTCTTTAAGCCTCAACTACTGCGTCAGAAAAATGGGACTAACTCCTAGGATTGGTGTGAGACCAGGGATGTGCTGAGCACAAACCTTGCCCATCAGTCGGAATCAATTTCCCAACACCATCCCATCCGCCATTTATTCCAGTCAATTACACAACCCAGGACAGTCCTGAGTTCTTCAGATATGGTTACTTTCTGGATCCCCTCAAGAAACAACCTTACAAGTAGGTGTTATCCTCATCCCCACTTTATTATTTTTATTTCCATTTCTTTATTTCTTTATTTTGAGACAGAGTTTCCCTCTGACACCCAGGCTGGAGTGCAGTGGCACAATCTCAGCTTACTGCAACCTCTGTCTCCTGGGTTCAAGCGATGCTCATGCCTTAGCCTCCCAAGTAGCTGGGACTACAGGCACTCACTATCACAACCTGCTAATGTTTGTATTTTTGGTAGAGATGTGGTTTTCGCCGTGCTGGCCTCGAACTCCTGGCCTCAAGAGATCTGCCTGCCTTGGCCTCCCAAAGTGCTGGGATTACAGTGGAAGCCACCATGCCTGGCCTACTTGTGGGTTTTTGTGCCCCACACCACACCGTGTTAATGATTATAGCTCTAGTGTATGTTTTGTTACCTGAGAACAAACCTCTCCTTATTGCAAACAGTAAATACATTTATGGCGTGACAACTGTGTGCCAATCACTGTTCTTTTTATTTTATTTATTTATTTATTTTCAGACACACTCTCACTCTGTCACCCAGGTTGGAGTGCAGGCTCAGCTCATGGCAACCTCTGCCTCCCAGGTTCAAATGATTCTGGTGCCTCAGACTCTCGAGTAGCTGGGAGTACAGGTTTGCACCACCACATCTGGCTAATTTTTGTATATTTTAGTAGAGACAGGGTTTCACTTATGTGGGCCAGGCTGGTCTCAAACTCCTGACCTCAAGTGATCCACCCATCTCAGTCCCCCAAAGTGCTGGGATTACAGGCATGAGCCATTGCACCTGGCATATTTATTTTTACTTTTATTTTACAGACAGGGTCTCACTTTGTCACCCAGGCTGGAATGTGCAGTGGTTCAATCATAGCTCACTGCACCTCAGCCTCCTGGGCTCAAGCAATCCTCCTGCATCAGCCTCCTAAGTAGCTGGGACTACAGGCACCTGCCACCATGCCCGGCTAATTTTTTGTGTTTTTAGTAGAGGCGGGGTTTCACCATGTTGGTCATGCTGGTCTCGAACTCCTGACCTCAGGTGATCCACCCGTGTCAGCCTCCCAAAGTGCTGGGATTATAGGTGTGAGCCACTGCACCTGGCCCCACCTGGGTCTTTCAAAGCTCTTGGAATACAGGTGTGAGCCATCATGCCTGGCCTATTTTTTTTTTTTTTTAGGCAGTTTCTTGCTTTGTCACTTAGGCTGGAGTGCAGTGGCGCAATCATAGCTCACTGCAACCTCAAATTCCTGGGCTCAAGGGATCCTCCCGCCTCAGACTCCTGAGTAGCTAAGACTACAAGCACGCACCACTATGCCCAGCTAATCATCCCCACTTTATGGAGGAGGAAACTGAGGCACAGAGAGGTAAAGTCACTCTCCTGAGGGCACTCAGCTACTACACAGCAGAACCAGGATTGAAACCCAGGGCCAACCCCCACCCCATAACCTCCACCTCCAACCCTTATGTGTCATTGTCATTGTCGGTCCAGGCGAGAAGTGATGGTGGCCTGGACCAGTGTGGAGGCGTGGGGATGGAAACAAGAGGACTGACCCACAAAAAGGTAGAATGGTGACTGACTGGGAAGAGGAGTGAGAAAGTAGAAGCCCAGGCCGGGCGTGGTGGCTCGCGCCTGTAATCCCAGCACTTCGGGAGGCTGATGCAGGCGGATCACTTGAGGTCAGGAGTTGGAGACCAGCCTGGCCAACATGGCAAAACCCCGTCTCTACTAAAAATACAAAAATTAGCCAGGTGTGGTGGCACACAGCTATAATCTCAGCTACTTGGGAGGCTGAAGCAGGAGAATTGCTTGAACCCAGGAGGCAGAGGTTGCAGTGAGCCAAGATCACACCATTGCACTCCAGCCTGGGTGACACGGTGAGACTCTGTCTCCAAAACAAAACAAACAAACAAAAAAAAGAACAAAAATGTACCAGCTTCATGAACAGGCCTTGGGCTTTGCGTATTTCTCTTCTATCTCTTGCTCCTCTGTCTTCGCCATGAGAACATGTGTGGGCCAGCTTGCTGGAGGAATGTGAGAGAAAGGTAGGGAAGAACTGAGTCATCCCAGCTGAAGGCATTCCAAACCAGCCAGTCTCTGGTCAACCCACCAGAGGACCACAGATGCATGAGTGAGCCCAGCCAAGGTCATCTGAGCCTGGCCCGGGTCACCAGGATAATCTTGAGGACTCAAATACACATGAGAAAAAAAAAATATGGTTGTTATTTTATGCCACTATGTTTTTTGGTGATTTGTTACACAGCTGTAGCTAACTGGTAAAAGGGAGATGCTAAGATCAGATATAGAAATATGGCCACCCCAACACCTCATAGTTTAGTACTTATTGAATGACAAAGGAAATCCAAAATTATTTCTTTTTCCTTCTCTCCCTCTCCCTTAATTTTCTTTTTTTAATTTTTTTTTAATAACAGGGTCTCACTCTTGGCTGGGCACAGTGGCTCATGCCTGTAATCCCAGCACTTTGGGAGGCCAAGGCAGGTGGATTGCTTCAGTTCAGGAGTTCAAGACCAGCCTGGGCAACATGGTGAAACCCTGTCTCTACCAAAAATAAAAAATAAAAGTAAAAAAAATTAGCCAGACATGGTGTCACGAGCCTGTAGTCCCAGCTACTCAGGAGGCCGAGGTGAGAGGATCGCCTGAGCCTGGGAGGCAGAGGCTGCAGTGAGCCGAGATCATGCCACTGCACTCCAGCCTGGGTGACAGAATGAGACCCCGTCTAAAAAAACAAAAACAAAAAAAGAAACAGGGTTTCACTCTGTCACTGAGGCTGGAGTGCAGTGGCATAATCGTGGCTCACTGCATCCTCGAACTCCTGGGCTCAAGGGATCCTCCTGCCTCAGCCTCCCAAGTAGCTAGGACTACAGGCACATGTCACCATGCCTTGTTAACTTTCAAAAAAAATTTTAGTAGAGATAAGGTCTTGCTATGTTGCCCAGGCTGGTCAGTCGGCCAGTGGCTGGGGGTTACCAGGTGTAGCCTCCCAGGAGAGGTGGTTTTGCTGAAGGAAACTTGCCTTGGAGGGACAGCTGGGAGCCACTAGCAGCTGGGGGATAGGAGAGTGGGGCTGGGTGGGGATGTTGCCAACAGCGACTTCTTCCTAGGAGGAGAACAGACTTGTGTGGCATCAAGTCAGCTTAGAGGAGGCTGCTTTAGGAAGGACAGGGCCAATGAAGACCCCTGCTACCGACGGTCTCGTAAGAACCTGTCCCCTCCCATATGAGGCCCTTTCAGTCCCCCAACCCCTGGGTTCCATACCCTCCCTCAGTGTTACAGGAACAACAGGTTTGTATGCCTGCTGTGCAGCAACAGACCAATTGCACAGAGACAGCAGGGTTTGCAGCAGAGAAAGGATCTAATGATTGTGGGGCACTGAGGGAGGAGAGGGAAGCAGACCCTCAATTCGTCTTCCCGAGGAGTTCTGGGCTGGGATTTTTGAGGTGATCATGAAGGACAAAGGACTGGAGAATTGGCCCTGTTGATTGGTCAGGGAAAGGAGTGAAATAATCCCAAACGTGGAAATCGCATGCTTTGGTGAGTCAGCATCTCATGGGGTCCCTCAGATCAGCTGGCAGAGTCATTTCATCAGCATGCAGGACCTGAGGGAACATCTCAAAAAGAAAACTTAACGTTTTATCATGTTTAAGTTGTCATTTACAGAGCAGTTGAGGGGAAGTAGAATCTGGTAACAAGGTCTACATGATTTTAGGACAATAGGCACAAAACAATTGTGGGGAAACAGGTCAGAGAGCCAGCTGGCCTCACAATTAATGCTGAGTGTGCGGAAGATGGGCCTCTTTTCTTTTTTTTCCTTTTCTTTTTTTTCTTTTCTTTTTTTTCTTTTTTGAGACAGAGTCTCACTCTGTCACCCAGGCTGGAGTGCAGTGACACAATTTTGGCTCACTGTGACCTCTGCCTCCTAGGTTCAAGCGATTCTCCTGCCTCAGCCTCCCGAGTAGCTGGGACTACAGGCACATGCCACCACACCAGGCTAATTTTTGTATTTTTAGTAGAGACGGGGTTTTATACGTTGGCCAGGCTAATCTCGAACTCCTGACCTCAGGTGATCCTCCCGCCTGGGCCTCCCAAAGCGCTGGGATTACAAGCGTGAGCCACCACGCCCAGCCAGCTGGGTTTATTTTCATTTCTCCCTGTCCTGATTAACTTTATAAAATGTATAGGAGTGGTTTCATCAAGATTGAGATGATCTCCCCCACCATTGGACATGACAAATAGAGGAGTGGTATGACAGAAACCATGTAGACTGAGCTGAAGATGGAAGACGGTGTTTTATTTATGTATGTTTTTATTTTTTATTTTTTAATTTTAATTTTAATTTTTATTTTGAGACGGAGTCTTGCTCTGTTGCCCAGGCTGGAGTGCGGTGGTGCAATCTCAGCTCACTGCAAGCTCCGCCTCCCAGGTTCACGCCATTCTCCCGCCTCAGCCTCCTGAGTAGCTGGGACTACAAGCGCCCACCACCACGCCCGGCTAATTTTTTGTATTTTTAGTAGAGACAGGGTTTCACTGTGTTAGCAAGGATGGTCTCGATCTCCTGACTTCGTGATCCGCCCGCCTCGGCCTCCCAAAGTGCTGGGATTACAGGCGTGAGCCACCGTGCCCAGCCGTTTTTATTTTTTTTAAGACAGAGTCTCACTCTGCCACCCAGGCTGGAGTGCAGTGGCACAATCTCAGCTCACTGCAACCTCCGCCTCCTGGGTTCAAGTAATTCTCATGCCTCCGCTTCCCGAGTATCTGGGATTACAGGTGTGTGCCACCACACCCAGCTAATTTTTGTATTTTGGATAGAGATGGGGTTTCACTTTGTTGGCCAGGCTAGTCTCAAACTCCTGAGTCTTGAACTCCTGACCTAAAGTGATCTGCCCACCTCGGCCTCCTAAAATGCTGGGATTACAGGCATGAGCCACCATGCCCAGCCACATCTTTTTTTTTTTGAGACAGAGTCTCACTCTGTCACCCAGGCTGGAATGTAGTGGTGCGATCTCAGCTCACTGCAACCTTGCAACCTCCACCTCCTGGGTTCAAGCGATTTTCGTGCCTCAGCATCCTGAGTAGGTGGAATTACAGGCGCAAGCCACCACACCCAGCTAATTTTTGTATTTTTAATAGAGACAGGGTTTCACCATGCTGGCCAGGCTGGTCTTGAACTCCTGACTTCAATTGATCCACCCACCTCAGCCTCCCAGAATGCTGGGATTACAGGTATAAGCCATCGTGTCCGGCTCTGTCTGGGTAAATGCTGGGTAATGCTCTGTCTGGGTAAATCCACTGCACCCAGCCTTACTTATGCATGTTTTTACATCCAAAGCAACTGTGGCCAAATAAGATTTTGTCAGAGACTGGCAGATTTAAATTCATTTATTTTAAAAGTAATATTTGGGAGGCCAAGGTGGGTAGATTGCTTGAGCCCAGGAGTTTGAGATTAGCCTGGGCAACATGGCGAAACCCTGTCTCTACAAAAAACACAAACATTAGCTGGGTATGGTGGTGCATGCCTGTAGTCCCATCTACTCAGGAGGCTGAGCTGGGAGAATCACCAGAACCTGGGGAGGTCAAGGCTGCAGTGAGCTTTGATTGTGCCACTGCACTCCAGCCTGGGCCACAGAGTGAGACCCTGTCTCAAAAAAAATTAAAAAGTATTAATTATTAGCTGGGTGCAGTGGCTCACACACTTTGGGAGGCTGAGGTGGGGGGATCGCTTGAGCTCAGGAGTTTCAGACCAGCCTGGGCAACAGAGTAAAATGCCATCTCTAAAAAAAAAAAAAAAATTAATTATCTACTGCGTGCCAGGCACTGTTCTAGGCAACAAAACAGACAAAGCCCCTGCCAGCATGAAGCTTACATTCTAGCAGAGAGACTGACGATCAACAAACAACCAGGTGTGACGTGATGTCAGGTAGAGATGAGCTTCCCGAAGAAAATAAACTGGAGAGAATAGTCAGTGGAAGGAACCTCCCAGCAGGGGACAATTGAGCATAGACTGAGGAGGGGAGGGAAGAAGCCAGGTGAATCTTCTGGAAAGAGGGAACAGCATATAGGAACTTGCTCTGTTGGTGTGCTTGGAGGAGAGCAAGCCTGAACAGAGAGTGGAGGTGAGGCCAGAGGGTGGACAGACCAGATTTACAGGATGTGGCGAGGGATGTTGGATTTTATTGTGTGATTTTGTTGTATTTTATTTATTTATTTATTTATTTATTTATTTATTTATTTATTTATGAGACAGAGTCTCTGTCACCCAAGCTGGAGTGCAGTGGTGTGATCTTGGCTCACTGCAACCTCCACCTCCCAGGTTCAAGCAATTCTCCTGCTTCAGCCTCCCCAGTAGCTGGGATTACAGGCATGCACCAGCACGCCTGGCTAATTTTGTATTTTTAGTAGAGACAGAGTTTCTCCACGTTGATCAGGCTGGTCTCAAACTCCCAACCTTAGGTGATCTGCCCACCTTGGCCTCCCCAAGTGCTGGGATTACAGGTGTGAGCCACTGCAGCCAGCCAAAGAGAGGAATTTTTACATCACTTTTAAATAAGCCCATTTTCAAATATATATAAAAATAAAAGAGTATGATTAACTCCACATGCCGGTCACTGGGCCTCACCAATTATCAACTCATGGCCAATGCTGTTTCATTTCTACCGTCTCTCATTGGCCCCACCCTCACCCCACTAGATAGTTTTAAAACACATCCCAGACATCACATCATTTCATGTACAGATTATTCATTTCATATCTCTGGAGATAAGGTTTGTTTATAGAAATATAACCACAATCCCGTGATCCATCTAAAAAATGCACCATAATTCTTTCCTATCATCGAATAGGCAGTCAGAGTTCAGATTTCTCTACTTGTCTGATAATTTAAAAACAAAACGAAACAAAACATTGGTCTGTTCGACTCAGCATCCAAAGTCCTTGGGTTGCATGTGGTTGATTTGTGGCTACAGTCTCTCTTATCTCTCGGTTCCCTCAAGGGAGGAATTCTTTTTAAAAAATGAATGGAAGAGGCAGGAGCATTTGAGGATAGTGATGGGCATGATTTGGCAGAAGGAGAGAGAGATGATGAATGATATAGGAGACAGGAAGAGAAAGAGGAGAAGAGGAGGAAATGAAGAGGAGGGAGGAGAAAGAGGGGGGAGGGCAGGAGGAAGAGGAGGAGGAGAGGAAGAGGAGGGAAGGAGGAGGGGAGGAGGAGGGGGAAGGAAGAGGAGGAGGAGGGGGAAAGGAAGAGGAGGAGGACAAGGGGAGGATGAAGAGGAGGGGAGGAGGAGGACAGGCAGAGGAAGAGGAGGAGGAGGGGAGGAGGAAAAGGAGGAGGAAGAGGAGGAGGGGGGAGGAGGAGGAGAGGAGGAGAAACTTCAATGGAAGAGGAAAGAGGGAGAGAAGGAGGGAGGTGGAAGGGAAGAAGGAAGGAAGGAAGGCAGGGAGGGAGGGAGAGAAGGAAGGAAGGAAGGGCGGGAGGCAGGGAAGGAAGGAAGGAAGGAAGGAAAGAAGGAAGGAAGGAAGGAGGGAGGGAGACCCCAATCCTTGAGAGAGGGAATCACAGGGACAGATGACAAGGGGGTTCCCTTCTGATGGCTTCTATGTGCACAGGGAAGTGTGGGACCTAGTCATGGGCTGGAGGGCAGGGGGGAAATGTAAGCACACCAGAGACACATAGAGAGTGCCCTGCGCCTGTCTGAGGCCTGTGATTTCTCTGATTCAGGTAAAACCCGTTGGGCTGGCTGGGTGGTTTCCTTCTGCTGGGCTCGGCTGGCACAGAGAAGAGGATGGCTGGAGTTTGGCCAGGTGAGTCCTTTAGAGGCCGAGAGGAGTGAGGAGTGTGAGAATGCTTGAAGGACGTGATTCAAAAGACAAATCACAGAAAGCAATGCTGAACAAAGTGAATAGATGGAGACAACAGGAAAAGGTTGGCAGAGAAGAGGAACCTGCGGCCAGGGTGTACCCCTCTCCTTCTGAAGAGCATCTTTTCCCTTAGCTTCTCAGGGGCTTCCATTTTATTTTGTTTTGTTTTGTTTATGAGAGATAAGGTCACATTTTGTAGACCAGGCTGGAGTCCAGTGGTACAATCATAGTTCACTGCAACCTCGGACTCCTGGGCTCATGCGATCCTCCCACCTCAGCCTCCTGAGTAGCTGGGACTATAGGCACATGCCACCACATCTGGCTAGTTTTTTCTTTTTTTAAGAGATAGGGTCTTGCTATGTTGCCCAGGATGGAGTGCAGTGGCTATGCACAGGCATGATCCCACCAGTGATTAACACAGGAGTTTTGACCTGCTCCATTTCCAACATGGGCCAGTTCACCCCTCCTTAGGCAACCTGGTGATCCCCCGCTCTCAGGAGGCCACCAAACTGATGCCAAACTTAGCGTGGACCCTGCATTGGCATAGTGTACTACAGCCCAGAACTCCTGGTCCCAAGTGATCCTCCTGCCTCAGCCTCCCGAGTATCTGGGACCACAGGTGTGTGCCACCATGCCTGGCTCCCTTACTTTAAAAAAAATAATAATTCTATCTATGTCCCTAAACTGCTTATTGTTTAGCTTTGCCTGTGTTTTGAAATGATATTTATTTTTGAGACAGAGTCTCACTGTGTTGCCCAGGCTGGAGTGCAGCGGTGGGATCATGGCTCACTGCAACCTCGACCTCCAGGGCTCAAGTGTTCCTCTCACCTCTGCCTCCTGAGAAGCTGGAACTACAGGCAGATCACGCCACCATGCCCAGTTTATTTTTAATTTTTCTTGCCATGTGGTCCAGGCTGGTCTTGAACTCCTGGCCTCAAGTGATGCCTCCTGGCTCGGCCTCCCAAAGTGCTGGGATTACAGACACGATTCACCACACCCTGTTGAAATGTTATATGTAAATGGGAGCACATCTGTGTTGCTGTGTGTAATGGAAATTGACTCATTTTCACTGCTGCATAATACTCCATTGAATAACTATACCACGATTTATCCAGTCTCCTATAGGTGGACATTTTCATTTCCTTTCCTTCTTTTTTCACCCTAAACTTTTTATTTTGGAGTAATTTTAAATTTACTGGAAACTTGGAAAGATGGTACAAAGAGTTACCACATCCCCCTCACCCTTTCCCTGATGTTGGCATCTTACTTTATCACAGGACAGTCATGTGCCACATAACAACGTTTTGGCCAATAAGAACTACACATATGACAGAGGTCCTGTAAGATTATAATACTGTATTTTTACTGTACCTTTTCTTTTTTCTTTTCTTTTCTTTTCTTTTTTGTTTGAGATGGACTCTCGCTCTATCGCCTAGGCTGGAGTACAGTGGCGAGGTCTCGGCTCACTGCAGCCTCCGCCTCCCAGGTTCAAGTGATTCTCCTGCCTCAGCCTCCCAAGTAGCTGGGATTACAGGTGCCTGCCACCACACCTGGCTAATTTTTGTATTTTAAGTAGAGATGGGGTTTTACCATGTTGTCCAGGCTGGTGTCGAACTCCTGACCTCAGGTGATCCACCTGCCTCGGCCTCCAAAGTGCTGGGATTACAGGCATGAGCCACCACGCCTGGTCTACTGTACCTTTCTATGTTTTGATGCACAAATACTTACCTTTGTGTTTCAGCTGCCTACAGTATTCAGTACAGTTGCATGCTGCATGTTTGTAGCCTAGGAACAATAGGCTACACCATACAGCCTAGCTGTGTGCTAGGCTATACCATCTGGGTTTGTACAGCTTACGACGTTCACGCAACAAGGAAAAAATCACCTGAAGATACATCTCTCAGACAGATCTCCGTTGTTAAGTGACACAACTATACATTTGTCAAAACTACAAAAACATTGGCCAGGCTCGGTGGCTCATGCCTAAAATCCTCATACTTTGGAAGGCCGAGGCAGGCGGCTCACCTGAGGCCAGGAGTTTGAGACCAGCCTGGCTAACACAGTGAAACCCCGTCACTACCAAAAAATAAAAAATGTATAAGCCAGGCATGGTGGTGCACTTCTGTAGTCCCAGCTACTCAGGAGGGTGAGGCAGGAGAATGGCTTGAACCTGGGAGGCGGAGATTGCAGTGAGCCCAGATGGCACCACTGCACTGCAGCCTGGGCGACAGAATGAGACCCTGTCTCAAAAAAAAAAAAAAAAAAAACACACACACACAAAACAGGCGGGGTGCAATGGTTCATGCCTGTAATTTCAGCACTTTGGGAGGCTGAGGCGGGCGGATCACCTGAGGTCAGGATGAGTTCTAGACCACCCTGGCCAACATGGTGAAACTCCGTCTCTACTAAAAGTATAAAAATTAGTTGGGTGTGGTGACGGGCGCCTGTAATCCCAGCTACTCTGGAGGCTGAGGCAGAACCTGGGAGGCGGTGGTTGCAGTGAGTCAAGATCATGCTATTGCACTGCAGCCTGGGAGACAGAGCCAGACTCCATCTCAAAAAAAAAAAAGGCTGGGCGTGGTGGCTCACGCCTGTAATCCCAGCATTTGGGAGGCCGAGGCCGGCAGATCACGAGGTCAGGAGATCGAGACCATCTTGACTAACACGGTGAAACCCCATCTACTAAAAATACAAAAATTAGCTGGGCGTGGTGTCGGGCGCCTGTAGTCCCAGCTACTCGGGAGGCTGAGGCAGGAGAATGGCGTGAACCCGGGAGGCGGAGCTTACAGCAAGCTGAGATTGCGCCACTGCACTCCAGCCTGGGCGACAGAGCGAGACTCTGTCTCAAAAAAAAAAAAAAACCCCAAAAAGTGGATACATTACTATTAACTAAATTCCAATCTTTGTTGAGATTTTTTCTTTTTTTTTTTTGAGACAGTCTTGCTCTGTTAACCAGATAGGAATGCAGTCCTGAGCTAAAGCAATCCTCTCGCCTTAGCCTGTGGAGTAGCTGGGACCACAGGTGTGTGCTACTATGCTTGGGTAACTTTTAAAATTTTTTCGTAGAGACAGGATCTCACCAAGTTGCCCAGGGTGGTCTTGAACTCCTGAGCTCAAGTGATCCTCCTGCCTTGGGGTCCCAAAGTGCTGGAATTACAGATGCCTGGCCTTTGTTGGAGATTTCTCTAGTTTTTTAAGTAATGTCTTTTTTTTTTTTTTTAGATGAAGTCACTGTCACTCTGTTTCCCAGGCTGGAGTGCAGTGGCACCATCTCAGCTCACTGACAGCAACTTCCACCTCCCAAATTCAAGCGATTCTCCTGCCTCAGCCTCCTAAGCCTTAGCTGGATTACAGGTGCCTACCACCATGCCCAGCTAATTTTTATATTTTTAGTAGAGATGGGGTTTCACCATGTTGACCAGGATGGTCTCAAATTCTCGACCTCAAGTTATCCACCTGCCTCGGCCTCCCACAGGGCTGGGATTACAGGCGTGAGCCACCATGCCTGGCCTATTTATTTATTTATTTATTTATCTTGTTCCAGGATTATTCAATCCAGAATCCAGGATCCAATCTGTTTCTTTCCTTTCTTTTCTGTTCTTTTTTTTGCTATTACAAACATTGCTGCTTGTTCTTCTGTTGCATCTCTTGGCGCACATGATCAAGAAGTTTTCTAGAGTTAACCCCTGGGTTTGTCAGTGTGGTTCTACCAATTTTACCTGTCACTAGTCCTGTATACTCAGTTCGTCTTGCTTCAGCAAACAGAAAAAAAAAAATGTTTTTTGATTCACCGAAGTGGTAGGTGTGCTGCGGTATCTTTGGTTTTAATTTGCATTCTCTTGTTGTTGTGGTTAGTCCTCACTTCATGTTTCCTCTTGTATGAAGTGCCTCTTCAAATCTTATATTCTTTTTTTTTATTAGGTTGTCACCTTAATTTGTAGGCCTTTAAAATAAATGCTAAATGCTTTTTTTTATTTGAGACAGAGTCTCGCTCTGTTGCCCAGCCTGGAGTGCAATGGTGCGATCTCGGCTCACTGCAGACTCAACCTCCCAGGTTCAAGCAATTCTCCTGTCTCAACTTCCTGCGTAGCTGGGATTACAGGCACGCACCAGCACACCTGGCTAAGTTTTGTATTTTTAGTGGAGATGGACGTTTCACCATGTTGGCCAGGCTGGTCTCGAACTCCTGACCTCAGGTGATCCACCTGCCTTGGCCTCCCAAAGTGCTGGGATTACAAGCATGCTTGGCTAATGCTAATTTTTTGTTTATGTGTTGCATTTATCTTCTGTGTCCATGAAGTGTTCAATGTCTATCAATGACAGAAGATGCTAATTTATTTCAGGAGCTTAAGTCCTGTTTTTTAACTAGATTCTCATCTGTCCAGTGGCTAGGATCCTTATTTCCTCCATCAAGAAGAGAGATTACATGGCTGAAACAAAGCATTTTTAAAATGTGTGCTAAATAAGCGAAAAAAAAAAAGAAAACAAGAAAAAGAAAAGAAGGCCAGGCACAGTGGCTCTCACCTGTAATCCTAGCACTTTGGGAGCTGAGGCGGGTGGATCACGAGGTCAGGAGATGGAGACCATCCTGGCTAACATGGTGGAACCCCGTCTCTACTAAAAATACAAAAAATTAGCTGGGCGTGGTGGCACGAGCCTGTAATCCCAGGTACTTAGAAGGCTGAGGCAGGAGAATCACTTGAACCCAGGAGACAGAGGTTGCATTGAGCCGAGATGGTGCCACTGCACTCCAGCCTGGGTTACAGAGCGCGACTCTGTCTCAAAAGAAAAAAAAGAAGAAAAAGAAAAAAGAAAAAAAGAAAGAAAATAAAAGAAACAAACAAAAAACCCCACAAAACAAAAAGTGTGCTAAATAAAGGAAGAACCCTCTGAAATTGTTTCCAGGAGTTTAATTCCTGCCTTAGCATGACCTGTAAGTCCCTATGCCATCTGCCCCTAGTTTCTTCACTCACGTGGTTCTGGCCACACTGGTCTCTCTTCTTCTGATTTTTTTTTTTTTTTTGAGACAGAGTCTCACTCTGTTACCAAGGATGGAGCACAATGGCGTGATCTCGGCTCACTGCAACCGCTGCCTCCCAGGTTCAAGAGATTCTCATGCCTCAGCCTCCCGAGTAGCTGGGACTACAGGTGTGCACCACCATGCCCAGATAATTTTTTGTATTTTTAGTAGAGATGGGGTTTCAACATGTTGGCCAGGCTGGTCTCGAACTCCTGGGCTCAAGTGATCAGCCTACCTGGGCCCCCCAAATTGCTGGGATTACAAGCATAAGCCACCATGCCTGGCCTCTCTGCTGTCTTTCAAAAGGGTTCCACATCTTCCTGCCTCAGTGCCTGTGCACGTGCTGTTCCCTCTCTTCTTCCCCCAGATATTTTCATAGGACCCTTCCTTACTTCCTTCAGATCTCTGCTCAATGCAATCTCACCAGAGAAGCCTTTACTGACCTGTATAAAACAATACCCTCTGACCCCATCCTCTTTCCTTTGTTTTTCTTCAAGGTATAACATACTGCATTATAAATGTATTTGCAGCCAGGCACGGTGGCTCACTCCTGTAATCCCAGCATGTTGGGAGGCCAAGGCAGGAAGACTGCTTGAGCCTAGGAGTTCAAAACCAGCCTGGCCAACATGGCAAAACCCTGTCTCTACTAAAAATACAAAAAATTAGCTGGGTGTGGTGGTGCAGGCCTGTAGTACCAGCTACTCAGGAGGCTGAGGTGGTATAATAGCTTGGGCCCAGGAAGTCAAGGATGCAGCGAGGCATGATTACAACAATGCACTTCAGCCTAGGTGACATAGTGAGACCCTGTATCAAAAAAATACAACAAAAAAAGTAAATGCATTTGCTTGTCCCCCTGTAGAGGTATGCTGTCAGTACCAGAGCCACTCGCTACAAGGTTCCATGGAGCCCTGGAAATGTGGCTGGTCTGAATTGAGATGTCCCGTGAATGTAAAATACTGTATATGTGGGGTTTTAAAGACAGCCCCAAAAGTGTAAATTATCTCTTAGTTTTTATACTGATAATGTGTTGAAATATTTGGGATTAAATATTACCAAATTAATTTCACTTGTGTTTCTTTCTCTTTTATTTTATTATTTACTTTTATTTATTTGATTTTTAGGTTTGGGTGTGTTGCCCAGGCTGGTCTTGACCTCCTGAACTCAAGCAATCCTCCTGCCTCAGCCTCTCAAAGTGTTGAGATTACAGGTGTGAACCACCACACCCGTCCCAAGCCATTTTTTTTTTTTTTTAAGAGAATGGGTCCCACTATGTTGCCCAGGCTGGTGCAGTGGCTCTACACAGACAGGGCCATAGCTCACTGCAGTCTCCAACTCTTGGGTTCAAGTGATCCTCCTGTCTCAGCCTCACAAGTAGCTGGGCTACAAGTGCCAGCCGCCACACCTGCCTTCTTTACATTTTGTTCCTTTTAAACATGGCTACTAGAAAATGTAAAATTACATAAGTGGCTGGTGCTTGAAGTTTGCATTTTATTACTACTGAACAGCACTGCTCTAAAACATAAGTTCCAGGAGGAGAGGAATGTCTGTTTGACCCAGACACTATATCTGAGCACCTAGAACAGAGACCCAATAAAAACTTGCTAAATGAAGGGATCCTAAAGCAAGATGACAGGCCCTCTTCTTTCCTCTGTTTCCTCCCCCAATAATCAATTAAAAAAAAAAAAAACTTTGAGGTATAATTTACATAAAAGTCACTCACTTAAGTGTATACTTACTGATTTTTAGAAATTTACTGAGTTGTGCAACCATCACCATAACCCTTTTTTTCCCCCATCAGAGTCTCGCTCTATCCCCCAGTCTGGGGTGCAATGGCCTGATCATATAGCTCACTGCAGCCTTGGACTCCCAGGCTCAAGCGATCCTCCTGCCTCAGCCTCCCAAGTAGCTGGGACTACAGGCGCATGCCACCATCTCCAGTTAATTTTTTTTTTTTTTTTTTTTTAGAGACAGGGTTTCACTAGGTTGCCCAGGTTGGTCTCAAACTCCTAGGCTCAAGGGATCCTCCTACCTTGGCCTCCCAAAGAGCTGGGATTACAGGCGTGAGCCACCACGCCTGGCCCATAGCTCAGTTTTAGAATATTTCCATTACCCAGATAAGATCCGCGATGCCCCTTTCCACCCCGGGCAACCACTAATCTGCTCTCATTCTCCACAGATCTTCAGCACTCCGTTTCTAAGGAATGAATTATCTGCCTCAGTTGCAGGACAGTTCAAACCCCTTGGCCAGGTCGGGCACGGTGGCTCAGGTCTGTAATCCCAGCACTTTGGGAGGCAGAAGCAGGCGGATCACCTGATCACCCGAGGTCAGGAATTTAAGACCAGCCTGGCCAACATGGTGAAACCCCGTCTCTACTGAAAATACAACAAATTAGCCGGGCGTGGTGGCACGTGCCTGTAATCCCAGCTACTCGGGAGGCTGAGACAGGAGAATCGCTTTAACCCGGGAGGCGGAGATTGCAGTGAGCCGAGATCGCACCACTGAACTCCAGCCTGGGCGGCAGAACAAGACCCTGTCTCAAAAAAAAAAAAAAAGAAAAAAAAGATGGTCCTTGGCCAGTCGGCACCAGGGCCTACCGCCCTTCCCAACACAGCTCAGCACGGAGCAGGGGCCCCAGATGGCTCAGCCTTTCCCCAAAGAAGGGAGGAATAGGCTGGGCGCGGTGGCTCTCACCTATAATCCCAATGCTTTGGGAGACTGAGGCAGGAGGATCGCTTGAGCCCAGGGGAACCAGGCTAGCCTGGGCAACATGGCGAGACCTTATCTCTAAAAAAAATGTAAAAATTAGCAAGGTGTGGCGGCGCCCGCCTGTGGTCGCTGCTACTCAAGAGACTGAGGCAGGAGGATCGCCTGAGCCCAGGAAGGGGAGGGTGCGGCAGCCGTGATCGCAGCCTGGGGAACAGGGAGAGACCCTGTCTCTGAAAAAAATTTTAAAAAAAGGGAGGAGCAGCTCGCCCCACATCTCCCCCACCCAATGACGCAGAAGAGACCCTGAGAGACTCCCGCGCTCGCGACAGGGTCCTCGGAAACAGACGATACGGCCTCCCAGCACCAGGACGCTGCTCAGAGGCCCCTCCGGGGACTGGGGGCAGCCATCCAGCGGCCGCCACCGCGTTCTAACACCGCCCACCAGGAACAATGGCTGGAGTGGAGGCTCCCGGGACTCTCGGCCTCGGGATGCGGGTCTTGGGGGACTGGCCCCTCCCCCCGCCGCTCCTCCCCGGCTCACTCTTCTCACTCTCCGCCCTCAACCGCCCCCTCCCAAAATGGCGACCAACCGCCTCCTTTCCCGCCCGCGGCAAGCCCCGCCCCTCGGAGAAGCAGCCGAGAGCGCGCGGCCAGGAGGCACGCGCGAGGCCGCTCTGGGAGGCGTGAGGCGGCCCGCGGTCACGTACGCGCGCCTGCGCCGCGCGTGAGCGAGGAGATCCGGGGGTGGGCCGGGCTGCGCGTGCGCCCCGGGCGGCGCGGGGAAGGCGGGAGGCCGCTGGGAGCCCCGCGAGGCGCCAGGCGCGAGGCCCGGCGCGCGAGCCCCCGGGGGCGGGTAAAACCCGGTTGCTGCTGCCCCTGCCCCTCCCTTTCCTCCTTATCCCCCATTACTATTATTTCCTCTTTTTTCAACCCCTCCCCCTTTTTACAATCTCATTCGTTTCTTGATTTCTTTTTTTAGGGGGCCCCATCTGCCTTTCGAGGGGCGCAGCAGGCGCGGCGGGCGCCCCTCACCCTGCGTCACGCACGCATCTTCTGCAACCCAACAGCTCCGGGCCCCGCTGCACCCCACAGGCCCTTCCCCCTTGGAGAAGACCCTCCTCAGGATCCCCTGGCCCGCTGCACCCCCTTTTCTTTCCCACTCCGTCCCCCCGGGCCTCAACTGCCCCCTCGCAGCCCCCCAGCTCGCGCCGCGGGCCCTACCCGACCTCCCCACCTTCTGCATCTGGGCCTTGCATTCGCTAGCCTCTTCCAGGCCCCTTCTGCTCAGAATCCCCCTTCCTCCTCCATAGTCCCACTTTGGGGCACCCAGATTTATCCCTTTTTAGGATCTTCCAGCAAAACTCCAAATCTCTCCTCCTTTCCTTGACATGCCCCTCCCCCTCCTTTAAGTAACTTCCCTTAGCGCAAAAAAAGAAAAAAAATTAACCCAGTTTTTTTTCATCCGTTCAGGATCACTTTCCAGCAAAATTTTTTTCTTCACACCTAGAGTGCCCCTTTTTGGAATATCTTCGCTTAGAACAAACCAACTAATTCCTTCCAGTTTCTCTCTCGTCTAATATTTATGTTTCCAGTCCTCCTCACCTACCCCCAACTTTCCAGCAAATATCCTTATTTTATCACCAATTCTGCCCTAATTAAGTTTCTCCCGGTAAAATTCTCTAGGTCTCTTCCCACGGGGGAAAAATAAGGAAAGAAGGAACAATTATTTCTTCTTACCAAAAAAACCTTTCCTCCTCACTCAAATCTCCGCTGTTGATACTGCTTTCTGCCTTCTTCCAAAAATTGTTGCTCTTCTCCATTTTCACATCTCTGTTCTTGTTTCTTTGGGACCCAAGTCCTGACTGCTTCTTCCTTCCCACCACCTGCTTTCAGGGCAAAAGAAATTGGGAGTATCCTGCATTTACCACTCAGTGTTCCAGGAGGACATATCCAGTGGTCTGCTTGTCACCTGAACCCCCTCCCTGTGGGGCCTAAACTGGGTCCTCCTGTTCCCTGGAGATTCACTAACTTGCTCTTCTGGTGAGTTTCCTTCCTTTGCACTGAGCCAAAGACACCTGCTTTGTTGGATAGATCTCGTTCTTTCTCAAGAGGGTTTCTAAGCAATACCAAAGTCCGTACTAATGGTAATCATACAAGTTACTGCTTTGGAGAAGTCAAACAGGGAAAAGGGCTATTTATTGTGCATGTTGACCTGTTAGGAGGAGTGCAGACATAGATTGATGTGTGTTTCTTTATTGATGTTTATTGCAAAAAACGTTTTTCCTTCCCTAGCTCAGGGTGGCAACTCAGATACTTACAGGTAAGGCACAGGTAAAGGGAAGAAGTAAGGATTGTCGTGAAGCAAAGATTGTATGTCCCATCTAAGTGATGCCAGGCAGTGGAAATGCCAGGCCAGTGTTGCCAGAACTTTCGATTTCTTTGAGAAGAGGCCAGAAAACTATCCTTAGGTGAAACCTTCTGATTTTTAAATGCTAGCAACACATTTGATAATTTAAGAATTAAATAAGACAGCGTAGGCTGGGCGCAGTGGCTCATGCCTGTAATCCCAGCACTTTGGGAGGCCGAGGCGGCTGAGGAGTTTGAGACCAGCCTGGCCAATATAGTAAAACCCTGTCTCTACTAAAAATACAAAAAATTAGTTGGATGTGGTGGCAGGCGCCTGTAGTCCCAGCTACTGGGAAGGCTGAAGCATGAGAATCGCTTGAACCTGGGAGGCGGAGGTTGTGGTGAGCCGAGATTGCACCACTGCACTCCAACCTGGGCAACAGAGCGAGACTCCGTCTCAAAAAAAAAAAAGACAGCATAGGGAACTTATAAAATATGCCTGCCGGCCACCACTTTGGAATTTTCAGTTTCGGGTTTCTTTCTTTTAGATGCGTGTCTGCTTGGGCACATGTGTATGTGGACATGCAGGACTTTTTCTTATTGGAATAGTAGTTCTCAAACTTTTTTTTTTTTTTTCTTTTTGAGATGGAGTCTCTCTCTGTTTCCCAGGCTGGAGTGCAGTGGTGCGATCTCGGCTCACTGCAACCTCTGCCTCCTGGGTTCAAGCAATTCTCCTGCCTCAGCCTCCCAAGTAGCTGGGACTGCAGGCGTGCACCACCACGCCCAGCTAATTTAAAACTTTTGCTCTTAAGACCCCTTTGCACTTAAAAATTATTGAAGGCTGTAGAGAATTTTTGTTTATGTAAACTTTATCTACTGGCATTTGCTGTATTAGAAGTTTAAACTAATCAACTTTCAAAATGTTTATTAATTGATTTTAAAAGGGCAGTAATAAACCCATTATATATAAACAAAAAAACAAAATGCGCTTTTTTTTTTTTTTTTTTTTTTTTAGGACAGAGTCTTGCTCTGTCGCCCAGACTGGAGTGCATTGGCACTATCTCAGCTCACTGCAAACTCTACCTCCCAGGTTCAAGTGATTCTCATGCCTCAGCCTCCTGAGTACCTGGGATTACAGGTGCCCACCACCATGCCCGGCTAATTTTTGTATTTTTAGTAGAGACGGGTTTTCACCATGTTGGCAAGGCGGTCTCAAACTCCTGGCCTCCAGTGATCTGCCTGCGTCAGCCTCCCAAAGTGCTGGGATTACAGGCATGAACCACCACGCCCAGCCAAAATGGACTTTTTTTTTTTTGGAGATGGAGTCTCGCTCTGTCGCCCAGGCTGGAGTGCAGTGGAGTGATCTCGGCTTGCTGCAAGCTCTACCTCCTGGGTTCACACCATTCTCCTGCCTCAGCCTCCCGAGTAGCTGGGACAACAGGCACCCGCTACCACTCCTGGCTAATTTTTTGTATTTTTAGTACAGACAGGATTTCACCGTGTTAGCCAGGATGGTCTCGATCTCCTGACCTTGTGATCTGCCCGCCTCAGCCTCCCAAAGTGCTGGAATTAGAGTCGTGAGCCACCGTGCCCGGCCAGAGAAAATGACTTTACCTTCTGGTTAAAATTAGTTATTGGTTACATAACTATAAGACTATAGGAGGGAGTCTTTGTGCTTTGTTTTGCTCTTTTCTTTTCTCCTTTCTTTTCTTGAGACAGGGTTTCGCTGTTTGCCCAGGCTGGAGTGCCGTGGTGTGATCCTGGCTCACTGGAGCCTCGACCTCCCAACATCAAGCAATCCTTCTGCTTCAGTCTCCCGAGTAGCTGGGACCACAGGTGTGCACCACCACACCTGGCTAATTTTTGATTTTTTTTGTAGAGATGGGTGGGGGGCGGCGGGGATCTCACTTTGTTGCCCGGGCTGGTCTTGAACTCCTGGACTCAAGCAATCTTCCTACCTAGGCCTCAGAAAGTGCTGGGATTACAGGCGAGAATGACCTTGCCCAGCTGGAAGTCTTTCTTGATTGTTCTACTTAAGAATGTAGGCACGAGTGTGAAGCAGGAGTCCCAGTCTCAAGTGTGTGATAAAAGCATAGTGGAGCGGGCAAGCGTAAGGGTTTCGAAATTAGACTACCCAGGGTTGAATCCTAGCTTGGTTTTGGGCAAGTTACTCAACTTCTCTGGACTATTTACCTCATTGGTGAAATAGGGTTAATAATACAGTATATGCCTCAAGTATTGTGGGAATTAAATACGATGACATACAAGTGATTACAAGAGTACCTGGCATGTCATAAAGCCTCAATAAATGTTCACTGTTATTATTATTATTATTATTACAATGATGAATATTATAAGGGCCAGGCAGGAAGATAAGTGAGGGCTGGGAAAACTGGAGACCATAAGCCCTTTCTAGAGATGCCATTTGTCCCTCAGATCTACCTCGTTGTTAACTGTGAAGGAATATCAAATCTAATCATTTTCAAAAGAAACCAGAAATCCATATAGGAAGGTGAAATCTCCCCATTAAAAAAAAATGTTGATGACTAATCCAATTTGTAAAAATACTGTGTAGGCCAAACAAAATGGGTCTATAGTTTACAATAATATTTGGAGTGGAGGCTGGGCACAGTGGCTCACGCCTGTAATCCTAGCATTTTGAGAGGCCGAGGTGGGTGGATCACGAGGTCAGGAGTTTGAGACCAGCCTGGCCAACATAGTGAAACCTCGTCTCTACTAAAAATACAAAAATTAGCCCAGTGTGGTGGTGTGCACCTGTAGTCCCAGCTACTCGGAAGGTTGAGGAGGAAAATCACTTGAACCCAGGAGGCGGAGGTTGCAATGAGCCAAGGCCACGCCATTGCACTCCAGCCTGAGTGACAGAGAGAGACTTCAACTCAGGAAAACAAAAAAAATTGGAGTAGGAAAGTAAGGAAGGAAATTGCAGGCCGGGTGCAGTGGCTTGCACCTGTAATACCAGCACTTTGGGAGGCTGAGGCAGGTGGATTGCTTGACGGCAGGAGGTCGAGGCCAGCCTGGCCAACATGGCAAAACCCTGTCTCTATTAAAAATACAAAAATTAGCCAGGTGTGGTGGCACATGCTTGTAAACCCAGCTACTCGGGTGGCTGAGATGGGAGAATCGCTTGAATCCGCGAGGTGGAGGTTCAGTGAGCCGAGATCACGCCACTGCACTCCAGTCTGGGCGACAGAGTAAGACCCTGTCTCAAAAAATAAAATAAAATAAAATGAAGGAAATTGCATAGCTAGGGTGAAAGCTGCAAGTCTGTCTGCTCAACTCCCAGGAACCTGCTGTTACTCAGACTTGATGACCCTTTCCCTGGTAACATGGATGCAGGGAGAGAAGGGAGAAGGTGGTGCTTAGGAGGTGGGGGGTGTGGTGGCAGAACAGTGGTTGGAGCTTTTCAAAGAGGAAAAGAGGTGGCACAATGGAATTCTGTCACTCATGAATGAAAAGGATGCTCAGAGCCTTCTGTGATCAAAGTTCTGTGCTAGGCAAGATACTGTGAGAAGTTTAGACACCTAAGGCCGAGTCCCAGCCATCCTAGAGCTGAGAGTCTGGAGAAAATGGGAGAACTTTAAAGATAATTAACTTCCTAGATAATTTAGAGTAAATGTTAAGTGGATTGTTACACAAGTGCTTGTCAGGGTTCAGAGGAGGGAGAAATTAATCTCAGACTTTGTTATGTTGGAAGTGTTCTCTATAGTGGAGGTGACATTTAAGCCTGAGTTTGGAGGGTTTCATTTGGAGGGTCATAAACTCAGATGCCTCCAGAGGCCTGGCAGGGCACAGAAATCAGTGAGCTGAGAGAATAGGGAGTGGTGGGGGCTTCTCACCTCCAACCAATTGTTGCCTTGCAGGAATGTGGACTCAGCATTGGCAGATCTTCTGATTTTTTCTTTCACATTTTTAAATAGAAGTTGGAAAGCCTAACTTGAATGAGAAATCCCTAGATTTGCACCATCTGATATGGTAGCCATTAGCCGCTTGTACCTGTTTAAATTTAACTGGCCAGGCGCGGTGGCGCACGCCTGTAATCCCAGCGCTTTGGGAAGCCGAGGAGGGCGGATCATTTGAGGTAAGGAGTTCGAGACCCAGCTTAGCCAACATGGTGAAACCCCATCTCTACTAAAAATACAAAAATTAGCTGGGCATGATGGCGGGCGCCTGTAATCCCCAGCTACTCAGGAGGCTGAGGCAGGAGAATCACTTGAGCCCAGGAGGTGGAGGTTGCAGTGAACTGAGATTGCACCACTACACTCCAGCCTGGGTGACACAGTGAGACTCTGTCTCTAAATAAATAAATAAATAAATAAATTTAACTAAACTTAAATAAAATAAAGAGTTTAGTTCCTCAAGGGTGTTAGCTGCATTTCTGTGTATGTGGCTAAAGACTGCAGTATTGGGCAGTGCAGGCTTAGTAGCACAGAAAGTGCTTTTGGATAGTGATGCTCTAGTGCTCTATCCATCTATTTTTCTATTATTTATTTTATTTTATTTATTTATTTATTTATTTTTGAGATGGAGTCTCGCTCTGTGGCCCAGGCTGGAGTGCAGCGGCCTGATCTTGGCTCACTGCAAGCTCCGCCTCCCGGGTTCATGCCATTCTCCTGCCTCAGCCTCCCGAGTAGCTGGGACTACAGGCACCCGCCACCACGCCTGGCTAATTTTTTGTATTTTTAGTAAAGACGGGGTTTCACCATGTTAGCCAGGATGGTCTCAATCTCCTGACCTTGTGATCCGCCCGCCTCAGCCTCCCAAAGTGCTGGGATTACAGGTGTGAGCCACCGCACCTGGCCTTATTTTATTTATTTATTTATTTTTGAGATGGAGTCTGGCTTTGTCACCAGGATGGAGTGCAGTGGCATGATCTTGGCTCACTGCAACCTCCGCCTCCCAAGTTCAAGCAATTCTCCTGCCTCAGCCTCCTGAGTAGCTGGTACTACAGGTGAGTGCCACTATGCCGAGCTAATTTTTGTAGTTTTGGTAGAGATGGGGTTTCACTATATTGGTCAGGCTGGTCTTGAACTCCTGACCTCAGGTGATCTGCCTGCCTCAGCTGTCCAAAGTGGTGGGATTATAGGTGTGAGCCACCATACCTGGCCCCATCTATTCTTTAACTGGATAACTAATGGAAACATATTTAAATATATTGCAGACTAAATAAAATATATTTGTAAATCAGATGGGCATTCAGATTGTTCCCTCCCCTCCAAACAACACACATAGTAAATATTATTTATCTATTGTGGACTTACTTCTACAGTCTAGAATCTCATGGTAGGTTACCTTCCCAAAAGGTCGTAGCATTTCATAGAAGAATCCTTTGTTTCCCCTCACCCCCACCAGTCATGGAATGATGGCCCCTTTAAATTTTATTTTATTTTTTTTTGAGATGGAGTCTCACTCTGTCACCCAGGCTGGAGTGCAGTGGCACAATCTTGGCTCACTGCAACCTCCGCCTCCCGGGTCCAAGAGATTCTTGGGCCTCAGCCTCCTGAGTAGCTGGGGTTACAGGCACCCACCACCATGCGCGGCTAATTTTTGTATTTTTAGTAGAGACGGGGTTTCGCCATGTTGGCCAGTCTGGTCTCGAACTCCTGACCTCAAGTGATCCGCACACCTCAGCTTCCCAAAATGCTGGGATTACAGACGTGAGCCACTGCGCTGGGCTGATAGCATTTTTTTAAAAGAAAAAAAATTAAAATTGCTTCGGATCCCCAATGTTGACTTAAATTGTTTTAAAACTATTAAGGCATCAGTGATGATAGAACAAGACATAAGTTCCTAAAGTGTATAGCTCCTGTGCAGCTATAAAGCCAAAATCAATTTGCAAATTAAATATAAACAAAGCAACCAAACCGATTTAATTTAATGAGAGGGATACCATTTCCTGAAACTTACCTGCTCCTTGAAACAATTACTTTGCCGACTGCCACTCTGGGCCCTTTTGGGTTTAGCAGGCCCTGTGAGGTCTCAATTCTCCCATCCCTTGTCTCAATTTGAACTGCAGCAAAACTTCCATTTGTACCGTGATGCCAGCTGGCCTCTAGTAGAGCCCGAAGGCATTATTATGAACTAAATCCCCCTCCATCCTCTTCTTTTTAGCCTGAAGCAATTAAGTAGTCCTTTTTGGCATGAGTGCAATCATAAACACACCCAGGCATTGAAACCACATGGTAGTACTCGGTTACAAGGGAGTCCTCTAATGATCCAGATGTACTGGGTTTTTCTTTTCTTTTTTCTTTTTTTAGTTTTTTATTTCCATAGATTTTGGGGGAACAGGTGGTACTCGGTTATATGAGTAAGTTCTTTAGTGGTGATTTGTAAGATTTTAGTGTACCCATCACCCAAGCAGTATACATTGAACCCAATTTGTAGTCTTTTATCCCTCATCCCCTCCCACCCTTTCCCCCCAAGTCCCCAAAGTCCATTGTATCATTCTTATGCCTTTAATCCTCATAGCTTAGCTCTCACTTACAAAGTGAGAACATACGATGTTTGATTTTCCATTCCTGAGTTACTTCACTTAGAAGAATAATAGTCTCCAGTTCAATCCAGGTTGCTGTGAATGCCATTATTTCGTTCCTTTTTATGGCTGAGTAGTATTCCATCATATATATATTTCTTTATCCACTCCTTGATTGATGGTGGGCATTTGGGCTGGTTCCGTATTTTTGGAATTGCAAATTATGCTGCTCTAAACATGCATGTGCAAGTATCTTTTTCTTATAATGACTTCTTTTCCTCTGGGTAGATACCCAGGAGTGAGATTGCTGGATCAAATGGTAGTTCCACTTTTTGTTCTTTAAGGAATGTCCACACTGTTTTCTATAGTGGCTGTACTAGTTTACATTCCCACCAGCAGTGTAGAAAGGTTTCTTGTTCACCGCATCCATGCCAACATCTGTTATTTTTTTATTTTTTGATTACGGCCATTCTTGCAGGAGTAAGGTGGTATCCCATTGTGGTTCTGATTTGCATTTCCCTGATCGTTAGTGATGTTGAGCATTTAAATGAAAACACAAAATGATAAAATTCTTGGAAAGAGTATTTGGGTCCTTGGGAATGTCTGCCGGGTTGCAGGAGACCATAAACTCTGCCTCGTAAGGGCTAGCAGAGAGTTTTGTACCTAGAAGGTGCTAAAACTCTTGTTGAATTGAATGTATTTGTTGACAGAATAAAAGGAAGCTCAGTATCGGTAGAGAGGGTTTTGCTTTACTGTCTGGAGAAGGATGTAAATATCAAGGCATGGCCTTTGGACTTTTGGCTTGCCTGTCTGAGGTTGTAACCTGACCAGTTTGTTCTGTGGACTATGGGAGTATATTGGAAAGCAGGTGATTTGGCCTTGGGGAGTCCAGAGACATTCTTCCCCCTGACCCAGCACCTTATGTGTTTTGTAGTTTAATTGGAGCAGTGCAGTATACAGTTCAGTTTATAGGGAATCAGTACTGTGTAATGGGCAAGACCATTAGCGCTAATGTCAGAGTATCTGGGTTTAAGATCTGGCTGTTGGGTTTTGACTTTGGACAAATTAGTCTCTCTTATTTGTAAAAGGGAAGTAATACTACAATCTAGGTTTTTGTGAGAAGTAAGTTAATGCATATAAAGCACTTGGTATGATACCCGATGTGGAGAAAGTGCTTAATAAATACGATTTTTAGGCCAGGCGCGGGGGCTTATGCCTGTAATCCCAGCACTTTGGGAGGCCGAGGCGGGTGGATCACCTGAGGTCAGGAGTTTGAGACCAGCCTGACCAGCGTGGTGAAACCCTATCTCTACTAAAAGTACAAAAATTTGCCAGGCGTGGTGGTGAGTGCCTGTAATCCCAGGTACTGGGAGGCTGAGACAAGAGAATTGCTTGAACCCAGGAGGCAGAGGTTGCAGTGAGCCGAGATTGCACCACTGCACTCTAGCCTAGGGGACACAGCAAGACTTCGTCTCAAAAAATATATATGTGATTTTTATTCACTTGTTTTTATTATTGGGAGATGCAGGGGGAGATGGGTTTTTCCCCTCATAGAGTGGTGAAAACAGTTTATAGCAGCACTGTAGCAGACACTGTGGAACTGGTGAAATTTGAATTTGGCTTACAGATCCACACTCCTCTCCCTGATTTTTTGGAAACCCAAAAAGCTCTGAGAATCCTGAGGCATCTCGAATATCATCTGGTGGCCAAACCTGACCCTACATGTTGCTTTTCACAGCCTTTATTTCACGTACGCTGAGTGGTCATAGGCAATGATGCAGAAATAATTATTTGGTTACCAGGTACTGCCTTGAACCCCACTGGAAGTTACTTAAAATACGGGGTATGCATTGATTTACACTTCTAAAACCCCCTCAAATTCTGAAACTCAGTTGGGTCTCAGAGTTGTATATGGGATTACGTACCTGTATGTGACTTTAAATTTGTGCTGCCTCAATAGGCTGCATACACGCAGACAGGCAGGTAGACATATAACATGCAATGCAGACATTGCAGGTGCAGAGGTTCTATTACATATCAACATGAAAAGTTCTTAGAAAGTAGAAACTGGTGGCCTAGAAATCTAGTCCCAAACTCCCGTTATTCAAGTATGCACTAGATTTGTTATTCAGTGAGTCATGAAGCATTTCTTTAACATCTAGGTGTGAGCAGAATTATTCACAATAGCCCCCAAATGGAAGTAACCCAAATGTTCATCAACAGGAGAGTGGTTAAACAAAATGTGGTCTCTCCAGACAGGGGAACATTATTTAGCCCTGGAAAGAAATGGAGCAGTGACACGTGCTGCAATGGGGGTGAACCTTGAAAACACTGTGCTTAGTGAAAGAAGCCAGACACAGAAGGCCACAGGTCATCTGATTCCATTTGTGTGAGACAGATGGCCATCTGAAGGGGCTATGCTTTTTTGTTTTCATGACTCATAATTTTTTGCTGAAAAACTCGATCTCTCATTTTTCTCAAGCTTCCATGATTCGAAAACTGGACATTTTATCTGTTTGGTTTTTTTTGTTTTGTTTTTTGTTTTTAGTTTTTTTTGAAATGGAGTCTCAGTCTGTCACCCAGGCTGGAGTGCAGTGGCACAATCTCAACTCACTGCAGACTCCATCTCCCGGGTTCAAGCGATTCTCCTGCCTCAGCTTCCTGAGTAGCTGGCATTACAGGCACACACCACCACGCCCAGCTAATTTTTGTATTTTTAGTAGAGATGGCGTTTCACCATGTTGGCCAGGCTGGTCTTGAACTCCTGACCTCAAGTGATCCGCCCTCCCGGACCTCCCAAAGTGCAGGGGTTACAGGCATGAGCCAGCGCGCCTGGCCTGTTTTTGTTTTTTTTGGGGAGACAGTCTCTGTCGCCCAGGCTGGAGTGCAGTGGCACGATCTTGGCTCACTGCAGCCTCCACCTCCCGAGTTCAAGCGATTCTCCTGCCTCAGCCTCCCGTGTAGCTGGGATTGCAGGTGCCTGCCACCACAGCCAGCTAATTTTTATATTTTTAGTAGGGACGGGGGTTCGCCATGTTGGCCAGGCCAGTCTTGAACTCCTGACCTCAGGTGATCCACCCGCCTCGGCCTCCCAAAATGCTGGGATTACAGGCGTGAGCCACTGCACCCAGCCTGTAAACTGGATATTTTGCATATTGCAGTCTGGTAACTCTGGGAATGGGATTCTTCCTTTCTTCCCTGTCCTCAGGCTTGGTTGTTTCTGCTTATTGTGGGTTGTAACTGTTTGTTTAGTGGCTTTTCTAAGCTATTTTTGTAAAGATTGTGTTCTTTGTGGGGTGTGGTCAGTAGTCTGTTCTGTTAGTTTAGTGGTCAGCTAGTGACTTAACAGAGATCTTCTTAAACTCCTGGAGCTAAAAAAAAAACAAAACAGAAAACAAAAAACAAAAAGCTCCCAGTAGTTGCAGCGGGGCACTGCTTCCACACTCAGGCAGGCGGTTAACAACCCTACCTTCGCCTTCACTCTCTGCCTGCACAGAGCGAAGGTCAGCCAGAGGTGAGAGCTTGGAAGCCTTCTCTGGTCCTTTCCAAACATGTGCCCACCCTGAGATGCCACCTTCTAAATTCCCAGGAATATGTGGAAGCTCTTTTTTTATTCATTTGGATTTTTTAATTTTTTTAATACTTAATTAATTAATTATTTTGAGACAGGGTATCACTTTGTTGCCCAGGCTGGAGTGCAGTGGCGCAATCATAGCTCAATGAAGCCTCCAATTCTTGGGCTCAAGCGATTCACCCTCCTCAGCCTCCCAAGTAGCTGAAACCACAAGCATGTGCCACCATGCCCAGCTAATTAAAAAAAAATTTTTTTTCATAGAGACAGGGTCTGACTTTGTCAAACTCCTGGGCCAAAGTGCTGGGATTACAGGTGTGAGCCACCACACCCAGCCAGAGCTCAGTCTCTGTGTTGTATAGTTCTGTGGGTTTTGACTATGGTATAATGTCAGGTATGCAGCATTAGATTATCATGCAAAATAGTTTCACTCCTCACCCCACAAACCACACAACTGCTGGTCTTTTTATTGTCTCTATAGTTTTGCCTTTTCCAGAATGTGATATAGTTGGAGTCTCACAGTATGTAGTCTTGTCTTTCTTTTTTTTCGGTATGTAATCTTTTCATACTGGCTTCCTTCACTTAGCAATGTGCATTTAAGGTTCCTCCATGTCATTGTGTGGTTTGATAGCTTATTGCTTTTTATTCCTGAAGAACATTCCATTGTCTGGATGTTCCACAGTTTGTTGATCCATTCACCTATTGAGGGATGTCTTGATTGCTTCCAGTTTTGGGCAGTTATGAACAAAGCTGCTATAAACATGTGTGTGCAGGCTTTTGTGTGGACTGAAGTTTTCAGCTCAGTTGGATGGATGCCTAAGAGTGTAGTTGCTGGATTGCATGATAAGATTTTATACATATATATATTACAATCATCAAATAGATGCAGAAAAAAACTATGTGTAGCTTTATAAGAAACTGCCAGTGTGGACTTTTTTTTTTTTTTTTTTTTGGGACAGAGTTTTGCCCTTGTCTCCTAGGCTGGAGTGCAGTGGCGCAATCTTGGCTCATTGCAACCTCCACCTCCCACATTCAAGTGATTCTCCTGCCTCAGCCTCCCAAGCAGCTGGGATTACAGGCACCTGCCACCATGCCCAGCTAATTTTTGTGTTTTTAGTGGAAACGGAGTTTCACCGTGTTGGCCAGGCTGGTCTCAAACTCCTGATGTCAGGTGATTCACCTGCCTCGGCCTCCCAAAATGCTGGCATAACAAGCATGAGCCACCATGCCTGGCTCATTTTTTCAAAGCCTTTATTTCTCCAAAGTATCCAACTTCCCAGCTTTTCCTCCCTGGCTTTTAGCAAGTCAGTTGTTTGCCCCAATCAATATCTTTTGCGCCAGCCTGCAGCATCTAGTTCATTTGACTTTAATGTTTGCAACAAACGCCCTGTCTGTAGCCACTCTGCACCCCAGAGAGCTGCCAGTTAGGTACAAAAAAAGGCAAGATCTTTGCATTGGGCTTTCAGGGAGCCACTGACAGGTCAGACAGACAACCACTGTTCTTTGAAAACCAGATCCTCTCTGTTCCCTCCAGCACCAGGGAACCCACACCAGAAACATGGGCTGCTACCTTCGAGACCACTGCTGAGCCAGGGAGTAGGGATGGGGCAGGGGTAAGTTAAATATGCCACAAAGTTCTCCCACTGGGTTTCAGTCACCATTTTTTTTTTTTTTTTTTTGAGACAGAGTCTTGCTCTGTCACCCAGGCTGGAGTGCAGAGGCACAATCTCGGCTCACTACAACCTCCGCTTCCTGGGTTCGAGCGATCCTCCTGCCTCAGCCTCGCAAGTAGCTGGGACTACAGGCGTGCACTACCACACCCAGCTAACTTTTATATTTTCAGTAGAGATGGGGTTTTACTATGCTGGCCAGGCTGGTCTCAAACTCCTGGCCTCAGGTGATCTGCCCATCTCGGCCTCCTAAAGTGCTGCGATTACAGGCGTGAGCCTGTAATCAAACATCAAAGTCACCTTTTTCTTAGGGTTTGCTTGGTTGCTATAAAGCTTTGACTGCTTCCCAGAGTTTTGTTAAAGTTGATTTTTTGTTTTTGGTGTTTCTATGGCAAGATGTACAGGGAGCTTTAAAATTACTAGTTGAGTCTGTCTTTCTTTCCTTCCTTCCTTCCTTCTTTCTTTCTTTTCTTTCTTTCTTTTTTTTGAGATAGAGTTTCACTCTGTTGCCCAGGCTGGAGTGCAGTGGCACGATCTCAGCTCACTGCAACCTCTGCTTCCCGGGTTCAAGTGATTCTTGTGCCTCAGCCTCCTGAGTAGCTGAGATTACAGGTGCCTACCATCATGCCCAGCTAAGTTTTTGTATTTTTAGTAGAGATGGGGTTTCACCATGTTTGTCAGGCTGGTCCCAAACTCCTGACCTCCAGTGATTTGCCCACCTCGGCCTCCCAGAGTGCTGGGATTACAGGCGTGAGCCACTGTGCCTGGCCCAGTCTTTTTATTTCTCATAGGTCTATTCAGAAATTCTGTTTCTTGGCTGGGCGCGGTGGGTCACGCCTGTAATCCCAGCACTTTGGGAGGCCGAGGCGGGTGGATCACGAGGTCAGAAGTTCAAGACCAGCCTCGCCAAGATGGTGAAACCCCGTCTGTACTAAAAATACAAAAAGTTAGCCGGGCGCGGGGGCGGGCACCTGTAGTCCCAGCTACTCGGGAGGCTGAGGCAGGAGAATGGCGTGAACCTGGGAGGTGGAGCTTGCAGTGAGCGGAGATGGCGCCACTGCACTCTAGCCTGGGCAACAGAGTGAAACTGTCTCAGGAAAAAAAAAAAAAAATTAGCTGGGCGTGGTGGTGGGCACCTGTAATCCGGCTGAGACAGAGAATTGCTTAAACCCGGGAGGCGGAGGATGCAGTGAGCTGAGATTGCGCCACTGTACTCCAGCCTGGGCGACAGAGCGAAACTCCATCTCAAAAAAAAAAAAGAAATTCTGTTTCTTCTTGAGTAAGTTTTGGTAATTTGTATCTTTCTAGCAGTTTGCCCATTTTAATCTGTTATCTAATTTAAATAACTAAGTTAATGTATCTAAGTTATCTAATTTTTTAATTATCTGAATACAGTTGTTTATAGTATTATTTTATTTCTATTTATTTATTTATTTATTTTTTGAGATGGAGTCTCGCTCTGTTGCCCAGGCTGGAGTGCAGTGGCACGATCTCGGCTCACTGCAAGCTCCGCCTCCTGGGTTCATACCATTCTCCTGCCTCAGCCTCCCGAGTAGCTGGGACTACAGGCGCCCACCACCATGCCCGGCTAATTTTTTGTATTTTTAATAGAGATGGGGTTTCACCGTGTTAGCCGGGATGGTCTCGATCTCCTGACCTCATGATCCGCCCACCTCGGTCTCCCAAAGTGCTGGGATTACAGGCGTAAGCCACCACGCCTGGCCTGTAGTATTCTTTTATAATCCTTCTTATTTTTTCTAAGGCCATTAGTGATGTGTTTCCTCTTTAATTCCTAGTTGCAGTACTATGAGTCTTTTCTCTCTTTTCCCTACAGTATTTTAAAGTAAACTCTGCTGCCCCACTCCCCCTGCCCATTTTGGGGGGAATAAATTCTACTAGTTTAGATGTTATGTGGTTTATTTTTCTTCTCTTGGTGGTTATACTTAGATTCTTTTAGTGTGCAAGCTTAAAAGTATGAAGTTACCATCATCTCTTTTTTTTTTTTCCCAATTGATTCAAAACTTTTAGTCATTTTTTGGACCAGGGTCTGTAAGGTAGATTCTTAGGCCTTGTGTGTAAAAGTCTATAAGCTCCCAGGCTGAAGTGATCCTCCTGCCTCAGCCTTCTGAATAGCTGGGACTACAGATAGACGCCACCACACCTGGCTGATATTTTAATTTTTTGTAGAAGCCAGTCTTGCTGTCTTGCCCAGGCTGGTCTCAAACTCTTGGCCTCAAGCAATCCTCCCTCCTCTGCCTCCCAAAGTGTTGGGGTTACAGATGTGAGCCCTGGCGCCCAGCCTCCTCCCTCCCTCTCTCATGCCTGTATGTTGAGCTCTGTGCTGGCTGACTTTTCCTTAGTCCACTGATGATATTCTTATTCTTATCTTCGAGGCTTGTTTCTGTTGAGAAGTTTGCCATCAGGGTAATTGTCATTCTTTTGTAGACTTGTAGAATGCTCAGCTTTGTCATCTCTCACTGGCTATTTTTTTCTGGTTCTTGGGGGTACTTTTCTAGGCTTGTGTGAAGCTTTTCTTTTCATTTATTTAGTTTTCCTGTGGATGGTTCAGCTCTTCCAGGGCCCCAGGCCTCCGTTTCCTGGGAACTCAAGGCCCTGTTTCCCTCACCCACGTGTCTGCTATCATCCCAGGTCCCAGACGGCAGGGCAGCATTTGATAATACAGAATACGAGCCATATATAATCTAAATTTCCTAGGAGCCACATTAAAAAGATAAGCAGATGAAGTTAATTTTAATAACATGTTGCATTTAGCCCATTATATGGAAAATATTACCATTCCAGGCTGGACTCAGTGGCTCACGCCTGTAATCCCAGCACTTTGGGAGGCCAAGGCAGGTGGATCATCTGAGGTCAGGAGTTCGAGATCAGCCTGGGAAACATGGTGAAACCCTATCTCTACTAAAAATACAAAAATTAGCCAGGTGTGGTGGCGTGCACCTGTAGTCCCAGCTACTTGGGATGCTCAGGCAGTAGAATCACTTGAACCTGGGAGGCAGAGGTTGCAGTGAGCCGAGATCCCGCCACTGCACTCCAGCCTGGGCGACAGAATGAGACTCCATCTCAAAAAAAAAAAAAAAGGAAAAGAAAAAAAATTATCATTCCACATTTAATCTATATAGAAACGTATTAAATTGACTTTTTTGGGTACAAAGTTTTCCAAATCCAGGTTGTATTTTACACTCACAGCCTGTCTCAGTTCAAGCCAGCCACATTTCAAGTGCTTCACAGGGCCATGTGCGCTGGTTCACACCTGTAATCCCAGCACTTTGGGAAGCCAAGGTGGGAGGATCGCTTGAGCCCAGGAGTTCGAGACCAGCCTGGGCAACATGGTGAGACCCCATATCTTAAAAAAAATTATCCATTTTCGATTTGATATCTGTAAAAAATTAAAAGAAAAAATCAAGTACTTCATAGCCACATGGAGCTAGTGGCCACCATATTGGACAAATGGCTCTAGGCCCTGTATCTGATTCTGATTTTCCCCTGGGGCCTACGTGAGCTTACACCTCCAGCATTGAGTTTTCTTGTTGCTGCTGGCACTTGGGATTTTTCCTGTCTTTTGACCTAGGCTATGTGTTAAAAAATTATCTTTTGTCATACATGTATATGTTTATAGCTGGAGCAAGAGGTCAGTTCAGTCCACCATGTTGCTGGAAGTACTTTTATTTGTTACAACAACCTTGTGAAGGAAGTACTCTTATGCCCAGTTTACAGATGAGGCACCTGGGGCTCGTGGAGCTTAAGTGACTTGCCCAAAGCCACATGGCTGTTATGAGGCAGAGAACAGACCCAGATCGAGGTCTGCTTGCATTGCAAGTCCGTGCTCTGCCCACAATGCTGTTTTGCCACCTAATAACTTTCATTCTTCTTGCTTCATTTTCAGGAATTAGTTGCCATCAAGGGCTCTCTCCTCCCTGTCTCCTTACATGGTTTTGCTTATCTGGAGAGTAGCTTTTGGCCAAGACCTGGCAGTGGAGAGCCATGGACCAGTACAGCCTTGGAGACGAGGGTGCCCTCCCATCAGAAATGCACCTCCCTTCATTTTCAGAGAGCCAAGGGCTCAACTGCAGCGACACCCTCAACCGGGATTTGGGTCCCAACACGCGAGGCTTTCTTTATGCTGGCCTGAGTGGTCTGGACCCGGACCCCAGCCTCCCAACGCCTGACATGTCCAGCGAGGTGCTGGAGGACAACTTAGACACCTTGTCCCTGTACTCCGGGAAGGACAGTGATTCTGTGAAGCTGCTGGAGGAGTACGCAGATTCGGAGTCTCAGGCATCCTTACAAGGTGAGGCTGTCACCTGGGTAGAAGGGCCCTGCAGGATGTTCGACAGTTTCTGTGGCCAGCTAGGGACTGATTCTGCATGGATTGGTTAAGAAAATTTTTCCCTCCTACAGGTGACTTAGGGAACAGTCACCTTTTTTCCTACTTGGGAATCATTCCCCAATTCTTTTTTTTTTTTTTTTTGAGATGGAGTCTTGCTCTGTTGCCCAGGCTGGAGTGCAGTGGCGCGATCTCAGCTCACTGCAAGCTCCGCCTCCTGGGTTCACACCATTCTCCTGCCTCAGCCTCCGGAGTAGCTGGGACTACAGGCGCCCGCCACCACGCCCGGCTAATTTTTTTGTATTTTTAGTAGAAACGGAGTTTCACTGCATTAGCCAGGATGGTCTTGATCTCCTGACCTCATGATCCGCCCGCCTCAGCCTCCCAAAGTGCTGGGATTACAGGCATGAGCCACCGCACCCGGCCAATTCTTTTTTTTTTTTTTTAGGCAGAGTACAGTGGTGCATTCTTGGCTCACTGCAACCTCTGGCTTCCGGGTTCAAGCAATTCTCCTGCCTCAGCCTCCCCAGTAGCTGGGATTACAGGCGCCTGCCACCATGCCCGGCTAATTTTTGTATTTTTAGTAGAGATGGGGTTTCATCATATTGGCCAGGCTGGTCTCGAACTCCTGACCTCAAGTGATCCTCCCACCTCCGCCTCCCAAAGTGGTGGGATTGCAGGCGTGAGCCACCACACTCGGCCCCCAATTCTTAGTAAAGGAAACAGAACACTCATTCTAGGGAATAATGTTCAGAAACTTAGGTGTCTGGGGATATCCTTATCTTTTGTGTGGTGTGTGGGCAGATGTTAGCATTTACTGAAGACTTTCCTTCCCATTACCACACCTTAGAGGCTGATGTCACATTTCCAGAATGAACTGGGGTCCGGTCCCTTCTGATCTTTGGTTGTCAGGCCTTCTTAGACCCCAGTGTCTTTATCCATAAAGCAGGTGGACAATAATATCCTCTCTGCTTCCCCCCAGAGTAAAACAAAAGAAGGAACTATTGTAAACACACTTCATAGACCTTAAAGCACTGGCGAGATATTCGTGGTTTTTTTGTTTGTTTTGTTTTCTTTTTTTTTGAGACGGAGTCTCGCTCTGTCGCCCAGGCTGGAGTGCAGTGGCACAATCTCGGCTCATTGCAACCTCTGCCTCCCAGGTTCAAGTGATTCTCCCGCCTCAGCCTCCTGAGTAGCTGGGATTACAAGTGTGTGCCACCACACCCAGCTAACTTTTGTATTTTTAGTAGTGAAGGGGTTTCACTATGTTTCCCAGTCTGGTCTCGAACTGAGCTCAAGCAATCTGCCTACCTTGGCCTTCCAAAGTGCTTGGGATTACAGGTGTGAACCACCACACCTGACCTCACTTGTAAATTTTTAAACGTGGGTAAAGTCAGACATACATAGTCTTGCAGAGATAATATTAAGTATATAATTCCATTTAAGTTGTAAGAGTTGGTGTATTTGCTTTCATATTGAAGGTAGACCTTCATACTGAGGGTCACTGAAATAGCTATTCCATTGGACTGTTAGACCATATTCTTGCTGTTTGGACTGTTAAAGTGTTTCTGTGAACAACTTTGTACATGTTGAGTTTTCTTTTGGATTAGTTCTTTGAATATTTTCCTCAAAGTCAGTTTACCCAGACGGAGCATTAAACAATTTTATAGCTCTGGCCGGACATGGTGGCTCATGCCTATAATCCTAGTACTTTGGGAGGCTGAGGTGGGCGGATCGCTTGAGATAAGGAGTTCCACTCCAGCCCAGCCAACATGGCGAAACCCCATCTCTACTAAAAATACAATAATTTGGCCAGGCGTGGTGGCTCACGCCTGTAATCCCAGCACTTTGGGAGGCCGAGGCAGGCGGATCATGAGGTCAGGAGTTCAAGACCATCCTGGCTAACATAGTGAAATCTGTCTACTAAAAATACAAAAATTATCTGGGTGTGGTGGTACGTGCCTGTAATCCCAGCTACTTGGGAGGCTGAGGCAGGAAAATCGCTTGAACCAGGGAGTCGGAGGTTGCAGTGAGCCGAGATTGCACCACAGCACTCCAGCCTGGCAACAGAGCAAGACTCCGTCTCAAAAAAAAAAAAAAAAAAAGAATTAGCCTGGCATGGTGGTGGGTGCCTGTAATCCCAGCTACTCGGGAGGCTGAGGCAGGAGAACTGCTTGAATCTGGGAGATGGAGGTTACAGTGAGCTGAGATCATGCTACTGCACTCCAGGCTGGGCAACAGAGTGAGACTCCATCTCAACAAATAAATAAATAAATAAATGTTAAAAAACTGTAGAGCCCTTATAACACTGGTTTCTAAGAAGATCAAGTGACTTCCCAGGCTAGTTCCTCTGTTTGCCTGTTTTTCAGTGTCCTTGCCAATTTTTATTTATTTATTTATTTTTTTGAGACGGAGTCTTTCTCTGTCACCAGGTTAGAGTGTAATGGTGCAATCTTGGCTCACTGCAACCTCCACCTCCCGGGTTCAGGCGATTCTCCTGCCTCAGCCTCCCGAGTAGCTGGGATTACAGGTGTCCCCCACCACGCCCAGCTAATTTTTGTATTTTTAGTAGAGACGGGGTTTCACCATCTTGGCCAGACTGGTCTCAAACTCCTGACCTCATGATCCACCCTCCTCGGCCTCCCAAAGTGCTGGGATTACAGGCATAAGCCACCGTGCCCGGCCTCCTTGCCAATTTTTAAAAACGTTTTGTTTTCTAGTTTTATAGTTGCTTTAATAGGCTTTTTTTTTTTTTTTTTTTTTTTTTTTTTGAGATGGAGTCTCGCTCTATCGCCCAGGCTAGAGTGCAGTGGTGCGATCTCGGCTCACTGCAAGCTCCGCCTCCCGGGTTCATGCCATTCTCCTGCCTCAGCCTCCCTAGTAGCTGGGACCACAGGCGCCCGCCACTGCCCCCAGCTAATTTTTTGTATTTTTAGTAGAGACGGGGTTTCACCATGTTAGCCAGGATGGTCTCGATTTTAATAGGCATTTTTAAGTGACTGAGTAAGGCTAAGGACTTTTGCCTGAGGGAGCCCGGTTTTTCCTTGTTGAAACTGTTGGAGTTATTTGACTACTCATTATAGTAATTTCTCAGAGGACAAAGACAAAGGCCAAGCAAGTTCCATGACAAATGGCCACAGGCAGGATTGGGAGGAGAGTCTAGGCCTCAAGACTCCCAGCCCAGTTTCCCTTCTGCTGTGTCTGTCACACTGCATCTCATGAGCCACAGAGAATTTGCACGATTGGATCCTTTAGAGCAACCTCCTGCTCTTCCCATGCCCTGGCCCATTGAATTCTTGGATCCCATCTCCATAGTATCCCTGATAAATTATTATTTCCAAACTTGCCATCTTGGCTGGGCACAGTGGCTCATGCACTTTGTAATCCCAGCACTTTGGGAGGCTGAGGTGGGAGGATCGCTTGAGGCCAGAAGTTTGAGACTAGCCTGGCCAACATGGCAAAACCCCGTCTCTACTAAAAATATAAGAATTAGCCTGGCATGGTGGCAGGCGCCTCTAATCTCAGCCACTCAGGAGGCTGACGCAGGAGAATCACTTGAACCCAGGAGGCAGAGGTTGCAGTGAGCCAAGATGGCGCCATTGCACTCCAGCGTGGGTGACTGAGTGAGACTCCATCTCAACAAACAAACAAACTTGCCATCTCATAAGGCAGTTTAAGCCAGGTGCTATGTATGGTTCACGCCTGTAATCCCAGCACTTTGGGAGGCCAAGTCAGGAGGATTGCTTGAGTCCAGGAGATTGAGACTAACCTGGGCAACATAGTGAGACCCCATCTCTACAACAAATAACAATTTAAAAATCAGCTGGGGTGGTGGTGGCCCGTGCTACTCAATAGGCTGAGGTGGGAGGATCACTTGAGACCAGGACTTAGAGACTGCAATGAGCTGTGATCGCACCACTGTACTGTAGCCTGGGTGACAGAATAAGACCCTGTCTCAAGAAATAAAAATAAAAATTAGCTGGGCATGGTGGTGTGCACGTGTAGTCTCACCTGCTTGGGAGGCTGAGTCAGAAGGACTGCTCACGCCCAGGAGTTCAAGGCTGCGGTGAGCTATGATTGCGTCTGTGAATAACCCCTGCACTCTAGCCTGGACAACATAGTGAGACCCCATCTCTATCAAGAAAATAATAAGAAATAAGAAGTTAAAAAGGCAGGCTGGGCGCGGTGGCTCACACCTGTAATCCCAGCACTTTGGGAGGCTGAGGTGGGTGGATCACCTGAGGCCAGAAGTTCGAGACCAGCCTGGCCAACATGGTGAAACCCCATCTCTACTAAAAATACAAAAGTTAGTTGGACATGGTGGCAGGTACCTGTAGTCCCAGCTACTGCAGAGGCTGAGGCTTGAACCTGGGAGGCAGAGGTTGCAGTGAGCCGAGATTGCGCCACTGCCCTCTAGCCTGGGCAACAGAGTAAGACTCAGTCTCAAAAAAAAAAAAAATTAAAAAAAAAAAGACAGTCTAATCCACCTTTCAGGTCAATCTAAAAAGTAGAAAAATCTTTTATTATTCCTTCATCTAACATACAGTTATTGAGTGCCTGTGAGTGCCAGAATGGGAACTCTCGCATCTGAGAACACAGCAGTGAGCAAGGCCAAACCCTATGTTTCCAGTGGTGTGAGGTCAGCTTCCCTTTAATTTTCATTCACCAAGCCTAGCTCTACAACAAATAACAATTTAAAAATCAGCTGGGAGTGGTGGTGGCCCGTGTAGTCCCAGCTACTCAGTAGGCTGAGGTGGGAGGATCACTTGAGCCCAGGACTTAGAGACTGCAATGAGCTGTGATCGCACCACTGTACTTAGAGCAAGACAGAAGCAGTCTGCTGTCTCCTGTATACACTGGCCCTTCAGATATTTGAAGACGTCTGACCTCTCCAAACTGAATATTCCCAGTTCCTTTAACTATTTCTTGGGTGATGTGATTCATAACTATATATTTTATCATTTTATCCAAGGGATACATAAAATATAAACAATTTACCTATACAAAAAGAGGAAAATAAAACCAGCTAATAATCCTACTAGTCCATCTGATTCTTTCTTTCTTTTCTTTCTTTCTTTTCCTTTCTTTTTCTTTTTCTTTCCTTTCTTTCTTTGCTTCTCTCCTTATCTTTCTCTTTCTCTTTCCTTCTTTCCTTCCTTCCTTCCTTTCTTTCTCTTTCTCTCTCTCTCTTTCTCTCTCTCTTTCCTTCCTTCCTTCCTCCTTCCTTCCTTCCTGTCTTTCTTTCTTTCTTTTTCTTTTTCTTTGACAGAGTCCCACTCTGTCGCCCAGGCTAGAGTGCAGTGGTGCTATCTCAGCTTACTGCAGCTTCCGCCTCCTGGGTTCAAGCAGTTCTCGTGCCTCAGCCTCCCAAATAGCCGGGATTACAGACACACACCACCATGCCCAGCTAATTTTTGTATTTTTGGTAGAGACGGGGTTTCACCATGTTGGCCAGGCTCGTCCTGAACTCCTGACCTCAAATGATCCGCCTGCTTCAGCCTCCCAAAGTGCTGGGATTACAGGTGTGAGCTACCACACCCAACCCAGATATTAGGTTGTTTATAACATTTCACCAGGAAAAGCAGTATGACAGTTTACTCCCTTGCAGCTAGATCTTTGTACAAAGCTACATTTATTTCCTTATGTGAAAACCCCAAAAACAGAATTGGCTGGGTGTGTGCAAGGATTTCTACTTTTCCAAGGTTTTGGATAATATATTTCTAATTGCCGTTCCAAGAGTACCAGGTGATGGTGTGGTCATAAAGCCCAGCCCATTGTGGTCATGCTGCTCTGGAAGGGCTTCAGTCTGCAGTCATCCCTCCACACGTGGCACCAAGTCCGGGTGCCATCCTGCAGGGCTTCTGTTCCCCTCACCTGCTCCTGAACCTTGTTTACTTTGTGTGGAGCAAGAGTTCTCGCGCAACACTTACAAGGCCACCATGGTTCTAAGAGGTGTAGAGTGCCTTAGTCGTGCTTTTCGCTTGGTTGCCTTGGCTGTGTATAACCTGTGCTTTCTCCCTCTGTTTAGACCTGGGGCTAGGTGTGCTTAAGGCTAAAGAGGCTGACGAAGGAGGAAGGGCCACCTCGGGGAGTGCCAGGAAAGGAAAGCGGCAGCACAGTTCCCCTCAAAACCCACTTCTGGACTGCAGCCTGTGCGGGAAGGTGTTCAGCAGCGCCAGTTCTCTGAGCAAGCACTACCTGACACACAGCCAGGAAAGGAAGCACGTCTGCAAAATCTGCAGCAAGGCCTTTAAGCGCCAGGACCACCTGTATGTGGGAGTCTGGTCAGAAAAACGTCTGTTCAGGGGCTGGGGGTGGGGACATGTTCCTGGGTCTTCTTCCTATTCTCCCAGATCAACCTGCTGTCTCGTCCTCTGTTGGGTTTTCCAGACGTGTATTACCTCTGCTCAGCCGCAGCCACAGCCACTCCATGCTTTTTTTTTTTTTTTGTCTGTCATCCGGGCTGGAGTGTAGTGGCATGATCTCGGCTCACTGCAACCTCCGCCTCCCGGGTTCAAGTGATTCTCCTGCCTCAGCCTCCTGAGTAGCTAGGATTACAAGCGCCCGCCACCACACCCAGCTAATTTTTGTATTATTTTTAGTAGAGACAGGGTTTCACCATGTTGGCCAGGCTGATCTTGAACTCCTGACCTCAAGTGATCCTCCCGCCTTGGCCTCCCAAAGTTCTGGGATTACAGGTGTGAGCCACCGTGCCCAGCCCACTCCGTTCTTCTCACACCATCAGAGCGCAGGGAAGAGAGTGGGCGCTGCTGTCCCAGCCCCTAAATTCACGCCTGTGAGGAAGCCCCTGCTTCTGTTTGCAGATGGGCTGCTTGTGGGTTAAAAACGCCTAACAGCTGGCTTCTGAGTCAATTGTGTCATGGGAGGAGTTGGGCTAACTTTATAGAGCTATGTCCTGAGTCTCTGGTAGGTGTCTGAGGAAAACGGATCTGTGTTCTCTGTGTTTTGGGATAGCACGAGACAGGAAAGATGAGACGCCTGCTTCTAGAACATGGCAATGGAGAATTAACCCTTGTTTTTCTTTTTTTTTCTTTTTTTTTTTTTTTTTTTGAGATGGAGTCTTGCTCTGTCACCCAGGCTGGAGTGCAGTGGCACGATCTCGGCTCACTACAACCTTCACCTCCCAGGTTCAAGCGATTCTCCTGCCTCAGCCTCCAGAGCAGCTGGGACTACAGGCGCATGCCACCCCGCCCAGCTAATTTTTGTATTTTTAGTAGAGATGGGGTTTCACCATATTGGCCAGGCTGGTCTCAAACTCCTGACCTTGTGATCCACCTGCCTCAGCCTCCCAAAGTGCTGGGATTACAAGCGTGAGCCACCGCACCCGGCCCCAGCTTTGTTTTTCTTTTCTATTTTTTTTTTTGTTTTTTTTTCTTTTTTAAAAAACTCATTCTTTTCCTTTTAACTTTTGACTTAAAAAGTGTCAGGAGCAAAATTTCCTTTTTTTTTTTTTTTGGACAGTCTTGCTCTGTCACTCAGGCTGGAGTGCAGAGGTGTGATCTCAGCTCACTGCAAGCCTCTGCCTCCTGGGTTCAAGTGATTTTCCTGCCTCCTCATCTTGAGTAGCTAGGACTACAGGCATGCACTATCATGCCTGGCTAATTTTTGTATTTTTAGTAGAGACAGGATTTCTCAAGTGATCTGCGTGACTCGGCCTCCCCAAAGTGCTGGGATTACAGGTGTGAGCCACCGCTTAATGTCTTGGAAATGATAAGCTTGTCTTGCCTGTGGGGGAAAGAAAGACACATGTTTTTCAAACCAGGAGACCTGCAAGTGGGAGATGAAAGTACTTAGCATTCTTATGGGGCTCCTCCCTTTCACAAGGGGCTTTGACTAATCCATCTTTCATCTTATCCTCTCACCCACACCTACCCCAGGAAAAGGAGCCAATTTGCTCATGTCACAAGTTGGTAATAGCTGGGGGTAGAACTTAGGTCTCCTGATTCCCTCTCTGTTGCTTCCCTCAGACAGAGGCTGAGGGTGAGCCTTTGGGGAAAGACTTTATGATTTAGTCCACATCGACTAGGACTGTCCAGAGCAGGGCTGTTGGGGGCCCAGAGGGTGATGTACTCCTCTGCTTATATTTATAATGTGTTAATGCAGAGGTAGGTGTGATGCAATACATATTTACATGCATTTCTGTTTGCAGAAACTATAGGCACATTTGGCTGTTTGGCTCTATAATGTTTCTATGGATTGGGCCTCTGTAAATTGGCTTCTTTGCTGTGGGGGGTTCCAGGTAGCATCTTCTTAGGGGTCTCCTACGGTAAGGCACAGATTCCTTTGTTAAAGGAAGGATCGTCCCCAAGTTAGCATCTCCTCCAGTCTATTCTGCAGAATTCTGGTTCTCAGGAATGCTAATAGGGGCTTTTTGAAAACAAAACCAAAAACAGTTCTCTGGGCAAATAAGTTTGAGAGACACTGAAAGTTAAACAGGTCTCTCTCTGTGTGGCTTTTACATTTGCTACTGTGTGCCGGCTACAGTGGCTCACGCCTGTAATCTCAGCACTTTGGGAGGCCAAGGCAGGCAGATCACTTGAGGGTCAGGAGTTCGAGACCAGCTTGGCCAACAAGGCAAAACCCCGTCTCTACTAAAAATACAAAAATTAGCTGGGCGTGGTGGCACGCACCTGTAGTCCCAGCTACTTGGAGGCTGAGGCACAAGAATCGCTTGAACCTGGGGGGCAGAGTTGCAGTGAGCCGAGATCGTGCCATTGCACTCCAGCCTGGGTGACAGAGCAAGACTCCGTCTCAAAAACAAAAAATTAATTAATTAAATTTGCTACTGTGCATCGTGAACCTCCAAGGAGTGAATGGTGTTTTTTCAAAACTTATTTATTAGCTGTGCCAAAGTCCTTGAGGAGCAACTCTGGAGGTCTTTGTGTTCCTTGGGAACCCACTCTGGGGAAATCTGATCTGGCCTCAGTGGATTTTTTTTTTTGTATTTTTTAAAATTTTATTTATTTGTTTGTTTGTTTATTGAGATAGAGTCTCACTCTGTCACCCAGGCTGGAGTGCAGTGGTGTGATCTCGGCTCACTGCAATGCACTTCATCTCCTGGGTACAAGTGATTCTCTTGCCTCAGCTTCCCCAGTAGCTGGGATTACTGGCATGTGCCACTACACCCAGCTAAATTTTTTGTATTTTTAGTAGAGACGGGTTTTACCATGTTGGCCAGGCTGGTCTCAAACTCCTGACCTCAAGTGATCCACTCACCTCGGCCTCCCAAAGTGCTGGGATTACAGGCATGAGCCACTGTGCCCCGCTGGTTTTTTTTTTTTTTTTTACTTTTCTGTAAGGGGTTTGCTTAAAGGTGAGGGGAGAGGAACTCCCCTGCCAGATGGCTTTGACCGAAGCAGGGTTTGCTGGGTGGTCTTTCCTCGTGGGGGCTGAGTACAATTTCTGAATTGTGGTGCAACTGTACCACAGACTTTTGGGGGCCACCAGGGTCCTACAGCAGAAAGCCCGGTCCCAGGTGCCCCGGTGACGCCCCTGCTTGTGTCTGGCTCCAGGACCGGGCACATGCTCACCCACCAGAAGACAAAGCCCTTCGTGTGCATCGAGCAGGGCTGCAGCAAGAGCTACTGCGACTACCGCTCTCTGCGCCGGCACTACGAGGTCCATCACGGCCTGTGCATCCTGAAGGAAGCCCCCCCGGAGGAAGAGGCCTGCGGGGACTCCCCCCACGCCCACGAGTCGGCCGGCCAGCCGCCCCCCAGCAGCCTGCGGTCCCTGGTGCCCCCAGAGGCCAGGTCCCCCGGCTCCCTCCTGCCCCACCGGGACCTCCTGCGCCGCATCGTGAGTAGCATCGTCCACCAGAAGACCCCTTCTCCTGGCCCAGCCCCGGCGGGGGCTTCAGACAGCGAAGGGAGGAACACTGCCTGTCCCTGCCCCGCCTCATCGGGGTCCTCGTCCTGCACCCCAGCCGGCCCCCACGCGGCCCCAGCAGCGCTGGACACCGAGCTTCCCGAGGAGCCTTGCCTCCCACAGAAAGAGCCGGCCACTGACGTGTTCACAGCCCCTAATTCCAGGGCCGCCGAGAACGGCGCCCCCGACCCGCCAGAGCCGGAGCCAGATACCGCGCTGCTCCAGGCCCGGTCCACCGCGGAGTGCTGGCCCGAAGGCGGCTCCGTGCCTGCCTGCCTGCCTCTCTTCCGAGGCCAGACGGTCCCTGCCAGTTCCCAGCCATCGAGCCACAGCTTCCAGTGGCTCCGGAACCTGCCGGGCTGTCCCAAAAGCAAAGGCAACAACGTGTTTGTTGTCCACAAGCCCTCGGCCGTGCCCTCGCGGGAGGGCTCCGAGTCTGGCCCGGGACCCAGCAGCGGAAGCCCCTCGGAGGAGTCCCCGCCCGGCCCCGGCGGTGGCCTGGAGGATGCTCTGCCCTTCCCTGCCGCGCTCCTCAGGGTCCCCGCGGAGGCCCCGAGCGACCCCAGGTCGGCCAGCGGGGAAGATGACCCCTGCGCCCCCAAGAAGGTCAAGGTCGACTGCGACTCCTTCCTGTGCCAGAACCCCGGGGAGCCCGGCCTCCAGGAGGCCCAGAAGGCAGGCGGGCTCCCTGCGGATGCCTCGCCGCTCTTCCGCCAGCTCTTCCTCAAGTCGCAGGAACCTCTTGTGAGCCACGAGCAGATGCAGGTGTTCCAGATGATCACCAAGTCCCAGCGGATCTTCTCCCATGCCCAGGTGGCAGCAGTCTCCTCCCAGCTCCCTGCGCCCGAGGGCAAACCAGCCGCCCTGAGGCCGCTGCAGGGGCCGTGGCCGCAGCAGCCCCCACCACTGGCTCCTGCTGTGGACTCTCTCCACGCCGGCCCTGGAAACCCCGAGGCAGAGGGCTCCCCAGCCCGCAGGAGAAAAACCACACCCGGGGTTCCCAGAGAGGCCTCCCCCGGCAGCACGAGACGAGACGCAAAGGGGGGACTGAAAGTGGCCGCGGTTCCAACGCCCCTTGCAGCACCGTCTCTGGACCCTTCCAGGAATCCAGACATCTCTTCTCTGGCCAAGCAGCTGCGATCCTCTAAAGGGACCTTGGACCTGGAGGACATCTTCCCCTCCACAGGCCAACGGCAGACCCAGTTAGGTGGGGAGGAGCCACCAGGAGCCTCGCTGCCAGGGAAGCAGGCCCCAGCCGAGAATGGCGCGGCTTCAAGGATCACAAAAGGTGAAAAGGGCCCAGCCTGCTCCCGGGGTGGAGGCTACCGGCTCTTGGGCAACCCCAGGGCCCCGCGATTCTCCGGCTTCCGGAAAGAGAAGGCGAAGATGGATATGTGCTGTGCGGCTTCTCCGAGCCAGGTAGCCATGGCCTCCTTCTCATCGGCCGGGCCCCCGGCAGATCCCTCCAAGTCCAAGCTGACAATATTCAGCAGAATCCAGGTACCAGCTCTCTCTCACGTGGCCTGACCAGAGTGGAGTGAGTTTCCTTTGCATTTGTTAGTTGTCCAGGCATTTTATTTCATTTCAGAGAGTCCCCAGATGCAATTTTACAGAGGAAGGAATTAAGGTTCCGAAAGATTGTGGTTTTCCCCACTAAAAAAAAAAAGACCAGAATGAGGCCAGGTGAGGTGGCTTATGCCTGTAATCCCAGCCCTTTGGGATGGGAGGCTGAAGTGGGGAGACTGCTTGAGCTCAGGAGTTCGAGATCAGCCTAGGCAACATGGCGAAACCCAGTCTCTACCAAAATTTTAAAAAAGTAGCTGGGCGTGGTGGCACACGCCTGTGGTCCCAGCTACTCGAGAGGCTGAGGTGGGGGAGAATCGCTTGAACCTGGAAGATGGAGGTTTCAGTGAGCTGAGATTGTGTCTCTGCACTCCAGCCTGGGCAACAGAGCAAGACCCTGTCTTAAAAAAAAAAAAAAAGATCAACATGAGGATATCCCAGAGTTGTTCAAAACACTGTTATCTCACAAAGCCTTTTTTGCTTTTTTTTTTCTCTTGTTTCCCTTTGGATTTGCCTTTTTAGAATCTTCAGAGGATATGAAGGTAGATGCTCTCTTTCCTTTAAAGATTCCTGCTTGAAATGGCCATGTGTTTTCTGATTGTGAGTCTTGGTTTCCACAAGCACAAGTGGGCACCTGCATCGTGCCCCACACTTAAGCACATTGATAATTATTCACTGGTTCCTCCAGATGTTGTGTTTGGAGGGCCTGGTCCAAAGAGCTCATCCAGGTCTCCTGACTCCATGTCCAACCTGGGCAACATGGCGAAACCCTGTCTCTACCAAAATTTAAAAAAAATTAGTTGGGCATGGTGGTGCACGCCTGTGGTCCCAGCTACTCAGGAGGATGAGTAGCTTCCCATCATACCACAGCTACCTCATTTTTGTTTTGTTAACATCTTTATTATTCAGGTGCCAAATAATGCACCATTTTATTTTTTATATATTTTTTAGAGATGGAGGGGGTCTCGCTATGTTGCCCAGCCTGGTCTTGAACCCCTGGGCTCAAGCAATCCTCTCATCTCGGCCTCCTAAAGTGTTGGGATTACAGGCATGAGCCACCATGCCCAGCCAAATCCACCACTTTATTTTATTTTTTAAATTTATTTTATTTATTTATTTATGATGGAGTCTCACTCTGTCGCCCAGGCTGGAATGCAGTGGTGCTATCTCAGCTCATTGCAACCTCCGCCTCCTGGGTTCAAGCAGTTCTCTGCCTCAGCCTCCGAGTAGCTGGGATTACAGGCATGCGCCACCACATCTGGCTAATTTTTGTGTGTTTAGTAGAGACGAGGTTTCACCATCTTGGCCAGGCTGGTCTTGAACTCCTGACCTCGTGATCCACCCGCCTCAGCCTCCCAAAGTGCTGAGATTGCAGGTGTGAGCCACTGTGCCTGGCCAAATTTATTTTTGAGACGGAGTCTCTCACTCTGTTGCCCAGGCTGGAGTATAGTGGTGCAATCTTGGCTTACTGCAGCCTCTGCCTCCCAAGTTCAAGCAATTCTCCTGCCTGGGCCTTCCAAGTAGCTGGGATTACAGGCACACATCACCATGCCCAGCTAATTTTTGTATTTTTAGTAGAGCCAGGGTGTCACTGTGTTGGCCAGGCTGGTCTTTCCTGACCTCAGGTGATGTGCTTGCCTCGGCCTCCCAAAGTGCTGAGATTACAGGCATGAGTCATGGTGCCTGGCCTGAATACACCATTTTAAAGTGTAGCGTTGGGTAATTTGTAGTATATTCACAAGATCGTGCAACCATCCCCACTCTTTGCCAGAACAGTTTCATCTCCCCAAAAGGAACCCCACATTTCTTAGTTGTCACCCACAATCTCGCCCTCCCCCCAGGGCCTGGCAGCCACGAGTCTCCTTTCTGTCTCTGTGGATGTGTCTGTTCTGGACATTGCATATGAGTGGAATCATGCACTCTGTGGCATTCGTATCTGGCTTCCTTCACTCAGCATGACGTTTTCCAGGCTCATCCGTGGGGTGGCAAACGGCAGAGCTGCATTCCTTTCCATGACTGAGTGATCCTCTGTTGGATGGATAAGGCCGCGTTTTATTTGTCTGTTCATCAGTGGATGGACATTTGGGTTGTTTCCACTTTTTGGCTATTTTGAATATGGTGCTGCTGTGAATATTCACCCATGTACAAATTTTTATGGGGATTTATGTTCTAGGAGTAGAATCGCCAGGTCGTACAGCAGTTCTGTTTTAGGTCTGAGGAACTACTAGGCTGTTTTGCTTGTTTCCTCTTCCCACCCACAGTGTATGAGGGCTCCACATTCTCCATGTCCTCACTAACACTTGTTATTGTCCGTGGTTTGTTTAAATTATAACTACCCTGGCGGGTGTGAAGCAGTATCTCATTGTGGTTTTGATTTGTATTTCCCCGTGGCTGCTGACGTTGAACACCTTTCTGTGTTCTTATTGGCCATCTGTGTATCTTTCTAGAAGAAATGTCTGTTCAGGTCCTTTGCTTATTTTTTAAAATCAGATTACTATTTTTTGAGTTCTCTATATATTCTGGATGCAAGACCCTTATCTGACACATGACTTGCAAATATTCTTTCATTTTGTGGTCTGTCTTTTCACTTTATTTATGATACCATTTGCAGGACAAAAGTTTTTATTTTTTATTTTTTATTTTTTTTTGAGACAGGGTCTCACTGTCACTCAGGCTGGAGTGAAGTTGTACGATCATGGCTCACTGCAACCTTGAACTCCTGGCTCAAGTGATTCTCCCACCTCAGCCTCCTGAGTCGCTGGGACCTCAGGCCCATGCCAGTATGCCAGGCCAATTTTTGTATTTTTTGTAGAGATGGGGTTTTGCCATGTTGCCCAGGCTGGTCTCAAACTCCTGGGCTGAAGCAATCCTCCCACCTCGGCCTCCCAAAGTCCTGGGATCACAGGCATGAGCCACCACGCCTGGCTAAAAGTTTTACATTTTGATGAAGTCTAATTTGTCTGTTTTGCTTTGGTGTCTTATCTAAGAAACCACTGTCTAATCCAAGGTCATGAAGATTTACTCTGATGTTTTCTTCTAAAAGTCTGTAATTTGAGCTCTTCTTGCCTCTTCATTTTGGATGTGTTGGTTCAGATGCATTTTCATCTTCAGGGTGGAAACATCTACAGGCTCCCCCATCCGGTGAAGGAAGAGAATGTGGCAGGCAGAGGGTAAGTTAAGAAGCCCCCGATCCTGCATGCACCCTGGCAGGAGTCCTCTGGCCTTCCTGTGCCGGCCCTGGACAAGTGAGTGGGGAGGATGCTTTCAGTCCTAATGGGATTAGGGTACAGCCTCCATTTTATAGGGTTTATCAAGAGTAGTCAGGCTGGACGCGGTGGCTCACGCCTGTAATCCCAGCACTTCAGGAGGCTGAGGCAGGGGGATCATTTGAGGTCAGGAATTCGAGACCAGCCTGGCCAACATGGTGAAACTCTGTCTCTACTAGAAATATAAAAATTAGCCACGTATATTGGCACACACCTGTAATCTTAGCTACTTGGGAGGCTGAGGCACGAAAATCACTTGAACCCAGGAGGTGGAGGTTACAGTGAGCCGAGATGGTGCCACCGCACTCCAGTCTGGGCAACAGAGTGAGACTCCATCTCCAAAAAAAAAAAAAAGTCAGTGGATTGGAGTTATAGACAAAAAAGAAAAAAAAACAACAAAAAATCAGTGATCAAGGACAGAGTCCTAATCTCCCACTCTTCTTTCCTGCCATGTCCCACAGTAACCAGCAAAACGGCAGTCCCACAGACTGGACGAAGCCCAGGAGCACTTTTGTCTGCAAGAACTGCAGCCAGATGTTTTATACGGAGAAAGGGCTGAGCAGCCACATGTGTTTTCACAGCGACCAGTGGCCGTCACCTCGAGGGAAGCAGGAACCGCAGGTGAAGGGGGACGACCAGTGGCTTGGTGGTTACTGGGTTTCTGGCAGGCCTGTGGGGAGTAAACGAGATTGGTGTCACTTATCTCAGGATGGGGACGTCACTCTGGGTCGGGGGCTGGAGTCAGGCTGTGTGGCTCTCCAGGGGCAGGCCATTGCCATGGGCTGCAGCAGCTCTCCAGCTTGGTCCATGCCACAGACTCACTGCTGTTTTCTATGACAGCTTTTTTTGCTGAAGCAGCTCTTCCTTTCCCCACCTACCTTATCTCTTAAAGAGCCATCTCTTCTCTTCTGTGTTTAGGTGTTTGGCACAGAGTTTTGCAAGCCGCTAAGACAGGTGCTGAGGCCAGAAGGGGACAGGCATAGTCCCCCAGGAACCAAGAAGCCCTTGGACCCCACAGCTGCAGCCCCTTTGGTGGTCCCCCAATCGATCCCCGTGGTTCCAGTGACCCGACACATAGGGAGCATGGCCATGGTGGGTGCTTGTCGGCCTGCCTCCTTCCTGCCACTGCCCGCAGCTGCTGGGGGAAGCCGTAGGAAAAACCCAAACCAGATACCACAGAAAATCTTTGACTCCAGGCTGGATGTGGTGGCTCATGCCTGTAATCCCAGCACTTTGGGAGGCTGAGGCGGGTGGATTGCCTGAGCTCAGGTATTCGAGACCAGCCTGGGCAACATGGTGAAACCCTGTGTCTACTAAAAATACAAAAAAATTAGCTGGGCATGGTGGCAGGCACCTGTAAACCCAGCTACTCGGGAGGCTGAGGCCCGAGAATCACTTGAACCCAGGAAGGAGAGGTTGCAGTGAGCTGAGATCACAACACTGCACTCTAGCCTGGGTAACAGAGTGAGACTCTGTCTCAAAAAAAAAAAAAAAAAAAAGAAAATCTTGATCCAGAAGAACCTGGTTTGCATGTTAATTCAGTCATTCAGCATTCACTGAGCCCCTCTGTGCCAGGCCCTGTGCTGGGTGGTGCTGGGGACACAGAGGTGACCACAATAGCCTGGGCCCTGCCTCCCAGGGCTCCTAGTCCAGTGGAGGAGACAGGCCTGTCCCCAGACAGTGACAACCCAGAGTGGGCAGAGCTGGGAGCAGAGGGAGCCCAGAGAGTTCCCAGGGGGCTCCTGACCCAGCCTGAGGAGGTAAGGGAGGGCTTCCTGGAGGAGGAGGTATGGGATCTGAGACCTAGAGGATGAGGAGGAGTAGGGCTGGCAGAGCGGAGAGGAGATTTTGTGGAAGTGAGAGAGAGCATGGTGAGTTACGAGTGATCAGTCTCGTAGGGCTTGTCTCTGCAGCCTGTACTGGAGGACCCCCTACTGAAGAAGCTCCTGCTGGACTCGGGGACACAGTCCGTGGACCTGAAGGTCCCCTGAGTCAGTGGCTGGGTCATTTCGGTGCTTGTCATTTGGGTGGAGCAGCATTTCTTTCTTCACCGTCACACTGTATCTCTGGGGATCTCTCTCTTTTTAAGGGCCAGTCATCTTAATGATTGAGGCTATTCTTACACAGAGTCAGGGGCTCTGCTGGGGCAGTGGGTGCAGGAGAAGGCTGCAGCCGGATCATCGCCAGGCTCAGTACGTCAGGTCTGGCTCAGGTGTGGCCAGCCTCCTTTGCCGGGCGTGCATTTCCTAGTTTCCTGTCTCTGGCCGGTCTCCTTTTCCTGCTCTCTTTCCATCCTGGAGATGGAGTGGTGCAGTAGGTGGCTTCAGGCGACCACCTGTGGTTCTAAACTTCTTCAGGGACAAGAGAAAGACGGGGAGGAGCGAGACAGCAAGGAGAGCAGCCAGCAGAGAAAGCGGAAGAAGCGGCCCCCACCCTCCACGGCTGGGGAGCCTGGCCCTGCAGGATGCCACCAGAGCCGCCTGCGGTCACCCATGTTCCTGGTGGACTGCCTCCTGAAGGGCTTATTCCAGTGCTCCCCCTACACACCACCCCCAATGCTCAGCCCCATCCGGGAGGGCTCTGGGGTGTACTTCAACACCCTCTGTTCCACGTCCACTCAGGCCAGCCCTGACCAGCTCATCAGCTCCATGCTCGGTGAGTGAGGCTGGGGCACTCACTCTGTGATCCCAGGGTGGATTGCCTGCGGACCACAGCCACTCTACCTTGTAGCATTGGGTTCAGTGATTGTCTCCTGCCTGGGTGTACCTAGTCTGAGGGTTCCTTTGCTATTCAGATGTGCCCCAGGACTGATCTAAGTGCCTTCTAGTGCATAGAATTTTACAGCCCGAAAGAAAACGTAGAGGCCATTTAGCCTGACCATGCTTCTGCCTGCCCTTCTGTGTCATTTTCTTTTTCTTTTTTGAGGCAGGGTCTTGCTCTGTCACCCAGGCTGGAGTGCAGTGGCTTGATCACAGCTCACTGCAGCCTCGATCTCCTGGTCTCAAGAGATCCTCCAGCCTCAGACTCCCAAATAGTTGGGACTACAGGTGCGCATCACCACACCTGGCTAATTTTTTATTTTTCTTAGAGATGGGGTCTTGCTATGTTGTCCAGGCTGGTCTCGAGCTCCTGGACTTGTGATTTTGCTGCCTTGACCTCCCAAAGTACTGGCATTAAATGTGTGAGCCACCCTGTCCAGTCTGTGTCATTTCCTTTTTTTTTTTTTTTTTTTTGAGACAGAGTATCACTCTATCACCCAGGCCAGAGTGCAGTGGCGTGATCTTGGCTGACTGAAACCTCCAACTCCCAAGTTCAAGCAGTTCTCCTGCCTCAGCCTCCCAAGTAGCTGGGACTACAGGCGTGCGCCATCATGCCTGGCTAATTTTTGTATTTTTAGTAGAGATGGGATTTCACCATGTTGGCCAGGCTGGTCTCGAGCTCCTGACTTCCAGTGATCCACCCTCCTCAGCCTCCCAAAGTGCTGGGATTACAGGTGTGAGCCACTGTGCCTGGCCTGGCCTATGTAATTTTCCTAACAGATTTATTGAGCTGTACTTCACATACCATGCAAATCACCCATTTAGAGTATGCAGTGATTTTTAGGATATTCACAAGGCCGTGCAACTATCACATAGTCTTAATTTTAGAGCACGCTTAGCATCCCCAGAAGAAGCCAGAGCTCATTAGCAGTGACTCCGCCCATATCCCCACAGTCCCTTCTTCCCCCAGCCTGGGCACCCACTCATCTGCCTTCTCTCTTTGGATTTGCCTATTCAGGACATTTCATGTAAGTAGAATCATACAATATGCAGCCTTTTGTGTCTAGTTTATTTCACTTGGCATGTTTTCAGAGTCCCTTCATATTGTAGTGCATATCAGTGCTCAATTCCTTTTTATGGCCGAACATTTTTCCCTTGTACAGATGGGCCCCATTTTGTTTATTTATCAGTTGATGGACATTTGGGTTGTTTCCACTTTGGGCTATTATGAATAATGCTGCCATAAACATTCATATAGAAATTTTTGGGGTTTTTTTGGGAGACAAGGTCTCACTCTTGTCACCCAGGCTGGAGTGCAGTTGTATGATCACAGCTCACTGCAGCTTCAACCTCCTGGGCTCAACTGATCCTTCTGCTTCGGCCCAGAGTAGCTGGGCCTACAGGCATGCACCCCCATGCCTGGCTAATTTTTTGTAATTGTTTTTATGTAGGGAGGGGGGTCTTGCCATGTTGCCCAGACTGGTCTCAAACTCTGAGGTGGGCCAGGCATGGTGGCTCATGCCTGTAATCCTAGCACTTTGGGAGGCTGGGGCGGGTGGATCACCTAAGGTCAGGAGTTCAAGACCAGGCTGGCCAACATGGCAAAACCTCGTCTCTACTAAAAATATAAAAATTAGACGAGCATGGTGGCGGGTGCCTATAATCCTGGCCACTCAGGAGGCTGAGGCAGGAGAATCGCTTGAACTGAGGGTGCAGTGTTGGGAACAGGCCCCCCAAAATCTGGCCATAAACTGGCCCCAAAACTGGCCATAAACAAAATCTCTGCAGCACTGTGACATGTTCATAATGGCCATGACACCCACGCTGGAAGGTTGTGGATTTACCGGAATGAGGGCAAGGAACACCTGGCCGACCCAGGGCAGAAAACTGCTTAAAGGCGTTCTTAAACCACAAACAATAGCATGAGCGATCTGTGCCTTAAGGACATGCACCTGCTGCAGATAACTAGCCAGACATATCCCTATATTTTGGCCCATCCCTTTGTTTCCTGTAAGGAATACTTTTAATTGATCTATAATCTATAGAAACAATGCTTATCACTGGCTTGCTGTCAATAAATATGTGGGTAAATCTCTGTTCAGGGCTCTTAGCTCTGAAAGCTGTGAGACCCCTGATTTCCCACTCCACTCCTCTATATTTCTGTGTGTGTCTTTAATTCCTCTAGCGCCGCTGGGTTAGGGTCTCCCCGACCGAGCTGGTCTCGGCAGCGGAGGTTGCAGTAAGCCGAGACCATGCCATTTCACTTTAGCCTGGGCGAAAGAGCTAAATTTGGTCTCAAAAAAAAAAAAACAACTCTGGGGTGAAACAGTCCTCCTGCATTGGCCTTCCAAAGTGCTGGGATTAGAGGCCTGAGCCACCACACCCAGCCTTATGTACAGGTTTTTGTGTGGATTTATGTTCTCAGCTCTCTTGGGTAGATAACTAGGAGTGTAGTGCTGGGTCATATGGTAACTCCATATTTAACTGTTTACAAACTGCCGGATTGTTTTCCAAAATGGCTGGGCCACTTTAAATTTCCAGTAGCAGTATATGAACATTTTCATTTCTCCTCCTTCTTGTCAACACTTGTTATTGTCTATCTTTTTAAGTATAACCATCCTAGTAGGTGTAAAGTGGTCCTTTTGCAGGACAAACATTTCTAATTTTCATGAAGCCCAATTTCCTTTCTTTTGTTACTTGTTCTTGTGGTGTTATATGTGAAGATTTGCCTGACCCAAGTCATGCAGAGTCACTCTTGTTTCCCTGTAAGAGTTTTGTAATTTTGGTCCAGGTGCGGTGGCTCACGCCTGTAATGCCAGCACTTTGGGAAGCCGAGGCAGGCGGATCACGAGGTCAGGAGCTCAAGACCAGCCTGGCCAACATGGTGAAATCCCGTCTCTACTAAAAATACAAAAGAATTAGCCGGGTGTGGTGGCAGGCACTGTAATCCCAGCTACTCAGGAGGCTGAGACAGAGAATCGCTTGAACCCAGGAGGCGGAGGTTGCAGTGAGCCAGGATGGCACCACTGCACTCCAGCCTGGGCAACAGAAAAAAAAAAAAAAGAGCTTTGTAATTTTGACTCTTAGGTTAGGTCTGTAATCAATTTGAAGATAACTTTTATATATTACATGAGGTAAAGGTCCAAATTCATTTTTTTGCATGTGTATATGCAGTTCTTCCAGCAGCATTTTTTGAAGACTTCCCATTGAATTGACTCAGCACAATTCATTGTTAGAAATCAATTGACCATAAACGTGTGGGTGTATTTCTGGGTGTTCAATTCTATTGATCTGTATACTTATCCTTATGCCAGTATCACACTGTTTTGATTACTGTAGCTTTTAACTTTTGTTTTTTTGTTTTGGGGGGGTGGTTTGGAGGGGTTTTTTTTTGAGACAGAGTCTTGCTGTGTCACCCCAGCTGGAGTGCAGTGGCATGATCTCGGCTCACTGCAGCCTCTAACTCCCAAGTTAGCCTCCCACTTCAGCCTCCCGAGTAGCTGGGATTACAGGGGTACACCACCACACCAGGCTAATTTTTGTATTTTTAGTAGAGACGGGGTTTTGTTATGTTAGCCAGGCTGGTCTTGAACTCCTGACTTCAGGTGATCCGCCCGCCTCGGCCTCCCAAAGTGCTGGGATTACAGGCGTGAGCCACTGCATCAGGCCTTTTTCTTTAGATATTTCTTTCTGTCTCTTTCTCCTTTCCATCTGGTACTCCTGTTACATGTAGCTGCTGTACTTAATGGTATCCCACATTTCTCTGAGGCTCTCTTTATTTTTCTCTTTGTTCTTCGGATTCCATAGTCTCTACTGATCTGTCTTCAAGTTTACAGATTATTTTCTTCCTGTCAACTCAAACCTATTGAGCCCCATTTTGGTTATTTTATTATTTTCCTCAACAGCTTCACTTGCCAATATTTTACTTTCTAACCCCAGAATTCCCATTTGGTTCTCTCTTTTTAATAATTTCTACCTCTTAATGATATTCTGTCTATGATGAGAAATTGTCATTATACCTTCCTTTAATTCTTTAAGCATGGGAGCTGACAGGAGAGGCAGCCCCTGTCTGGGCTGCACCTACCTGGAATAGAACCCTTGGAGCTGGGAGCTGGCTGGGTAAGGGAGCAGGTCACAGCTCAGATGCAACAGCCTCTTGTTCTTACCAATATTCAGTTGATTATTTTTTATTTTTTATTTTTTTGAGATGGAATCTCACTCTGTTGCCCAGGCTGGAGCACAGTGGCACAGTCTCGGCTCACTCTGCCTCCCAGGTTCAAGTGATTCCTGCCTCAGCCTCCCAAGTAGCTGGGATTACAGGCACATTCCACCACGCCCAGCCAATTTTTGTATTTTCAGTAGAGATGGGGTTTTGCCATGTTGGCCAGGCTGGTCTTGAACTCCTGACCTCAAGTGATCCGCCCACCTCAGTGTCCCAAAGTGCTGGGATTACAGGCGTGAGCCACCCCACCCGGCCTAGTTGATTTTTTTTAATGAATATTTCTCCAAGTGCTGAATGACCTTAGGACAATTTCCAGAGACTTTAGTGTGCTGTTTTTATATATACGTATACTTGTCATGAGTTAATTTGTTAGAGTTCCTTCCTCTACCTTTTCTGAAGTGCTGCCCTTTCCCATGGGATTTTTTTTTTTTTTTTTTTTTTTTTTTTTTTTTTTTTGAGATGGAGTCTCGCTCTGTCGCCCAGGCTGGAGTGCAGTGGCGCGATCTCGGCTCACCGCAAGCTCCGCCTCCTGGGTTCACGCCATTCTTCTGTCTCAGCTGGGACTACAGGCACCCACTACCACGCCCGGCTACTTTTTTTTGTATTTTAAGTAGGAACAGGGTTTCACTGTGTGTTAGCCAGGATGGTCTTGATCTCCTGACCTCGTGATCCTCCCACCTCAGCCTCCCAAAGTGCTGGGATTACAGGCGTGAACCACTGTGCCCGGCCAACCCATGGGATCTTAAAGACCCTGCTTTCAGCTGCGTCCACACAGGCAGGCAGAGGACCCTGTCGGTTACCTGCTGTCTGTCTTCTTGAGCCTTTTCACTCTGTGCTTTCTAGATCAAGTGGATGGGTCCTTTGGCATCTGTGTGGTGAAGGATGACACCAAAATCAGCATTGAGCCGTAAGTTGGGTCCTTTCCAGTGAAGCTGCTTTTACCCCACCTTGAGTTCTAGTGTCACTTTTCCCAAGGGTTCCTTCTTCCCATGGTGGGGTTCAGGTTTACTCACATAGGCTCCCTAGGCGTGAAGCGGTAGATTTTTCCAAATATATGTAGGAAGATCCCCCAATATTATTCCTTCTACAAATATATATATATATATGAAAATCCCCCCAAATTATTCCTTCTAGAAATATATATGTGGCACATGGGGACAGAATGCCCTGGACCTTGGGGTTCCAGGTAGAATTGGTGATGGCACAGAGTGGGACTCAAGCATGCCTGAGGGATGTGGCTGGATGGCTGTGGTGTGGACGTAGACACATGCCGGGTGTCAGCTTGTACCTCCCCTGCCTTGACCCTGAGAGAGAAATGTGGCAATGAAGGAAAACAGAGGAAGGGAGGAAGTGTCCCTGCAGAAGTTTCTGAAATGTCTGTGTGCATCTGTCGGGAACAGCACGTACCTGATGCACCTGAGACAGCAGAGGGTTTCCATGGAGCAGGCTGTGGCCCAAGAGCAGGGCATACAGAGCGTCTCCATTTCACTTCCCATCTCAGTCATGTTTGTACGTCTCCCTTATCTGTGTGTGGCCTCATTTCAGACATATCAATATAGGAAGCCGGTTTCAGGCAGAGATCCCGGAACTCCAGGAGAGATCCCTGGCTGGAACTGACGAGCATGTAGCTTCTCTGGTCTGGAAGCCATGGGGAGATATGATGATCAGCTCAGAGACACAGGATAGAGGTGGCTGAGGCTTTGGGGCTAAATTCCTAAGGGCCCTTCTTCCCCCTCCATTTCCAGGGTGTTTTTCCTCCTAGGTCTGGAACTCCTGACCGCTAGATCCAAGTAGTGTCCCCTGGGCGTGGGAGGGAGCTGGCTCTTGGCCAGCGTTGCTTCTTCCCTGCTGCACTCTCCCTCCCCTACCTCTTTTGTCACATGGTGGCTGGTCAGGCCATCAGGAGTGGGTGCTGGGGACAGGGTTCTGCTCTTCCTCCTTGTCCCTCCCTGAGATGCAGGAGAGAGAAGGGGAAGGCACCCCCTCTCTGCTGTCTTTCGGGAAAGGTTCCTCCCTAGCACCTGATGACTCCTGTGTGCCTCCTCTTCCTCATGTCCTTCTTGGAAACAGTGACCGAGCTCTGCAATGTGGCATGCTCCAGCGTGATGCCAGGAGGGGGCACCAACCTGGAGCTCGCTCTGCACTGCCTGCACGAGGCTCAGGGCAACGTTCAGGTGAGGAACAGCAAGGGGACCCTCCCTGCTTTCCTGGGGCCCAGGGTTCTAGGTGCATGTGACGTGCTGTCTGCTTGGGGGTTCAGAGCGGATGGAAGCTGGAAGAAGGCCGCCCATCCTCCTCCACAGCGGCTTTGGGATTGCAGTGGTCCTTGTGCACGGACTGTAGGGGAATGCTAAGACGTGGGCCCAATTCATAGCTACTTGTCTGGGGCAACAATCAAGCGCAGGGGTTCCTCTGAGATCTCAGGGGGCACTGGAGAAGGGAAGCCCCAAAGACCCAGCTCAGGCCCTGCATTCATCTACTTAATTCCTTGAGTTTTAGCTTTCAATTGAAAACTTATATATACAAACCTCTGATGCAACATAAATGCCTCTACCTACTCCAAGGACCCCCCCCCCCCCCCCCGCTCACAATTCTGGGTGTTAGAAAGTATATTAAAAGTCTAACTGTGAGGAGCGGGAGAGGAAGAGCCACATTGCCTGTGTTAAGGATCTAAGAGTCATGCCATGGTCTTGCTTTTCACCAACCTGAGAGGCAGTGTCTGGCATATAGCAGGTCCTCAGCAGAGTGGCAGTACATATTTATTGGGTACCTGCTGGTTGCCTGTACTGTAGGCACTGGGGCCAGGGCCAGCTGAGGGGCTCCACGCTTGGTTTAATGCTCTGCTGTCTCTGTCTTGAAATTCTTGGCCAGGCGCGGTGGCTCACGCCTGTAATCCCAGCACTTTGGGAGGCCGAGACGGGTGGATCACCTGAGCTCAGGAGTTCGAGACCAGCCTGGACAACATGGTAAAACCCCATCTCTACTAAAAATAAAAAAATTAGCCAGGCATGGTGGTGGGCGCCTGTAATCCCAGCTACTTGGGAAGCTGAGGCAGGAGAATTGCTTGAACCTGGGAGGTGGAGTGCAGTTGCAGTGAGCCGAGATCGCACCACTGCACTCCAGCCTGGGCAACAGAGTGAGACTCCGTCTCAAAAAAGAAAAAAAAAGAAAAGAAATTCTTAATACTTTTTAAACAAGGAGTCCTGCATCTTCATTTTGCAGTGGGCCCCACAAATTATGCAAACCCTGCAATGATGGCTTACACTTGTGATTGAGATAAAATCCCTGCCCTCAGGGGGCTTACATTTTAGGAAAGTCAAATTGTTAGCTAGGCCAGGCGCATGGCTCACGCCTGTAATCCCAGCACTTTGGGAGGCCAAGGCGGGGGTGGATCACCTGAGGTCGTGAGTTCGAGACCAGCCTGGCTAACATGGTAAAATCCCGTCTCTACTAAAAATACAAAAAAAAAAAAAAAAAAAATTAGCAGGGAGTGGTGGCAGATACCTGTAGTCCCAGCTAGTTGGGAGGCTGAGGCAGGAGAATCACTTGAACTGGGGAGGTGGAGGCTGCAGTGAGCCAAGATCATGCCACTGCACTCCAGCCTGGGTGACAGAGCAAGACTCTGTCTCAAAAAAAAGAAAAAACAAAGAAAATTGTTAGCTAGCTGGGTACAGTGGTACCCACCTGTATTCCTGGCTACTTGGGAGGCAGAGGCTGAAGGAGCCCAGAAATTGGAGCTCAGCCTGGACAACATAGTGAGACCTCATCTTTAAAAATAAAATGTTTTCAATTGTTAGCTATTGACTAGTGCTATGAAGAAAATAAAAATGGGGCCCTACGCAAGGGTCATACTCCTCAAAATGCCAGTCCCTGAGGGAGTAAGGAGCTTGTGCCAGAATAAATCCACACACAGTCTCCTTCGTCAGGATAGGCTTGCTGTGAAAAAATAACTTCAGCTGCATTCAGTGGTGTGCCTGGTGACACGGTTGATGCACGCACAGACAGTTCACAGGCTGGTGGCCCATCCAGGGCAACTTTGAATAGCCCTGGGACAGGCAGTGTCTTCAGGGACAGCCGCAAGTGTTTTTCAGATGAATGGGAGGATGCCTGTGGTCCTCTTCCCCCACCTGGTCCTGGGCAGCCTGTCGCTCCTCTTGTTCCAGGTCGCCCTGGAGACTCTTCTGCTCCGAGGGCCCCACAAGCCACGGACACACCTGCTCGCTGACTATCGCTACACAGGTGACGGGGAAAGGCTGCTGAGCTGGTTTGGCCCAGCTGAGACCCCTATGAATCGGCCAGCTCTGTTGCAAGCTCTGCCCCTGCCTCCTGGAGTTCTCCTCGGGACCTTTGCCTGCCTTTCAGGAGGGCCTGTCCTTGTCGGGATGACTCAGTGGGCGCCACATTCTGCTAGTGGGATCCTGCTTCGCCCTTTCCCAGTGGTTTCCTTACGGACTCTGCCCAGCTGGAAGGGGAATGATCATGGCCAGGGGGAGGGAAGATGGGCTTAGGTTCAGTGGTTGAACCCATCAGCTCTGGAAACAGGATGCCAGGGCCCCCACCTGCCTTTAGCAAGCGACTGAAGCCTCAGTTGCCACATCTGTTAAGTGGGGCTAGTAGTGGTCCCTCCCTTCTGGAGACTTTTTGAGTTTTTTATGAGATTGGCACATAATTGGTACTCAGTAATGGCAGCTATAAATGGGAAGGTGGTCTGCATTTCAGCCATGGCTGTGGTCCCAGGACAAATGGCCTTCCCCCTGTTGGCTGTGTTCTTTGATAGGTTCAGACGTCTGGACCCCTATAGAGAAGAGGCTTTTTAAGAAGGCGTTCTATGCCCACAAGAAGGACTTCTACTTGATACACAAGATGGTAAAGTGAATGTGGGCTGGTGTCCAAGGCCCTGCCTCACACAGCTGAGACAAGCTAGAGCTGCAGGGCTGGTCGGGGGTCGGAGGGCCCCACCCTCACCTGCCTGTGGCAGCACTCTTACTGTAGACAGTTTACAATGTCAAAAAGCTATCCTCATGAACAGCTCCAGATGGTACAGACCTGCATCACCTGCACAGAACAGTCTTCCATGCCCCTCCCCGCAGTCCTACTTCTGCTTGGCAACCTCTGTTACCTATTCCACCAAGCAACAGGCATTTCTGTCTGTACAAATTTTATATATATAGGTATGCATGTACTTTAAAAAAGATAAGGGCCGGCCATGGTGGCTTACGCCTGTAATCCCAACACTTTGGGAGGCCAAAGGCGGGAGGATCACTTGAGATCAGGAGTTCAAGACCAGCCTGGCCAACATGGTGAAACCCTGTCTCTACTAAAAATACAAAAATTAGCCGGGCATGGTGGTGAGTGCCTGTAATCCCAACTAGTTAGGAGGCTGAGGCATGAGAATCGTTTGAACCCGGGAGGCAGAGTTGCAGTGAGTGGGGATTGTGCCACTGCACTCCAGGCTGGGCAACAGAGTAGGACTCTGTCTCTTTTTTTTTTTTTTTTTTTTGAGACGGAGTTTTGCTCTTGTTGCTCAGGGTGGAGTGCAGTGGCGCAATCTTGGCTCACCGCAACCTCCGCCTCCCGGGTTCAAGCGATTCTCCTGCCTCAGCCTTCCGAGTAGCTGGGATTACAGGCATGCGCCACCATGCCCAGCTAATTTTGTATTTTTTAGTAGAGATGGGGTTTCTCCATGTTGGTCAGGCTAGTCTCGAACCCCCGACCTCAGGTGATCCACCTGCCTCAGCCTCCCAAAGTGCTGGGATTACAGGCGTGAGCCACGGCGCCCGGCCCAGGACTCTGTCTCAAAAAAAAAAAAAAAAAAAGGGCCTGGCGTGGTGGTTTATGCCTGTAATCCCAGCACTTTGGGAGGCCGAGGCATGTGGATCACCTGAGGTTGGGAGTTCGAGACCAGCCTGACCAACATGGAGAAACCCTGTCTCTACTAAAAATACAAAATTAGCTGGGCATGGTGGCACATGCCTGTAATCCCAGCTACTCGGGAGGCTGAGACAGGAGAATCGCTTGAACCCGGGAAGCGGAGGTTGCGGTGAGCCAAGATCTCGCCACTGCACTCCAGCCTGGACAACAAGAGTGAAACTCCGTCTCAAAAAAAGAAAAAAAGGATGAGGTCAGGCGCAGTGGCTCACGCCTGTAATCCTAGCACTTTGGGAGGCCAAGGTGGGAGGATTGCTTGAGGCTAGGAGTTCAAGACCAGCCTGGGCAATATAGTGAGACCTTGTCTCTACAAAAAAGTTAAAAACTAGCCTAGCATGGTGCCGCGTGCTTGTGGTCCCAGCTACTCGGGAGGCTGAGGTGGGAGGATTGCTTGAGCATAGGAGGTGAAGGCTGCAATGAGCCAAGATTGCACCACTGCACTCCAGCCTGGGTGACAAGATGAGACTCTCACCACCCCGAAAAAAGCCAAAGGATGAGATCTCACTGCATATAATGTCCTGCTGCTTATTTTCTGTTCTAAAAAAAAAATTGGATGTATACAAAATTGCACATAATTGCAGTATAATAAGATTTGCTAAGTTTTGACATATTGATACTATACCTGGGAAACCATCACCACAGTCAAGATAATGAGCATGTCCCTCAGCCCTGAATCTCCTCCTGCCACATAGTAATCACTCCCCATTGCACCCCCTGTCCTCAGTCAGCACTGATCTGCCAGGGCACTGTAAATTCGTTTTCATTTCCTAGAGTTTGCTATAAATGGAGTAGTCACACAGTATGGACTCTACTTGGTCCAGCTTTCTCACACTCAGCATCATGATTTTGAGTTCATCCATGTTCCAGGTATTGATAGGTCTCCCCTTTTCACTGCTGAATAGTATTCCACTGGGTGGATGTACCACGGTTTAAAGAATCATTTGCCTGTTGGTGGACATTTGAGTGGTTTCCAGTTTGGGATGACTATAAATAAATTCGTTATGAACATTCAGGTACCAGTCTTGGTATGGACATGTACTTTGTTTTCTAGAGGAGTAAATACCAGGAATGGAATGACTTAGTAGGTGTATGCTTAACTTTTTAAGAAACCGCCAAACAATTTTCCAAAGTAGTTGTATCATTTCACATTCCTACCGGCAGGAAAAGAGATTTCTAGTTGCTCCACAAACTCGCTAGCCCTGGGTAGGGCCAGTCCTTTTAATTCCAGCCATTCTCATGACAGTGTGGTGGCATCGCATTGTGTTTCCTTCACAACTGACGATGCTGAGCATCTTTTCATGGGCCTGTTTGCTGTCTGTATGCCTTATTTGGTGAGGTGTCTGTTCATATCTCTTGCATATGTTTTTATTGAGATGTCTGTGTTTTCTTTTTTTTTTTTTTTTTTTGAGATGGAGTCTCACTCTGTTGCCCAGGCTGGAATGCAGTGGCGCAATCCATGCTCACTGCAACCTCTGCCTCCCAGGTTCAAGCGATGCTCCTGCCTTAGCTTCCTGAGTAGCTGGGATTACAGGCGCCTGCTACCACGCCTGGCTAATTTTTGTATTTTTAGTAGGGACGGGGTTTTGCTATGTTGACCAGGCTGGTCTCGAACTCCCAACCTCAGGTGATCTGCCCACCTTGGCCTCCCAAAGTGCTGGGATTACAGGCGTGAGCCACCGCGCCCAGCCGGCTGTGTTTTTATTATTGAGTTACAGCAGTTCTTTATTGATTCAGGACACGTCATTTATCCAGATCCATGCTTTGTGAATGTTTTCTCCCAATCTGTAGCTTTTTAATCTCTTAACAATGTCTTTTAAAGAAAAATTTTGTCATTTTGATGAAGTCATTTATTAATTTTTCTTTTATGGACTGTGCTTTTGGTGTTGTATCTAAGAATTCTTTGCCTAACCCAACCACAAAGATTTTCCCCTTGTTTTCTCTAGAAGTTTTTTTTTTTTTTTTTTTTTTTTGTGAGACGGAGTCTCGCTCTGTCGCCCAGACTGGAGTGCAGTGGCGAGATCTTGGCTCACTGCAAGCTACGCCTTCCAGGTTCATGCCATTCTCCTGCCTCAGCCTCCCGAGTAGCTGCGACTACAGGCACATGCCACCACCATGCCCGCCTAATTTTTTGTATTTTTAGTAGAGACGGGGTTTCACCGTGTTAACCAGGATGGTCTCTATCTCCTGACCTCGTGATCTGCCCGCCTCGGCCTCCCAAAGTGCTGGGATTACAGGCGTGAGCCACCTTGCCCGGCCTTCTCTAGAAGTTTTATAGTTTTAGGTTTTACAATTAGGTTTACAATTCAGTTTGTGTTAATTTTTGTATATGGTGTAAAGTATGAGTTAAAGTTCATTTTTTGCATGTGGATATTCATTTGTACCTTTTGTTGAAAAGACAAAAAAATGTAATACCATACTGTTTTTACTACTGTAGCTTTCTAAGTCTTAAGATCATGTATTACCATATGAACTTTCTAAGTAGCTTATCCATTTTTACCAAAAAAAACAAAACAAAACAAAACAAAAAACCTGCTAGGATTTTGATTGGTACTGCATTGGCTCTATAGGCCAATTGAGGAGAGTTGACTTTTTTTTTTTTTTGGAGACAGAGTTTCACTCTCGTTGCCCAGGCTGGAGTGCAGTGGCGCGCTCTTCACTCACTGCAACGTCCACCTCCCGGGTTCAAGCGATTCTCGTACCTCAGCCTCCCGAGTAGCTGGGATTACAGGTGCGCACAACCACACCTGGCTAATTTTTGTATTTTTAGTAGAGACAGGGTTTCACCATGTTGGCCAGGCTGATCTTGAACTCCTGACCTCAGGTGATCTACCTGCCTCAGCCTCCCAAAGTGCTGGGATTACAGGCGTGAGCCACCGCACCCAGCCAAGGAGAGTTGACATTCTAACAACATTCAGTTTCTGACTCATGAACAGGGGCTGTGTCTCTATGCATCATCTTTAATTTCTCTTAGCAGTGTTTTGAAGGTTTTACTGGTTCTTATTTCTTTTAAGATCTAGGATCTCACTCTGTCGCCCAAGCTGGAGTACAGGGGTGTGATCATAGTTCACTGCACCCTTTGACCTCCTGGGCTCAAGTGATCCTCCAACTTTGAGTAGCTGGGACTACAGGTGTGTGCAATCACACCTAGCTCTGGTATAACTCTTTTTTTTTTTTTTTTTTTAGACAGAGTCTCGCTATGTCACCCAGTCTGGAGTGCAGTGGTACGATCTCAGCTCACTGTAACCTCCACCTCCTGGGTTCAAGCGATTCTGCTGCCTCAGCCTCCTGAGTAGCTGGGATTACAGGTGCGTGCCACCACACCCGGCTAAATTTTTTGTATTTTTAGTAGAGATGGGGTTTCCCCATGTTGGCCAGGGTGGTCTCAAACTCCTGACCTCAGGTGATCCTCCTGCCTCGGCCTCCCAAAGTGCTGGGATTTCAAGTGAGCCACCGCGCCTGGCCTCTGGCATAACTCTTTGAACATATATTAAACAGTTATGGTAACCTTTCATGTCCTTCCCTGCTCATTCTAACACCTGTGTCTCTGGTGGGTTGACTTTGATACATTGGGTTTTCTCCTCCTGATGTGCCGTGTTATCCTGCGTCTTTGCGTGCATGGTGATTTTCACCAGATCACGGGCATTGTGAATGTTAGCTGTTGGATGCTGGATATTTTTGCAGCCTTGTAAATATTCTTGAGTTTTGTTCTGGGACACAGTTACTTTTAGGTTCAGTTTTAGATTTTTTAGATGGGACCAGCATAGCTCTTCTCTAAGGCTGATTATTTCTCCTTACTGAGGCAAGACTGTGTCACTGCCCTACCCAGTGCCCCCTGCATCATAAAATTTCCCACTCTGGCTGTGGGAACGGGCACTCTTCCTGGCCCTGTAGGAGCAGCACACACTTTCCCCTCTCATCCTTTTGGATGGCTCTTTGCCCAGCTTTGGCTGGTCTCTTCCCATGCATGTGCTGGGCAGTCTTTGGGTGAGTTCTTGGGGGAAATTTGCTCCCCATCTCTGGAATGTTCTGTGTGTAGCTCTCTCCTCTCCCATCCTCTGTCCTGTGGGCTCTACCGCCGTGGTCTCCGGAGGCACTGTGCTCCACCTCAGCTCCCTAAGTCCTGCTGGGTTCTGCCTAAATTGCCCCTGCCTGGGTGGTGGCCTGGAAACACAAGTTGATAAGCTGGAGCGGTGGCAGCTTGCTTCCTGTCAGGGTTCACTGCCCTTTGTTGAATGACGCCTGGTGTCTTGCCAAACATTGTTTATATTTTGACTCTGTGTTTTCATTGTTTTGGACGAGAGGGTAAATCTGGTTCTGTTGCTCCATCTTGTTCAGAAGCAGAAGTCCAACTTTTTTTTAAACTTAGTGATGTCTCTTAGGCAGAGTTTGTGCTGTTTTGACTCCTCGTTTGTGAATACTCACAAAGCTGAAAAACATTTGGGTGGAGAATGTCTTTTCTGGAGTTCGCTCAATAGCCGATTTAATTTCCCAAGAAATTTTCTTCCTAGAGCAATTAAACTTTTCCTTTTTTTTTTTTTTTTTTTTTTTAAAAGAGACGCTCGCCGGGCGCGGTGGCTCACGCCTGTAATGCCAGCACTTTAGGAGGCTGAGGCAGGTAGATCACAAGGTCAGGAGTTCGAGACCAGCCTGGCCAATAAGGTGAAACCCCGTCTCTACTAAAAACACAAAAAAATAGCTGGGCATGGTGGTGCGCGCCTATAGTCCCAGCTACTCGGGAGGCTGAGGCAGAGGAATTGCTTGAACCTGGGAGGTGGAGGTTGCAGTGAAAAAAAAAAAAGATACTCGCTCTGGAGTACCGTGACACTATCATAGCTCACTGCTGGCCGGGTGCGGTGGTTCAGGCCTGTAATCCCAGCACTTTGGGAGGTCGGGGCAGGCAGATCACCTGAGGTCAGGAGTTCAAGACCAGCCTGGCCAACATGGTGAAACCCTGTCTCTACAAAGATACAAAAATTAGGTGGGCATGATGGAGGGTACCTATAATCCCAGCTACTCAGGAGGCTGAGGCAGGAGAATCACTTGGACCCGGGAGGCGGAGGTTGCAGTGAGCCAAGATCGTGCCATTGCACTCCAGCCTGGGCGACAGAGCGAGATTCTGTCTCAAAAAAAAAAAAAAAAAAAAGGCTCACTGCAGCCTTGAACACCTGGGCTCAAGCGATCATCTCGCCTCAGCATCTTAAGTAGCTGGGACCACAGGCATGCACCACCATGACTGGCTAATTTTTTAAAAATTCTGTAGAGATGGGGTCTTGCTATGTTGCCCAGGCTGGTCTTGAACTCCTGACCTCAAGTCGTCCTCCTGCCTCAGCCTCTCAAAGTGCTGGGATTACAGGCGTGAGCCACCAAGCCCAGCTTCCCTTTTGTTTTTAACAGAAGTTATTTTTAGTGGGATCCTTTCTTAGTGGAGGAACGGGAAAATAATCCCCTAGGTTCACACTGTGCACTCAAAACCTCCCCTTCTTCTAGAGTGGGTCACTTCCTGCCAAGACTTTAGAGGCTCTGCCTAGCTGTTGTAATGTCTGTGTGGTATTCTGCCTGCAGAGAGCATTCCGATTTATTAGCATGATGTCACAGTTGGCATCCCTGGTGCAACCTTTGTGCCCATCTTCCTTAGGAAAGAATTCCTGAGCTGGAATGGCTGCTCAGAGTGTGCAGGCTTAGGTACTGGTGGCTACTATGTGGCTCCAGTTTGAACGCCCTCGTCCCCAGGAAGGATTTTGTGGTCCTGTGCCTTTGTGGTGAGTGGTAACGCCAAGCCAAAGGAAGAGGTGCTTCCGGAGGGCTTTCCAAAGGAGGCGGCCGGCCCAATGGCAAGGTCACACTCCCAGGGCCCGCGTGGCACAGCCACAGCCTGCTTGTTTTCTTTCACTAGATCCAGACAAAGACGGTAGCTCAGTGCGTTGAGTATTATTACATCTGGAAAAAAATGATCAAGTTTGACTGTGGCCGAGCCCCAGGGCTAGAAAAGAGGGTCAAGAGAGAGCCGGAGGAAGTGGAAAGGACAGAGGAAAAGGTAGAGGAACCAGGGCTGTGTCGGGAGCTCTTCTCTCCTCCCAGTGCCTGCTACCCGTTGAGTTGGACGGTGGGGTCAGAGGGCGGGGGTGCTCCTGATGGAAGGGTTTTCCTGCAGGAGACACGTATGCCCCCAGCTCTGTGTCTCTCTTACAGCAGGACAGGTCAGCACCCTTATGTCACTTTTGCTCCCTCTGCAGGTCCCATGCAGCCCTCGGGAGAGACCCAGCCACCATCCAACTCCCAAGTTAAAGACCAAGAGTTATAGGAGGGAGTCCATCCTCAGCTCCAGCCCAAATGCAGGCTCCAAGCGGACCCCCGAGCTGTTGGGAAGTGCAGAGAGCCAGGGCATTTTTCCATGCAGAGAGTGTGAAAGGTACCCAGCTTTCTCCTGGAAACACTCCCAGGGCTCCCAGCCTCAGCCCCTGTGATCCCTTCCTCCCTGCTCTGACCCCATGTCCTCTGGTGACTCCTCAGGGTGTTTGACAAGATCAAGAGTCGAAATGCCCATATGAAGCGGCACCGCCTTCAGGACCACGTGGAGCCCATCATCAGGGTGAAGTGGCCAGTGAAGCCCTTCCAGCTAAAGGAAGAGGAGCTGGGAGCTGACATCGGCCCCCTGCAGTGGTGACTCCCGTGGCAGCAAGTCCGAATGGGGCCTCCAGTGCTGCCCCTCCTCCCTTCGGCCTCTCCAGGGCGTTTGGGGCACCCCTCTGCCTCCCCCCACCCTCCCTGTCCCCTGTTGGCCAACCTGCCTGCAAACATGGAGGGCATTTGGCCACAGATAGGCAGGAGGAGCTCAGTTGTCGGACAGCTATGCAGTCCCTGTCCGGTGGTGCTGGAGGCTCCACTCTCCTTAGGTTCATAGTCTCTCCCCTTCTTTCCCTTCCACTTCTAGAGCAGGGAGGCTTGGGGAGGGGAAAATTTAGCTCTGGGTAGCTCTTAAATCTTAGCCTCAGTTGTGGGGTTTGGTTTCATGTGTTAGATAAGGCCAAGACTTAGAGAATCAGTGGGAAAAAACCTTGAGATCTCCAACACGCTGGGCCCCTCCCTGGGGCGGGGACTCTACCTTCCAGATTCAGTCCCTAGTCTTGCGATGAATTCTGCATTGTTCGGTGTTTTTTGTACATGTCAACTCGTAAATCTGATTAAATTGGGTTCTTGAGCTGCTGTCTTTGACTTCCCTGCCTATTGATCCAATAAAGGCTTAGGAACCCCACCACGTGCTAAGGGCAGGAGGTGAGTCAGCTGTGGCCTGCCCTGGGGGCTGGGGGCCTTGGGGAGAACACGGGCATGTTGATTTGGACATTCATTCAGCAAACATCTACGAAGCACCTGCTGTAGAATGCACTGGACGTTGCCAATCCGTACAACAGGGATAGTGAAGCAAGAGAGGCCCTTTTCCTCACGGACCTTCTCTTGTAGGAGCAGGAAGGTAGCAGTAATAAGCAAACAAGGTGATTTTAGGTCATGGTACTGGAAATGCTTTTGACTGTAACAGAAGAGTTGGTGTTGATTTAAACAATCATGGAGTTTGGCTGTCCCAGTAGGGGCTCAGCCTTGAAATCAGGGACCCCTGGCAGGGGCAGGGGCAGGGGCAGAACGAGGGCTCCAGCAGAGGCGAGAATAACCTCGAACCAAAATCCAGACCGGCAGGGGGCGGGCGGCGGGGGAAAGAAGAGAAAACAGCCCCCCTCCCTGCCTCCCTTTTTAAGAGTGAGGAAAACTTTTAACAGCTCCCAGCAGATGCCCGTATGTCTCATTGAGCCTGTGTTCGCTTCTAAACTGATCCCTGTTAGTGAGAAGGGAAATGACCACAGTTAGCCTAGACCACTCAAGATGCAGCTCCATGGCCAGGTGCAGTGGCTCTCTCCACTAATCCCAGCACTTTGGGAGGCCAAGGCGGGCGGATCATGAGGTCAAGAGATCAAGACCATTGTGGCCAACATGGTGAAACCCCATTTCTCCTAAAAATACAAAAATTAGCTGGGTGTGGTGCCACATGACTATAATCCCAGTGACTTGGGAGGCTGAGGTAGGAAAATCGCTTGAACCTGGGAGGTGGAGATTGCAGTGAACCGAGATTGCGTCACTGCATTTCGGCCTGGTAGAGGAAGACTCCATCAGAAAGAAAGAAAGAAAAGAAAGGTAGGCTCCGCAGTGGCTCACACCTGTAATCCCAGCACTTTGGGAGGTCAAGGTAGGTGGATCATTTGAGGTCAGGAGTTTGAGACCAGCCTGGCCAACATGGTGAAACTCCGTCTCTACTAAAAATGCAAAAAAATTAGCCAGGCATGATGGTGAACACCTGTAGTCCCAGTTACTCAGGAGGCTGAGGCAGGAGAATCACTTGAACCTGGGAGGTGGAGGTTGCAGTGGGCCAAGATCGCGCCACTGCACTCCAGCCTGGGCGACAGAGTTGTCAGTGGCTCACACATCAGTGGGAGGTGGTCAAGGAAAGGACAGATCAAGGCCAGCAGGGCAGGTTTGAGCCTGAGCAGCTGTAGTTGATGCCATTAGCTCAGATGGGGAATTGACTGCAGAGGATTGATTGCATCAGGGTGTGATCGTGTCTATGATAGGGTGAGCCGTGTTCTGAAGAGCTGGGAAAGTAGACGGCAGCGTGAGAAGGTTTCACAGAGGGCCCACCTATCAGCTAAGGCTTAAAGATTGGCTGGGAGTGGGGCAGAGGTGGACGCTGAGTTTGAAGCAGTTGGAACACTGCAGTTAAGGGAAAGGGTTCAGGTGTGAGATGAACCTCAATTCCATCCTGGCTCCTCTTACCTCCTTGTAAACTAGGGCGAATCACTTTCCCTGTGGGAGCCTCAGTTTTCTCAATCTGTAAAATGGGATGAAAATTGCCCCTCCTCAACCCCCGCAACCTATCAGTTAAATAAAATGTAAATTATGGCCAGGCGTGGTGGCTTACGCCTGTAATGCCAGCACTTTGGAAGTCCAAGGTGGGCGGATCACTTGAGGTCAGGAGCTCGAGACCAGCCTGGCCAACATGGTGAAACCCCATCTCTACTAAAAATATAAAATACAAAATTAGCCAGGTGTGGTGGTACATGACTGTAATCCCAGCTACTTGGGTGGCTAAGGCACAAGAATTGCTTGAATCCAGAGGCAGAGGTTGCAGTGAGCAGAGATCGTGCCACTGCACTCCAGCCTGGGCAACAGAGCAAGACTCCATGTCAAAATAAATAAATAAATAGAAATAAAATGTAAATTAAGCACTTGGGAGGGTGCACCATAAGAACTGAATGGCTACTAGTTAACAAGCTCTCATGTGATTGCTAATATTGTTTGGATCCCATCCTAAATAAATCCAATGAACTCTGGAAATGGAAAAAAATTCCCTGGTTGAAAAGGCTGAGGGGTTATATTATCTGTTGCTGCATGACAAATTACCCTGAAATGGAACAGCTTAAACAGAAGCTTTTACATAGTGTTGCTTTGACAGACATGGAACCAAAACCGCTTGTGGTAATCCAGGCTCACCCCCACCTGCTCTGTGGTCAGGACACAGTGGCAACCACAAGTAGGTGGTCCAGGCAAGTCTATTCATGTATGAAGAGAGTTGGGGGAAGGCTTCTTATGCCTTGCTCGGCTCAGCCAACCCCCTAGATAATAGCGGTTTCTCAAACTGTGGTCCCGGGATTATCTGCATCCTAATTTTACTTTTTTTTTTTTTTGAGATGAGACAGGGTCTCACTCTGTTGTCCCGGTTGGAGTGCAGTGGCACAGTCATAGCTCACTGCAGCCTCAAACTCCTGGGGTCAAACAATCCTCCCACCTCAGCCTCCCAAGGAGTAATTAAAATTTTTTTAATTTTGTGGAGATAGGATCTTGCTTTTTGCCTAGGTTGGTCCTTAACTCCTAGGCTCAAGCGGTCCTCCCGCCTTGGTCTCCCAGAGTGTTGGGATTACAGGCATGAACCACCAGGTCTGGCTGCATCCTAATTATATAGGGTTCTGTTTTTTAAAAATGCAGATTCCTGTGACCCACCACAGACTCAGAATTGGAACCATTGTGGGTACGGCCTTGGAAACTGTTTTATTTAAAGAAGATTTTTAGGATAGTTTTAGATTTGTAGAAAAACTGCAATGACAGCAAAAAAAAATTCCCACATACCCCAGTTTCCCCTATGATTAACATCTTATATTAGAATGGTACATTTATTACCACGTATGAACCAGTATGGCACAATATTATTAACTAAACTTCATAGTTTATTTAGATTTCCTTAGTGTTTTTGTTTGTTTTGAGATGGAGTCTCACTCTGTCACCCAGGCTGTAGCACAGTGGCACAATCTCGGCTCACCACAACCTCCACCTCCTGGGTTCAAGCAATTCTGCTTCAGCTTCCTGAGTAGCTGGGACTATAGGCGCCCTCCACCAGGCCCAGCTAATGTTTGTATTTTTAGTAGAGACAGTGTTTCTCCATGTTAGCCAGGCTGGTCTGGAACTCCTGACCTCAGGTGATCCACCCGCCTCAGCCTCTCAAAGTGGTGGGATTACAGGTATGAGCCACCGCACCCGGCCAATTTCCTTGGTTTTTTAACTCAATGCCCTTCTGTTCCAGGATCCCACCGAAGGTAAGACATTACATTTAGCAGTCACGTCTCCTTGGCTGTGATGGTTTCTCAGGCTTTCCTTGTTTTGATGACTTGACAGTGTTATTTGTTTGAGACGGAGTCTCCCTCTTGTCCCCCAGGCTGGAGTGCAGTGAGGCAATCTCCGCTCACTGCAACCTCCACCTCCAGGGTACAAGTGATCCTCCTGCCTCAGCCTCCCAAGTAGCTGTGATTACAGGCATGCACCACCTCACCGGGCTAAGTTTTTTGTATTTTCAGTAGCGACGGGGTTTCCCCATGTTGGACAGGCTGGTCTCAAACTCCTGGCCTCAAGTGATCCTCCTGCCTTGGCCTCCCAAAGTACCAGGACTACAGATGTGACACACTGCACCCACCAACAGTGTTGAGGAGTACTGGGCAAGTATTTTGGAGGATGTGGCTCAACTGGAATTTGTCTAGTGTTTTTTTCATGATTAGATTGAAAGATCCCAGAAGTAAAGAGCCATTTTAATCACATGACTTATCAATGTTGAGGTTAACCTCAATCACCTAGATGTCAATGTCAGGTTTCTCCACTGTAAATTTAGGCTTTTTCTCCCCTTTCTTGTACCCTCTTCTTTGAAAGGAAGTCACTATGCACAGTCCATACTTACAGAATGGGGAGGTATCCTTCACCTTCTTGAGAGCAGAGTATCTACGCAGATTATTTGGAATTCTTCTGCACAAACTATTTGTCTATTCTCCCCCCTTTATTTATTTGTTCTATATTCATCTATATGACCATAGGCTCATGGATACTTTATGTTTGGGATTATAATCCAATACTACTTTATTTTGATGCTCAAATTGTTCCAGCTTTGGCCATTGGGAGTTCTTTCAGTTGGCTCCTTTGGCATACCCCCTAATTTTGTGTGTGAGCACACGTGTGGAATACTTCCTTCCTTTCTGGCACTACAAAGTTATACTGAGGTGAGCTATGATTGTGCTGCTGCACTCCAGCCTGGGCGACAGACCGAGACCCTGTCTCCAAAACCAACAACCCAAAGAGTGAGACCCTGTCTCAGAAACCAGCAACTCAATTTTCTGGGACAGCAGGAGGTGTGTTTGAGCCTAAACTTTTTTTTTTAGAGACAGAGTCTTGCTATGTTGCCCAAGGCGGGACTTGAACTAGACTCAAACTCCTGGGCCCAAGCGATCCTCTCGCCTCCCGAGTAGCTGGGATTATAGGCACGAGACACCGCGCCCATCTTCGAATCTGAATTTTTTTTTAACACGCTCTCTTCAGCTATTTTTTTTTTTTTTCTGAGACTAAGTCTCACTCTGTCGCCCAGGCTGGAGTGCAGTGGCACGATCTCGGCCCGTTGCAACCTCCACCTCCCCGGTTCAAGCGATTCTCCTCTCTCAGCCTCCTCAGTAGCTGGGATTACAGGAGTGTGCCACCACACCCGGTTAATATTTGTATTTTAGTAGAGCGGGGTTTCGCCATGTTGGCCGGGCTGGTCTCAAACTCATGACCTCAAGTGATCCGCCCGCCTCGGCCTCCCAAAGTGCTGGGATTACAGGCGTAAGCCACCGTGCCCGGCCCTCTTCAGCTATTTTTTATGAAACCAGAGTTAGAGAACCTCTTAAGTTTTTGTTTGCAGTCTCTCTTCACCGGTCTCCCCAAAGCAGTTCTAGTACTGGCCGACAGAGGGAGCAAGAAAAAGCAGAACGGTTTCCTTTTCCCACAAACGCCTTTCCAAGTGAAGAAACCGGCGAGACCAGCCGCGGGGGCGGGACTAAGTTCTGCGCAGAACTGTCAAACCCGGGCGTGGGCCCCGAGCTGTCACGTGAGTGTCTGCGGTCAGCTGACTGTGCCAGAGTTCCGCGGGGAGGGCGAGTGGGGGACCCCCCGCCCCAGCGCGAGCCGAGGGCTCCTGCTGATTGGTGGAGGAGGATCCAGCAGCAACACCGTGGGGCGGGGCCTCGGCGGGGGGTACTGCCATTGCCTTCCACAGGGTCACGTGGGAGGTGAGGTACAGAGCGCTGGGGAGAGAGTGGAGCGCCGTTCGCCGGTATGTGCGCATGCGTTGAGGTCTCTTGACGCCGATTGGGGGGTCACGAGTCACGGGCGGCGTGCGGCGGCTGGTGGGGGCGTGTCCGGCGGAGCGGGCGCGGCGTTACGAGGCCGCTGGTTGGCCAGCGCTAGTCACGTGGTTCCTGGCCGCAAGCGACGCGCGCCGGTGCGACGTCAACGCAGCCGGGCGAGTTTTACCGATCTGTGTTCCGCGGCCCGGCCGCGGCTGAGTCTTCCCAGGGTCAGGGTCAGGCGCTTTGCTGAGTCCCTTTGTGGCCGCCATGGACAATTCCGGGAAGGAAGCGGAGGCGATGGCGCTGTTGGCCGAGGCGGAGCGCAAAGTGAAGAACTCGCAGTCCTTCTTCTCTGGCCTCTTTGGGTGAGAACCGGGCTGAGGGGTCGGCCGGGACCTAGGCTGAGAGGACGAAGGAGTCACGCTCGGAGGTGGCGGGTTAGGGCACGCAGAGCTCGGGCCGAGGGGACGGAGAGGAACCTGCAATAAGGTGACATGGCCTGAGGCGGCAGAGGGGACGCAGGCTGAGGGCCAAGAGCCTGGGCCGGGGCAACACGGTTTGAGGAGAGACGGTCTGACATGGCGGAAGGGATTTGGGCTGAGGACACACGGACCGAGGCGACACTATCTTGAGGCGAGGAAGGGGACCCAGGCCGAAGACAGGCCAGCGGGCGGGGGAGAACCTGGACCGAGGGAGTACGTCCTGAAGCCTTGGAGGGGACCGGCCTGGGGGGACGGAGGGAGTCCGGGAGAGAAGCCAGGTCCAGAGGCTTTTCGGAGCTCTAGGGGAGTCTGTTTGAAGGCTCTCAGGCGGCAGTGATGGGGCCTGGGGCTGAGGACGCCTGCCCGAGGGACTGACCTTTTCAACCCCTGGAGCAGTGGATTTGCGTGGGCCCTGGGCGGTGAGGGTGAAGGCTGAAGGGGGCTGACACCAGGCAGAGGGGCTCAGGGCTAGATGATCCTAGGAGCGGTGAGCCGCGTCTGAAGTGTGGGGGGTGCATGGGGTGAGTACGGCCCTGGTTAGCAGTGACTAGTTTAAGGACAGCTGAACGGAGGAACCCGGGATGATGGAGTCAAGACTGTGGAGGTCTCAGCACTTTGGGAGGCCGAGGTGGGCAGATTATCTGAGGCGGGGAGTTCGAGACCAGCCTGGACAACATGGTGAAACCCCGTCTCTACTAAAAATACAAAAGTTATCTGGGCCTGGTGGCGGGTACCTGTAATCCCAGCTACTCGGGAGGCTGGGGCAGGAGAATCACTTGAACCCGGAGGTAGAGGTTGCAGTGAGCCGAGATCGAGCCACTGCACTACAGCCTGGGGGACAGAGCGAGACTCTGTCTCAAAAAAAAAAAAAAAAAAAAAGAAAGAAAGAAAGAAAAAAGCCTGAGGAGGCCTGGGTTGAGGCTGGAGACTCCTGGGTGGGGGAATGCGTGGTGGTGGCTTGGCCAAGGAGATGGAGGGATAACAGGGAGAGACAGGGGGACTGAGAGAACCAAAACGGGGGATCAAATTCCTGCTGTGTGATCCTCGAGTAATAGGGATGACAGAGACATGCTGAGAAGAGGGATGGGAAAAGGCCTGGGAGACAGAACTAACACATATGACGTGGCATAAAACTCACGTTAGCTCCTAAAAGCTGACACGACCATCCTGTGATAAATTGTAGTGGCTTAGAAGTGCCAAGAGCCCAAGTAGCTCTGCCACTTACTTCATGACTTTGGGTAAATTGTTTAGTCTCCCTGCTAAAGGAGATCACAAATCAAACCTACCTCCCATTTGCTATGAGTGTTAGAATTGAGCCTGGCGTGGAGTTACATCTCTGAGAGTGTTAGCTGTTGTTAATGTGACTTCCAGAAGGAAACAGGTTCGGAGCGTGCAGAGAGCTGATGGGGGTTCAAGGTGGACGCCCGAGCGGAGAGGTCTGGGAGGGGTCAGGAGAGGGAGAGACTGAGAAACATGAGTGTGCTAAGAGGAGCTGAAAGGGAACAGAAAAGGGATCCACGAAGACTTAGTAGGGTTGAGAGGAGCATGAGGCTCTGGGCAGAGGAAGGAGAAGGGAGTTTGGCAGGGGGCGGTGGTGTGGGAGGTGGTGGGATCTGTGCTGATGGGACGACCCGAAAGGGTCAAGGGGAGGTTGTGGAAACTGAGAGGAGACCTGGGAAAGGACTAGTGGGCTTGTAGAGAGAACAGTGTGTGGTGGCCACTCAGAAGCAGAGCCTGGGGACGGTGGTGGGACTGGGAACATCTGCAGAAGGCTGGAGAAGGGGGTTTGGGAGGAGGGCCTGGGGATGGGAAGAGACTGTGGTAGGAGCCTGGCAGAGGCTGGTAAGACACGAAGGAGAGGGATCTTTACAAGAGAGGAAGGAACAGGAAAAGGGCTCTAGGCCACGCCCCTTGTTTGAGGTTGGATAATGTTTAGCAAAATAACTTGAAGAACATGATGGCGAATTGCCTGGTGTGGAGAAACATCCGGGGCTGATGGACTGGATTGATTAGGTGAAAAATGTTTTATTTTAGAGGCTGCGAGGAGAGAGAGGGTGTGTGTGTGTTTCTTTTTCTTCACAAGGGGAGAAGTTCAAGTGCTGTGTTTGGGGGTGGGGCCACGAGCTGGGTTTTTGGTGATAGTTTTCCTGGGTGGCTCTGGGTGTCTGGTCCCTTTGGCCCAGGGATTAGTGGGCTGTTGGACTGTGTGCTTGGAGGGAGCAGCTAAGTCAGCCCCAAGGCATTTGCTACCTGATTGGGAAGGCAGGATGAACAGCAAACACCAATAAAGTGGAATTACCTACTGTAAGGAGGGGCTCGATGATGTCATTCCTGTGACTGTCTGAGCTCAGAGGAAGCAGCGTGAACCAGGGGGAGGCTCTTGGTGAGGAGTGAGCTGGGCCCCAAGGAATCCCAGGACTTGCTGGGGAGTGGGGCCGGGGAGGGTGCTCTAGGCAGCAGGGATGGTGCAACAGAGATCTACCGTGACGGGAGGTTCTGCCTGGAAAGACAGGGAACTGAGATCCAGAGGGATCAGAAATGGCTTCCTGGGGGAGAGGCCCCAACCCTGGGGGGATGAACATGAGTTCTGGGGTGCTCTCTGGCAGGGAGCAGCACTCCAGGCAAGGATTATTATGGAGCATGCCTTAGGAAGATGGAACACAGGGAGTTCCACGTTAGACCATAAAGGTGGAAGCGGCAGGTGAGGCCAGACAAGGAAGGTCTGGTGAGCAAGGGCTGGGCCTGGAGGAGGCACTGAAGATCTCCGAGGAGGCTAAGGGAGGCCCATCCTGGCGAGCTCCTGTTTGCCTTCTAGAAAGGACTGCAGCAGCTGGTGTGGGGGAGAGTGACAGCAGGAGGCTGTTGCAGTGCCGGTAATACTAGCAGATGCTGGTTATTAAGTGCTCGCTCTGACTCAGACCCTGGCCTGGGCCAGGCTCAACCTGCTGATGGATGGTATGGATTTAGTCCTTACAAAATCCCCGTGGAGGTAGAGAAACTTGGGGGCTTAGAGAAGTTGACTTATTTGCCCAGCCCCACAGTAAGTGGGAGAAGTGGCATTCAAACCCAGTTCTGTGTGATTCCAGAGCCTTCTCACTTAGCCCCTTTGCTGTGCTACCACGGTAGTTTCTCCTCAAGGTTCATGACCATCTCTGGGCACTACATTTAGGAAGGATGTTGGCAAACTAGGTGTGTTGGAGAGCTGCCACCCTCTTAACTGTCCTCCCATGGCTGTTTTCTCCAAATATGTGAAAAAAAGAGCTGGTGTGTTCATCTCAGTTCCTTCCAGCTCCCAGAGGAGCTGACCTGGTGCTGTGGGAGTATGAGTGAGGTTAGGGCAGAGGGCAGGGAGGATGGGAGGCTGGCCTGACCGGAGCTTGTGTGCCTGGGAGCTGGGAGCACAGCCAGAGGCCAGCTTGGGAGGACCTGCTTGGCGGGCGGGAATCACTCAGGCACCTCCTCCTCTCTGATCTGGGTTTGCTTGTGTTCAACATTTCATAACCCACCTTTATTCAAGGTCCTTGGTAGCTGCCGGGACTGGAGAAGGGAGCGTTGCGGCTCAGCTTGTCCTTGGTGCCTCTCCCTTCCCCTTTGGGAACCCCAGCAATGACAGCATCCCACATTGAGGGGCCTCTGCCCCTGTCAAAGGGCAAGTCAGAGAGCCCGCACCTGGGACGCAAGGCGATGGGTGTCTGTGCTGTCGCCTGCCTTGGTGCTCAGATGCCACCCTTGCTCTTCATTATTTCTGGGCTGCCAGACGCTAGGGGGCTTTGATGCACCAGCAGCCACTGAAGGCGACAGCACCAGCCAGTTAGGAGAAGCTCAAAGCCATACCTGTTCCTCCCCTTGGTGATGGGGGCGCAGCTCAAACTTCTGCTCTGGAAGCAAAAAGACGGAGACTTCCTAACTACAGCACAGTGAGCCAGCAGCAGAAGGGGATGGCTGAGTCCAGGCACACTAGTTCCTCCTCCCTGCTGCGTGTCTCCTGGGGAATCCAGAGTGCCTGCTGTGCCGTTTGGGGATCCTGCAGGTTCTGAATGGCGGCTCTGTTCCCTGGGGCTTTTCCTCATCCCTGATGTTTCCCAGCCACCTCCCCTGTCCCCAAAATAGCCAAAATAAAAACTTCCTTCCTCTTGGATACAAACGTGTAGAGGGAGTTTCTTCATCTGTGAAATGAAAATCATGGTAACTGTTTCCTCAGGTGGTTTTAAGGATAAATGAGACGATGTGTGGGAAGTGGTGGGAGCACGTTGCCTGGCTCTGCTAATGTTTATTAAGGGCTCACTGTCATCTTTATTAGTAGGTATTGTCATTGGAAGTTGAGCTAGAAGTGCTGGAGAAATAGGTGGCAGAGGGTGTTCTGTATACAAACAGTGCATTCCTAAGATCAGATCTTGACAAATCAGTTCCTGTTTGAACTACCTGTAGGCAATAACGGCGGGACCCTGGGAGGGCCAGCTTGTCTGTACAGGGCCTGCCCAGGGCCTTGGCTGAGACTGGTGTGGGCACGAGCTTCCAGATTTCTCTCCAGACCGCCTTCCTCTGCAGAGCGTGCAGAAACCCCGGCGCCATTTCCAGTGGGCACCCTGGTGAATCACAGTGCCCTGCCAGCTGCCAAGATCCACAACTGAAAACTTGGCATCTCTTGCCCAGTCTCAGAGTGGAGTCTTTCCTGAGGGCACACAAGGTTTCTGGGGAATCCGAGAGTTCCTGGCTTTCCTGATGGATAGGACTTTGCTGCCTGGCCATACAAACATTTCCGTCTCCTTTTTGGGATGGGGCTACTGAGAGGCAAGGGTCTTTGAGAACACCTTTTAAGAAAAAGGAAGTACATTCGCCCTTGGTCTGTGGTGAAATGTAATCCCGTTGGGGTGCAGGAGGGCATCCGTATAAGAAAATAAGAAACAGGGCGCCTGCCAGGCTGTGTGCCGTGTGGCAGGTGAGATCCTGGCTCTGAGCTCATCTCGAAGGGCCGTGGGCCTGTATGTATTTTGAGCATTGTGCAGTAAGGGGTGGGGCATGGGAGGCCAGGACTCTGGAAGCCGAAGGAGGAGCATTACTTAGCTAATCTGGGATGGAGATGAAGCCCATGCTGCTATTCTGAAGTAGGGAAGCGTGCCTGGAATCGGTCCTCTGCGGGGCCTGATGAGAGGGATGCTCTCGTTTACTGAACGCCCGTGGTGTGGCCAGCTCTCTGCTGGGCACGCCGTGGGGTGCTGCCTGCAAGATTGCTCGTGCTTCAGCAGCCCTGCAAGGTGTGGAGTCTTATGCCTAGTTACACATAAGGAAACGCAGGCTGGCACACGATGAGCTGGCGCTGAGGCCAGGCCTGTCTGACTACTGTCAGCATTTATTTTATTTTATTTTATTTTATTTATTTTATTTTATTTTATTTTATTTTATTTTATTTTATTTTATTTTATTTTATTTTATTTTTACCACCACAAGAAACTCTCTAGAATTCCCATTCCTGGGTGGCAGGCACCCCTTTGAGCGTATTTCTCTTCCTTTGTGTAATAGCAACCATTGAGCACCTTTTCCATTCTGCGCTCTGTGCCAAGTATTGACTATGTGTCATTTCTAATCCTCACAAAGACTCCTCCCAGGCCAGATTCATTGTCTCCATTTTATTTCATTTTTCATTTTTTGAGAGACAGGGTCTTGTTCTGTTGCCCAGGCTGGAGGGCAGTGGCGCGATCATAGCTCATTGCAGTCTCAACCTCCTGGGCTCAAGTGATCCTCTCACCTCAGCTTCCCAAGTAGCTGGGACTGTAGGCATATGCCACCATGCCTGGCTAATTTTTAGTAGAGTTGGGGTCTCACTGTGTTGCCCAGGCTGGTCTCAAACTCGAGATCAAGCAACCCTCCTGCTTCGGCCTCCCAAAGCCCTGGGATTGTAGGTGTGAGCCACTGTGGCCAGACATGCTGCCATTTTGTAGATAAAGAATGGAATCTCAGCACTTTGGGAGCAGAGGCAGGAGGATTGCTTGAGCCCAGGAGTTCGAGACCAGTGTAGGCAACACAGGGAGACCCCATCTCTTATTTAAAAAAAAAAAGCCTCAGGGATAACTAGCCCCAGGTCGAACACTTAGCAAAGTACCTGAAACGGACTTCAGCCCAGGTCTCGCCACCCCAAAGTCATTCTCTTTCTACCCCTTGTCTTTGCCCAGACAGGCATGTCACAAGAGGGTCCTGTGGCGATTTCAGAGCTGGGCAGTTAGCCTGTGACACTTTATTCTTTCACCGTTGTTAACTGGGGCTTGTGGAGAGATGGGAAAGCAGAGCTGGGCTCAGGCCCCGCCCTGCAGGAACTCATACTCTGCTTGGTCAGGCAAGGCCCACTGCAGAGTGGCGGGAGGCAGCTGGTGGTTTCCCGCTTCCAGGTGATACTGGTGGCGGTGCCTTCAGGATGCTGAGCCTCTGGCAGCTCCCAGCTCCAGTGCAGTCAGTGGACTAGCAGGGCTGGTGGCCCCCGGCTCCCTGTGCCAGGGTGGACCCTGCACCACAGGCAGCCTTAACTTTTTCTGACGTTCCTTCTGCCTGTTGGCTTGTTACTGGCAGGCTCGGTAGGGGGCTGGCTTAATTCATACTCCTTTGCCTAGAGGATGCTCCACGCAGCCCCAGCAGAGAGCAGCCTCTGCTCGTGAGATGAGGGAAGCCTAGGCAGTACAGGCTCCCTGGCTTCTTTAATCTAGAGGAGGGGTGGGGGCAGGCAGGGACCTTGTCCTCCCTCCTTATTTTCCCAAGGAGCCTTGGGCATGGGGAAGGAAGCCTTCCTGATCACTGAGTGAGAGGCAAGGGCAGGACTGGATCCCCAGGGCCCCAGTCCTCTTTCCAAGCCCTGCTGCTTCCTGGCAGGGTAAGCTTGGACAAGCCCTCCGCCCTCTCTGAGCCCCAGCTTCCTCGCCTGTAAAGCAAGGGCAGCACCCAAAGGGCTCTCGTGAGGAGCTGTGGGCTCCTTCCAGGGGAGTGCCTGGGAGGCAGGGAACGCCATGCGCCAGCCGTGATTAAGGCACATGGTCTCGAGAGCCGTGCAGGAGGTGGGCTTACAGGGAAGACACAGGCATGTGACGGGCCCTAGGACACCTTCCCCACTGAGGGTGCTGACTGGAGACTTGGGGCAGTGGGCCTTAAGTCTGAGGAGGAAACCGTAGGCCTGTGGCTGTGGCTTCCACAGAGGCAAGAGAGATAGAGTGAGTCCAGGACCCGAAATGGGGGCCTGACTTTGTCCACCCTGCCTCGTGAGGTCCTTCGGGAGCTGCAGGTGGTGGGTCTCAGGGCATGGTGTATTTCTGGCAGCCAGGAAGTGCCTGGTGGATGGAGGAAGGAAGGAGGGGGCTAAGACTCTGCCCTGCACAACCCCCTGGCCCAGGTCCCATCAGGCATCTGTGTATTCCTGGCAGTGCCCAGCCTTCCATATGGCAGTCCCTGAGGTTGGTGGCTGTGTTTGGGAGACCTGAGACTCCTTCCTCCGCCTTGGAGGGGGAGAGAGCAAAGCTGAGCGGGTAATTATAGACAGCCCTGCATCAGGCAGCCCAAACCAGTTCCCTCTATTCCCGGAGTGGCTCAGAGCCGTGGGATGGGAGGAGTGAAGCAGAGGCAGCTTGGGGGAGGTCAGTGGGGGAGGGACAGTCAGCTGTCACATGCGCTGCCACCCAGGCCCTCAGGAGAGGAGGCCCAGCTAGATTTTCCTTTCGTGTACTGTTGTTATCTCCTGGCACGTAATAAATGCTCGGATACCTGTTCCCCAGGTGAATAAATGTGTATGTGAATGGCTTCTTCAGGATCTTCCACTGGAACCTAGGCACGTCACTTTCCCCCTTTGGGGACTTCACTCCCATTTCTAAAAGAAGAGGATGGGACCCTGGAGATCTCCTGTCATCCCCTGGCCATGGTAATGGGCAAGACCGCGGGGTGCAGGGGAAGAAGGAGGCAAGCCTGGGGCCTGAGCAGGTGTTAATCCCTCTGGCCTTTCCACCCCACAGAATCATTGACCCCGTGCAGGGTTGGCTGTGCTTAGCCTGGGATCACAGAGTTTCAGCCCGGGCAGCTGGTAGGCTTTGTGTCCGTCCTGAAATAAACCCGGCTGGGCTGACTCTGCTCATTGTTGATTGCCCGCTGTGGGCCACTCAGTGACGTGGGTCATTTCTGCCCATCCAGGGTCTGTGCTTTTTCAGAGAGTGCATGGAGCTGGATAGGACTTAGTCACACTCAAAAAGAAGGGAAGGCTGAGCTGGGGGACCTGTGGGGTGGGCAGACCTGTGATTAAGGTCTGAAAATGTCCCTTTAAGAGAACATTCCAGAGAAGGTCCTTCTGAGGGTTTTTTGCAGCCAGGCCCCAAAGGACCCTTCAGGATTCTCAGCCAGAAGGTTTTGAAAGTTTCTTACCTCTCCAAGGCCAGGAATGGGTTCTAAAGAAGTCATTCCAGGCTGGGCACGGTGGCTCATGCCTGTAATCCCAGCACTTTGGGAGGCCGAGGCGAGTGGACCACTTGAGGTCAGGAGTTCGAGACCAGCCTGGCCAACGTGGTGAAACCCTGTCTCTACTAATAATACAAAAATTAGTAGGGTGTGATGGCACACATCTGTAATCCCAGCTACTCAGGAGGCTGAGGCAGGAGAATTGCTTGAACCCGGGAGTTGGAGGTTGCAGTAAGCTGAGATCGTGCCACTGTACTCCAGCCTGGGCGACAAGAGCGAAACTCCATCTCAAAAAAAAAAAAAAAAAAAAGAAGTCACTCCAAACAAGGCCCAAGGTGTGTTGGGCTGGCTGAGGTGAGGTGGGTGAGGGAAGACAGAGTGCAGCAGGGCGAGTGCGGGAAGAACACATTGCTCAGGGCCACTTCCCAGGGACAGCAGAGGGTGGGGGACAGCATCAGCACAGCCCCAGAAGGCAGAGGGTAGGCTTTTCATCTGGCAAGATGACAGAGAGGATAGGAATAAATAGATTATTTACCTGGTGTGATGTGGATTCAGGAGGCCAGGATCCCTGGCCCAACCAGCCCGCCCACCGTGGGGGCATTTATTTGCCTGCTGACATTGCCAGGCCTGGCCGCTGATCTGATCGCTGGTGGCTGCTTTCCAGGTAGTCGGTCTCAGTCAATTTTTCCTTCTCAAACTCACCTGATCAGCTGAATTACCTGGGCCCCCCAAACCCCAATTGTTAAAAATCTCATTTGCAGGCCCCATCCAGACCCTACTGAGCGAATCCCAAAGTGTGTGGCTGTGGGACTCTGGTTTGATGAAATGAGCACTTCATGTGGCTGAAAGGGATGGGCAGGTTGGACACACTGAATCCGCAGTGCAGAGGGAAGGAATGCTCACATCCCAGCTCCCAAAATTACCTTTGAGCCCCTCCACAGCTGGGGTTGGTGTGGACAAGTTCCCAGGTATAATGTTGGGCCAGTTGACACAGGGTGTGGGATGGGATGGTGAGGATGATTTGAATGGGAAAGTACCCACTCCTCCCTTTTCTCTTCCTTAAAAATAAACTAAACACTAGTTATGCCAGTGAAGAGAGGCCCTGAAATCCATTTGGTGGGACTCCAGAGTGTGTGGATTTTATTCTACTGATTATGTAGATATTGGGAGTTTGAGCAGTTACAGAGACTACAGACCTCGCGGGCTAAGCCTGGTTGTATTATTAAGGGCAGAAGAATGCAGTGGGACTTACGGGTTTGAGGTACTAATGAGGTCCCCCAAGTCAAGAGGAGGCTCATTATGTACATGTGGAGGTCAAGAAGCCAGAGTGAAGCTGCCCAAACAGGGTACCCTTTATGTTTTCAAATTCCTGTCTATCTCCCAGTGTATCCCTACTGTTGGACAATAAGTTTTTGGGGGGTTTTGCTGTTTTAAATAATGCTATGCTGAACATCCTTGTAACTTTTCTGATTAGTTTTTTTAGGATAAATTGCTAGAGATGTAATTCATTGCTGGACCACAGGGCCAAATATAAATCCTAATACTTAAAAATATGTGTGTGTGTGTGTCTGTGTATGTGTAAATGTATAGATATATACACACATATATACACATACACATATATACACATGTGTATATATGTACACGTGTGTGTATATATGTATATATTTTTTTTCTCGAAAAGATGTACAAACAGTTAAAAAAAAATTCAGACAGTACAAATACGGGATGTCCAGTGAATAAGTCTGCCTCCCACACCTGGCCCTCCTTCTGCAGGCTTCACCTTAAGAGAAAAATGCTGTTACTAGGTTTTTGTGTATTTGCCCAGAAATATCCTATGTTTATATAAACATGTATGTTTCTATTATTTTCACTCTCTTTCTCTTTTTTTTTTTTTTTTTTTTTTTGAGACAAGGTCTGGCTCTGTCGTCGTCCAGGCTGGAGTTCAATGGTGTGATCTTGGCTTACTGCAACCTCTGCCTCCCAGGCTCAAGTGATCCTCCCACATCAGCCTCTCTAGTAGCTAGGACTACAGGCGTGCACCATCACACCCTGCTAATTTTTTGTATTTTTTGTAGAGTTGGGGTTTTGCCGTGTGGCCCAGGCTGGTCTCGAACTCTTGAGCTCAAGCAATCCGCCAACCTTGGCCTCCCAAAGTGTTGGGATTACAGGAGCCATGAACCACCACACCCAGCCCACCCTCTTTTTTTTTTAAACACAAATGGGAACATCTTATATCTACACTTTAAAATAGTGCTTCCCATTTCTTTGTATGGCTGTGTGATATATATGCCCAGTCCTGAGCTGGTAATGACACACTCCAGGGCTGCAAGGTCTTTATTGAGCAACCACAGAGTGCAAGGCACAGGATTAAGGCTGCCTCTGCGAAAGCAACACGATGTCTTAAACTGGGCTAGTCCCCCAGAATGCTTTGCAGTCTCCCGGGGAAAGGGGATTTGTAGCGCGCCTGGGACCCAGTGGGCCCCTAGTATCCCAGGCAGGAAGTAGAAGAGGCTGTCAGACCCTGGGGTTGTGGTGGGGTCAGGAACTCTTCGCCCCACTACCCCAGCAAGCACCCAGTATCTACCCCAGTACTCCCGGAGGGAGCTGGTCTGCCCGAAGTGAGTGTGCCATTGTATGCAGGGGCGGGGGCCACAGACTCAAGAGGCCTGGGGGAAGCTGGCTTCACAGGTGAAGGGTGAGGGGTAGGGGCACGTCTGTGCCCGGCACTGGAGCAGAATGCTTGCTTTCTCCTGGATAGCCGACTAGATTGTCTCCTTTTTTTCTTTCCTTTTTCCCCAGAGGCTCATCCAAAATAGAGGAAGCATGCGAAATCTACGCCAGAGCAGCAAACATGTTCAAAATGGCCAAAAACTGGAGTGGTATGTCATCTCCGCTAGAGCTCCTCCAAGGTGCTCTCCTCCTCCCTCAGCTTCCACTCACACAGGCCTGCCCGAGAGGTTGGCCTTGAGGGCCCTTTCTCTTTGTATGCCCTCTCCGGCATCGGAAAGCCACTGGCCTGCTCTCTTGTTTTGTGCCTGCTGGGTTACTTTATACTCTGGGTCATGGGGCCTTGGTGAAAGGACAGAGAGGATGGGAATAAATAGATTATTAGACCTAGATAAACCCATGTGGATTGATGAGCTCTTAGAGTCCTCCTTAAATTCAGAACTTCAGGTTTCCTGGTAACTTCCTTAGTGCTTCCATCAGTGTCTAAATTCTAGGCTGGGGGAGGATGTTCAGGTGATTCCAATAACAACGTGAATCATGGCTGCTGTTTGTTGAGTCCTAAGTGCTCATCATTTAATTGCGTTAGCACAGCAGCCCTAAGGGTCAGTCTATAAATATCCCTATTTTACAGATTTGGAAACTGAGGCTTGGCTTAGTCTCTTGCCCAGGATGCCAGAACTAGTAAGTGACAGAACCAAGATTCAGAAACCAAGGCTCTGACTGCAGAGCCTGAGTGTTTAACCTGCCCCAGTGAGGCAGGATAGCTTCACAGAGGAGAGGGGTGGGGAGGAGCCCCTTGGGCTCAGGGAGGCTGGAGATCTGTTTGGAGCTCCCTGCAGGCCCAAGAAGTCCAACAAGCCAGTGTGTTGAGCCCTTTCGAGGCTCATTTCATCATACATCTTTCATGTCACCAAGATTGAATTAAGGAAATACGGCAAGAGACCCAGTGTTTGAATGCAGGGAGGAACTTCTGACTGTGGAGGAGAGGGAACCTGGTGGTGGGACCATGGAGGCAGGGTGCAGAGGTGCACAATAAAATTGATTATCATCGTTTTTGAGAATGTTGTTGGTTTCCCCAAAATTCAAAGAGTTATTCCTGAGTTTTCACAAAATACGTTGTGAATAAAGCCAAATGTTTTTTGTATTTTTATGCTCCCAAACTTAGAAAATTCCTCTAGAGAAAAAAAGCTTATTTTTTAATTACATAGGTGTTGCTTTTCCCCTAAAATTTGTTACCTCTGCCCCCAAACTCTTCAAAGAAAAGCCCTAGGCCATTTCCCCCCGGTAATATCCCCTTTTCTTGAAATTTTTTTTTTTTTTTTTTTTTTTTTTTTTTTGAGACAGTCTTGCTCTGTTGCCAGGCTGGAGTGCAGTGGCGCGATCTTGGCTCACTGCAACCTCCGCCTCCCTGGTTCAAGTGATTCTCCTGCCTCAGCCTCTTGACTAGCTGGGATTACAGGCACGTGCCACTACGCCCAGCTTATTTTTGTATTTTTAGTAGAGACAGAGTTTTACCATGTTGTCCAGGATGGTCTCCATCTCCTGATCTCGTGATCCGCCCACCTCGGCCTCCCAAAGTGCTGGGATTACAGGCATGAGCCACCGCGCCTGGCCGTAATTTTATACTCAAATTTGGAACTCTTGAAAATAATGAAATCATATAGTGAAAACCCGGAAGGCTTTGTCTTTTCTGCTGCTCAAAACTTAAGAGGATAGGGCCAGGCCTCCTGGTCCTCTTCCAGCTTAGAAACTCTGACTCAGATTCAGCTGGAGGAGAATGAAGGGGAGAAGCCTCAGAGCTGAGCTGGAGGTGGTCAGCTGCACGAGGAGGAGGAGAGATGCTGCTGCCTCCCAAACGTCAGTTAGGAGATGTGTGGGCAGAATGGCTTGGGACCCACAGAAGCTGACCGTGTGCAGATGAGCACAGGATGGATGAGGCTTCAGGCACGGTCTCTTCTGCCCTCCGCCCATGGGCACTGGTCTGCATGTATTCATTCTTGCTGTCCACATCCTGTTTCCCTCTCTGGACATGCAGCTCCTGGAGGGAGCCGGCTCTGTGTTGTCCGACCCCAACTCCATGAGCCTCACAATTCATGCAAGTGCCTTGTCCATGGGGATCTGCAGTGAAGGGAACAGAATGTGAACAGAGGCAGAGGAGTTGGGAGAATCAGGAAGAGCTTTGGGGAGCTGTGGAAAAAGAAACAGGACTTGGAAAGGGGAGTAGATGGGAAGATGTTATGTGGTTTAATCTCAGTTGCCCCTTGCTTCCCAAAATACCCCTCCGAAGCCACCCCATGATTTCAGCCTGTACTTTGCCTTCTAGTGGTGGTTCTGGGCCCTGTGCTTCGAGGCTCCCCTGGGGAGGACTGCCCAGGCCGGGAGGTGCAGGAGGCCACCTCACTCTGTTTTATATCCTTTCCAACTCAGCTCTATCTGCCTTCTCCTTGGATCTTTAGAAGTGGTGGCCCTGGAAATGCTGGCATAGCTGGGATTAGGGACATGGTGTTTTACCTGGGCTTACCCTGGCTCTCTTTCCATATACCTGGGGCTCAGGGCCTTCCCCCGAGGCAGCTTCCTGCCGCCCTCAGAGACTGTCAGGTGGGCCACCAGGAGCCTCAGCGCAGGAGCCAGCAGACCTGAGCGCAGGAGCCAGGAGACCTGAGTTCTAGGCCTCGGTCTGGGCTCGCTCAGGTCACCCTCGTCCTGTCTTGGGGACTCTTTCCGCATTCTCGAGAGCCCGACCCACCTCCCAGGGCAGTGTCTCTGTGGCTTCATAAAGTGTGGAGCCCCACTGAGGCCAGGACTGCCCTTCTCTTCTGTTCCAGCTGCTGGAAACGCGTTCTGCCAGGCTGCACAGCTGCACCTGCAGCTCCAGAGCAAGCACGACGCAGCCACCTGCTTTGTGGACGCTGGCAACGCATTCAAGAAAGCCGACCCCCAAGGTGAGGGCCTCTGCGGGCCACACGGGCTGGCTGTCCGGAGCGCCATCCTAGCACCCTGCATTGATTCCTCAGGTTTCCTGGCGGCTCTGGTTTTTCCAGTGGCCGACATGTGATAGGCTGGCAGGGGCGTGCCTGAGGCAGAGTGAGCGTTGACTTTAGAACTGGCTCTCTTCCTTCCAGTTGGCATTCGCGCCCTGCTCAAGTCTCCGCCCCCCTATCTACCGTGTCGGTGGTGTCGGTGCAGCTGATCACCCCTTCCCAATCCCGGAGCATTTGGGAGTGGGAGTTCCATTGCAGACCCACCGCCTGCCGGGGAGAGAGGAAAATCTGTTCTGTTGTCAGAATTAACATGCAGAAGGGAGCGGTGTGGGGGGCGGGGAGGATTCTGAGACCAGCCAGGTAGGAGTTGCTGCCGAAAAAGGAGCGGAAATTAGCCCAACCTGGCTTCCCTACATCCTGGGGAGGAATTAGAGAGAACAGAGCCCGAGATGTAGTTGCCAGAGAACAAATTACTTAAAATGAGAGCGTGCTAGGGACAGAAACCCAGTTTGGGGCTGACTCATGGTGAGAAAACAGTTTTGTCCCCCTGGGTGCCTCCCGAAGAGGAGGTCCAGCCCAGTGTTTGCTTGCATGTGGCGGGAATTTTAATTTATTTTTTAAAATGTTGGTGCCAGGTACAGGTTGCTAATTAGAAAGCACAGGCAGTTTTTAAAAATGACCATCTATTGTCACTGTCATCTCAGGGGAATGGAAAATATATGAATCTTTAAAAAATAAAAAGCAGCTATATAATCTTGGAATAAAAGCCTGTCCTTCCCAAGAGAAGACAGGTTTGCAGCAGTGCAGGGAGCTTCCTCCATGGATCAGTGAGCACTGGTTCACATGGCGTGTTTGAGAACTGCTGGCATACCCCTTTGTCGTGATCTGACGTGTTAGTTCCCAGATGAGGATGAATTTGTGTTGACCAGTAGCTCTTCTCTGTCCTTAGACTGACCAGTTGCTCCTCAGCAGCTGGGCATCTCATGCGTTGGCCTCAGTGGTCACATGGTGGGGCTCAGGCCTGGCAAGAGGCCGAGGAGCAGCCTTGTAACTGGGTGGGCCATGGGGCTTGCCTGGCTGGTAGCACTGGGCCACAGCAGGCTGCGTGGTTGATGCAGTGATGACCCAGGGAGACCCTGGGTTGGTTTTAAGCTTGATTCACCACATGGAGTCTCCATGCCTTCCATTAAACTGCCCCGCCAAGCCTTTCCTTCTGCTCCCTGGGAAACTGGTTGGCCTAGAGGTGCTGTCTTAGCATCTGTGACGTTCAGCTGCTGCCCCATCTGGAGTGACTGGAAGGACACTCTGGGGCAACACTGAGCGCCAGGCTGCCGAACAGAGAGTGCCATTTGCTCTTTCAGCAGACCCCTCACTTCCTGCAGACAGGCCCTGCCTGGCAGTGGGATATGGTGGGGTCCCTCCCCTGCGTTTGATCTGAGCTTTTCTAGCTCTCCAGCGAGACTCTGCAGGGTGTGGGCCTGGAGTCTGGATGTGGCCCCTCCCTGGCCTTAGGAAGCTCAGAAGGTGGCTGAGGACTCCGACCGGTAGGAAAGTATAAAGATGATGTTACATCCAGGGCACAGAGGCCAACTTGCACAGAGCTGAGGCTGGGGGCGTGAATTTGGCTATGGGAGATCTTTCAAGGAAGAAAGGGGGCAGTTCTGAAAGGAGAGCCTCACCTGGGTAGAGCTGAGAGCAGGTGCCGTGTCCAGAGCCCTGGGGACGTGGTGTTGAGCAGGGAAGGGTGTTAGTGCAGCTTCCAGAGCTACAGCCTAAAGATACGCACGCCAGCCATGACTCCCAGTGGGGCAAGGGGCACATTGGCATCAAGGGCAGTGGCTGCTTTGTGTCTGAGGCTAGTCAGGCCTCACACAAGGCCAGGTGCAGTGGCTCATGCCTGTAATTTCAGTGCTTTGGGAGGCTGAGGCAGGAGGATCGCTCAAGCCCAGGAGTTCAAGACCAGTCTGGACAACATAGTGAGATCCTGTCCCCAAAAAAAAGCCTCACAGAGAATGTCATGTAGCAACTGTGTGTGGCTCAGCAGCGCAGGTGGTGGGTGGTCTGGGAGGACCCTGCCTCCCCTGTGATCCTGGGCAAGTCAGTCTTTTGGGCCTCTGTTTCCTCGTCTGTTAAAGCAGAGACTGCTGTGAGATGATGCAGTCATGCCCAGCGCGGCACCTGGTGTGTGATAAACTTCCAGTCAGGACACCCTTGGCTTTCATCAGTCCAGGGGCCCCTGCCTGCCCTGGGCTCCCCACAGCCTCTGCCCTTGGCCGGGTGCCTTGTGAGACAGCGCTGGAGGCCCGATTTGGAACCTTGCCTGGCTTCCCCAAGCAGGTGGCCGGTACCCTGGGGCCGTCCTCATCACTGGTCTCCTCAGCAGCCTAGAAGGCCTCTGTCTTGGGTCAGCACTTCTAGGGCTTCCTCCAGGACTCCCTCCAGAAGGACCTGCCCCCAAGTGGCAGCTGGAGTGTGCCTGAGGCCCGACTGGGCTCCCGAATTCCTCTCCCTCTCGCAGAGGGTGGCCTGCTGCCACCTTGGTGGCTCTGGGTGGGGAAGGGTGATGCTCATATGTGTTATTGGTTCCTCAGTTACCCAACCATGGCTGCTGCTCAGGGCAGACTCGGGCCAGCGAGGCCTCTTCCCAGGCCTGCCTGATAGTTGGGGGTGGGGGCAGTGTGTGTACCTGGGGCAGAGAAGCGACCTGGCCCCTGCTTGTCCCCCACTTCCTCCCCAGCTGCCATTTACTGGGTTTCTACTGTGTACCAGATGCTTGGCATCTTTTAACCCATTTGATTTCTTTGTGCATTCTGTGATTTGCCCCCATTTTACTAAGGAGGAGATGACCAAGTGTAACCAGGAAGGGCTTCAGAGACGCAGAAGTCAGGTTGGGCGTCGCTGGTAGGAGTGACTGCGGGGATGGGCGGTGGCCTGGGCCATAGCTCCCCAACTTGGGCTGTATTGCTCTGAGCCCCTTTCCAGCCCTCTGTGGGTGGGTACAGGAGGGGCCAGGCCACAGAACTGGGTGTTGCTCTGCCTGTCCGAGTGCACAAGGCCTGGTGACCTGAGATAAGAGTAGCAGTCATGAGTGTGTCAGAAGCTCGTCCAGGAGCCAGCTGTCCCAGGTGTCTGCTGGTGGCCCGCCGCTTTCCAGACATGGAGGGGACTTAACCCCGTGAGTCCATGTTGCTGCCTGGGGGGTAAGCTGTCTCCCTGCTGCTACTGCAAGGACTGTGCCATGCTGACGGCGGGTGCTCCAGAGCCAGTGCCAGCAGGCCCAGGTGGCAGCTGCAGATCTCACTGCTCACTGCGGAGCAGCAGCCTTTGCCGCCTCAGCCCACAGGGTGCCAGGTTGGTGTCCTGGGTGTTCCGGCCAGGAGAGTGAACCAGTGAGCAGCCCGGGGCCTCCATGTGGAGACTGCAGCCAGGTGGGGCGGGGCAAGGCGGGCCTCTCACCTCACTCCAGCTGCTGCTCTCCTCTGCAGCGTGGCCCGGCTTAGCCGTTGCTTCTGGGTCCGCCGATTACAGGATGTATGTGTCTTCAAACTGCCGGATTTAGGTTGTGTTCTCTCCCCTTCCTCCTCATCTGCCCCCTTTTTGCCACCGTTTCCACTGTCTGCTGCCACAGTCTCGGTCTGTCAGCCCTAGAACCTGGACTGAGTGCTGTACCTTCTCTCAGTCCCTTTTAGATCCCCAGAGGTCTTTCTGAATTGGACAAAACCTACAGACCCCACTCCCCAGAGGAGTGCTTATGGACCCCACTGTTTACATGTCAGAAGGAGGGGTTGGACTCCCTGAAAGCCCAGCCACAGACCTGAGACAAAGAGCCTCTGTCCAGATGCCTCCCCACGGAGGGAGTTTGGAGTCCCATCCAGACCGTGAGCCCCTTGAGAGGAGCCCAGCCCCGGCGCTTCTTGGTAGCACCCTCTTCTCAGGCGAACATGGCCTGGGTGACCATGGAGACCCCCACGGTGACCAGGAACTTTCAGATGCCCAGGCTGAAGCTCAGAGCCCATGCCCTGTGGCCTGTCCAAGCTCCCTGCCTTTCCCTCTCCCCAACCCAGGCCTCCCTCCCCACAACACCCCTGTCCTCCTGAGATGTGCTAAAATGGTGTTCTTAAAAAATACCCCCTGAGAGCTCATTTCTGTCTGCTAGAAAATGCCTCCCACTCATGCTTTTCTCTCTCCTCCAAATAACTTGTCAAAAAAAAGCCTTTCCCAAATTTAAAATCTTGCAAGAGATAGTACAACAAAGGTAGCCCAGTTCTTCCTCAGTGCCATCCTGGTGTGTTCAGGTTTTTTGGCAAAACCTTTGAGGAGCTGGTGGGTGGCAGGACTAGGTTAAAGGGACTGAGCAGAGGGCTCCCGACTGCTGAGCTACGAGGAAGAGGGGGCAGTGGAGAGCACACTGAGGGCTCAGTGTTGATGACATCCAGCCTCCTCGTGCCAGAGGTCCAGGTCCTCCTGGTGCAGGAGCAGAAGCTGCTCAGGATCCTGCAGAGATGGTGGCAGAGCCCAGGTAGAACCTGGCACCCTGTTGCCTCCAAGACCACCTCAGATGCTGGTTTGGCCGCCTCCCATGCCTCCTTCCCCTTTGCCAGCAGCTCAGTCCTTCAAGAGCAGGGCCTTGGCAGGTCTGTCTTAAAACACCGTGGGAGTCTGGCCATCATCCTGGCCTAGCACTGCTGTGCCCTGTCCCTGGGGTTGTGGGAAGCTGGTAGCATCCTGGCAGCCCGAGGAGAGAAGGGCTCCCCCAGAAGCATGTGCCCAGCAAGTCACAGTCTGCAGAGTCAGCCCTCTCACCAGATTTCCTGGGGCTCAGGGATTCCGTCCCCTTCTTCCCAGCCCCTTGAGAGTGTGTGGCAGCGCTGGCAGCTCTGAGCGCCTATTGATCTCTCTGCTGGCAGCCAGGTGCGCCTGCGTCCGCCTCCTCTCCTCAGCTTCTGCTGAAACGACTTCACTTTCTCATGTCTCCTCCCACCTCCCTTTCTCTCCAGAGGCCATTAACTGTTTGATGCGAGCAATCGAGATCTACACAGACATGGTAAGGGCTGCTTGCTTGTCCTGACACCCCCGGGTCCCACTGCATTGCCCCAGCCTTGCGTCCCCTCTTTCAGCACCCCCAGCACTGTTCTTATTCTGCGGCCAAACCACTTGGGGAGGGGGAAGTGGGAGCTGGGGGGATTAGGTCACCTGAGCTGGCCTGGGCTGGCTGGGTCTTCACCCAGCTCCCCACCAGCCTGACGGCCCCCTCACTCCACAGGCAGTCATGGTTTTCATTCATAGAACTTAGGTTATTGAGCTGGGCAGGGTGGCTCATGCCTGTAATCCTGGCATGTTGGGAGGCTGAGGTGGGAGGATCTTTTGGGCACAGGAGTTCGAGACCAGCCTGGGCAACATAGCAAGACCTCCTCTCTACAACAAATTAGCCTGGTGTAGTGGCATGCACCTGGGGTCCTAGTTCTTGGGAGGTTGAGGCAGGAAAATCGCTTGAGTCCAGGAAGTTGAGGCTGCAGTGAGCTGTGATCACACCACTGCACTCCAGCGTAGGCGACAAAACAAGACCCTGTCTCAAAACAAAAAAAGAAATTAGGTTACTGGAGAGTGTGTGTCCGGCACTTCCCCTTGCCCAGCCTTCCCGCAAGTGTCACATTTGATAAGCATCTTGCAGCAGGCCACAGGGATAGGCAGAGCCCACAGGAGGCTCAGCACCTGCCCTGCCCCCAGGGCGCGTTGCCAACGACAGATGCAGACCAGATGGGCAGCTGCCAACTGGAGCCAGAGTGAAGGGTCCCACCCAGGCCGGGGCTCCTGTCAGTGCTTTCTCTCTCTCTCTTTTTTTTTTTTTTTTTTTTTTTGAGACAGAGTTTCTCTCTCATCTAGGCTGGAGTTCAGTGGCGTGATCTCCACTCACTGCAACCTCTGCCTCCCAGGTTCAAGCGATTCTCGTGCCCTAGCCTCTCGAGTAGCTGGGATTACAGGCGTGTGCTACCATGCCTGGCTAATTTTTGTATTTTCAGTAGAGATGTGGTTTCACCATGTTGGCCAGGCTGGTCTCAGACTCCTGACCTCAAGTGATCCACCTGCCTTGGCCTCCCAAAGTGCTGGGATTGCAGGCATGAGCCACCGTGCCTGGCCAGCTCCTTTTTGCCTCTCCGCTTGCCCTGTCTGTCTCAGCCCTCCAACCCCAGGCAGGGACACGAGCCCTACCCCTTGCGTTCAGGGCAGTGCTGCAGGGATGACTGTGATTAGAACAATAATAGCAGCTGCCATTTATTAGGCCAGACACTGCAGGGTGGTTTAATCCACAGCCCTGTGAGGTTGGCATTATTGTCATCCCCGTTCCTTAGTGGAGGAGAGGGGCTCAGACAAGTGACATGATTTGCCCAGGGACATGTGGCTACAAGCAGGAGTCACTGAGACCCGAAACAAGGTCTGGCTGAGCCCAGGGCCTTGCCCTTTCCTACTGCCCTCAGCAAGGGGGTGGCGTTGGACCAGCCCCTGGTGCAGAGCAGTTAGGCAAGCGCCTGGACACTGGGTGGAGGCGGATGGAAGGTGCGAGGCCCCTTGGAACCTGAGGCCTCCCTGGGGAGCTCTGGGTGTGCCTGGGGGAGGCTGACAGATAGGTGTTGGCCTGGGGGCAGAGCTGGTACTCTTGGGCAGAGGTCTCAAGCCCTCCCTCCCATCCTGGTTTCTCCAGAGCCCTTTGCCAAGTGGCTCTGGACTGGTCCTTCCGCCTCTCTGGCTGTTATCAGAGGCTTCCTAAGGGCCAGGGCCTTGGCCAAGTGCTCGTGCTCACATTCTCTCTGGTGTCACACCATCTGTGCCCTCGTGGATGGGATGGAATTAGGCTAAGGCCCTGGAGTGGCTTGTCCAACATCACCCGCTCAGCCCAGCACGCATAGCCAGGCCTCTAGTGCTGGGGCCCTCCCTTCTCACTCCTGTGTTCCCCCACCTCTCGATCTTCTTCACACCTCAGGTCTTCTTCATACCTCCTCACAGGCGTGGCTGAGGGGTGGGAACTTGAAGGGTCATAGGTCAGCAGGCAGGCACGCAGGAGGTCATGAGTCGCAGGCAGCCCCTTCCTGTGTCCCCTCCAGGGCCGATTCACGATTGCGGCCAAGCACCACATCTCCATTGCTGAGATCTATGAGACAGAGTTGGTGGACATCGAGAAGGTGAGTGGCAGCAGGGCCCTGCATGGGCTGGCAGCCAGGACCAGTGCTGCTCTCTCTTCTTCCCACCAGGGGAGTCCTCTGGTGTCTGAGTGCCGAGAAGGGGGCATGGGGCGCCGGCAGAGCTTGGAGAATGGGGTCTGGCTGTGTCCCAGGCAGGCAGGGCGGAGGGTGTGGAAGCTTCACGGAGGCCTCCTCTCCCTTCCCTGCCCTCCCCTGGAACCCATCCCCCGTGTCTCCCCAGGCCATTGCCCACTACGAGCAGTCTGCAGACTACTACAAAGGCGAGGAGTCCAACAGGTAGCCCCCTTCCTGCCTGCCCCAGCCCCGCAGGGACCGCCACCACTTCCCCTCACTACTCCTCCCCACACAGCTCAGCCAACAAGTGTCTGCTGAAGGTGGCTGGTTACGCTGCGCTGCTGGAGCAGTATCAGAAGGCCATTGACATCTACGAACAGGTGGGGACAGGTGGGGATGGCGGCTTCCACCCTGCCCCCTCTCAGGGCCTGTGCCTCCTCCTAAGCCCCGGCACCTTGTTCTGGAACCACCCCTCCCCCGGCTCACCCTCTGCCTCTCCCCCGACATCCCTTGCCATGTCATCCCCCCACCCTGTCTTCAGCCTGGCTGAATGTTCTCCACCTACGACTCCATGCCGTGCCAGCACCGTCTCTCTCCCTGGCTGTGCCCCTCCCACACCCCTCGCAGAGCTTCCTGGAGGGGCCCAGAGTGAGGCTGGCTAAAGAACCCAGAGGGAGGGAATGGGAAGAAGTGCCAAGAGGCCCAGGGTGGCCGTGGGCACCCCACCCCATGGCCCGATGGTCCTCATCCACAGTGGGAGGGAGGGAGTGTCACATGGGGTCCCCCCAGCGTGCACGGAGCCCTGGGTGATGGCCGAGAAAAAGGCAGGCAGCTGGCCCCCTGGGAGAGAGGGGCGGGCGCCGCCTCTCATGTTCCCACCGCCTGCCGCCGCTCTGCCCACCGCCATGCCAGCCTCCCGTTGGTCCTGACAGCCAGGCTGCCTCCTTCCCACTGTCTCAGGCTCTCAGAAGGCCCACGAACACCTGGCTACAGCCTCCACCCCCACCCAGCCACCATCACACCCTGATCTTGGTCGCTCACGCACTGGCCGCTGACCTCTCCAAGCTGGTCCCTGGCTCCCTGCCCTTGGGGTCCTGGGTTAACAGGGCCTCACCTCGGGACATGAACCAGCTCCCAGCTGGCCCCCCAGTGCCTGGCAGTGGCTCTGGCCCTCTGGCTGCTTGCCCTGAGCTCACCAGTGCCACTTCTCCATGGCTACAGGTGGGGACCAATGCCATGGACAGCCCCCTCCTCAAGTACAGCGCCAAAGACTACTTCTTCAAGGCGGCCCTCTGCCACTTCTGCATCGACATGCTCAACGCCAAGGTAGCACACCCCACGCCCGCAGGACCACCGCACCAGGCCACCATGTGCTTATCTCCAGGCCAGGTCCCGTTGCCCCCGAAGAGGGACGTGCTCCTCCCTCACGTCTGGCCCCTGCCAGCCAGCCTTTGGATGAGAAGTGTGGTTCTCACAGCTGTGTTTCTGTGCTGGCATCACCTGCCCACCCAGCCCTGGAGGCTTTTGCGGGTCCAGCTCCTGCCTCACTTAGTGCTCTTTCCTTCATGGGTGCACTTTTTGAATCCTCACTGCACCCCATTAAAGTCAGCACCATTGTCACCGCGTCTTATGGGTGAAGATGGTGAGGCTGGGACGAGAGTCCCTTGTTTGAGGCCACATGACTAGGGACCTGCAGCCCCAGTGTTCCAGATCTTTGTGACTCCTGCTGTCGTGGCTTTAGCTGTAGCTCACACATGCCCACCTATTTTCAGGACACTTGGCAAAAGAGGGGCCAAAGAGGGCAGTGGGAGGGGGCGTGGCCAGCGGGAAGGAGCTGGAGGGTTGGCGCTAGATTTTGCTTGGCCGGAGTTTTTTTACCATTGCCTGGCAGAAGCACGGAGTCCAGGATTTCCTGGTGTCCCTGGCTCACGGCCTGGGGTGGTGGCCCCACACACCCCACACACACACACCCCACAGAGCCCTGCCCTGCTGTGGGCACCGGTGGTGGGCAAAAGCTTGGGCTTTGTCAGACCAGGTTCCCATTCCCACCCCATGTCTCACCGTGCCCTGGGCAGGTCACTGCCCCTCTCTGGATCTGTTTCCTCACTTTGAAAAGGGGGCTCACCGTCATTTGACCCTCTCAGGGTCCTCAAGAAGCACCAGCCCCAGGCCTGGCATGGAGGATGTGCTCATTTGTCCCCTGCCCCAGCTGAGCCAGGTGGGAGGAGGCAGTGGGTGCCTATCTGGGGAACCTTCCCCCTCCACCCACCTCTCCCTGCAGCCATCTCTGCAGCCAGGCTGGTGCTGAGCTCAGCTACGGGAAGGTACTGACAGACACAGAGCCAGGTGACACCTGAGGCTGGGGGAGGGGTGCAAGAGCTGACTCAATATCACCCGACATCCCCAAGTCCCCTCAGCTGCTAGGCCAGTAGCTCTGAGGACCCTCTTGTTACTAACTCATCTTCTCCCTTCCCTGCTGCCCAGCTGGCTGTCCAAAAGTATGAGGAGCTGTTCCCAGCTTTCTCTGATTCCCGGGAATGCAAGTTGATGAAAGTAAGTGCTGGGTGCTCCGGCCTCCCCCTTCCCGAACCTCAGACGGGGGTGGCTGGGGCTCCAGGTGGGACAATCGCCAAGACTTGTCCAGTAGTTCTCAGAGGGTGTCTTTGTTTTGTTTTGTTTTGTTTTGTTTTGTTTGGCCATTTGAGTCTCCATTTTCCAGATGAAGAAAGTACAACTCGGGGAGTGCTGGAGCTCAGGATGGCTAGGTGGACACACACACACACACTACACACACCACACCACACCACACACACCAAACATACACTACACACACCACACCACACACATCACACCACACCACACACACCAAACATACACTACACACACCACACCACACACATCACACCACACCACACACATCACACCACACGCTACACACACACCACCCCACACACCCCACACACACTACACACACACCACACACAGCAAACACATCACACACCACACATATCGCACACACACTACACACACACGACACACCCCTCACACAAAACACATTGCACAGTACACACACCACACGACACACCCCCCCACACACAAAACACACTGCACACACACCACACATGACACACCCCACACACACACATTGCACACACACTACACACACCACACACACCCCACACACACACCGAACACACCACACACGCAACTCAACACACACCAAACACCACACGTGCCCCTACACACCACACCCCAACACACACACCACACACACACACACCTCCACCACACACCACACCCAACACACACACCCCCCATACCCACACACACACACATTCTGTGTGATGTTCTATGTTGGTAAGGTTGCCCTGAGAGCAAGCCGTTTCTGATGAATAGGGCAGCAGGATCGCAACACGCCCGTACCCATCCCCAGTTTAACCCACACGGATTGACCCTCTGAGAGTCCTCAGGAAGCCCCAGCCCCAGGCCTGGCATACAGATAGCGTGTCCTTTCATCTAATCCAGGCCAGACCTCAGGTCAGCATAGGCCCCTGACCCCTCTCTGCCATTTGCTTGCAGAAATTGCTAGAGGCCCACGAGGAGCAGAATGTGGACAGCTACACCGAGTCGGTGAGTGGCCAGCATGGGGGGCCAGGCCCCTTCACGGGGATGGGTCTCCTAGGAAAGCTGCCCTTCTCAGACACGCTCTCCATGACATTCACCCATTTCATCTGGCCCCCAGCCCACTGTGAAGTTCTTTCTCCAGTCACCCCAGAAACCTTACAAGTAGCGCCAAGAGGCGCAGGGAGTGTTCTCCCCATTTTATAGATGGTGGCACTGAGGTTGGGGAGGTCAGGAGGCTCGGCCTTGGCCCCTCAGGGACAGAGCTGGTGTTCAGAGCCACATCTGTCTGCCTCTGAAGACCAGGGTTCCTTGAGTCCCCCAGGTGAGTGTGTGAGACTCACAGTGGGCGCCTTGGGCACCCAGGAGGCACAGACGGGGAGGGAAGGGGTGAGAAGGAGAGTGGAGCTGAGGACATGGGAGAGGTGCCAGCTTCCCTCTGCCTGGTGGAGCCGCCCACGCGGCTCTCTCTCCCTTCCCTTTCTCTGTTCCCAGCATTCCCGGGCTTAGTGGTGTCCGGCTCAGGTCCTGATTCACTCCTCTAATGGCACATGTCAAGCATTTCTCCCTAGGTGCCCCTTGGGAATGGAAGCCCCTAACTGAGGACAGTGAAAATGCCATCCTGTTCCTCCTGCCCCAGACAGTGGGTGGCAACTCAGCCAGGAGCTCAGGGAGGGGATGCCCAGCAGGCCGTGGCTTCTCTCCCCCGTGTCCCATGGCACTCAGGAGTGGCCTTTTCCATATCTCCAGGCCTCAGTTTCCCACCCATTCAGTGAGGATGCTGGACTTTTTTTTTTTTTTTTGAGACGGAGTCTCGCTCTGTCGCCCAGGCTGGAGTGCAGTGGCGTGATCTCGGCTCACTGCAAGCCCCGCCTCCCGGGTTCACGCCATTCTCCTGCCTCAGCCTCCCGAGTAGCTGGGACTACAGGCGCCCACCACCACGCCTGGCTAATTTTTTGTATTTTTAGTAGAGACGGGGTTTCACTGTTAGCCAGGATGGTCTCAATCTCCTGACCTCGTGATCCGCCCGCCTCAGCCTCCCAAAGTGCTGGTATTACAGGCGTGAGCTACTGCGCCCAGCCATGGACCTTTTTTTTTTTTTAAAGCTACAATATCTTTCTCCCCCAAGGGAAATGATGTGCCCAGCATAGTCAAGACAGACAAGAGGGAGCTCCCATGGCTGAGTTGGGGCCTCAAGCCCTCCCTCTACTCCTCCTCAGAGACCAGGGGTGACAGAGACAGATCTTGAAAACCTTGGGACAAGTGCCCTTGGGCTGCAGGGTTGGGAACGGGGGGAGCATGGCCAGCCTATCACCTGGTGTGCCCTCAGGTGAAGGAATACGACTCCATCTCCCGGCTGGACCAGTGGCTCACCACCATGCTGCTGCGCATCAAGAAGACCATCCAGGGCGATGAGGAGGACCTGCGCTAAGCCCCACCCAGCCCCCCAGTGCCCGTCTTCCTGTCCCATCTGCTCAGAGAGAGGTGGGGCCGAGACTTGCTGGAGAGCTTCCCTCCTTTCCCATCTGGGGAGTGCCGCGGGCCACAGTGGGCAGGTGGCACCGGGGGTCAGCATGCAGGGGCGCCAGAGGCCCAGGCTGCTGGCCGGACAGTCACCCTCTGTTCTCGCTACATCCCTTGCCCCCTGTCCATTTATTTAAGCCCCCATAGGTGCCCTTCACCCCCAAAACCAGCTGTACAGAATCTTTGATACAGACCTATTTGCTAGGGGTGCTGCCGGGGATTTGGGGTCAGCATCTGGCCCCCTATCTCCTGACCAGCTGAGTCATGAGGCCGGTTTCTCTCTCTCTCCCACTTTTGTCCCCCAGCCAAGCTCTAAAGCACATGTAGCCGCTGAGACCTGCTGTTTCTGCTGGGGGCAGGCTCCTCTTCCCCCAGCCCCGGGAGCCTCCCCCAGCTTCCTGCAGCCCCGACCTCTCAGGTTAGACCCTGGGCCCTGGAGCTTAGGGGATTCTCCCCACCCCAGCCCCACACCTGCTCCTTCCCTAATGCTTTGAGGTTTTCTTGGTTGGAAGCTGCAGCTGGCCCAAGAAAGAAAATAAAAAACAACACTTTTGCATGAGTCTCTCTTCCTCCTCACCTCTGCTACCCACTCTGCCCCTGGGCCAGTCACCAGTCCCTCTCACACTCCTGGTCCCCCAGACTCTGGGCGAGCTCTTGGGAGGTCAGGCGCATGCATCCTTGAAACACGTGTGGGCTGGGTCAGTTTCTAGGTGGGGGAGACCCAGGGACGGTGGGCCTGGGGAGGAGCTCTGGCTTGGGAGTCCCAGAGCGCCCATCTTGATCTTTCTCTGGGTTCTTGGGGTCCAGGGGCCTTGATTTCCTCAACTGGGATGCACGGTGGTGATGCCACCCCTCAGAGCCAGTGGGAGGGTCGAATGTGACGGTCCTCATGACTGCTTTGGATGAGAATGGGTGGAAGCCCACCGAATCTCCCATGTCCACATTTCTCTGGCAGGAAGGCTGAACGCCCCGGTGACAGTTGTTCCATCTGTCACAGGACGGGGGAGGAAGCGGCTTTGGTGGGCAGAGTCTGAGGCCCGAGTGGGTCTGGGGAGTGGGGGAGGAGATAGCAGGAGCCTTTGCCCAGGAAAGGTGGGCAGAAACCAGCTGCCTCCACCACACTCCACAATGTGCATGTTGGGGGCCCTGTCTGGTACACATGTGCTTTACCCTGCCCCGCGCAGGGCCCCTCGCTACAGAGGAGACAGCTGAAGGAGGCTCAGTGCCCAGGCATGATGGGAAAATGTCAGGAAGTGAGCAGGGGCAGTAATTGCACAGAGGAGGGGCTGCCTAGGAAACCAGGGTGGACTCCTGGGAGAGGGGCTCCAGCCCAGAAAGCCTAGAGAAGTGCAGGTGAGGTTCAAATTCCTTGACACCTGCCCTGCTCCTCTCTCCCCTGCAGCTTCTCCCACAGCTCCAGTCCACTGATAATGGCAGCAAAGACTTCTGAGACCTGAAATTGATTACCATGTCTGCCCCCATCATGGGTGCTGGCTGAAGGATAGTGTGAGAATCTGTTTCTGTCATCCATGACCTAAATCAGTGATGGTCCGCCCTGGCTATGCTTTAAAGTCATTAAAAGTATCCAGACTTGGGGCTGGGTGCTGTGGCTCATGCCTGTAATCGTAGCACTTTGGGAGGCCGAGGCAGGCGGATCACTTGAGGTCAAGAGTTCGAGAGCAGCCTAGCCAACATGGCAAAACCCTGTCTCTGCTAGAAATACAAAAATTAGGCATGATGGTGCAAAAATAAAAGTATCCAGACTGGGGCCGCACTCTGATAAATTGTGGTTTGACTGAGGTTTCCTACCCTTTGGGGGTTTTTGGGTTTGTTTTTTTTTTGAGACAGAGTCTCGCTCTATCGCCCAGGCTGGAGTGCAGTGGTGCGATCTTGGTTCACTGCAACCTCTGCCTCCCGGGTTCAAGCGATTCTCCTGCCTCAGTCTCCCGAGTAGCTGGGATTACAAGCGTGCGCCACCACGCCCAGCTAATTTTTGTATTTTTAGCAGAGACAGCGTTTCACCATGTTGGCCAGGCTGGTCTCAAACTCCTGACCTCAGTTGATCCGCCTGCCTCAGCTTCCAAAGTTCTGGAATTACAGGCATGAGCCACCAGGCCCGGCCTGTTTTGGTTTGTTTTGTTAAAACTTCATAGGCAGTTCAAGTGTGCAGCTAGGATTGGAAACCTCTTAACAGGATGATTCCTTCCTAACCTGTAACTTCATTTTTTCATTCATCCGCTCAACATGTGGCTTATAGGTTACTAGGGCGGGAAGACGCCTGAAGGAAACGCACTGCTGAAGTGGCACTAGACCCACGTGCCACTCCCTCAGCGAATATTCACTAAGCACCTGCTGCATGCCAGGCCCTGGGAATACAGCAGCACTGACGGCATTCCCAGACTGCCCTCCAGGAACTTCTACTCTCCACATCCAGAAATCTGGAATCATCACAAATTCCTTGCCACCTCCGTTATCCAGTCTGCCTTTGAGAACTTTCCATCATGTAAGAGCTGTCTCTTACATGCTCAGCACATAGTTTGTGATTTTTGACACATATTTTCTGAATGCCTGCTTTGTGTCAGGCCTTGTGTTCCAGGTACAGGCGATAAGGCCGTGATCAAGGGAGATCAGCCTGCTGCCTTCATGGAGCTTGCAGTCTGTGTGTGCTCGAGGTGTCCAGGACAGCTGGCCAACCCATGTCTTCTGGAAATGATACACAGATGTGCACATAGTACCCAAACCTCCATGGCCTTCTAGGGACAAAGCAGCACAGACAGGAACCCCTGAAGGCCCCAGAGTCGGAAACACCTGGTTTACATCCTGTCCCCACCACTTGCTAGCATATCAGTCAGTGGACTTACTCTTTCTGAGCCTCCATTTGATTCTCTCTAAACTGGGATAATAAACCTCTTTGTAGAGGTTTCTTTCTTGCAAAGATTAGTGAGACAGATTTGCAAAGGACGTCCGGGCACATAGTAAAAGCTCAATGAATCCTGAATAAGTGAACCGGCAGGGAGGGTAACAGTAGGCCCTTGCAGAACAGTTGTAAGGAATCAGATTATCAGAGCCAGCATGACTGTCACCAAGTAGGTGTTCGATAAAGGAGGTGGTTATTATAGCTGGATCATTTTTCCTTGGGGGCAAGAAGAATGTATTAATTATTTTAAAGGTGATACTGTTAAGATTATGAACTATAGGCCGGGCAAGGGGGCTCACGCCTATAATCCTAGCACTTTGGGAGGCCGAGGTGGGCGGATCACCTGAGGTCAGGAGGTCCAGACCAGCCTGGGCAACATGGCGAAACCCCATCTCTACTAAAAATAGAAAAACTAGCCAGGTGTGGTGGCGCCTGTAATCCCAGCTGCTGGGAGGCTGAGGCAGGAGAATCGCTTGAACCCAGGAGGCAGAGGTTGCAGTGAGCCGAGATCGCACCACTGCACTCCAGGGTGACAGAGCAAGACTCCGTCTCAAAAAAAAAAAAAAAAAAAATAGTGAACTGTGGAGTTACCTTGTTTGGTTTCCAGTACTGACCGCTCGTTACTAGCTGTGTGATCTTAGGCAAGTTACTTTACCCCTCTGTGCCTCAATTCCTTCATCTCTAAAATGGATTTAAGTACCTACCTCCACCCCCTTGCGAATTTTTAATAAAGTATTAGATGGAATGCACTTACAGTAGTTCCTGGCACATAAGGGCAATATTAAGTTTTATGATGATGATGATTCGACCTTCCACACAGCATACAGCGAGAGGCCGTGGCCACCACCTCCCATCTCTAGTCACAGACTCCTTATGGCAGCCCCTTGGTCCAGAAATGGAAAGGAGAAGAGAGCGCGGGCGCAGTGGGGCAAAGTCGCCTGGGAGGCCCGAGCAGGCGACCTGGCCGCCATCTTGGGAGAGGGCAACGCCGGCAGCTTCCGTACGTCATCAGCCCGCGCAACGGCCGGGCACCCGGCGGTTCAGGTCGCTTAGAGAGTCGTAGGTTGGGTAGTGCGGGTTGGGGCGGGGGCTGCGGAGAGGGTGCTTAACTGAGGGGCATGATGGGGGAGGCGGCCGTGGCCGCGGGGCCTTGTCCGTTGCGCGAGGACAGCTTCACGCGCTTCTCGTCGCAGAGCAATGTGTACGGGCTGGCAGGCGGCGCCGGCGGGCGCGGGGAGCTGCTGGCCGCCACCCTTAAAGGCAAGGTGCTCGGCTTCCGCTACCAAGACCTCCGACAGAAAATCCGGCCAGTGGCCAAGGAGCTGCAGTTCAACTACATTCCCGGTGGGTGGCGCTATGGTGCTGGGGGGCGGGGGCCTGGAACGTGGTGTTGAGAAGGCTTCTGAGGCTCTGTCTGAGCCGGGTCACCGTGCTGGAAGAATGGGATCAGGTGGTTTTAAGGGGGTCACTGGGATCAGCGGGCAGGCATAGTTGGGGCCCGGATGAGCCTAGGGTTTCAGGATTCTTCAGACTTACAGGTCAGGATCCCTAGTACCCAGGGAACAGAGATCAGGTGATGGTGGTCAGGACTCAGACCAGAGGGCATGATCATTGCGGTAGCCAGAGCTCACCATGTTGGGGAGATTGGAAGCATGAGTCTGCCTGACACTGAACTTAGAACTCTCCCCTCCCAGTGGATGCGGAGATTGTCTCCATCGACACTTTCAACAAGTCACCCCCCAAGCGGGGTCTGGTTGTGGGGATCACGTTCATCAAGGTACCTAGAGCCCCCTCCACCTCCCTTCGCCCTCCTCCTTACACACATGGTGAGTTCCACTGAGCCGCCCCGGATCCCTCCTGCCACCCCTGCCCTCCCCTGAACCCCGTGTCCTCCGCCAGGATTCAGGGGACAAGGGCAGCCCCTTCCTGAACATTTACTGCGACTACGAGCCCGGCTCTGAGTACAACCTTGACTCTATTGCCCGTGAGTGAGGCGTGGACGGGAGGAGGGAGAGAGTCCCCAGCAGGTCCCCCATGCTAACCTGCCTGTGCCCTGCCTACAGAGAGCTGCCTGAACCTGGAGCTCCAGTTCACTCCGTTCCAGCTGTGCCATGCGGAGTGAGTGTCCCCTGCGCATCGACGCCCACTCCACTGTAAATGTAGAAACCCTGGCTTCTCGAACCCCTTCTTTACTTACAGACCCCTGTAGTCTGTTTCCCCTTCTGGAAAATAAAGAGGTTGTACTAGATTAGGGATTGAAAACTAAAATGCCAGCCGGGCACGGTGGCTCACACCTGTAATCCCAGCACTTTGAGAGGCTGAGGCAGACGGATCACCTGAGGTCAGGAGTTTGAGACCAGCCTGGCCAACATGGCGAAACCCCGTCTCTACTAAAAATACAAAAATTAGCTGGGCATGGTGGTGTGTGCCTGTAATCCCAGCCTACTCAGGAGGCTGAGGCAGGAGAATCACTTGAACCCGGGAGGCGGAGGTTGCAGTGAGCCAAGATTGCACCACAGCACTCCAACCTGGGTGACAAGAGCGAAACTCTGTCTCAAAAATAAATAAATAAAATAAAATGAAATTAAACTAAAATGCCTTTGGGGACCAGAGAGGTCATGTGAGAATGGAAAGCACAAATGTAATATAACAGGGAGCACATGTGCACACACACATATGCAGCTGAGGTTGGAAAGCTGTAGCTAACTGGAGACCACGAACTTGTCCATAGACAATCAGATTCTACATTTGTTTTTTAAAGCATTGCACTTTTTTTTTCTTTCTTTTTTTTTTTTTTTGAGATAGATGCTCGCTCTGTTGCCAGGCTGGAGTGCAGTGGCTCGATCTCTGCAACCTCTACCTCCCTGGTTCAAGTGATTCTACTGCCTCAGCCTCCTGAGTAGCTAGGATTACAGGCTCACACCACCATGCCCGGCTAATTTTTGTATTTTTAGTATAGATAGGTTTTTGCCATGTTGGCCAGGCTAGTCTCGAACTCCTGACCTCAGGTGATCCGCCCGCCTTGGCCTCCCAAAGTGCTGGGATTACAGGCGTGAGCCACCACGCCTGGCCGGAGCATCATGCTTTTAAGGTGGCCATGGACCGGATGGCCAAGGGGCCACCACACTGCCATTCCTGAACTAGATAATCTGAGAGAGTTGATGGAGCACCTGTGAATTCTGGGAATTCTGCACATCTAGAATTCCCAGATTCTAATGTTCTAGAGTCTGACATTCCAAGATCAGAGATGCTAAGTTTTCTAGAGTCGTAGGCTCTAAGATTCCAACATTTGAATATTCTACAGTACGATAGAAGCCAGAATCTTCTGAGGTTCTGTAATGATAAAGTCCTGACATTCTCATCTTTCGAGGAGATAGAACATAGAGCATCTAGAATACCAAGGTGCTAGAACCCCAAAGTGTGTGGGTTCCATTCTAGAGTTCCAGATTCCATTCCAGAACACAGATGGTCTAGAACAGGGATTGGCAAACTTTTTTTGGTAGAGATCCAGATAGTAAATATTAGGCTTTGAGGGCCAGTCTGTCACAACTACTCACTTTGCCATTGTAGCCAGAAAGCAGCCATTGACACTATAAATGAATGGATGTGGCTATGTTCCAATAAAACTTTATTTACAAAAACAGATGGTGGGTTGGATTTGGTCTGCAGGTCATAACTTGGCCAACCTCTGGTCTAACAGGTGAGAGTCCCCAAAACTGAAGATTCTAATTGCACTAATGTTCTCCTTGCTAGGATTTGGATATTCTATCATTCCGTGAATCTGAAATCTATGATGGCAAATTCTAGAAGTTCTTGTATTTTTAAGGAGACAGAAAACAGCACTTCTAGAATACCAGGGTTTCAGAATGAAGAGGTCCTAGCTTTCTAAGGTTCTGCAGTTCATTCTAGAGTTCCACATTCGATTCCTGAATCCACAGAGTGAAGGTAGGAGTAGATGCGGGCTCTAAGAGCGGGAGGTTCTAGCAAGCCATGTTCCCGCAATTCTGAGATTGGGAGGTACATTCCTTGATTTTGAGATTCTATGAGGGCTCGTTTCTACAGTTATGTATTTCAAGGAGATACAGTACTCAGGAGCTTGAGCCCTGAGATTCTAACCCTGGGTCTAGTGTCTGGATCCCAGAATGTTAAGGTTCTCAACAGGCAGGGGTTTTTGCAAGAGGAGAGTTCTGGTTCTCAGACCATGTGGATTCCACTACCTTGGGTTCTAGATTTCTCTGCTTTCAGGGTCCAGGTCGGGGATCAACTTGAGACTGTGTTTCTCTTGAGTGGGAACGACCCGGCCATTCATCTCTACAAGGAGGTGAGGTGGGGCGGCGTGCTGGGCAGAGCCCTGTGGGATTCACTGTGGGCTGGCGCTGGGTGGGTATATGTGTGAAGCTGACGGCTGACTTAAGCGGGGGTGGGGTGGGTCTTGGTTTCCCCAGAACGAGGGGCTGCATCAGTTTGAGGAACAGCCCGTGGAAAACCTCTTCCCAGAGCTGACGAACCTGACCAGTAGGTAGGAGAGGCCCCGAAAGAGGCCACTGGGGACCGGGGCACTGACATCAGAGAAATCGGGCGGTGAGACCTTAGAGAAATTGGTCACCGGGGAGGAGCTCAGAAAAATCAGTCCACGGCATGACTTCAGAGAAATTGATCAGCAGGGGTGACCCCAGAAAAAACAAGAGGTGGACTCAGCCCTCGGGTGGTGAGAATTGACCTCAGAGGAATTGGGCGGTGGGGATTATCCAGGAGGAATCAAGCAGCAGGGTCCCAGGGCTACAGGGAGGGGCGGCTGCCCCTGGGGAGGCAGAGGGGCGGGGCTGGGCCCAGCAATGGCCGTCCGTCCTGTCCATCCACCCGCCCGCCAGCGTCCTCTGGCTGGACGTCCACAACTTCCCCGGCACGTCCCGGCGCCTCTCAGCTCTGGGCTGTCAGAGTGGTTATGTCCGTGTCGCCCACGTGGACCAGCGGAGTCGAGGTGAGGGCCGCGGTGAGGCGGGGTAAGGGGTGGGGTTGAGGGCTAGAGGGCGGGGCCAGGGTGGGGCTGAGGGCTGGAGCTGGGTGGGGTAGGGGAGGAGGATAAGTGGGTTGAGGGATGAGGGTGGGGCTTGCCGGGTGGGGCTAGGGTGGGGCCGAGGGCTATTGCTGGGTGAGGTAGGGGAAGTGGGGGAAGGGATGAGGGTGGGGATTGGGGGCGGGGCTAGGGTGGGGTTGAGGGCTTCAGAGGGGCGGGGCTAGGGTGGGGATGAACGGTGGGGGCGGAAAGTCGATGGTTTCAGGGCTGCGGGCGGGACCGGGGTGGGGTTGGGGCTCTGAATCCTCGCTCTCCACGCAGAGGTTCTGCAGATGTGGTCGGTCCTGCAGGACGGTCCCATCTCCCGAGTGATTGTGTTCAGCCTCTCGGCCGCCAAGGGTGAGCTCTGGGTTTGAGGGGATGGGGAGAGAGCGGGTGGGAGGGAAGAGGCAACTCTGCATTCTTGGGTCCTTCTACCCAGATTTGCACCCCTCTCCCAAAGTGTGCAGACCCCAGTCCCTCTCTCCTGGATCCCCCACTCCAGGCCTTGAGCTACAGTGCACCTCTTCCCTCCCCTCCCCTCTTGTGAATTTAACTTCCAGGACTGGCACATGGGGCCTAACCCATATCTTTTCTGTTAGGGTCCATAGTTGTTCTCCTCACTTTGGTGTAACCTTAGCCCCGTACCCTGGGGCTGAGCATCCACCTCTCCCTCTGTACTCTAACCTGCACGTCTCACATCGGTATTTCCTCACCCCGCTCTGTGGCCCCTTCACTGTGTCTCTTGTTGCATTCTAGCTCCCGGCTATGCTCCTGGACTCACCGCTGTCCCACCACTCAGAGTCTAGCCTTTTCCCCCAATATGTTGATCATTCCTGCTCCTTTACTGGGGTCTGTCCCTGACTGGCATTTTGCTTTTTTAAAAAAGTTTTGACTAGGCGCGGTAATCCCAGCACTTTGGGAGGCCGAAGCGGACGGATCACCTGAGGTCGGGAGTTCAAGACCAGCCTGACCAACACGGTGAAACCCTGTCTCTACTAAAAATACAAAAATTAGTGGAGCGTGGTGGCGGGCACCTGTAATCCCAGCTACTCGGAAGGCTGAGGCAGGAGAATCGATTGAACCCAGGATGTGGAAGTGGCAGTGAGCTGAGATCTCACCACTGCACTCCAGCCTGGGTGGCGGAGCCAGGCTCCATCTCAAAAAAGAAAAAAAAAATTATTTCAATCACTTCGGGGACACAAGTGGTTTTGGTTGCATGGATGAATTCTATAGTGATGGATTCTGAGATCTTAGCACACCCATCACCCAGCTAGTGTCCGTTGTACCTAATGTGTAGCTTCTATCCCACACCGCCTCCCACCTTCCTGCTTCTGAATCTCCAAACACCATTATACACTCTGTATGCCTTTGCATACTCATAGGTTGGCCCCCTCTTCTGTGAGAACATACATTTTTTGGTTTTCCACTCCTATGTTACTGCACTTAGAATAATGGTCTCCAGTTCCATCTAAGTTGCTGCAAAAGACAACATTTTTATGACTTGAGTAGTACTCCATGGTGTATATATACCACATTTTCTTTCTCCACTCATTAGTCAATGGCCACTTAGGTTAGTTCCACATCTTTGCAGTTGTGAATTGGGCTGTTGTAAACATACATGCACAAATGTCTTTTTTTTTTTTTTTTTTTTTAGACAGAGTCTTGGTCAGGCTGGTTGCAGTGGCACAATCTCGGCTCACTATCACCTCCACCTCCCAGGTTCAAGCAATTCTCCTGCCTCAGCCTCCTGAGTAGCTGGGATTACAAGTGTATGCCATCATGCCAGGCTAATTTTTGTGTTTTTAGTAGACACAGGGTTTCACCATGTTGGCCAGGCTAGTCTCGAACTCTTGACCTCAGGTGATCCGCCTGCCTCGGCCTCCAAAAGTGCTGGGATTACATGAGCCACCACACCCAGAACCTCAGACTTTTTAAGCCATCATCTAACACCTATTTCTCCTTCTGGTGTCTGACTTATAATTTGTCTCATGGGCCAATCTCTAACCCTCCCTGTGTAGCACAGCCTCAAGACTTTTTCCTGAGATCTAACCTGCATGTCTCTCATTAAAGGGGCCTGGGGTATGACGAGGAGCCTGGAACCTGTCCCCACAAAACCTTTCCCCTATTCATTCATGTTTCTTTTTTTTTTTTTCTTTTTCTGAGACGGAGTCTCGCTCTGTCACCCAGGCTGGAGTGCAGTGGTGTGATCTTGGCTCACTCCAACCTCCGCCTCCCAGGTTCAAGCAAGTCTCCTGCCTCAGCCTCCTGAGTAGCTGGCATTACAGGTGCCCGCCACCATGCCCGGCTAATTTTTGTGTTTTTAGTAGAGGCGGGGTTTTATCATGTTGACCAGGCTGGTCTCGAACTCCTGACCTCAGCTGATCCACCCGCCTTGGCCTCCCAAAGTGCTGGGATTACCATTCATGTTTCTTCTCCAGAGACCAAGGACAGGCCACTACAAGATGAGTACAGCGTGCTCGTGGCCAGCATGTTGGAGCCAGCAGTGGTGTATCGGTGAGGGGGCCTGAGACACATGGGTGTGGTCTAACCTTCTTTCTTTGCACTGTGGTCTAACCTTGTCATTCTCTACAGTAAGTTCCTCTGGGTGGATTACCCAGAGCTGGACAAGTACAGATACTCGTGACCCAGGGGTGGGGGCTGTGAATATTGAAGTCTAGACTTGTAGGGAATATGTTGAGGCTGGGGGGTGGGAGCAGAGATGCCTGTGCCCCCTGGAGTAGATGTAGTAGGTATGCTGGAAAATGGTTAATCACTGGCTATGCACGAGGAAAGCCCAGGTTTGTAGCATTTACCAGAGTTTCCAAAGTGTAAATACTCCCACCATGGTGGCTTTCAAACCATGAACATGATTACATGGGAACATTTCCCAGTCAGCTCTCGGAAGCAACTATAGCCAGCTCTGGCACCCCTCTAGGGGTGGTGAAGGTGTCCAGGCCAGGGCCAAGCCCTCTTCGGGCTCCACGAAGGCAGCGTGGGTGTCTAAATTGAGGACACATGCATCTGAATCCTCAGATGGGACACTGTGGCTTTCCATTTGGGAGTGAGATGGTCTCCGAGATGAAGGGCTTGAGTGCACAGGTTGACCCCTTGCTGGGTCTATGAATATGTCCAAATCTGAGATGATGATGTCTAGGCTTCCGGAGGACCAGTGTGTCTAGGCCTGAGAAGGGAAGCAGTACCGGTACCCAGCTTAGCATCCGCCAAGGGTGCTGGGCACTGCAAGCTGACCCCAGTCTATATGCTGTATTTGGGACCCTCAGGGACCTGCTGAACCGGGGTCTTGAAGACCAGCTTCTCCTGCCCGGCAGTGACCAGTTTGACAGCGTCCTCTGCAGCCTGGTCACCGATGTGGATTTGGATGGGCGGCCAGAAGTCCTGGTGGCCACCTATGGACAGGTGGGACCTGACAGTTGGAGCCACACCCACCGGCCTCCCTCCACTGTCCCCCCATCAACCTGTGTGACCTGATTCTTCACCCCCGCAGGAACTGCTGTGTTATAAGTACCGGGGCCCAGAGTCGGGGCTTCCTGAGGCCCAGCACGGGTTCCATCTGCTGTGGCAGCGGAGCTTCTCCAGTCCCCTGCTGGCCATGGCTCACGTGGACCTGACCGGGGATGGGCTGCAGGAGCTTGCCGTGGTCTCCCTGAAGGGCGTGCACATCCTGCAGGTATCCCCAGCTCTTGGGGTGGGAGGGGAGTCGACCTCAGCAGTTTCGAGCAGGGGGTGCAGGCCTCCTCCTGGGGGAGGGAGGAACTCATTTCAGGGAGGCAGTTCCTACCAGTCAGGACAACTCCCAGGAGAAAGGGGCAGCTGTGAGCGCTCACAGCAGCTGGGGTGGGGGCACCGGCCTGGTGAAGGAGATTTATTTATTTATTTATTATTTTATTTTTGAGACAGAGTCTTGCTCTGTCACCCAGGCTCTAGCGCAGTGACTCGATCTCAGCTCACTGCAACCTCCACCTCCCAGGTTCAAACAATTCTCATGCCTCAGCCTCTCAAGCAGCTGGGAAATACAGCCGCACGCCACCACGCCCAGCTAATTTTTGTATTTTTAGTAGAGACGGAGTTTCACCATGTTGCCCAGGTTAGTCTCAAACTTCTGGCCTCAAGTCATCCGCCCACCTCGGCCTCCCAAAGTGCTAGGATTACAGGTGTGAGCCACCACACCCTGGCCTTTTTTTTTTTTTTTTTGGTTTTTTTGTTTGTTTGTTTGTTTTCGAGACAGAGTCTTGCTCTGTTTCCCAGGCTGGAGTGCAGTTTCCCAGGCTGGTGTGCAGTGGTGTGATCTCAGTTCACTGCAACCTCCACCTTCCAGGTTCAAGTGATTGTCCTGCCTCAGCCTCCCTAGTAGCTGGGATGACAGGCACCTGCCACCAAGCTTGGCTAAATTTTATATTCCTTTTATATTCCTTCTAATCTCACTTCCTTACATTTGGGTCTAGGCTTTGTCCCTCCCACTAGAAATTCGCTTAAGGCCACTCCCCTTCACCCCTGTCACAGAGGCCCATTCCCATCCCACACACTGTGGTCTGCTCTCTGCCCTCCCACGTGGGCCGAGCTCCTGGCCTTTGGAGTTGCTTCACTCCAGACGGTCCCGCTGTGGTCCCACAGCTCTTCCTCAGCTCCATCCCCCTCATTCTCTTGTTCCCCACAGCACAGCCTGATTCAGGCCTCAGAGCTGGTCTTGACCCGGCTTCGACATCAAGTGGAGCAGAGGAGACGTCGGCTACAGGGGTTGGAGGACGGGGCAGGTGCAGGGCCTGCTGAGAATGCAGCCTCTTAAGCACCCATGCACCCACTCTTCCCAGACCTGGGGCGACTCATGGCGTGCTCACCTCCAGCCGCTGGTGGGGGGTGTCCTGAAGGACAGGATGCTCTCCCCAGACCTCCCCAGGGTGGTGAAGCTGTGCCCTGGGGCCCCAGCTAACCCACTCCTCTCTCTGTACGTCAATGTCCCTATTTGAAAGCAGGGATGATCCCATTCCACCCTGTCCACTCTGGATGAGAATTGGCCACCTGATGGTTATTTATACGTCCAGAAGAACATCATTTCCCAGTTGTCTCGATTCTTTTTTTCGGCAAGCATTTGGTGAGCACCTGCTGTATGCCTGGCTCTGTGTTGGATGCTGGATTCACCCAGAGGAATTGAGGGAGAGGGATTTGGGGGAGAGGGAATCCAAGGCTAGACCCAGATACAGGCCGGAGGTTAGATCCCAGGGTAGAACCCAAGAGAAAGAAATGGGGTGACACCTTAGCAGAAAGGCTAAAAGTTAAACCACTGTGGAACAGATTACGTAAAATGGAAGGGAAAGAGCTGAGGTTAGACCCTAGTGGAGAGAGCTGACATGAGACCCCAGTGGAAAGATCTAGATCTAAGGGTAGATCCCAGTGGAAAGGTAAGGAGCTTGAGCGTTTAGAGGAAAACTTGTGGGTAGAAAGGGCTGCTGTGGGAAAGCAGTGGTCCATTTGTAGCAGAGGGTCTGAGGCTAGACTCCCTATGAATAATGCTGAGGTTGGACCCCAACAAAAAATTGCTATGGCCAGATCCTGTGCAAGGGGCCAGGGTTAAACCCCAGCAGAAAGTGAGCTTAGTTCCCAGTGGAGAGCACTGAGGCAAGACCCAGGGAGAAGACCCAGGCTAGACCATGCTGGAAAGGGCTAAGCTTAGACCTAATCTAAAAAGCCTAGGGGGTTGGGGGCCCAGGGAGTGGGAGACAAGCCTGATTCTCCCAGCCTGTGGTGGTAGGAGTTGCCTTGCCTGTGGTCTTTTGTGTGTGTGTGAGAGACGGAGTCTCATTCTGATGCACTGGTTGGAGTGCAGTGGCGCGATCTCGGCTCACTGCAACCTCCACCTCCTGGTTCAAGCGATTCTCCTGCCTCGGCCTCCTGAGTAGCTGGGATTACAAGCGTACGCCACCACGCCTGGCTAATTTTTTTGTATTTTTAGTAGAGACAGGGTTTCACCGTGTTGGCCAGGCTGGTCTCAAACTCCTGACCTCAGGTGATCTGCCCGCCTCGGCCTCCCAAAGTGCTGGGATGACAGGCGTGAGTCACTGAGCCCGGCCTCCTGTGCTCCGTTCTGTATTACCAGGAGAAGGAATCAGAGGCCTGTGTCTCTAGGATCAGTGGAGGGTGGGAACGATGGAAGTCTTGTCCTCCGTCCACTGCAGGCCAGGAATAGAATCTGGGTCAGCAGGGTTGGGGGATGATCATTCCCTGGGCCGTATCCAGGCTGGGGGCAGGGGTTGGGCAGGACATCTGCTTCCTGGGGGTTCAGGGGAGAGGCAGACACCGTAGTCATTTTGGCCATCTGTCTACCTCCCGCTATGGAGGTCCACTCAGAAGTCTGACCACCAGCACTGACAGGGAAGACCCAGCCACCAGTTCTCTACCGAGCGTTTATGGGAGTTAGGAGCTCAGCAACTCCTGGCCACCCCTGTCTTCACCCTCTTTCCCAGAAGCCAGGCCCAGGCGTGGGAAGTTGGAGGAAGCCGGATCCTCTCCCTCCCCTGGCCAGCAGGCCTGACGGTGTCCAGCCAGGACTGGCAGTGGGCAGGACCGGTGGCACGAGCAAGGCCCCCTCCCTCCCACTGTCCGCCTCTAGAGAAGGAGCACTCCACACCGACTAACACGCCATCACCCCCTGTTGTGGGGGGGAGCAGGATTGGGGGTGGGTGTAGTGCTGGTGTGCCTTGCAGAGGTGTGTGCTTGCGTGGGGGTATGTGTGTGGGCCCATCGCAGGGTGCATGAGTTTGTGTCTTCAGGAGCCCAGGCCACCTGCCTGGCCCTTTGCAGTTCATTTCTTTCTTTTTTTTTTTTTTTTTTGGAGATGGAGTCTCACTCTGTCACCCAGGCTAGAGTGCGGTGGCATGATCTCAGCTCACTGCAGCCTCCACCTCCCAGGTTCAAGCGATTTCTCCTGCCTCAGCCTCCCAAGTAGCTGGGATTACAGGCGTGTGCCACCTGGCCTGGCTAATTTTTGTATTTTTAGAAGAGACAGGGTTTCGCCATGTTGGCCAGGCTGGTCTCCAACTCCTGACGTCAAGTGATCTGCTCGCCTCAGCCTCCTAAAGTGCTGGGATTACAGGCGTGAGCCACCGCACCCAGCCTGCAAGTCTCTTCTTGACCTGACCCGTCCTCAGCCTGGGGAATTGTGCGGTGCAGCAGTTAAGGGTGTAGAATCTGGAGCCATATTTACCACCTCATGCCTTGGTTTCCCTGTCTGTAAGTGAAGCTCATAATAGCATTTACCTAAATTTATAAAAAACATTAGAACATGCCAGGTGCGGTGGCTCTCACCTGTGCGGTGGCTCTCACCTGTAATCTCAGCGCTTTGGGAGGCCGAGGCAGAAGGATTGCTTAAGCCCGGGAGTTGGAGACTAGCCTAGGTAAAATAGTGAGACCCCGTCTCTTAAAAAAAATGAAGAGAAAAAAAGCCTGGCGTGGTGGTGGTGGGCACCTGTAGTCCCAGCTACTCGGGAGGCCAAGGCAGAAGGATCGCTTGAGCCCAGGAGTTGGAGACCAGCCTGGGTAACATGGTGAGATCCCATCTCCTAAAAAAAAAAAATGGAGGGAAAAAGCCTGGCGTGGTGGTGGCGGGCACCTGTAGTCCCAGCTACTCAGGAGGCTGAGGCAGGAGGATTGCTTGAGCCCAGGAGGTTGAGGCTGCAGTAAGCCAAGATCGTGCCACTGCACTCCAGCCTGGGTGACAGAGTGAGACCCTGTCTCAAATAATAATAATGTGCTGCCGATGCCAGGCACGTGGTCAGGGCTGCCTGTATGTATGGCAGCTGTTGTTATTCTTATTAATGGGTGTCTTTGTGGTTGTTTCTGGCCTCCTTTGTGAGGCTGTGCAGGCACAGTATGTGAATTTGGATCTGACTCCAGCTAAACATTCTTGCCCTCCCCCTAGTTCTGTAAGTCTGTAACTATTTGTAGCTGTTGGCCCTTGTATGGCTGGGAGACTGCGTGCGTGTGTGTGTGTGCGTGTGTGTGTGTGTGTGTTGGGGGGCGGGGGCTGCTTCTGAAACACACAGGAGCGCCCTCCGGTGCTGTCCCCTGCCTCTGGTGCTGAACCCGGAGGCTGGGGAGGAGGCTCGGGCTCCCTGCTCCCCCAGGCCCCTCCCCGGGCCTCCCCCCGCCTCCCGCACCGCCTTCCCTCTGCCCGCCTCCGCCTCCTCCCCCTCTCTCCGGCTCCTCCCCCTCCCTCGCTCCCTCGCCGCCTCCCCCTCCCCCGTGTCCCTCCCCTCTCCTCTTCTCCTCCCTCTATCCCCTCTCCCTCCCCTCCTCCCCGGCTCTCCCTCTCAGTCTCAGGCTTTTCTCTCTCTCAATCTCTCTCTCTCTTTCGGGCGGAGTCGCCCACCACTGCCAGCCCAGCGCTGGGGGGACCTGCTCCAGGCTGTAGCCGCAGGTAAGAGACCCCATTGGTGGGGAGGTGGGGGCGTGGGAAAAGGACGGGGTTACCCCAGGTGCGGAGTGGGGGCGGTTCGGGAAGCCTGGAGCTGGCTTCCCTGGGCTGGTTTATGGAGGTGGGGGGCTGCCTGGCCCAGCACGCGTACCTTCTGTGGGGTGGGAGTGCCACCAGCCGCCCCAACACCTTCAGTCCCTCCTGGTTCTCGGGCGGCTGGGGAGGGGGACCGCCTGGGTACTGGGGGGCGAGGACACCCCGCCCCCACCCCGTCTGGGGCACCCCCCCTCGCGCTCTCTACCTCTGCCCCCGCCTTCCTGTGTCTGGGTCTCATCTTTCTGTCTCTCCACATGTCTCAGGGGTCTCTGTCTAGCAGAGTCTGGCCGCCTCTGGGAGTCCCTGTCTCTCAGTCTCTCACTCCTGTCTCCCTCTCTCTGTGTCTCTGTGCCGGGGTCTGTTCGGAGTCTCTCTGGGGCTCTGTCTCTAAGTCCTGGGTTTCTCTCTCCTTTCCTCTTGCGCCATCTCTGTTTCTCTGTGTCTCTGTGTCTCTGCCTCTCTCCCTTGTCTCAGCTTTCCTGTGTCTCTCTCTGTCTCTGCTTTCTCTGTGTCTCTGTCTCTTCCCATGTCCGCATGTCTCTCTCTCTCTCTCTCTCTCTCCCTCCCTCCCCATCTCCCCCTCGTCTCCATCTCTGTCTCTGGATATCTCAGTCTCTGTTTCTCTCTCTCTTTCCTCTTCTCTGGCTCTCCCTGGGAGCCAGTGCACCCTCCTCCCACACACCTTTGTCTCCGCCCCTGGCAGGGGGGACCTGGAGGAATTAGACCCCCCCACCCGCAGAGTGGGCTCCCCCAGGCCTGGAGTCCTCTAAACTCCTCTCCCCACTTCAGCAGAGCTCCCCTGCTCTCTCCACTCCTCCCAGCCGGCACCCACCCCAGCTCTCCCCTGAGGACCGAGCCCACCTCCCCCTGCCTTGTTTCTGGCGTTCTGAGGCCGGTCCTTCTTGCAGTTTAACCGGTAGCCTCTGTAGTAGAGATGAGACCAGACCTCCCTTCAATCTAACCTCCCCAGTCTTCCTCGTGTAACTGGACCAGTCCTTCCTGCCGTCTCACTTCCATACCTCTTGCTGTTTGTCCAGCTCTTGATTCATTCATTCTTGTTGATAATTACTGAGCGCCTTTCCTGCTCTGGGCAAGCACTAGGTACTGAGTTAGACCGGGCCAGTCCTTCCTGCAGTCTCACTTCCATCCCTTTCCTGGTGTGCCAGCCTCACACTGTCTCAGTGGGGGGTGCTGAGAGGGCCCTGGCCAACACACTGTCTGCCTTCCTTGAGAGAAGGGGGCCCTGGAGAAGGTGGGCAAGAGAGTGAGTGATGGCGAAAAGGTACGAGGCTGTGCCTGTAGCCCTGGTGTGTGTGTGTGTGTGTGTGTGTGTGTGTGTGTGTGTGTATGATGTCTCCCTGGCTGCAGGTGAGGTCCCAGCCCTGTGTGACAGTGCCCACGGAGGGGGCTTCAGATGGCTTTAAAGAGCACTAGGTTAAGAGCCCTGTTCCTCCTCTGGGCCTCAGTTTACGTATTATCAGTGTATCACAGCCTCGAGCACCCAAGCTCTGTGGTGTGATCCCCACACTGGACCATTTTGAGGTGATGGGAGCGCCTGCGCTCATGCTGGGGCAGTAAATGTGCATGTTTAGAAGTCTGAGTCCCCAGCTCGGTCCTGCAAGGGCCAGCCCCCCAACACAGGCACAGTCAGAAAAGCACCCTCCCTTGCCGCCCCACTGTGGGGTGGTAGCGTGAGGGATATGAAGGACGGGTCTTACCTGGCACGCCAGACTGCACCCACCCCCAGGCATGCAGTCCTGTTCTTCTGATCAAGGACCTAAGAGGCACGTGAGGCAGAACAGGGGTGCTCACTGCCGACCCAGCTGGCCGCACGCCCACGAAGGGAGGGAGAGATGGCCCTGGGAGACGGTACCTGCCATCTGCCCTCCCCGCTCCCACCCTGGGCTCCACCTGATCCTTTTGCCCCTGGATTCTAAAAGCAGATTGGGTTTCAGGGCTGCTGGTGGATGGAGAGGGAGAGGCAGGAGCCAGGAGCAGAGGGAGCCCACGGTCCCTGGTGACAGGGCTCAGACCTCTTGGTCATTCATTTCACAAATATTTATCTAGTGCTTTCTCTCCCTGACTGCTCCTCTCGCAAGGCCCCAGCGAGAAACCAGGTTTTGCAGGAAAAAGGGATTGCACTAGGCTGTGCTTGACCCAGCCCCTGGGCTAGGAGGGTGGACATGAGAACCCGCATCACCTGGCTGTGGTCTCTCTTGAGGACTGCAGCAGGAAGGACAGGTGGTTAAACCTGAGGGAGGACTTCCCAGGCCGAGGCTTCCTCCCAGAGAGAGCGGGGTTTGGTTTGATGCTTTAGAAGAATTCCTGACTCCCGGCTGGCCCCTGTTTCTCCTGAAAGCCAGGGAGGCGGAGGGAGAAGGGAGCATGAGCCTTTGCTTTGGATCCTGGTGGGTTTGTAATTATGCCTAAGTTGTTGCTAATTAGGGGGCTGCTAATTAGACGTATCATTAGGGGCCTTGCTGAGGGGGCTAATTGTGCGGTGGCCCTTTAAGAATCACCCCTCTCCCCCACCCTTGCCTGCACACACACACACACACACACACACACACACACACGCACACAGGCATGCTCCTCGCTTGCTCTCTCCTTCTTGGGAAGTTCTGCCAACACGCTGCCTCCCTCCCCCAGAGGAGCCAGCTCCCAGCCCATGGGTATGTAGGTGTGAGTTGGGGACAGGCTGTGGGTTAGACTCTCAGAAGAACTTTTCAAGCAAATGGAAGCCCCTGGAAGAAATGAGGCTGGTGGCAGAGGGGTCTGGGAGGGTGGAGGTTCCCAGGACACCTCTCTTCCTCTCTCCTTCTCTTTTTGATAAGCCACTGGGTTACCATGGCAACATGAGGGTGGGGCGGAGGAGCTCAGAGTCAGGGCCACTCTTGGAGAGGCGACCTGGGAGCCAGAGTTGGTGCTGGATGATGTGGGCAAGTTCCGTAACCTCTCTGCGCCTTGGTCCTCTCACCTGTGGAATGGAGGGGTGCTCCCCAGAGGGGGAGGGTGTCATTTTGGATGGGGTGTTTGGGGAAGCTGACATCAGAGTGGAAACCTGAAAGGGCAGAGAGAGCAAGGCTAGCGGATATGAGGGGAAGAGTGGGCGGGGCACGGTGGCACGCACCTGTGATCCCAGCACTTTGGGAGGCCAAGGCAGGTGGAGCACCTGAACCCAGGAGTTCAAAAACAGCCTGGGCAACATAGAGACTCCCGGCTCTACAATAAATTAGCTGGGCATGGTGGCGCACGCCTGTACTTCCCGCTACTTGGGAGGCTGAGGAGGGAGGGTCGCTTGAGCCCTGGAGGTCGAGGCTGCAGTGAGATGTGATGGCACCACTGCACTTCAGCCTGGGTGGCAGAGTGAGATCCCGTCTCAAAAATACATAAATAGAGAAGCGTGTTCGAGGAAGGGGGAACAGCAGGTGCCAGGGCTCCAAGGCAGAAGCTTGTCTGGTGAGGCTGAGGAGCAGAGGGGAGGAGAGGGTGGCTGAGGCAGACTGGGCAAGGGGGAGAGGGTGGGAAAAGAGGCCAGAGAGGGAGTCGGGGCCAGGTTGGGCAGGACCTCACGGGCCCTGGAGAGGACGCTGGTGCTGTGAGTGAGATGGGAGCTGGCGGGGGTTCTGAACAGTAGGGGGATGAGGCAAGCTGATTTGTGGGCTTTGTTTTTGGTTTTGTTTTGTTTTTGAGGCAGAGTCTGGTTTTGTCGCCCAGACTGGAGTGCAATGACATGATCTCGGCTCACTGCAACCTCTGCCTCCCTGGCTCAAGCGATTCTCATGCTTCAGCCTCCCAAGTGCTGAGATTATAGGCACACGCCACCACACCTGGCTTTTTTTTTTTTTTTTTTTTTTTTGTATTTTTAGAAGAGACAGGGTTTCACCATGTTGGCCAGGCTGGTCTCAAACTCCTGACCTCAAGTGATCCACCCGCCTCAGCCTCAAAGTGCTGGGATTACAGGCGTGAGCCACCGTGTCCAGCGATTTGTGTTTTAAAAGGAAACCCAGATAAGACACGGTAATAGCCACTCAAACTCAGCACCAGAGGTAGGGAGAGAAATAATGAAACAGTAGAACCCCCACACCCACAAATGGGACAGAAAGCCCAGCACAGGGTCTTAGATGTCACAGCCCCTAAGGAACTGCACCACTTATAGAGCCTGGGGAAAACCTCAGGTCAGACACAGGGAAGCTGGAGAGACTGATGCCTGCTACCACCTTGGGGAGGGACATGAATGAGACCCTCCAGCAACCCCTCCCCAGCCCCACTTGAAACAGACAAACACGGCCCAACACCCGCCACAGCCCAAATCCTGAGCAAGAGCTTTCAAAGGGCCGAGTTGGAGACCATTTGAATCTCCTAACAAACTCAGAGCCTCCTGCTCCCTGCCTCTCAGTGAATTTTGCAGTTTGAGTGCTTTTGTGCTTGGCTTCATTCAGCCATTGTGACATCTGTGAGATTCATCCATGTGCTGGGTGCAGCAGCAAATAGTTCACTCCCTTTTCAGTGCTCTATAATATTCCACTGTGCAAATCCTCCAAACGTATTTCTCCATTTTACTGCTGATAGGCCTCTGGGTTGTTTGAAGATTGGCGCTATTATAAATAAAGCTGCTATGAACATTCTTATTTTATTTGAGATGAAGTCTCACTCTGTCACCCAGGCTGGAGTACAGTAGCGCCATCTCAGCTCACTGCAACCTCCGCCTCCCAGGTTCAAGTGATTCTCCTGCCTCAGCCTCCCGAGTAGCTGGGGTTACAGGCTCCCGCCACCCTGCCCAGCTAATTTTTGTATTTTTAGTAGAGACGGGGTTTCACCATGTTGGCCAGGCTGGTCTCAAACTCCTGATCCACCCACCTCAGCCTCCCAAAGTTCAGGGATTACAGGCGTAGCCACCGCACCCGGCCTGCTATGAACATTCTTGTAGGTCCTTTTAGTGGACATAAGGACCTATTTCTCAGGCACATACCGAGGAACAAAACTGCTGAATTGCATGATACGTGGTGTTCGGCTGTAGTTGCCCAAAGTGCATAGACCAATTTGCATTCCCACCAGCAGTGCATGGGGGTTCCTCTGTCCTTATCTTTCAGTCTCTCTCTCTCTCTGTGGGTCTCTGTCTGTCACTCTCTGTGTCTCTGTCGCCCTCAGTCCCCATCCTGCCTGCATTGGTCCTCAGCTTCTCCCCCAACCCTCCTTCCCCAGTGAGCTTTGACCTTTGTATGACAGAAAGAGGTTTGCTTCCCTCACCCAGACCTCCTCCTCCTCCCCCATAGGACCCCACCACCCCCCATGGCTCCCCTGGCCTTGGTGGGGGTCACACTCCTCCTGGCGGCTCCCCCATGCTCCGGGGCAGCCACCCCAACCCCCTCCCTGCCGCCTCCCCCGGCCAATGACAGCGACACCAGCACAGGGGGCTGCCAGGGGTCCTACCGCTGCCAGCCGGGGGTGCTGCTGCCCGTGTGGGAGCCCGACGACCCGTCGCTGGGTGACAAGGCGGCACGGGCAGTGGTGTACTTTGTGGCCATGGTCTACATGTTTCTGGGAGTGTCCATCATCGCCGACCGTTTCATGGCGGCCATCGAGGTCATCACGTCAAAAGAGAAGGAGATCACCATCACCAAGGCCAACGGTGAGACCAGCGTGGGCACCGTTCGCATCTGGAATGAGACGGTGTCCAACCTCACGCTCATGGCCCTGGGCTCCTCCGCACCTGAGATCCTGCTGTCAGTCATCGAAGTCTGCGGCCACAACTTCCAGGCGGGTGAGCTGGGCCCAGGCACCATCGTGGGCAGCGCTGCCTTCAACATGTTTGTGGTCATCGCCGTGTGCATCTACGTCATCCCAGCCGGCGAGAGCCGCAAGATCAAGCACCTGAGAGTCTTCTTTGTCACTGCCTCTTGGAGCATCTTCGCCTATGTCTGGCTTTATCTCATCCTTGCTGTTTTTTCCCCCGGTGTGGTCCAGGTGAGCAAAGACGCATAGATGCTTTCTTGGTGCATGTGTGTCTGCAAAATCCAGAGAGGTGCTCTTGGCTTGGAGTGTTGATTGCTGTATTTGCAGAAATGCACACTCACATCTGAGAGGGCTGCCAAGTACGGTTGTGCAGGTCACCAGACTACACAAGGGAATTGAGCCAAACAGGGCAAGTCCTGCTGGAGGGGCTGGAGTCCTGCTGATGCTACCCAGCCATATCTCTGGAGGGTGCAGCAAACATTTATTTGTCCAGAGGGACGCACTGTTTTGCACTTAAGAACAGTACACTCACTTGGAAGGGGCACCTTTTAGCTCCCAAAAGGGTGTTGTATGTACTAACGGAGCCCCTGTGATCTGTGTAATGCATGCTACGTATGTTCACATGTTTTCCTACACTCCCTACCTTTTGCATAACTGATTCCCGCTTTTGCAATAAGACATCCTCCATTCGCATAATTCATACTACCCTTGCATATAATCCAGCCTAGTGTTTTCTGACATTGCTAATTGGCTTGAGTAACTTAGTGCAATTTGCATAATTTATCCATGGGCTCGCATAGATATATACCTACATCTGCATAATTTAGCCATTTGCCAGATATGTAATCACGGTTTGCATAATTCATTCATTATTCATCATCAATTTCTGATGTTGGGATAATTTATGCCACTTCAGTGTAATGTATACTCCCATCCAACCCAACATCAATATAAGCCCTGTGACCACTTTGCATAATTTATTCCAATAGTGAGACAAAATTTAGACCCACAGCTGCATAATTTATACCTATATTCTCATAATCATTAGCCTTTCGCTCACCCCATGTCTTAACTCGCATACTATGTAGTCTTCCTTGACAACGTTTGCCTAATGTATTTCCCACAACCCCGTGACTGCCTCCTACATTTGCATAATTTATTTATGGGCCTGGCCTAATTCAGTCACACACATGCATAATTTATTTGCAGGTGTCCAGGATTCATTCACACATGTGTGTAATCTATTTTTGCCTATCTGTCAGGTTTCTGCCAGTTACAGTTTCTTCCCAGGAAGGATCTGAAGCTAGAGATAGAAAAATGCCTTGTGGGTTTTCTGTGAAGGAGGATATATAACAGAGGGATCAGAAGCCACAGTGAGGAAAGGGGAGGACAGTGGCACCAGAAGACAGGGCTCCTGAAAGAGGGAGAGAGAAAGAGGAGAGAGTTTCCCATCTGCCATGGTGAAAAGTGTGCAGTGATATATCGTACAGTTTAAGGTGCTGTTAAAATGAATGGTGTCCTGACTTAGGCTTTCAGAAAGGCCTTTGAAGCTAGGTGTGGTGGTTCATGCCTGTAATCCTAGCACTTTGGGAGGTCGAGGCAGGAAGATCACTTGAGGTCAGGAGTTCGAGACCAGCCTGGCCAACATGGTGAAACCCCATCTCTACTAAAAATATAAAAACTAGCCTGGCATGGTGGTACCCGCCTGTAATCCCAGCTACTCGGGAGGCTGAAGCAAGGGAATTGCTTGAACCTGGGAGGTGGAGGTTGCAGTGAGCCGAGGTGGCCCCACTGCACTCCAGCCTGGGTGACAGAGTGAGACTCTATCTAAAAAAAGAAAGAAAAGGAAGAAAGGAGAATATAACAGATATTTTGTTACATCCCCTTTATTTCTGCTGATATGAAATTCTTAGGTAATCAAAGAGAGATCTTGTGGCCTCAGAGTTTGATCCATGCACCTGAAGCCAGAGATTTGGGTTCAAATCCCACCTCTGCCATTCCCTCACTGTGTGACCTAGGGCAGGTTCCTTATCTTCTCCAGGCCTCAGTTTCCTCAACTGTAAAATGGGGATCATGAGAGTGCTGACTTCATAGGGCTACCATGAGGATTAACTGAATTGTTCCGTGTGGAAAGACTTAAAATAGTCTGCCTGAAACAGAGTAAATGTTAGCTATTCATTAACAAACTCCCCTATGCATTTGGCTTCCCAAAAAGTCAGTATAATGTCCAAACTGTGTTATAAAGAAAAGATTTCTATTTCTTTCTTTTTTTTTTTTTTTGAGACAGAGTCTTTCTCTGTCGCTCTGAGGCAGCGATTCTCCTGCCTCAGCCTCCTGAGTAGCTGAGATTACAGGTGTGTTCCACCACGTCAGCTAATTTTTGTATTTTTAGTAGAGACGGGGTTTTGTCATGTTGGCCAGGCTGGTCTCGAACTCCCAACCTCAAGTGATCTGCCCGCCTCAGCCTCCCAAAGTGCTGGGATTACAGGCGTGAGCCACTGTGCCCTGCCTAAAGAAAAGGTTTCTGGGCCGGGTGCTGTGGCTCACGCCTGTAATCCCAGCACTTTGGGAGGCTGAGGCGGGCGGATCACAAGGTCAGGAGATAGGGACCATCCTGGCTAACACGGTGAAACCCCGTCTCTGCTAAAAATACAAAAAAATTAGCCGGGCGTGGTGGCGGGCGCCTGTAGTCCCAGCTACTCGGGAGGCTGAGGCAGGAGAATAGCGTGAACCCGGGAGGCGGAGCTTGCAGTGCGCCAAGATCGCGCCGCTGCACTCAGGCCTAGGCGACAGAGCGAGACTCCGTCTCAAAAAAAAAAAAGAAAAGGTTTCTAACAGAACAGTCTGCATTTCCACCTGGAAATGCTTCATCACAACTACCCTCATGACAAGGGAGCCAGATGCAGGCATCTATTTATAATGAATAAGCTGGGCTTCAGAGAAAGAAAAAGATCAGAAACCATTGCATGCAAGAAGTCTAGGCAGAGGAGCAGGTAGCCACGAGATTTAAAACAAGTGTATTTGCAGTATGTTAAACCATACAGGAAAATACTTCATATAAGATATACATAAGGCCGGGCACAGTGGCTCACGCCTGTAATCCTAGCACTTTGGGAGGTCGAAGTGGATGGATCACCTGAGGTCATGAGTTCGAAACCAGCCTGACCGACATGGTGAAACTCTGTCTCTACTAAAAATACAAAAAATAGCTGGGCATGGTGGCAGGCGCCTGTAATCCCAGCTACTTGGGAGGCTGAGGCAGGAGAATCGCTTGAACCTGGGAGGTGAAGTTTGCAGTGAGCTGAGATTGAGCCGCTGCACTCCAGCCTGGGTGACAGAGTGAGACTCCATCTCAGAAAAAAAAAAAAAAAAAGAAATTTAAAAAAGATATACATAGGCCGGGCGCAAAGGCTCATGCCTGTAATCCCAGCACTTTGGGAGGCTGAGGTGGGCAGATCACCCGAGGTCAGGAGTTCAAGACCAGCCTGACCAACATGGGGAAACCCTAACTCTACTAAAAATACAAAATTAGCCGGGCGTGGTGGTGCATGCCTGTAATCCCAGGTACTCGGGAGCGTGAGGCAGGAGAATCGCTTGAACCCGGGAGGCGGAGGTTGCGGTAAGCCGAGATTGCACCACTGCACTCCAGCCTGGGCAACAAGAGCGAAACTCTGTCTCAAAAAGAGAAAGAAAGAAAGAAAGAAAAAGAAAAAGAAAGAAATACATAAAACAGAGTTATAAATTCTAACTATCATAAACAGTGTTTTCACGGATAAGAACATTAGTGGCAGGTTCTGAAATGAGACGGCATATGGGACATTTCTGCATTGTGTGGGACTGTCCCGTGCGGATAAGAATGTTAGTGGCAGGTTCTGAAATGAGCCGGCATGTGGGACATTTCTGTATTGTGTGGGACTGTCCCATGAGTTGCTGGATGTCATCAGGCCAGGAAAGGCCAAGACCATGTCCCCCTCCCTAGTGATGATGGCAGCCCATAAATACCCCCAGATTTCCAATACTCTGTCTCAGGGGTGTGCCTGCTCCACTGAGACCTGAAAATGTCACAGTGCCCTCCCAGGCTGGACACATTCTTAGTGGGTGCTCTAGAAAGACATTGTGAATCGGCTAGAATCACTTTTTATTGACCTGCAGGGAGGAAGGAAAATCTTAGGGGTTTGGGATTGTCTTCTGATGAATAGAGACTTCCTTGCAATATACATAATGGTAGGTTCAATTAATACAAGGGAGAGAGTTCATTTCACAGCTTGCGCTGAACATTCGGCTCCTTTTCCCAAATCTGCCTGTTGGCTTCATGCAGTTTTACTATTTGCAAGTCTTGACTGTTCTCTGAGCCAGCAGTAAACACAGTGATAGCAGGTGTGGCAACTGGATCTTAGATATTTTTCCTACCAGGCTCATTTTTAAGATACTCTGGGGGCCTTCTTTTTTTCGAGATGGAGTCTCACTCTGTCCCCCAGGCTGGAGTTCAGTGGTGTAATCTCAGCTCACTGCAACCTCCGCCTCCTAGATTCAAGTGATTCTCCTGCCTCAGCCTTCCTAATAGCTGGAATTACAGGCGCACGCCACCACACCTGGCTGATTTTTGTATTTTTAGTAGAGATGGGGTTTCACCATGTTGGCCAGGCTGGCCTTGAACTCCTGAGCTCAAGTGATCCACCCACTTTGGCCTCCCAAAGTGCAGGGATTATAGGCGTGAGCCACTGTGCCTGGCCTTCGGGGGCCTTGTCATCGTAAATACTCTTTTTTTTTTGAAACAGAGTCTCGCTCGGTCGCCAGGCTGGAGTGCAGTGGGGTGATCTCAGCTCACTGCAACCTCCGCCTCCCGGGTTCAAGCGATTCTCCTGCCTCAGCTTCCCAAGTAGCTGGGATTACAGGCGCCTGCCACCACGCCCAGCTAATTTTTGTATTTTTAGTAGAGACGGGGTTTCACCATGTTGGCCCTCGTGATCCACCCACTTCCGCCTCCCAAAGTGCTGGGATTACAGGCATGAGCCACCACGCCTGGCCCATAAATACTCTTTTATCTTTTCTTCTTCATCTTTGATGAGAAAGGTAACATTTGAGTCTTTCCATGAATATCTTCAAGGCAAACCCTCGAGTCTTGGTGGATGCTTTCCATGTGCCAGGCCTGTGCTGGGCCACCAGCAGACTGAGTCTTAGGCCTCTGCAAGCCCAAGATAATAGTACTAAATAATAACGATGGCGATGTTCTTTTTTTTCTTTTTCTTTCTTTTTTTTTTTTAAGATGGAGTCTCATTCTGTCACCCAGGCTGGAGTGCAGTGGCGTGATCTCGGCTCACTGCAACCTCCCCCTCCTGGGCTCAAGCAATTCTCCTGCCTCAGCCTCCCGAGTAACTGGGACTACAGATGCACACCACCATGCCTGGCTAATTTTGTATTTTTGGTAGAGATGGGGTTTCACCATGTTGGCCAGGCTGGTCTCGAACTCCTGGCCTCAGGTGATCCACCCACTTTGGCCTCCCAAAGTGCTGGGATTACAGGCGTGAGCCACCACGCTTGGCCAGGCAATGTTAATTTCACATCTTGAGTCTTTTCCATGTGTCAGAAACTGAGAATGCTGTGCACTAGGAATGCAGGTGCTCATTCAGTCTTGGAAATGTCCCCATTGTATAGACCAAGAGATGAGACAGCCATCCCTGTGGTAAAGCCAGGCTCCCAACTCAGAGCTGCCCTGGCTGTGCATGGGAACTGGTTTTATGAGGCAGAAGAGCCAGATGTGTGTCTCTGTTAGAGACACAGCCTGTCCATGAGGGCCAGGCAAATGCTAAGGAGGCACTGGTAGGGGTCATGGGTGGGGCACTGAGGGCGTTTGGGTGAACAGAGAGCAGGCCCTGGATGATGGGCGAGGTTTGGAGAAGTGGAGGCACCCCCAGGTGATGGGGGAGAAATGGAGCAGGCAGAAAAAAGATGGAGGGAGAGAGAGGCCAGAAGACACACAGGCTCTGTCCCTTGACAGCAGCTGGGACCACAGGGTGGGGATTGTCTGTTGCTTGGTAGTGGATGAGGATGTCCGGGTTCCTGGCACCTGGGCAGCTGGGCATGGTTCTCAGCATCTAAAAGGTGGATAGATGGATGAAGAGACTAGGAGAGAAAGAGAACACATACACACATGTGCGCACACACACACACAGATGGACACACATGCACACACATGCACACAGATGGACACACACGTACACATACACACACAGACGTACACACATGCGCGCACACACAGAAGGACACACCCATGCACACACACACATGCACACACACAGAAGGACACACACACAGATGGACACACGCACATACACATACACACATGCACACACAAGCACGCACACACAGGACACACACACGCACATACACATATACACATGCACATACGCTCACACATGCGCACACACGCGCACGCACGTGCACACACACAGAGATGGGGAGCAAGAGAGAGAGGGAGGGAGAGAGAGAAAAGTAGCTCTGGAGAAACACAGATACTGAGAAAGAGAAAGAAACTCACAAGGGAGGGAAATAGATATCTACCAATAGATACAAAAGAAGGAGATGGAGCCAAGGAGACCGAGGCAACAAGAAAAGAGAGGGAGCCAGGGAGAGAGACAGAGGAGGAGGAAAGGCTAAGAAAACCGCTGAGACAGAGGCAAGGAGGGAAAGAGACAGCAGCACACGCAGAGAGCGATGGAGAGAGGCAGAGACGAACAGGGACAGAGAGAGAGAGAACGAGATGGAGAGAGAGAAATGTGGGGGAGATGGGGAGAGGCCACAGACAAAAAGGGAGGACAGAGTTAAAAAGAGATGGGAGGAAGGGGAGGGAGAGAGATGGGGAGAGGCAGAGGTGAACAGAGATGAGAGGGAAATAGAGAATAAGTGAGGAACAGAGAGACAGAGATGGAGAGGAACGGGAGCAAGGAGAGAGAGAGAAAAGGGGGTGGGGAGAGATAGGGAGAGGCAGAGATGAGCAGAGACAGAGACAGAGGGGGCGAACAGACAGAACAAGATGGAAAGGGGTGGGAGAAAGGAGAGAGAGAGATGGGGAGAGAGAGGTGAACAGAGACAAGAGGGAAATAGAAACTAAGAGAAGGACAAGGGAAAGGAGAGAGAGAAACGGTGACGGGAGAGGGGAAAAAATTAGCTCTGGAGAAACACAGGTATTGAGAGAGAAAAAGAAAGAAACTCACAAGGGAGGGAGATGGAGATCTACCAGGATATAACAGGACATGGAGACACGTCCAGACATGGGGAGAGGCAAGAGCCAAACAGAGACAAAAAGGGAGGGACAGAGATAGAAAGAGATGGGGGGAAGGAGAGAGAGAAATGGGGGGAGAGAGATGGGGAGAGGCAGAGATGAACAGAGACAAGAGGGAGGTTGAGAGAAACTAAGAGAGGGACGGAAAGGAGAGAGAAATGAGGAGGAGAGAAGTGGGGGAGAGGCAGAGATGAACAGAGACAGAACAAGATGGAGAGGGAAAGAGAGAAATGGGGGGAAACGGAGAACTCGGGGGAGAGAGATGGGGAAAGGCAGACATGAAGAGAGACAGAAAGAGGTGGGGAGAGACGGGGAGAGGGGAGGAAAGAGAGACAGGGAGAGGCAGAGATGAACAGAGATTGAGATGGAGAGAGATGGGGAAAGAAGAGGGAGAGAGAGAAATGGGGGGAACAGAACTTGGGGGAGAGGGGAGAGAGACATGGGGGGAGGCAGAGATGAACAGTCAGAAAGAGGTGGGGAGAGACGGGGAGTGGGGAGGAGAGAGAGATGGGGAGAGGCAGAGATGAACAAAGAGACAGGGCTCACGCCTGTAATCCCAGCACTTTGGGAGCTCGAGGTGGGAGGATCACAAGGTCAGGATTTCAAGACCAGGCTGGCCAACATGGTGAACCCCCGTCTCTACTAAAAAAAATACAAAACTTAGCTGGCCATGGTGGCGCATGCCTGTAATCCCAGCTACTCGGGAGGCTGAGGCAGGAAAACTGCTTGAACCGGGACCCGGGAGGCCAAGGTTCAAGGTTTAGTGAGCCGAGGCTGCACCACTGCACTCCAGCCTGGGCTACAGAGAAAGACTCTGTCTCAAATAAAAAAAAAAAGAAAGAAAGAAAGAGAGAGAGAAAGAAGGAAGAAAGGAAGGAAGAGAAAAGAAAAGAAAAGAAAAAGAAAGAAAGGAAAGAAAGAAAGAAAGAAAAGAAACAGAAAGGGATAGGGAGAGACGACGGGGCGGGGTTGGGGGTTGGGGAGAGAGATGAGGAGTGGCAGAGGCGGACAGAGACTGAGACAGAGAGGCGGGGAGGGAGAAGGCGGCCCGCCCGGCCTCGCCCTGACGCCCGCCGCCCGCAGGTGTGGGAGGCGCTGCTGACCCTGGTCTTCTTCCCGGTGTGCGTGGTATTCGCCTGGATGGCCGACAAGCGGCTGCTCTTCTACAAGTACGTGTACAAGCGCTACCGCACCGACCCACGCAGCGGCATCATCATAGGCGCCGAGGGCGACCCCCCGAAGAGCATCGAGCTGGACGGCACGTTCGTGGGCGCCGAGGCCCCAGGTGAGCTGGGCGGCCTGGGCCCGGGCCCCGCCGAGGCGCGCGAGCTGGACGCCAGCCGCCGCGAGGTCATCCAGATCCTCAAGGACCTCAAGCAGAAGCACCCGGACAAGGATCTGGAGCAGCTGGTGGGCATCGCCAACTACTACGCGCTGCTGCACCAGCAGAAGAGCCGCGCCTTCTACCGCATCCAGGCCACGCGGCTGATGACCGGCGCCGGGAACGTGCTGCGCAGACACGCGGCGGACGCCTCGCGCAGGGCGGCGCCGGCCGAGGGCGCGGGCGAGGACGAAGACGACGGCGCCAGCCGCATCTTCTTCGAGCCTAGCCTCTACCACTGCCTGGAGAACTGCGGCTCCGTGCTGCTGTCCGTCACGTGCCAGGGCGGCGAGGGCAACAGCACCTTCTACGTGGACTACCGCACTGAGGACGGCTCTGCCAAGGCGGGCTCCGACTACGAGTACAGGTGGGTCCCCCGGGGTGGGGGGTGTGCAGGGGGCTGGCGCAGGCCGTGGGTCCCGCCGTCCGGCGGCCTCCAGGCTCTTCGCCTCCCAACTGACTCCTGCAGGATTCATTGGTTCATTTGTTCATTCATTCATTCCTGAGAGCCTGCTTTGTGCCAGGCGCTGCTCTAGACGTGGGGCACACACCTCTGGGCCAGGCAGAGAGCATGGCTATCCGAAGGCTACACCTCCCGCCTTCATTATCTACCTCTGGGTTTTTGTTTGTTTGAGATAGAGTCTCACTATGCTGCCCAGGCTGGAGTGAGTGGCAAGATCTCCGCTCACTGCAACCTCTGCCTTCCAGGTTCAAGCGATTCTCGTGCCTCAGCCTCTTGAGTTGCTGGGATTATAGGTGTGTGCCACCACACCCGGCTTATTTTTGTACTTTTAGTAGAGAGATGGGGTTTCACCACGTTGGCCAGGCTGGTCTTGAACTCCTGGCCTCAAGTGATCCACCTGCCTCGGCCTCCCAGAATGCTGGGATTACAAGCATGAGCCATCATCCGGCCATGTTCTGTGTTTTATTGTCTGGTAAAACAGCTGTCTCCTCATGTGCATAGGAACATTAATGTTTAGTGGGCACCTACCATGTGCCAGGTGCTGCCTCCAGGCATTCAGTGCACATGATGAATGAGACAAACTCTCAGTCTTCACACCACTCCTCCTGCATTCTTTATATTTCTGTGGTTTTGTGCTGGTGCCACACTGTTTTAATTATTATAGCTCCATTATGTGTATTGCTACCTGGTAGAACAAGCCTTCTCCCACCATTACTAAAGTAAAAATGCTTATTGAGCATGCACTGTATGCCAATGGGTGTACCATGGGAACAAGCAGCTAAGGTCCCTGCCCTCAAATTGCAATGAGGATATAAACTACTAAACATATAAAAACTTGAAGTGGCAATAAGTGCTATGGAGGAAAATAAAATAGGAGTGGAGGAGAGAGACGATGGCTAAAGGTCTTTGGTTGTGCCATAAAGCAACCCACCCATCACCCTCTACCATATCTCACAGCCCCAGTCCCTCTCCTTACCCCTCTCCTTGCAAATCTGTGATATTCTCTCATTCAACAGTTCCTCCTGAGCACCTACTGTGTGCCAGATGTCTTTATTTAGGGGATCAACCTAGAACAATAACCAAGATAGATAAGATCTCTGTCCTCATGTGGCCCACAAAATTCATCTATTTGTAGTTCTTCTGTCCATGACACACTATTTTAAGACTTATAGCTTTACAGTATGTTCTTTTCAATGATTTTCACCAGCCTACATCATGCTTTGAACAGTATGTGTTGTTAATTCATGCACAAGTCTCCCCTTTCCCATAATGACATTTATCATGTGTCTACTATGTGCAAGAAACAAACAGATCTGGCACCGGCGACTAGTGGTGAACAAAACTCATAAAGTCCCGGCCCAAATGGAGCTGACATTCTCCTGGGAAAGACAGGCAGTTAGGAAGTAAACACTGATTACATAAAAATGCCAGGTAGTGGTAGGAGCTGTGAAGAAAAATAAATCAGGAGACAGGGAGAAAGAGGGCCAATGGCTGAGCTTTTCAGAGGTTCTACCTGCTCAGTAGCCTGACACATCCCCCTTTAATCTTCTCCCTGGGGTACAGCTGAGGCTGAACTGTTCCCAGATCTTTGGTTCTGCCATCAAGCAGCAGCCAATCCCTCATCCCTTTAACCCTTCTCTTCCTGGGACTCAGTTCGCTCATCTTCTCTCCTCTCCTCTCACCTCTTCTCTCCCCTCTCTCCTCTCTCTCCTCTACTCTCTCCTCTCCTCTCTTCCTTTCTTCTTTTTCTCAGAGTTTCGCACTTGTTGCCCAGACTGGAGTACAGTGGTACGATCTCGGCTCACTGCAACCTTCACCTTCCAGGTTCAAATGATTCTCCTGCCTCAGCCTTCCAAGTAGCTGGGATTACAGGTGCCCACCACCACACCCAGCTAATCTTTTGTATTTTTAGTAGAGATGGGGTTTCATCGTGTTGGCCAGGCTGGTCTTGAACTCCTGACCTCAGGTGATCCACCCGCCTCGGCCTCCCAAAGTGCTGGGACTACAGGCGTGAGCCACCGCACCTGGCAGTTCTCTGTTTCATCGATCTTGAGTTCCACCACTGTGTGCCTGGCTGCTTTTTGTAGCCAGTCTTCTTCCCTCTCTGCCCTCATCACTTCTCTTTCCAGCGCTTGGACATTTGCAGGTCTTTCCCTCCACCTCAGTCAGTCCAGGATCCTTTTGTCTGCCCATCTCCATCCACCTTTCCTACCCTGCCCACCCCAGCCTTCCTGGCTTACTGCAGCCTCCACCTCCTGGGCTAAACTGATCCTCCCACCTCAGCCTCCAAAGTAGCTGGGACTACAGGTGCATGGTGTGCTGTGCTCCAGCCTGAGTGACAGAGTGAGACACTGTCTCAAACAAAACAAAACAAAATGCAGCTGTTCACAGGTCTTTGTTCCATCACCCTGCAGCATGGGATCCCTTTGGCCACTCGGTCCATCCTCTCCCAGTGCACCATATCATCCACATGCCCTCAGTTGAGGGAACTGCATTCACCATATTGGGGCCTGCTTTCAACTATCTTTTCACCTTTCCACTCCTACCCACCCCTGGTCCGCACTGTCCCCATCTAGAGCCCTGAGGCTTTGCAGAAGGAAGTGAGTACAGGTGTCACCTCCTGGGATAACAGCCCACTTTGTCACTTACAAATGACCTCAGGACCAAGATTGTTTTTTATTGTTTTTTGAGACAGGGTCTTGCTCTATCACCCAGACTGGAGTGCAGTGGCACAATCACAGCTCACTGCAGCCTCAACCTCCTGGACTCAAGTGATCCTCCCATCTCAGCCTCCCAGGTAGCTGGGACTACAGGTGTGCACCACAGCGCCCAGCTAATTTATATATTTTTTGTAAAGATGGGTTTTTGCCATGTTGCCCAGGCTGGTGTGGTTTTGTTTTGTTTTGTCTGAGACAGAGTCTCACTCTGTCACTCACGCTGGAGCACAGTGGCGCAATCATGGCTCACTGCAGCCTCCGCCTCCCAAGCTCAAGCAATCCTCCCACCTCAGCCTCCAATATAGCTGGGACTACAGGCACATGCCACCAAGCCTGGCTAATTGTTTTTGTTGTTGTTGTTGTTGTTTTGGTATGTTTTGTAGAGACAAGGTTTCACCATGTTGTCTAGGCTGGTCTTTAACTCCTGGGCTCAAGCAATCCACCTGCCTTAGCCTCCCAAAATGCTGGGATTACAGGTGTGAGCCACTGCACCTGGCCAGGACCAAGATGTTTGAAGTGAAGGAGGAAATGCTGTTCAGTGCTGGAACCAAAGGGCTAAGAAGAGTCAACATCTTCCTATCCTTCCTTGATTTCCTATCCTGGAAGACATTCGAGGCCTGGCATTGCCTTATCAAGGTACCTTAGGCCAAAGACTGGGAGGAAGGAGACTTGGGTTCCACTCCGAGCTTAGCCCTGGACCCTGTTCCTTGGGCAAGTTCCTGCCTCAGTCTGAGCAGGCAGGTCTGCCATGTACAGTTGTTGAAGCTGTGCACTGCATAAAACCACCATATCTGAGGAAGCTCTCTTCATAGTGGACATTGTAGATTTGCATTTCTATTATAAGAGTTTTCTGACTTATGGAAATAAGTGTCTTGAAGAAGGAAAGCCTTTTTCTTTTTCTAAGTTTCCCACAGGTTCACACCTGTGAGCCTTAGTTTCTCCAAACTAAACGTGATCTCTGAGAACCCTAAACAGCACAGTTTTTCCAAGATTCTGAGATTTAATCCCCTATGATGTTGACACACTAAGGGTCTGAAGTTCTAAGATTCTAGAATTCTAACATTTTGATATTCTTTATTTTTTTGAGACTGCATCTCACTCTGTTGACCAGGCTGGAGTGCAGTGGCACGATCTCGGCTCACTGCAACCTCTGCCTCCCGCGTTCAAGTGATTCTCATGCCTCAGCGTCTTGAGTAGCTGGGATTACAGGTGTGCACCGCCACACCTGGTTAATTTTTGTATTTTTAGTAGAGATGGGGTTTCACCATGTTGGCCAGGCTGGTCTCAAACTCCTGACCTCAGGTGACCCATCCACCCCGGCCTCCCAAAGTGCCGGGATTACAGGCATGAGCTACCACGACCAGCCAACATTTTGGTATTCTAATCCAAACCCTATCCAGTCTCTGACTTGATGGCTTTAAGATTTTTATCTTCTCAGATTCTGTGTCCAGTGCTGAAACATAAGTCCTGTGAATCTAGCCTTCTATGATTCTGATGCCTGGCTTCTAAAGTCCAATCCCAGCTACTTGGGAGGCTGAGGCAGGAGAATTGCTTGAACCCAGGAGTCAGAGGTTGCAGTGAGCCAAGATCGCGCCACTGCATTCCAGCCTGGGAGACAGACCAAGACACACACACACACACACACACACACACACACACACACACACACACTCTCTCTCTCTCTCTCTCTCTCTCTCTCTCTCTCTCTCTCTCTCTCTCCATATATATATATATATAAGCTGGGCATGGTAACATGTGCCTGTAGTCGCTGCTACTCAGAAGGCAGAGGTAGGGGAATCGCTTGAGCCCAGGAGGCAGAGGTTGCAGTGAGCCAAGATTGTGCCACTGCACTCCAGCCTGGATGACAGAGCCAGAATCTGTCTCAAAATAATAATAAAATAATAACAATAATTGTGACACTCTGTGACCACGAGTTGCAAATACCATGACCTTCATGCCTAAATACTTGAGCATGCATCTTTTGAGAATAATGGCATTCTCCTACCTAATCACAATACTATGATCTCACTCAAGAAATCTAACACTGAATTGATACTGTTAACTCAACGTCAATTGAGTGATGCACAGCCCGTGTTTCCATTTCCCCAGTCATCCCTGTAATATCCTTGATGGCTGTATTTTCACTCCTGCCCTCTCTTCCCATTTGATCCAGAACCACACATTGCATTTCCCTGTCAAATCTCTTTAGTCTCCTTCAGTCTGGATCAGTTTCTCAGCCTTCCCATGACTTTTGTGACCTGATGCTTTTGAAGATGATAGGCCAGTTACTAGAATGATTCTCAATCTGGGTTTGTCTAATGCTTCCTGATGATTGGAGTCCTGCACTTTTGGCAGGAATCCCATGCAAGCGATGCTCTATCCCCCTGGGTGCATTGTATCAGGAGGAACATGATGTCCACTCGTCCATTACTGTGATGCCCAGTTTAATTGTTTGGTAAAGATGTTGCTAAATCTTTGGATTAATTGTTTGGCAAAGATGATGCTACAGGATGTATGCAGTGGATCATGCCTGCAATCCCAGCACTTTGGGAGCCCAAGGCCAGCGGATTGCTTGAGCCCAGGAGTTCAAGACCAGCCTGGGCAACATGGCAAAACCCCATGTCTACCAAAAGTATAAAAATTAGCCAGATGTGGTGGCACGAGCCTGTAGTCCCAGCTGCTCGAGAGGCTGAGGCAGGAGGGCTGCTTAAGCCCAGGAAGTCGAGGCTGCAGTGAGCTGGGATTGTGCAACTGCACTCCAGCTTGGATGACAGAACAAGACCCTGTCTCAAACAAAAACAAAAAAAAGGTCTGGGCGCGGTGGCTTATGCCTGTAATCCCAGCACTTTGGGAGGCCGAGGCTGGCAGATCACGAGGTCAGGAGTTTGAGACCAGCCTGGCCAACATGGTGAAACCCCATCTCTACTAAAGATACAAAAAATTAGCCAGGCATGGTGGCACACATCTGTAATCCCAGCTACTTGGAAGGCTGAGGCAGAAGAATCGCCTGAACCCAAGAGGCGGAGGTTGCAGTGAGCTGAGATCGTGCCACTGCACTCCAGCCTGGGCGACAGGGTGACTCCGTCTCAAAAAAAAAAAAAAAAAAAAAAAGATAGTGCTACAATCTCCATATTTTACTGATCCCTTTATCCCTTACATGTAAATGTCTCATATCCCATGACTTTTAGGACTCTAAGATTATGATATTAATATGTGGATATCACTAGCTAACTGTGCCTCTGGGTGCTTCCCCTGTATCAATTCAGTCCTCACCACAGCGCCAGGAGGTAAACACTATTATTAGCCCATTCCACAGATAAGGAAACCAAGGCTCAGAGGACTGCAGAATCCTGACCGCCCAAGATCACACAGCTGGCATGGTGGCCAAACTGGGCTTGAAGCAGGTCAGCCCACCCTCCTGGGTGCTCCATCACCACGGACAGTGAATCCTGAGCTGAGGGACTCCCTCATCCCTCCACTGCAGGTCTTTTCACCAGGTTCTATGCCCCCTACCTCTTGCCAGAACCTTGCGGTCCCTCTCTTCCTCCCACAGAGCTGGAAAACTGGAGCCTGACTCCCCGCCCCCACCTTTTTGAGACGGAGTCTTGCTCTGTCACCCAGACTGGAGTGCAGTGACGTGATCTTGGCTCACTGCAACCTCCACCTCCCCAGTTCAAACAATTCTCATGCCTCAGCCTCCAGAGTAGCTGGGACTACAGGCATGCGCTGCTACACCCCACTAATTTTTGTATTTTTAGTAGAAACGGGTTTTCACTGTGTTGGCCAGGCTGGTCTTGAACTCCTGACCTCAAGTCATCCATTCACTTCAGCCTCCCAAAGTGTTGGTATTACAGGCGTGAGCCACCGCGCCCGGCCCCAGAACCCCTTTAATATGAAAGTGATAGTGAATGCATATGGATCACATAGCAGGGTTCAGAGATGGTGCTGAGCCCCTTACATGCACAGTAGGAGGGATTGGGGGAAATGATAGATTTTCAAGATTTCTTAATATCCCAGAGTCACGCTGATGTCTGCAGCCCTGCCAGGAAGAGTCCACTTACTCCATGACCCCTCAGAATTTCACTCTGAGTAATCTAATGTCACTGCCTTGTTCCCTCCCCGGCTCCCCCCATTACAGAGTATCTTATGGGTGTTTCAGAGATTTCCACAACTGTTACTCTTTTAACACCAAGCCAGCTCGTGTCCCTCCTCTGCTCGGAACGAAGCTTCACAGGGCTCCTTCCTCACTCAGGGTAAACGCAGAAGTCTTCACCGTGGCCCACCCAGGCCCTAGGTGATCTGCCCCCGTTCCCACTGTGATGTCATCTTCCACCCTCTCGTCCTGGCTCCCTCTGCTGTCATCATGCTGGTCTCCCTGCAGTTCCTCGAAGAGGTGACCCGTCCCTAAGTCAGATCCTGTCCCCTGTCCGGCTGTCCAGTCCCAGGTCAGAGCATTCACATTGCCTGTTCCCTTTACCAAAAATACTCTTTTTGGCCAGGCACGGTTGCTCACGCCTGTAATCCCAGCACTTTGGGAAGCCAAGACAGGCGGATCTTTTGAGGTCAGGAGTTCGAGACCGGCCTGGCCAACATGATGAAACCCTGTCTCTACAAAAAAGTACACAAAATTAGCCAGGCATGGTGGCAGGCGCCTGTAGTCCCAGCTGCTCGGGAGGCTGAGGTGGGAGAATCCCTTGAACCCGGGAGGGGAGGTTGCAGTGAGCCAAGATGGAGACACTGCACTCCAGTCTGGATGACAGCGAGACTCTGTCTCAAAAAAACAAAACAAAACACAACAAAAAACTCTTTTCCAGGCATCCTCCCTATGGCTCACTCCCTCCCCTCCTTCAGGTCTCTGCTCAAATGTTACCTCCTCCAAAAGGCTTTCTTGACCATGCCAACAGCTCCCTCTCCTCACTCCCTACCCTCCTGTTTCTCTCCATAGCACCATCACCACCTGACATCCTGTGTTTGTTTATTGTTCATTCTTCTGCACTAAAACAGAATCTCAAAGCTTCTTATTGGTGCCGTTCCCCCAACACTTAAAACAATGCCTGGCACACAACGGTCAGTTATCTGTTGAATGAATGAACCGTAATTAAATCATTAAATGTGCAATTGTCATGGTGATATGGCTCTCCCATGGGGCTGTGAACCCTGTGAGGACAGGGCCTGGTTACTGCTGTGTCCCCAGCACCACTCGGCACAAGGCACACAACGGGTGCCCTTAGGAGTGTTTGTTGAATGAATGAGTGATGCCAAGTTAAGGTGTATGGACTTCCTCTTGGGGGCATCTGGGAAGGGTTTTTATCAGAGGAATGACAGAGTCCTTTCTGGGTCCTATATCCCTGCCACTTAAAATGTGACCAGGACATCCCCTGGAGCTCGTTAGAAATGCGATTCTAGAAACCCGGGAGCTTCTAAACCAGAATCTGCATTTTCACAAGCTCCACCAGGGGATTCATATGCATATTAAGGTTTGAGAAGCAGGGATGTAGAACACCCCAGGCTCCCTCTCAACTCTTGGACTTTGCATGTGCTGTTCCTTCTGCCTGGAGTATGCCCACCTGCTAATGCCTCCTCCAGGAAGCCTGCCCTGATCTCAACCTTATCATTACCTGTTTAATTCCCACCTTCTGCTCTTCACGAGTTCCACGCGGGGAGGGGCCCACTCTGTCTTGTTCCCGCTCTGCAGCCCTTCCTCCAGGACGCCCACCCCGATTCACCCTCAGTATTACTTGTTTAATGCCTGTCGACCCTCATACTTGGGAGTTCTTCTATGGCACCTACGTCTCCTCTGGGAAGCACGTCCAGACTCCCCCCGTACAACACACAGCCGATGACCGACCCTCACCCCGCTCTTCCCCCTCCCCACCCCGCCGCAGCGAGGGCACGCTGGTGTTCAAACCAGGCGAGACGCAGAAGGAGCTGCGCATCGGCATCATCGACGACGACATCTTCGAGGAGGACGAGCATTTCTTCGTGCGGCTGCTGAACCTGCGCGTGGGCGACGCGCAGGGCATGTTCGAGCCGGACGGCGGCGGGCGGCCCAAGGGGCGGCTGGTGGCGCCGCTGCTGGCCACCGTCACCATCCTGGACGACGACCACGCAGGCATCTTCTCCTTCCAGGACCGCCTGCTGCACGTGAGCGAGTGCATGGGCACCGTGGACGTGCGCGTCGTGCGCAGCTCGGGCGCGCGCGGCACCGTGCGCCTTCCCTACCGCACGGTGGACGGCACGGCGCGCGGCGGCGGCGTGCACTACGAGGACGCGTGCGGAGAGCTGGAGTTTGGCGACGACGAGACCATGTGAGCACGCCCGAGGCGGCCCGGAGAGGGGCGGGGCTTCGGAATGGGCGAGGCCTGATGTGGCTCAGGGGCGGGGCCTGGGTGAGCCATGCCCACATAGTGGGCGGGTCTTGGTTGGGCCTCGGGAGGGGAGGGGCCTGCGTGGCCGTGCCCGCAACGTGGGCGGGGCCTGTGACCCATGCCCACGACGTGGGCGGGGCTTCACTGAACAGCTGGGCCCTCAGGAGGAGAGGGGCCTGAGTGAATCGTTCTCCAAAGTGGGCTTGGCCTCGGGAGGGGCGGGGCCTAGGTGTGCTGTGTCTACCACGTGGGCGGGGCCTGGTGGGGTTGTGACTGTGAAATGAAGAGGCGAGGCCTAGAAGGGTGGCCGGACAGGTGAGAAGAGGGCCCCAAGGAGGAAGGGGGGACGAGGTGAGGAGAGATGGGACGGGGCCTGGGGAGAGCGGTGTGGGGCCTTAATTGGTAGCTCGTGGAGTGTGTGCTGAAGAGTACCCAGGGAGATGTGGGGAGAGGCTTGTGGAGATGAGACGCTGTCGGTGGCTGTGGAGAGGGGGCGGGTCCAGGGCGATAGGTGGGGTCTGGGTTTGGACATACGACATCAGGAAATGGGAAAATGGATGTGGGCTGCGGAAGAAGGCGGGGCCTAACAAGATGGGTGGGGCCTGGGCGCGCGGAGCTAGGGAAGGGGTGGGGCTTCTGGGTATGAGGAAGAACCTGGGGAAATAGCGGGGCACCTAACGCGAATCTGGGCGAGGATTTGGGAAAAGATGGTGCTGGAATCTGGGGGCCTGGGAAGGCAGGGCAGGGCCTGGGGAGACACTGGGGAGCCTGAGGGCTGGGATTTAGGAAAATGGGGTCTGGGGAGGTGGGCTGGCTGGATACACTCAGACACACACATGTAGACAGACGTTTACAGATTGGACACAAAGCCATTTATACGCACCACACACACATAGACACACACGGCAGGGCCAGGCGTGGTGGTCAACACCTGTAATCCCAGCGCTTTGGGAGGACGAAGCAGGAGGATCATTTGAGGCCAGGAGTTTGAGAGCAACCTGGGCAACATAGCAAGACTCCTACTCTAAAAATAATTTTTCTAATTAGTGGTGGCGCATGTCTGTAGTGCCAGCACTTTAGGAAACTGAGGCGGGAGGATGGCATGAGCCTTGGAGTTGGAGATCAGCCTCTACTCTGCTAAAAATTGTTTAAAATTAGCTGGGCATGGTGGTGTGCACTTGTAGTCCCAGCTACTTGGGAAGCCAAAGCAGGAAGATGGCTTGAGCCCACGAGTTAGGTGCTGTAGTGAGCTGTGATCACCCACTGCACTCCAGCCTGGGCGACACAGTGAGACCCTGTCTCAAAAAAAGAAAAAAAACACGCAGACACACATAAAATCACGGACACGTACACTAAATTATTAAGTCAGGGCTGTTCTCACGCCCAGATCCCTGGCCACCCCTTACACAGGTGACCGAGTGTCCCCCAATGTGTGCCTGAAGCCTCACATTCCCCCACCCCCCTGCCCAGGATGCAGGCAGCGCCTGCCCCTCCTCTGCCCGCTCTCTTCCGCCCCCGCATGCCCGTCTGTCTCCCTCCTCCGTGCCGCCCACGCGCCTCCTACTCAAGCGGAGTCCCCACCGCGCTCCCCCTCCCTCCTCCTCCCAGCCTCTGCGCTTCCGCCTCGGGCAGCACTCAGCTTCTCACTGCTCTCGCTGTCTCTCCGTCTCTCCCTCTGCATCTCTGCATCTCTCACTCCCTGGGCTGTCTCTCTCTGGGTCTCTGCGTCTCTGTTCATCTGCAGCTGTCTGTCCCCAGCACCTCGCTCTCTGACTCAGCTTATATTTCAGGCACACTCCACACCTTTCCTTCTCTCTCTCTGTCTGGCTTGGTCTCTGTCTGAGGGTTGTTGAGAACTTGGGTTGGGGGCTGCGAGAGGCACCATCCCAGACCCCTCTCTCACACCAAGAGATGGGGGAATGGAGAGTTTTCTTTCTGCTTTTTCCGGTCCTTCTTATAGTCCAACCTGCTTCCCTCCTGCTGCTGCAACCTTACGGCCCTGTCCTCCCCCACATGGCTTCCCCAGGCTGGGACACCCTCTGTCCCCCACCCCCACAAGCTCCCAGCTGTGGCTTCAGAAGACAGAGAACAGGAGGCTAATTAGTGTTTAGGGAAACTCTTCCTTCCTCTGATGGGCAGGCACTAATTAGAGGCGCTTTGAAGCAGCTGGGCTGGAGATGGAGGAGAGACACCCAGAGATGGGGTGGCAGGGAGAGCATGAGAGACAGAGACAGAGACACAGAGATAGACACAGGGAGAGCTGAAGACAGAATAACAGAACTGGAGAGAGAAACAGAGACAGAACAGAGAGACAGAGACACAGAAAGACAGGAACTTAGAGGTCGGGCACGGTGGCTCATGCCTGTAATCTCAGCACTTTGGGAGGCCAACACGGGTGGATCATCTGAGGTCAGGAGTTCGAGACCAGCCTGACCAATATGATGAAACCCCGTCTCTACTAAAAATACAAAAATTAGCCAGGCCTGGTGGCATGCACCTGTAATCCCAGCTACTCGGGAGGCTGAGACAGGAGAATCGCTTGAACCCAGCAGGCGAAGGTTGCTGTGAGCCGAGGTCACGCCATTGCACTCTGGCCTGGGCAACAAGAGCGAAACTCCATCTCCCACCCACCCCACCCCCGAAAAAAAGGAAGAGACACAGAGACAGAGATGCTTTGAGGGAGGGAGAGAGGTGGATATTGAAAGCTGAGATGGAGGGAGACTGAAAGGCAGAGAGATGGAGACGCGATAAAGACATTCATGGAGGAGAGAGACTGACCCAGGGAAGGAGAGGTTCTCACGATGCTGCAGAGAGAAAAGGGAGTTTGGGTCAGTGAGAGACAGGATGAGGAGACTGGGTCTGAGATCAGAGACTGGCAGGGGAGAAGGGCAGGAGAGTGGAGTTTTCAGGAAACAAGGGGGCAGGCTGGGGAGGAAATCTGCTTCCTTTGATCTCAGGAAGTCCTGTCTTGGTCTAGCTCGAGTCCCTCTTGCTGTTTCCTGCGCGTTGGGTTTCTCCTGCATTTGGGTCCCCTGAGGGTGCGCCTGCCAGGCGCAGTTGACGTGCCTGTCACTGCACGTCAGTCACTGTGTGTCAGCGGATCGCAGCATGTCTGCGAGAGTGAGCGACAGAGGTGTGTGTGTCACCCTGTCAGCATGTCACTGTGTCGGCAGCTGTCTGTGTGTGTCAGGGTGTGTGAGGAGCATGTCTCGGGAGACCCTCCCTCCTCGCCGGCCCCAGCATTTCAGCACCGCGGACAGCTCACAGCCCACGCCGAGGTCGGGGGCGGCCCTTTCTTTCCACCCACAGAAAATTGAAAATATCCTGAAACCAGGAGGGTGGAGGTGGGCGGATGTCCCCACATGGCCGTCTTGTGTGCGCCTGTCCTTGCGCGGGTGTCGCTGTGTCTTGTGCGTGTTTGTGTGTTGAGATGCGTCTTTTGAATGACTGCCTGATTGAAACTCTTCTGCTTGAAGTGTGTTGACTTTTGTTACTCCATTCTTTAGACTCTGAAAGACAGAGACAGGGAGAGAAGAATCCAGATAAAGAAGGGCGGGCCAGGTGCTGTGGCTCACACCTGTAACCCCAGCACTGGGGAGGCCAAGGTGGGAGGATCACTTGAGGCCAGGAATTCAAGACCAGCCTGGGCAACATAGTGAGATCCTGTCTCTATAAAAAATTTAAAAGTAGCCAGGTGTGGTGGCACACGCTTATATTTCCAGCTACTTAGGAGGCTGAGGTGGGAGGATTGCTTGAGCCCTGGAGATCAAGGCTGCAGTGAGCCATGATTATGCCACTGCACTCCAGCCTGGGCAACAGAGCGAGACTTTGTTTCAAAAAAAGGGAGAGCAGAGAGATGAGAAGAGACTGAGACAGAGAACGGAGAGAGTCAGAGTCAGAGAGAGAGACTGCTGGAGAGTCAGAGAGACAGAGTCAGAGATGGAGAGATAGACCCAGAGAAGCTGAGAGAGGCAGAGAGAGAAAAGAAGATGGAAAATGTAGGGACAGAGATGCAGAGAGGCACTGAAGGAAGTAAACAGAGACACCAAGAGGCGTCAGGAGTTAGATATAAGGTAGGAGCGTCTACGTGGTACCACAGTGAGGGGCTGCAGGGTGGCGATGTCGCCAAGGCTGTGGTGGGGGAGTCGTGCTAACTGACGGGCATCTGGTCCATGCAGTCTTGCCACTGCAGTGGGAATGGCTGTAGGGTGTGATGGCGTGTGGGTGTGGGCGGTGTGATCGGCTGTGCTTCCTCGATTGGGTGACTGTGTGGGCTGGGTGTTTGTGTTTTTGGGTTCTGGGGCCAGGCCTTGTGGGACTACATGGTTCCTACAGCCTAAAGAGTTGCCAGTGGCAAAGCTGTGGGCATTCTGGGTTTGTGGGTCTTTGGGGTCGAGGGGTGTGGATTATGTGCCTGAAGGTGACAGGTAACTTCTGGCTGTTTCCTGCCACCCCCTGGTTACCATAGGAGCAGAGATGCTGAGAAAATCAGTTAGCATCAGCACTTGGTTAACTCTCCAGATCTGGTTGGGACAGAGAGCAGGAAGCTGAGGGTTTTCTGTGCTGAAGGATTGGAGTTAGCAAAATATGCATGGAGGGTGTGCTCTATGCCAGGGACTGTTCTGGGTGTTGGAGATAAAACAAAAAACATAAATGAACTTACCTGGGGGAACTTAAATTTAAAGATGGGGAAGCAAATGGTAAATGACGAACAATAAACTAAATAAATGTTAGAGGGTGTTAGAAGGTGATATTTAAAGAAGACAGGCCAGGTGCCATGGCTCACATCTGTAATCCCAGCACTTTGGGAGGCCAAGATGGGAGGATCACTTGAGGGCAGGAGTTCAAGACCAGCCTGGGCAATGTGGTGAGACCCCATCTCTACAAAAAATAAAAAATTAACTGAGCATGGTAGTGTATACCTGTAGTCCCAGCTACATGAGAGGCTGAGGCAGGAGGATCGCTTGATCCCAGGACTTTGAGGCTGCATTGAGCTATGATTGCACCACTGCACTCCAACCTGGGTGACACAGCAAGATCTTGTCTCCAAAAATAATAATAAATACATTAAAAAGAAAGACAACAGAGCAGTATAAGGGAGTGCTGGAGGGGGAGCAGTGAGGGATTTCACTATTAAATAAGATGGAAGAAGTGGGCCCCATTGAGAAGGTGAAGTTTGAATGAAGAACTGAGGAAGGGAGCCTGGGGGAAGAGTGTTCTAGGCAGAGGGAACAGCCAGTGCAAAAGCCCTGAGGCATGAGCAGGCCTGGCTTGTTCAAGGAATAGCAAGGAGGCCAGAAAGGGAATGAGTGCTAGATTGCAGGGGGTCTTGTGGGCCATCCTAAGGACTTTGACTTTCATTCTGTGAGAGATAGGAGCCTTGCAAATGTTTTGCACAGGGGAGGAATGCGGTCTGACTTTGGTTCTATCAGGATCACTCTGGCTGCTCTTGAAGGAACAGACTGTGGGCGGTGAGGCTGAAGCATGGGATTGTTTAGCAGGCAACTAGTAATCTAGGTAGGAGACCATAGTGGCTGGGCTGGAGTGCAGGGGTTAACAGTCTGGATTCTGACAGTTGTAAGTTCAAATCCTGTCTCAACCATGAGCTCATACCGCTTTGCTTTATTTTTTTATTATTATTATTTTTTGAGATGGTGTCTCGCTCTGTTGCCAGGCTGGAGTGCAGTGGCATGATCTCAGCTCACTGCAACCTCCACCTCCCAGGTTCAAGCAATTCTCCTGCCTCAGCCTCCCAGGTAGCTGGGACTACAGGCATGTGCCACCACACCCAGCTAATTTTTGTATTTTTAGTAGAGACAGAGTTTCACCATGTTGGACAGGATGGTCTCAATCTCTTGACCTCGTGATCCGCCCGCCTCGGCCTCCCAAAGTGCTGGGATTACAGGCGTGAGCCACCGTGCCCGGCCTATTTTTTAAAATAAATTATTTAATATAAATAGAGATGGGCTCTCAATATATTGCCCAGGCTGGTCTTGAACTCCTGGCCTCAAGCAACCCTCCCTCCTCAGCCTCCTAAAGTTCTGGGATAAGAGGCATGAGCCACCGCACCCAGAATGCTTTACTTTAATCAGACTCAGCTTCCTCACCAGTGCCTGGTTTTGTTTCTGTCAAATGGGGATGATAATAGAGCCTTCCTCCCTGCGTGGTGGTGAGAAGTAAATGAGATTGTGGAGTCTGGGACAGAGGAGGTGCTTGGAAAACTGGGTGGCTGCCAGGAGGGTTGCCTGGTGAGTCTGGGGAGGGGGCCTTACACTGAGTGTTCTGCCTCCCCCTTACCCCCTGCACAGGAAAACTCTTCAGGTGAAGATAGTTGATGACGAGGAATATGAGAAAAAGGATAATTTCTTCATTGAGCTGGGCCAGCCCCAGTGGCTTAAGCGAGGGATTTCAGGTGAGGGGTGACCAGTGGGCTGTGGGAGAAGTAAGGGGTCCAGGGTCGGGGGACTTTCAGGGGCTCAATTGCAGGCACTCCTTAAAGCTCGTGGACCTGAGCTTCGTGGGGAACTGATCTCACTGTCTGCCTGTCTCTGTCTCTCCCCAGCTCTGCTACTCAATCAAGGTGAGTGAAGTCACCTCTGGGCTCTGAGTGGGGAGGAGCCACTGGAAGAGGGCCTGGGGGAGGGTCCCAGCCCCAAAGCTACTCTTCCAGGTTGGGTTTGAGGCAGATTGGAGGTGAGATAAAGGCAGATTCAGGGCTGGGGGACAGTGGGGTCTGGCCTGAGAGTTGGTGGTGCCTGTATGAGTTTGGGATTACAGTTAGCATTTTGGAGGTCAAGATTATGTCTGTAACATGGTGAAACCCCATCTCTTGTAAAGATACAAAAATTACCTGGGTGAGGCCAGGTGCGGTGGCTCACACCTATAATCCCAGCACTTTGGGAGGCCGAGGAGAGTGGATCACCGGAGGTCAGGAGTTAGAGAGCAGCCTGACCAACATGGTGAAACTCCGTCTCTATTAAAAATACAAAATTAGCCGGGCCTGATGGCACACAACTGTAATTCCAGCTACTCAGGAGGCTGAGGCAGGAGAATCGCTCGAACCCGGGAGGTGGAGGTTGCGGTGAGCCGAGATCGCGCCATTGCACTCCACGCTGGGGAACAAGAACGAAACTCTGCCTCAAATAAAAAAAAAAATTAGCTGAGTGTGATGACAGGCATCTGGAATCCCAGCTGCTTGGGAGGCTGAGGCAGGAGAATCGCTTGAACCCGGGAGGCAGAGGTTGCAATGAGCCAAGATGGTGCCACTGCACTCCAGCCTGGGCAACAGAGCAAGACTCCATCTCAAAAGATTATGTCTGTAATCAGGGTTGTAAGTCATACAATCAGATCTGGGTTTGTGAGAGTGAGGTCAGAGAGAATCCAGTTTGGGGTTGATTAGGAGTGAGGTGGGGTTTGGATTGGAGATCGGGGTTAGGACCATGTTAAGGTGAGAGTCACAGTGGAGGTGCTTTCCTGCTGGTGGGATCAGATTAGAATTAGAGTCAGATTTAGGTCAAAGCTAAAGTTGGACTTTGAGGTGAGTAATAGAGTTTGAGGAATTTAGGTTAGAATTGGGGCCAAGGTCAGAGATTGGAGTAAGAGTTAGGGCTAAGGTCAGTGGCTTGGAGATGGACAAAGTCATTTTGGAGTCAAGATCAGAATTGGGATCCGTGGTTAGGATTAGAGTTAGATTAAAGATTGTATTCGTTGGAGGAAGCAATACAAGCTGCTATAACAAACTGACCGACAAGTCACAGGGGCTTAACACAATAAAAGTTATTTCTTTACTGGGCACAATGCCTCATGTCTGTAATCCCAGCACTTTGAGAGGCCCAGGCGGGCGGATCACTTAAGGTCAGGAGTTCAAGACCAGCCTAACCAACATGGTGAAACCCTGTCTCTACTAAAAATACAAAAATTAGCCGGGCATGGTGGTGGGCACCTGTGATCCCACCTACTCAGGAGCCTAAGGCAGGAGAATCACTTGATCCTGGAAAGTGGAGGTTGCAGTGAGCCGAGATCGTGCCACTGCACTCCAGCCTGGGTGACAGAGCGAGACTCCATCTCAGAAAAGTAAGAAAGAGAGAGAGAGAGGGAGGGAGGGGAGGAAGGAAGGAAGGAAGGAAGGAAGAAAGGAAGGAAGGAGGGAGAAGAGAGAAAAAAAGTTATTTCTTGCTCAGGCAAAGTTGTTTTTTGTTTCTTTGTTTGTCTTTGTGAGACGGAGTTTTGCTCTCGTTGCCCAAGCTAGAGTGCAATGGTGCGATCTCGGCTCATGGCAACCTCCACCCCCCGGGGTTCAAGAGATTCTCCTGCCTCAGCCTCCCGAGTAGCTGGGATTACAGGCACCTGCCACCACACCTAGCTAATTTTTTTTGTATTTTTTAGTAGAGATGGGGTTTCACCATGTTGGCCAGGCTGGTCTCGAACTCCTGACCTCAGGTGATCCACCTGCCTTGGCCTCCTAAAGTGCTGGGATTACAGACATGAGCCACTGTACCTGGCCTCTCAGGCAAAGTTTTACGAGAGTGTTCCTAGTTGGTGGGTGGCTTTCTTCTGCCATGTGGCCATTCCATCTTGTGACTCCACTGTGCCAGGGAGCTTTGGCATTGTGGCTGGGTTTGCTGCTGGTGAACAGGGCAAGAGAGTTTCGAGGCTCACATGGGAGGTTTTCGGGGGCTAAGCCTGGAGGGACTGACCATCACTTCTGCCCACATTCTAGTGTCCATAACTCAGGCCGTGGCCACGCCCAGCTGCAAGGGAGGCTGGGAAATGTAGTTCAGCTCTTTGCCCAGGAAGGAGAGGAAACAGGTTCAGGTGAACACACTTCAGCTTCTGCCGTGTGGTCAAGCTCCTCATGAGTGATGGTGTCAGAGTTGGGAGTTGGGACTGAGGTTTGAGGTCAGGTGTAGGACTGGAGTTAGATCTGGAGATAGAGTGTGGGATTTGGCTTGGGGTTATTGATGCTCCAGGTTATGGTGAATGTTAGAGTCGGGATTAGGGTTTAGGGCTAGGGTTGTGCTGAGGTCAGATCCAGGGCTGAGGGTTGGGGTTTGGAGTCAGTGTTGATGACAGGCTTCCATTTGGGGCCACAGTGAGAGTCCAGCTCAGAGTTAGGGACCAGAATTAGGGTTGGGCTGCTGCTGGGCTTGGAGTCAGGGGTCAGCATACTTTGGGGAGAGAAGCGAGCTCAGGACCAGGATGTAGGTGGGTCTGGTTCCAAGATTTGTGCCAAAATCGGATGTCCTCCCCTTTCCTTACCATGTCAGCCACACTCTAGGATGTTTCCAGAAACTGGATGTAGAGACCAGGCCTCCCCTATCAGGGTGGCAACGATGATGATAATGTTGGTGATAATAATAAAGATAGTAACATGTATTGAATATTTATTGTGTGCCAGGCACTGTTCTAAGCACTTCACACGAATTAACTCATTTAAGTCTCACAACCACCCCATGAGGTAGGTACTAATTATTGTGCCCGTTTAACAGTTATGAAAACTAAGGCACAGAGAGGCTCAGGTATTGCCTAAAGTCTCACAGCCTCCACCATACGAACCCCAGAGCCCACCAACTAAAGATCATGAACCAACCCTTGGGAGCTGGACCTCAGGGTTGAAGGAGACGGTGGTCAGGTGGGAGGCTGGGAGGAGTCACCAAGGAGCTTCCCAGAGGAGAACAGATAGGCTTTCTCTAACTATGGGGACAGGTAGTAAAGGCGTCACAGGCCCAATTAGGTAGGTCTCCCAGGAGTCTAACCCCCACCCCTCATGCTGCAGGGGATGGGGACAGGAAGCTAACAGCCGAGGAGGAGGAGGCTCGGAGGATAGCAGAGATGGGCAAGCCAGTTCTTGGGGAGAACTGCCGGCTGGAGGTCATCATCGAGGAGTCATATGATTTTAAGGTGATTTTCCGGGGCCTCACCTTCCTGGAGTCCAGCCTGGTTCATTTCCTTGGGGAGGGTCCGGAAAGCGGGGAGCCACAAGGTTCCTAAGATCAAGCCAAAGAAGGGTCCCACGTCAGGACCACGGACAGCACATGCCTCCCTTTTCCTTGCTTGCCTTCAGAACGGGGGTGTGGAAAGTTGAGGACCCCTGGGCACAGGCTGTGAGCCCCCGACCCAGGACCCAACATGGAGCTTCCCTGGTTCGCTCAGGGGCAGTGACCTCTCCCCCACCCTCTCATCCCCAGAACACGGTGGATAAACTCATCAAGAAAACGAACTTGGCCTTGGTAATTGGGACCCATTCATGGAGGGAGCAGTTTTTAGAGGCAATTACGGTGAGCGCAGGTAAGTGGGGAGGGAGGAGAGAGAAGAGAGAAAGATGGAGAGACAGAGACACAGGGAAAGGGGGAGAAATGAATGGAGAGACAGGCACAAAGATAAACAGGCCGGGCGCGGTGGCTCATGCCTGGAATCCTGGCGCTTTGGGAGGGTGAGGCGGGAGGATTGCTTGAGGCCAGGAGTTTGAGGCTGCAATGAGCCATGATCGTGCCTCTGCACTCCAGCCTGGGCAACAGAGCAAGACGCTGTCTCTAAAAAAAATACAAGCAGGAGAGAGAGACACACAGAAATACACAGGGAGAATCAGAGAGACATGGAGAAGACATGAGACAGAATGAACGGTGCAAACTGAAATGGGCCGGGGAGAGGGAGAGGCAGGTAGATGAGGATACAGAAAGGGCAGAGAAGGGAGAGGTGGTGGCTGGAGCGGCTGGGAGGGTTTGTGTTTGGCTCTGGGCTGAACCGGGAGGGTTCCCAGCCTGGGCTTTCTCCCAGCATCAGGCATCAGGAGGGTGGGAACAGATTAAATGGTGTGGCCACCCCAGAGAGAGCCTGGGTTCCTCCGTTGCCCTGGAGACAGTCACCAGGGCACCGAGCTCTTTCCTACCTGCGCGGGTCACCACCCTCCTTGGCCTCAGACAGGCCCACACTGCCCCCTTGTGGCTAGAGACACTACGACACTTGTACCCACTGACGGTCTTGGAAGCCAACACTGGCCCTTTGTGATATGGACTGGGGAGACTGAGGCTCAGAGACAGAGGAGGGAGTGGCCTGAAGTCCCACAGGGAGTCCAGAAAAGGCCCGAGGTCGGAGCTCAGGGCTTCAATCTCTTACATAACATCAGGGTTAAGGCCCCAGCTCTTGGGGACTGAAGGCGTACATGGAATTGTGGTTGCAAAGAAACTGGGCGAGCAGGATCCAAAGAAACCAGGCTTAAGGGGATGGGAAAATACAAGGCAGCAGTCCTAGAAACACCAGACTGTTTGCCCAGTAGAAACAAAGTGGCATCTCCCTCTGAAGCCACATTCTTCTGACATACTTCTGAGGGATCTTCTGGGCCCGACCCTATGTGAGACATTGCCAGGGACACAGAAGTGATTTCTGGCCCTGTCATGGAGCTTACAGCCCAGTGCAGGAGACAGACATGTCACAAGACACAGACAACCCAGAGTAGGCAGGGCTGGGATGGGAGACCCGGAGGAAAGCCCTGATGCGGTTCCTAACCCAGCCTGAAAGTCAGGGAGGGCTTCCTGGAGGGGGTGGCTTCCCAGCTGAGTCTTCAAATGGGTAAAGATGTCAGCCAGGAGGAGGGAGAAGACAGGGAGAGTGTTTCAGGCAGAGGGAGAGCCAAGCACAGAAGCCCTGGAGTGTGCGAGATTATGGCACATTTTTTGGGTGGGTGCCTGGTGTTGGGCGGGAGGAAGAGGTACCAGGATGAGGCTGGAAATCGGCACATTTCTACACTGCTCCTTGTGGACCACAGTAGGGAGCTTGGGTGGCATTTGAACACACTGGGGAGCCATGGAGGGTTTTGAATGGGGGAAGCCCCTGGGGCTAGAGAGAGCTTGTGGGAGGAAAGTGGAGAGGGTGTGGGTAGAGGCTGTAGAAACTAGCAGTAGAGGCTGGGTGCGGTGGCTCACGCCTGTAATCCTAGCACTTTGGGAGGCCGAGGCAGGTGGATCACCTGAGGTCAGGAGTTCGAGACCAGCCTGACCAACATGGAGAAACCCCGTCTCTACTAAAAATACAAAATTAGCCGGGCATGGTGGCCTGCGCCTGTAATCCTAGGTACTCAGGAGGCTGAGGCAGGAGAATCGCTTGAACCTGGGAGGCAGAGGTTGCGGTGAGCCGAGATAGCACCATTGCACTCCAGCCTGGGCAACAAAGCGAAACTCCGTCTAAAAAAAAAAAAAAAAACGAAGAAAAGAAACTAGCAGGAGACGGGCCCTGCAGAGGCTCCTTTGAGGTTCATTCCACGAACAACGGGGAGATGGCAAGGGGCTCTTTGAGCTTCGGAGCATTTCCTTCCTCTGGGGACTTAGTGGAGACGGAGGATGAGGCGGAACTGAAACGAGGTGGGAGGTGGCGGTCGTAGAGACCCAGCGTACATCGTGCTGTGGGTTTATAGAAACCAGGTGGTTAGATCAGGTGATTAGATCGGGGTGGAGGAAGAATAACAACATAACAATAATAATAACTGTAATAATAATCCTGATTATGACAACGGTGACCCTATCATGTCTTTTTTTTTTGAGATATGTAGTCTCTGTCATCCAGGCTGGAGTGTAGTGGTGTGATCTCGGCTCACTGCAGCCTCCTCAGCCTCCTCCTCCTGGGTTCAAGCGATCCTCCTGACTCAGCCTCCTGAGTAGCTGGGATTACAGGCACCCACCACCATGTCTGGCTAAGTTTTGTATTTTTAGTAGAGATGGGATTTCACCATGTTGGCCGGACTGGTCTTGAACTCCTGACCTCAAGTGATCTGCCCACATCCGCCTCCCAAAGTGCTGGGATTACAGGTGTAAGCTACTGTGCCCAGCTGACCCTATCGTGTCTTGAGTGCCAGGCATGGTTGGAAATTTATTTCCTGTGTGAACTCATTTTAATTAATGTATCCTCAGTGTCTGGATCAGAGCTTGGTCACTTTGCACTTTGTTCAGCACGTGCCTTTTGGTTCTTTGCTGTGCGAGCACAGAGCTGCTGGAGGGGTGAGGGAGAAGGGTAGTCCTCACTCCCTTAGGAGATGAGTCGGGTCCCATCTTGTCGCAGAGCTTTTGTACTTCCTTTACCTCCCTTCCTACTGTAAGCTCCTTGTGGGCTGGACTTGGCATGGAGCATCTTTGAATTTCCCCCAGGCACCAAAAAAGGCCTTCAATCATAACAATCGAAACAACAGTAATAACGCTGGAGGTGTCCGAGACCGTTGACAGCACTTTACATGAACCAACTCATTCTGTCATCACAAGTTTCCCATGAAGCAGGTCCAATTATTTATCACAGATAGGCACCCAGAAGCCCAGAGAGGTGAGGACACTGATTCAGGATCACACAGTGGATCCAGGGTTGGACACCAGAGAGGTGACTTCAGAGTGACAGGCATAACCACGAGCCTCCCTGTAGAGGGGAGCAGCTGGGGAAGTCAGCTGAGGCCAGAGTCCGCAGAATGCCAAGCCTAGGCATGTGGGCCTGGGTTTGAAGGTAGTACAAGAACCAAGGAAGGATTTGAAGCAGGGCAGGCAGAAGCCTCAACTGACATAGTGATGCGGTAATAGCAGCCACCTCTCTCCCAAAGAGCGTGGCCTCCCTGCTCTGACCTCAGCCATGTCTTACATCAGTTAGGGATGCGTTCAGCAGTGACTGGTCAGGAGCTACGTTCGTTCTCATGAGCATCCTTCCAGATGTAATGCGTGCCACACACAAGTGTGCTCATTGATTCTCATTCATTGCTTTATACTAATCAGCTTAGGGTGAGGTAAACAAAACACTGCCTTAGGGCTTTCAGGTTATAAAAGCCACTGCAGGTCGGCTGGGCACGGTGGCCGACACCTGTAATCCCAAAACTTTGGGAGGCCTAGGAGGGCAGATCAGTTGAGGCCAGGAGTTTAAGACCAGCCTGGCCAACATGGCGAAATCCCATCTCTAGTAAAAATACAAAAAAATCAGCCAGGTGGGGTGGTGCACACCTGTGATTCCAGCTACTCAGTAGACTGAGGCATGAGAATCACTCGAACTCAGGAGGCGGAGGTTACAGTAAGCTGAGATCACACTACTGCCTTGGTAACGGAGGGAGGCTCTGTCTCAAAAAAAAAAAAAAGTCACTGCAGGTCAAAAGCTGGTCAAATTAGGTCACAATAGGTGATACAGCTCTAAGCATGAGGCATCATTTACAAAGCTCAGAAAACACATCTGTAACCCAATGCCCACATCAGGAAAGCCAGGGCTTTCCAGAAACCCTCTGTTTATATCTCATTGGCAGACTGGGTCAGATAGTCACTCACAGGAGGAATTCTGGCAAAACAAGTATTTAGCCAGGGACATGGCAACTGCCAACTGCAAGGGATTCTGGGAAAGTGAATACCATATTTTTATCTGAGGCCATAGCTGTTGCTAGTCTCAAGGGATTCTAGGAAAGTGATTAATTTTGGCTGGGTATATAGCCCTCTAGCTGCAAGGGATTCTGGGAAAGTGAGTACATTTAGTGGAGACTGTGGCTCTGGTTAGCTGCAGTGAATCTGAGGAAGTGAATACTTCTAGCTGTGGACTGGCTTTCAGCAGCTGTGAAGGCTTCTGGGAAAATGAATAATTTTAGCTAGGGGTATGGCTGTCCCTGGCAGCAAACGGTCTTGGGGAACTGGATGTTTTTAGCTGGGCAGATGTGGCTTCCTCTAGCTTCAAGGGATTCTGGGAAAGTAACTGTTTTTAGCATTGACTTGGCCACATTTAGGTGCAAGCAGTTCCGGGAAACTAAATATTTTTCACCTGGGTCCATTCATGCTCCTAGCTTCAAGGGATTCTGGGAAAGTAATGGGTTTTAGCTGCTGACTTGGCCACATTTAGGTGCAAGGGATTCTGGGAAAATAAATATTTGTCACCTGGGCCCATTCACACTCCTAGCTTCAAAGGATGCAGGGAAAGTAACTGTTTTTAGCTGCTGACATGGCCACACTTAGGTGCAAGGGATTCTGGGAAAGTAAAATTTTTTTACCTGGACTCAGTCATGCCCCTAGCTCCAAGGGATTCTATGGAAGTAACTGTTTTTACTGCTGACTTAGCCATATTTAGATCCAAAGGATTCTGGGAAAGTAAATATTTTTCACCTGGGCCCAATCAAGCTCCTAGCTTCAAGGGATTCTGGGAAAGTAACTGTTTTTAGCAGTTGACTTGGCCACAGGTAGGTGCAAGGGATTCTGGGAAAGAAGTTCATTCAATGGGACTTGCTGTCAGGAAGTTAGACAAAATGGGGCCTCTGTAGGCAAGGAAGGAAGTCTGAGTGTATGCCCCAGCTGGGTCGTGTGCCCACAGGGGACGAGGAGGAGGAGGAGGACGGGTCCCGGGAGGAGCGGCTGCCGTCGTGCTTTGACTACGTGATGCACTTCCTGACGGTGTTCTGGAAGGTGCTCTTCGCCTGTGTGCCCCCCACCGAGTACTGCCACGGCTGGGCCTGCTTTGGTGTCTCCATCCTGGTCATCGGCCTGCTCACCGCCCTCATTGGGGACCTCGCCTCCCACTTCGGCTGCACCGTTGGCCTCAAGGACTCTGTCAATGCTGTTGTCTTCGTTGCCCTGGGCACCTCCATCCCTGGTAACACCCTGGGAGACTTTGGTGGGGTAGGATCTCAGATGAGCCAGGCAGGGGCAACACAGGATCCTGCCAAAATGAGGTGGGTGGAGTCACACAGCGCCCATGTGGTGGGTCTCAGAGAAATACGGAGGTGGGGCATAATAGAAGCCAGGCAGCGGGTCCCCTAGGTGCAAGATGTGAATTGAATCCTCCCCAAAAGCACCCAGGTAGAAGGTCCCATAAAACTAAGGTAGCAGGAAATGCTAGAAACCAGACAATGGATTTCATAGAGAGAAGGTGGCAGGGTGGGGAAGAGACAGCTGTGGGGAGAGGGGTTCCTAGGAAGACGGTGGGGATTGTCAGAGAAGCCAATCAGTGGGTTCCATAGAAACAAGCTGTTGATGTCCCATCCCGCAAGAAACCAGACAGAAGAGTCCATGGAACTATGTTGGGGGACATGACAGAAACCAGGCCAGTGAACCTCAAAGTTGGTTTTTTTGGGTTTTGTTTTTTTTTTTTTTTTTTTTTTTGGTGTGGGGACAGAGTCTCGCTCTGTCACCCAGGCTGGAGTGCAGTGATCTTGTGATCTCGGCTCACTGCAACCTCTGCCTCCCAGGTTCAAGCGATTCTTCTGTCTCAGCCTCCTGAGCAGCTGAGACTACAGGCGTGCGCCACCACATCCAGCTAATTTTTACGTTTTTAGTAGAGACGGGGTTTCACCATATTGGCCAGGCTGGTCTCGAACTCCTGACCTCGTGATCCGCCCACCTCTGCCTCCCAAAGTGCTGGGATTACAGGCGTGAGCCACCACGCCTGGCCAAACCTCAGAGTTTTAACTAAGATGAGGGGGCAGGTGGGGTGTGGTGGCTCACGCCAGCACTTTGGGAGGCAAAGGCGGGGGGCCAAGGCAGGGGTAGGATTGCTTGGGCCCAGGAGTTTGAGACCAGCCTGGGCAACATGGTGAAACCCCGTATCTACAAAATATACAAAAATTAGCTGGACGTGGTGGCGCATGCCTGTGATCCCAGCTGCTCGGGAGGCTGAGGTGGGAGGATCACCTGAGCTGGGGAAAATGAGGCTGCAGTGAGCCATGATCGCACCACTGTACTCCAGCCTGGGCAACAGAGCAAGACCCTGTCTCAAAACAAAACAAACAAAAAATACAGCTAGGCGCGGTGGCTCATACCTGTAATCCCAGCACTTTGGGAGACCGAGGCGAGTGGATCACCTCAGATCAGGAGTTCGAGACCAGCCTGGCCAACATGGTGAAACCCCGTCTCTACTAAAAACACAAAATCTTAGCAGGGCGTGGTGGGCGCCTGTAATCCCAGCTACTCAGAGGCTCCGGCAAGAGAATCGCTTGAACCTGGGAGGCGGAAGTTGCAGTGAGCTGAGATCACGCCACTGCACTCCAGCCTGGGTGACAGAGCAAAACTCCGTCTCGGAGGAAAAAAAAAGAAATCACGCAGTGAGTCCCATAGAAGAGAATGAATCCCACAGAAAGCAGGCGGCAGGTCCCATAGAAAGCCGGCAGCGGTTCCAGTGGCGAGCAGGCCTAAAGGTGGTGATGGACTTTGCCTCTTGGGTGGGGGTCAGGGGTCTTGAGCCCACACTGCCCGCAGAAAGCAGGCGACCGGGAAAGGCTGGGAGGGGGCAGGCGGATGCCCGCCCCTGTGGGTGGCGGCGCAAAGCCCCTCCGACCTGTATGTCTCTGCCTCGCAGACACGTTCGCCAGCAAGGTGGCGGCGCTGCAGGACCAGTGCGCCGACGCGTCCATCGGCAACGTGACCGGCTCCAACGCGGTGAACGTGTTCCTTGGCCTGGGCGTCGCCTGGTCTGTGGCCGCCGTGTACTGGGCGGTGCAGGGCCGCCCCTTCGAGGTGCGCACTGGCACGCTGGCCTTCTCCGTCACGCTCTTCACCGTCTTCGCCTTCGTGGGCATTGCCGTGCTGCTGTACCGGCGCCGGCCGCACATCGGCGGCGAGCTGGGCGGCCCGCGCGGACCCAAGCTCGCCACCACCGCGCTCTTCCTGGGCCTCTGGCTCCTGTACATCCTCTTCGCCAGCCTGGAGGCGTACTGCCACATCCGGGGCTTCTAGGGCCTCGCGCAGAGACTCGTCCCCACCGCCCGCCCGGGGCTAGGGACTCGGCTGCACCTGCTCTTGGACCCTGGTCTCCTTTTCCCCCCAGACTCGGCCTCCTCTCCTGGGACTCGGCCTCCCTTCTCCGCCCCCTCCCCTGGCTTTGATTGCCCTGTTCTGTGTCCCCAGTAGCTCAGCCTTCCCTCTTCCTCTCGGGAGCCTCCCCGGTTCCTCCCCTGCGGTGACCCCAACTCCAGCCCATCCTGTTGGTGACCGTCTATATCCCTGGGGAAATTTCCACCCCAGTCCCCTCCCCAGGGAACCACCCCCAGTAACCATCCTGGGGAGTTTAAGGTCTCTCTCCTTGGTCACCCAGCCTGGCTTTGCCCCCAAAGTCTCCCTTCCCCTAGTGACCCCCCCCCCACTTCACCCCATGTCCCAGAGCCTCAGAACCCACCCTCCCTGGGGGACCCTCGAAGGAGGCTGTCAGAGGCCGTCTCAGCTCCCAGCCCTTCCCCCCAGCCCTCAGGGAGCTCCGCTCAGCCCCGGCGGGGAGGAGCGGGTGGGTGTGCGCGCAAGGAGGCCGCACACCGTTCCTTCCAATCCCTCCACTCGGGTTCTTGGGAGGACACTCATTCTCCAGGCTCGGAGACGAGGGGAGAAGTTTGGGGTTTCAGTCCCAGGGCTTAGCCGGAGGAAGCACATTTTGAACCTGCAACTTCAGACATTCCAGCTCCCCCACTCGCCCTCCACTACCTCTGAGAGCCCAGCCACGCCTTGGAGGGAGGGGCTTGTGTGTGTATATAGTGTGTTTGGGGGAGGGGGGACGCGGGAGGGTGCATGTCTTGGGAAAAGGGGGTGACAGACAACTTTTGAGAGGGCAGCAGACTCCCTCAGCCATGAGAACCAGCTTTGGGGAGGAGGCCGGGAATCAAAGCGAGTCCAGTTGATCTCCCCTGACAATCTGGAAGGTTCCTTTTGCCCTCAGTGCCAGCCAATCCGGGCAGGACCCTCGAAGAGGAGACCGAGGGTCCCAGAGGACCAATGCTACAAGCCAGCAAATGCTGCCACATCTCTGCCTGATGGGGGGTGGGGATGGGTGGGGGGATGGGACTGGGCCAAGGGATCTGGGTGGGCATTTTTAACTTTGGAGGCCTTCCATCTGTCGGTAGGCCATCTGCATTTTCTTACTGTTGATGTTTCCTGCCCAAAGGACACATTTGGGCAGTGCCACCCACTCCTTGGGCCCCTAGGATGACCCAACTACCCCCATAACTTTCTGCTTCCCACAGGTTTTCAGCATTCTATCGTCCTGTTGTGCTCAGCCCCAACATCCCAGACCCGTTACCCACTACCCTTCTCTCCCCCAGCTCATCATCAGTCGCTGTCTCTTTTCTGTGATTTCTGTAAAAGTTGCCATAAAACTTTGAAATTCTGCCTGAAAAACAGTCCCGTGGGAAGCTGGGATTCAGGAGGAGGGGGCTAATAAGGTCTCTGACTGAGATTTGGGCAACTGTTAAACCAAGTAATCTGGGTTTTTGCGGCCCGCGGTCGTCTGCGGGACACACCCACATATAGCAGCAGCGCCGGGGTCCAGCCGCCAAGCTCTTCCACTCGCCACGCCCCCATCAGTAATGAGCTTCCACTAGCCACGCCCCCATCCGTCAGCCTAGCTCTTCCACTAGCCACACCCCCATCCATCAGTCATGGGCTTCCACAAGCCACGCACCTCCACTCTCCATGCCCCCATTCGTCAGTCGTGGGTTTCCACTAACCACGCCCCCATTCATCAGCCAAGCTCCTCCACTTGCTACGCCCGCATCCGTCAATTACGGGTTTCCACTAACCACGCCCCCATTCATCAGCCTAGCTCTTCCACTAATCACACCCCCACTTATCAGTCGTGCTTCAGCCACGCCTTCCTGCTTCAGTCAGGGGCTTCCACTAGCCACGCCCCCATGCATGAGCCACAAACTGTTTCTCTTTATGGGCATCCTGGGAACACAAAAGAGAGACGTTCATTTGCCTGAGCCAAAGAGCTGGGGTTGATGGGGTTTCCTAAATAAAGCAAGTAATTTTCTCAGATCCTACAGGAGGAGGGGTGTGTGTGTGTGTGTTGTGCCAAAGGACACAGCCTGTGTAAAGGTGTGCAGAGTTGGGAGATAATGGCTTTTTCAGAGCCCTGGAAATGGTTATCATGAACGAGGTATGGGGTGCGTGGGGAGTGAACTTGAGGACAAATCATAAGAGACTTTATCAGCCACTCTAGGGAGCTTGGAATATATCCTAAGAGTAAAGGGGAGCTTTGCAAGGGATTTAAGTGGGGGAAGGAGGCAGGCGGTTGATATCACCTGATTTATTTTATGAGACGTTCCTCCTGGCTACTGGGGGCTGGGAGACCAGGGACAAGGCTGGAGCAGGGACAGAGGCAGCAGACGAGGGGAGAGGGGAGTAGGAGGGTGGGAGGGCGATGGTGAGAAGGGAGTGGTTGAGAGAGAGAATGGATGGGGCTGCGTGAGGGAGTTCAGGGAGTGCATCTTGGCAGGAGAGAGGTGGTGTGTTCATTCAAACGGAGTAGCCAGGGAGAGTTGGGTGAAAGGGCTACTGAGGAGTGGGCAGGGTTGGGGAAAACGAGGGAAGGTGTAGTACCCCAGGGCTAGCAGCAGAGGGAGCAGTTGCCATACCTGGGCTAGAAGGGGTGAGCAGAGGCACCCGAGGCTGCAGAGACCTGGGGACCTGAGTCTGTAGAGTAGAAGAGTACAGGCATCACCAACCTGCACTGGGGATAGCGGGGCGCCGGGAGAGTAAGCACCTCGACCTCATTCTGCTCCCACCTGCTAGTCTCCTGCCACTTCCTCCCACCGGCCGCACCCAACCTGAAGTCCAAGGTAAGACAATAGGCCCACGGCATGGTGGCTCACGCCTGTAATCCCAGCACTTTGGGAAGCCAAAGCAGAAGGGTCGCTTGAGCCTAGGAATTCAAGACCAGCCTGGACAACATAGCGAGTCCTCGTGTCTCCACAAACTTTAAAAGTTAGCCAAGCGTGGTGGCATGTGCCTGTAGTCCCAGATACTCAGGAGGCTGAAGCAGGAGGATTGCTTGAGCCCAGGAGGTCGAGGCTGCCGTGAGCTAGGACTGCACCACTGCACTCCAGCCTGAGTGACAGAGAAAAACCCTGTCTCCCCACTACCAAAAAAAAAAAAAAATCGACCTTTGGCTTTAGGCCTTGATGAGAACAGGTTTGTGGAAGGTGTAGGGGCAGACGGTGCACTGATCTGCAGTGGGAGGTGGGGAAATTGAGTCAGGGCATGTAGATCACTCTCTGGAGAGTCCTGATGTGAGGAGGGGAGGTTGCTGGAGGAGCAGTAGAGGGCATTGACTACAGGGGCACAGGAAAGCAAGGGAGGCCTGTGCTAACAGCAGCTGGCAGTGATGGGGACCCCCCCAAGCATGATCTGCTTAAACCTATTGCCAGTTCTATACATCACCCCATTCCACGGAAGAGGAAACTAAGGCTCAGAGAGGTGAAGCAATGTGCCCAAAGTTTCACAGGTAGAAGGGCAAAGATGGGACAGGATGAGTTCCACGATGTAGAATGGGACAAGGGACACCTTCAAATTTTTTTTTTTTTAGATGGAGTTTCACTCCTTTTGCCTAGGCTGGAGTGCAATGGCGCGATCTCGGCTCACTGCAACCTCCACCTCCCGGGTTCAAACGATTTTCCTGCCTCAGCCTCCCAAGTAGCTGGGATTACAGGCGCCCGCCACCACACCTGGCCAATTGTTGTATTTTTAGTAGAGACAGGTTTTACCATGTTGCCCAGGCTGTTCTCAAACTCCTTTGAACTCCTTACCTCAGGTCATCCACCCACCTCAGCCTCCCAAAGTGAACTACTGTAATCCCAAAGGATTACAGGCGTGAACCATCGTGCCAGGTCTGGGACACCTTCATCTTAACAAATGCAAACAAAGGGGGTGTAGAGTCTTGGTGCAGGAAGATGAGTAAGGTCTCAGCTGCAAAGAGAGACACATTGAGAGCTTGAGGCTTGGAAAACATGAGGACTTTCACACCTGTCCCGTCACCTCACCCCGAAGGTCATGATTCTCACCTGGATGCAAAGAGCTCTATGGGGTCAGCTTGGGAGTGATTAACATTGTCCTGGGAGGCAGCATAGTGTAGCGGCTGACTTTCTCTGTGCCTCAGTTCCCTCATCTGGAAAATGCGTGATGATGATGCTAACAGTACCTATGTCACAGGGTTGTCGTGGGGATTAAATGAATATATATTAGCCTCCCAGGCCGGGTGTGGTGGCTCATGTCTGTTATCCCAGCACTTTGGGAGGCCAAGGTGGGAGGATTGTTTGAGCCCAGAAGTTCGACACCAGCCTGGGCAACACAGTGAGACCCCATCTCTACTAAAAATAAAAATTATCTAGGCATCGTGGTGCACACCTGTAGTCCTAGCTGCTCCAGAGGCTGGGGTGGGAGGATCACTTGAGCCCACAAGGTTGAGGCTGCAGTGAGTCATGATCATGCCACTGCACTGCAGCCTAGGTGACAGAGTGAGACCCTGTCTCAAAAAACAAACAAATGAACAAAACCCAAGCAAAACCTAAAAGTCATCTGGAGGCAGAACTCCTTCTTCCTGGAGGGACCTCAGTCTTAAGGCCTTCAACTGATTGGATAAGGCCCACCCATACAATCTGCTTCACTCAAAGTCAATCGATATTAAATGTTAATCTCATTTTTTTTATTTTTGAGATGGAGTCTGGCTCTGTCGCCCAGGCTGCAGTGCAGTGGTGCGATCTCAGCTCACTGCAAGCTCCGCCTCCCAGGTTCACGCCATTCTCCTGGCTCAGCCTCCCGAGTGGCTGGGACTATGAGTAGCTGGGACTACAGGCGCCGGCCACCACGCCCGGCTAATTTTTTGTATTTTTAGTACAGACGGGGCTTCACCGCATTAGCCAGAATGGTCTCGATCTCCTGACCTTGTGATCCACCCACCTCGGCCTCCCAAAGTGAGCCACCGCGCCCGGCTATTAATCTCATTTTTAAAATACCTTTACAATGGCTGGGCGTGGTAGCTCACACCTGTAGTCCCAGCTATTCAGGAGGCTGAGGTGGGAGAATCGCTTGAACCCGGGAGGCAGAGGTTGCAGTGAGCCAAGATTGCACCACTGCACTCCAACCCGGGCAACAGAGCAAGACCCTGTCTCAAACACACACACACCCCTTCACAGCAACATCTAGGCTGATGCCTGAACATGAGGGCAGCACAGCCTAGCCACGTAGACACATATGATTCACCACCACGAGAGGTCCCTCTTTTCCCTTTGTTTCCTCTCTGCCCATCCATCATGCCCCCGCTGGCCACCGTCTTAGGCTGAGCACCAACAGAAGCCAGCCCACAGCAAGGATGGGAGGGAAATAGTTTATTTGTGAGGTGATCCCAGGAGGCACTGGAGGGAGATGGGAAAGAAAACCATTAAAGGTGGTGTTGAAGGCTGGGCGCGGTGGCTCACGCCTGTAATCCCAGCACTTTGGGAGGCCAAGGTGGGCGGATCACCTGAGGTCAGGAGTTCAAGACCAGCCTGGCCAACATGGTGAAACCCCATCTCTACTAAAAATACAAAAATTAGCCGGGCACGGTGGCAGGTGGCTATAATCCCAGCTACTCGGGAGGCTGAGGCAGGAGGATCACTTGAACCCAGGAGGCAGAGTCTGCAGTGAGCCGAGATCACACCACTGCACTCCAGCCTGGGTGACAGACCGAGACTCCATCTCAAATAAATAAATAAATAAATAATAAAGGCAGTGTTGAATGAGCAGGTCACCCTGTGGACAATGAGGTCTCCATCCTGCTGGGGACCTCTCAGGGAACTCTGGAGTTCCCCACCTGAAGACTTTGGGTTATGTATCCACTAACTCCTGTCTGATGGTGGCCCAGGACCTCTTTAGGGGTGCTGACTTCTAGCGCCTCCTACCCTGGTCTGGAAAGCATTCAGGGAAGGGTCGCAGGTGCCAGCGTGAGAGATGCTGTTGGGTCCTAGGTGGTATGAGTGGGTCAGAGACAGCCTCTGCTATGATTACTTCCCAGAACGGGGGTCTCACTACCTCCCTCTTCCAGTAAGGCAATGGGTGGCCACCAGCACAGCACTGACTGTGCCCAGGTTGCCCTCTCTCCTGGTCTGATGCCCCCAGCTCCCTCCTCGGCCTCTCCCAGGGAATCGGGAAGGGTTGGTACCTGGCATCTCCTCCACGTTCTGCCGTCCCCCTGAGGATTGAAATCAGACACTAGGGAGGACTTCCAGGCACACATGGCCAAAGGAGAGAGGGATGAGGCTCCAGGCTTCAGTGCCTCCCAAGGTACCTCCTCACTCTCTCCTTCTCGCCACCTTTGCCTCCCGTTCCCTGCCTGCTCCCTGCAATTCTCTCCCTGGGGAAGTGCGGGGAAGGGAATGTCATGGGTGGTGGATTGAAAGGGGTAGGTGGGGTCAGTAGAGGGGGAACACAGACGGTGGAGGAGGTGGAGAAGGGACACAAAAAGAGGAGGGGAAGTTGGAGAGGGAGCAGAGAGCCAAGAACAAAACACAGGGGCCGGAGAGGCAGCAGAGACAGAGATACAGACAGGATGCAGAGAAGATGCAGACGGAGGAAGCCCAGAGACTCAGAACACAGCACCAGGGAGGAGAGCGAGGTGGGGAGCGGGGCGGGGCGGGCGTCCCAGGGCGCCAGGGCAAGACCCTCACCCCATTCCCAGCACACAAAGCCAGTGAGGCCAACGCCGAGGGTACTCTCAGAGACCAGAGATTTAAAAGGCACGGCTGGGCCGACAGAGCCCATGGCAGACAGAGGGACATGGAGAGACAGGGAGAGAGACACACAGAGACAGAGGGAGAGACAGAGAGAGATGGAGAGACAGAGAGAGATGGAGAGACAGAGAGAGAGGGAGGGACAGAGAGAGAAATGGAGAGACAGAGAGAGACAGAGACAGAGAGAAATGGAGAGACAGAGAGATGGTGAGACAGACAGAAATGGAGAGACAGACCCCAAGAGGGAGAGACAGAGAGAGATGGAGAGAGAGGGAGAGACAGAGAGAGAGGGAGAGAGAGGGAGAGACAGAAAGAGAGAGACAGAGAGAAATGGAGAGACAGAGAGGGAGAGATAGAGATGAAGAGACAGAGAAGGAGAGACACAGAGAGAAATGGAGAGACAGAGAGCAAGAGGGAGAGACAGATGGAGAGAGAGGTAGAGACAGAGAGATGGAGAGACAGAGAAAGAAATGGAGAGACAGAGAGGGAGAGACAGAGATGAAGAGACAGAGAGAGAAGGAGAGACAGAGAGAGATAGAGAGACAGAGATGGAGAGACAGAGAGAGATGGAGAGACAGAGAGATGGAGAGACAGAGAGAGAGGGAGAGACAGAGATGGAGAGACAGAGAGAGAGGGAGCAACAGAGAGATGAAGAGACACAGAGAGGGAGAGACAGAGGGAGAGACAGAGTGGAGAGACAGAGAGAGAGATGGAGAGGCAGAGAGGGAGAGACAGAGAGAGATGAGAGACAGAGAGGGAGAGACAGACGGGCAGAGACAGAGAGATACAGTTATAGAGAGACACAGAGACAGAGTCAGAACTGGAAAGAGACTCAGTAAGAGAGAGACAGAGACAGAAGGAGAGAAGGAGAGAGGGTGAGGAAAAGGAGGATGAGGAGGAGGACGGACCGGAGACAGGACCCAGAGGCACAGCGAGAAACTGGCAGAGGAAAGCAGATTCCAACAAAAAAGACGGAGAGGGCGAGGAGAGATAGAAAGGGAAGGAAAAGAGGGAGAGAGGGGTCTCGGTGGGAGCCGCAGCCTGTGCCCCGCCCCCCGCCCGGGTCAGGCCGGGTCCTTCCCGCCACCGCTGAGCCGTGGCTAATGGTATGATTGCTTGGTGGGGCGGGAGGGGAAGGGGGCGGCAGGCATTTGTCAGGGCCGGTGACGAATGAGCCACAGGAGTCTGGGCTCGGGTGATGGATGGCGTGGCCAGCGGGCGGAGGGGCGGGCGCAGGGGTGGGCGCCCCCACCAAGATAAATGTTTCCTTCTCCTGGAGCTGGGCCAGGCAGCGGGAGGACGGGAAGGGGGCGATGTATTTATGAAGGGCCCGGGTGGAGGAGAGGGGAGAGAGCCAGGGAGACAGAAGCCCAGGGAGGATACGGTGGGGGGGACAGGGAGGCGGAGAGAGGGAGAGGAAGGAGGGAGAAGAGACAGAGGCCCCTGGAGAGAGAGACCGAGAAAGATGGAGAGAAAGAGAGATAAGAAAGATGAGGCAGAGAAGACATCCAGACAAAGAGACACAGAGATACAAGAAAAAAAAAAAAAGCCAGGAGACAGACAGACAGACACAGCCCAGGTGACAGACAGACAGACATAGCCCAGGCGGAGATGGAGACAGAGACGGCCTGTCTTTTAGGGTCCCTTCTTCCCCCACCCTCCTGAGCAGAGACACAGATTCTCAGAGAGAGCCTGGAATGAGGAGGAGGAAGCAAACCTGGGCCCCCAGAAGGAGAGAGACAGACACAGAGCGGTTGATAAAGAGGGGAAACCGAGGCAGGAGGCTAGCAGGCCCGAGAGAGAGGACAGGAGGAACCCAAGGTGGATCCTCGTTCATTCGGTCTGCTCCTGTAGGCTTTCAGAGGGGATCCTGGGGACCACTGCGGATCCCCGGGGGACGTGGCTGCCTGGTGGGCATAGCCCCAGTGGTCGGTGCTCAGGTTGGGGCACTGAAGGGCCAGTCCGCTGAGAGATCGCCCAGCCCGTGCTGGGGAGACCCATGAGGTCCCCCAGATCTACTCATAGAGGGCTCCACGCTTCCCGTCTGTAAAACAGGTGCAGGACAGGGCTAGAGGGCGGAGACCCCTGCAGACTGGGAGCTGGGGTCACTCTGATGCCACCCAGGGAGCCACTCAGCCGGGCAGGGAAGACGCTTCCAGACACTGTCACAGGGAGGCCCAAGCACACCCTCGAAGAGCCGACAGGCAGCCGCGACGCAGTGACACAGGCACCCCCGCTCCAGCACCAGGCCTGGCCGCCACCTGCTCCCTCCCCCTGGGAACAGAAGGGTCCCAGGACTATTTAAGGGAGACAGCCAGGAAGAGAGAGAGAGAGAGAGAGAGAGAGAGAGAGAGTGTGTGTGTGTGTGTGTGTGTGTGTGTGTGAGAGAGAGAGAGAGAGAGCGAGAGACAGAGACGGACAGACAGACGGATGGACAGACAGAGGGAAAGACTGGAGGAAGAGCCTCAGAAAGCCGGAGCCTCCCCCCTGCTCCCTCCGTCCCCCGCCGGCATCCTCCATCCTCCCCCAATCAATTTCTCTCCCACACACTTATTTCTCCCTTCCCAACAGCTCGTCTCTTTCTTTAATTAGAAAGATTTATGCTTCAGAGTCCAAGCCCCCTGCTCTTGTTTTGGGGGTGGCAGGGACGACTCCAGGGTCTCTATTGGAGCTCCTGTCCCCCACTCCCTCCCCCTCCTGTCTGTCTCACTCTGTCTGCACCTCTCTCTCTCTCTCCTCCCACCCGCGTCTGTCTCTGTCTCTCTCTCTCTCTGAATCACACCGTCACTGGAGTTACCTCCCTCCCCACTCCAGTTAGGCCCCATCCCCATCCCAGGTGCCCCCTCCCTCCCTTCCTGCTCTGTCCACGCCCCCCACCACTGGCCGTCAGATGAGGCCGCACTTGCTCCTCTAGGTTTCAGAATCAGCCTGGGCTAAGGGGACCTTAGCATGCACCACCCCCCAAAAAAGCAAATAGAGCCAGAGACTCCTAACCCTTGCATCCCTCACCCCAAGTCTTGGCTGAGGGTGAGGTGGGGGTGGAGCAGACCAAAGGGCCTTGTGTCTTTAATTAAAAAGTGATTTAAATTAATTTTCTGCTCCAAAACCCCTATCTGGGGTGCGCCGGCCTTGAGGAAAGGCAAGGCCTCCAGACCCTTCCCCTCGGACTGCCTTAAACGGCCAGCCTCACCGCAGGACAGCCACGGGGGCAGAGCCCGCCGGCATGGGGACCCCCAGACTCAGCCAAGACCCTGAGTCCTGGCACCCTCTAGCTTAACTGTTTCTCCGTTATCCACAGCCCACCCCCGCCGCCCCCAGCGCACTGCCCATCCTGCAGAGGGGGAATCGAGCCTCAGAGAGGGGAGAGCCTACGGTGGGACCAGACTCCAGATTCCCACGTGACCCCTGGAGATGGCCAGGGAGGGGGTCCGTGGTGTGTCCAGGGGGCTCGGAGAACAGAGAGCCAGAGGAGAGAAAGGACGGGAGAAGCGGAGACAGAGAGAGACAAGGAGAGAGAGACTGGGAAAGAGGGAGACTGAGAAACCCGGAGCAGGAACCCCAGCCCTGGGTAGGAGAGGAGGGGCCTGGGGGCACCAGGGCCGCGGTCTCTTCCTCTCCTCCCCCCACAGCCTGCCCCTCCCCGACTCCCACCGGAAGTGCTGCTGCTGCCCTAACCCCAATCCCTCGTGCTGTAGCTCTGCAGGCTCACTCTGGCTCATCCCCTATCCCGCTCCTTGGTGGTTCTGTTTAATTTCCACAAGACAAGGGAGAGACCGGGAACGGGGAGCGCGGCTGCCAGCACCCCTGAGCCGCCGCCGGACCCTCCGTCGCCCCGGGCCGCCCCCCGCCCCCTGCGGTCCCCGGTGTGTCCGTCTCGGGACGGTTCGATTCCCTCCAGAGCCGGGGAAGGGACGGGGGGGGCCCAGAGGAGGGGGCCTCGGGCGCCCCGCCTGCGCCTGCTGCCCCCGCCCCGGCGGCGATGCGCTCCTGGCCGTGACCCCCGCTGGGGGCGGGGGCCGGGGTCCATGCGCGGAGTCCCCACCCGGCCCGGCGCCTGCCGCTGACGGCGGCGGGGGTGGGGGGGCGCGCGCCTGGCCTCCTGCCCACCCCCTGGCGTCAACACCGCGGGCCGTCAGGGGCTGCGGCCCCGGGCTGCGCCCTCCCCCGCGGCCAGGCTCTGGAGGGACCCAGGAGCTGCCGCCGGCCTCAGCCCATGGCCCGGAGGGTAGGTCTCGGGGCGGGGACCCCGCGTCCCGGCCGCTTCCGCACCCCCTGTCCCTGCATCCCCCACTCTCCGGCGCTGGCCCCCATTAGCCCATCCGTCCTCTACACCACCTCGCTCTCTCTCTGCCCCTCCCTCCGCCCCTGGGTCTCCCAGTCCCTGTGTGCCCCCTCTCTGCCCCCAAGTGTCTCTTCCTGGCCCTCGGCCTCGCCTCCTCCCCATCGTTTAGCTTCTCCTTCTCCCTGCCCCTCTGTCCCCCTCTGTCTGCCCCACTCTCCTCCTCCTTTCTGCCTCTCTGTCCCCCTCTCTCTGTCCCTGGTCTCCCCCCTCTTTCTGCCTCTCTATCCCCCTCTCTCTGCCCTCCCCCACCCGCAGTCTCTCTCCTCTGTTCCTGGGCTTCCTCCTCCATCTCAGCCGCCCGCACCTCACCGTCCCCCCTTTTTTCTGCTCTCCTCCGTCCTTCCCTTCGCTCTACTTTTGTTCCAAGCCGCCCCTGCCTCTCCAGGGCTAGGAGTGGGACAGGGGTGGGAGAGGTGGTCTCACCAGGCTGCTGGCCCCACGGAGCCTGTCTCCCTGGGGATGGGAACGGGGATAGAAGACAGGGGAGGAGGCGCGCGCCCGTTTTGGGGGTTCCGGGTAGGCTGTGAGGACCGCTTTTGGTGAGAGTGCCTTGAGCAGCGGGGAGCAGTTGGATTCAACTTCAGGGCACAGGAGAAGTTAGGAGAAGAGGGAGAGGGAAAGAGTGGGACACACAGAACCAGGGTGCCCAGCCAGGCGAGGGTCCGAGGCAGGAACGTTCTAGCCTCTTCCCGTGCGAGTCCTGCTGCCTCTTTGAGCCTCCGTGTCTTCATCACTGAGGAAGGGATTTGACCTGATGAGAGGAAGGTGCCCCTGGCTTCCCAGGTGCATGGTTCTGTGACGACAGGACGCGGTCGTCCTACCCCATAATGGTGTTTCTCTTGGGTGCGCAATCGTGTCTGTATGGTGGTGCGGAGTGACCCTCTCCGGCAACAAGTGCTCACAGCATGAGCCAGGCCCTGTGCTAAATGCCTCATTCATTCATTCATCCATGTGCCAAATGTCTCAATCATGCATTCATTCTTGTGCCTGGTGTTGGGCTGTGTGCATGTGTGTGTGCATGTGTGTGTGGGGGGGGGGATTTGGGTGTGACTGACACATGAGTGTGCACGTGGGTTGGTGTGTATGGCTGTGTCTACATGTGTGGTAGATTCACGTGGCGAGTGGAGTGTGACATGTTGTTGAGACTTACTCTGATGCGCTTATCTGCCAACTGTGAAATGAAATAGAAGACAGGGAGGCTTCGTATGTGTACTTTGTGTACAACAATGCGCGGTTCCTACAGGAGGTGTCCATGGATCTCCCTCTCTGTCTGTCTCTCTCTCTGTCTCTGTCACTGTCTTCTCACGCCACTTTCTCCATCTCTTTTCCCTCCCAGCCAGACCCTGCCGTCTCTCCCTCTGGGTCCTCCTGCCCACATGTCAGGAATCTCTGCCTGGACGGGGTCCTCACTCCCCACCGAGGCAGCTCCAGGGGACCTGGAGGGCTTCAAGCTTGGGGGCTCAGACACCTGGGGACCACAGGCAGGTTTCTGGGACACAGAAGGGCATCTCCTGGGTTCCAGGATAGAGAAGCTCCTCAGCCGAGTCTCGGGGTGCTGACCCCTCCCTGGGGCTCCGCCCTTCTCTTCTCACCTTCCCCCAGTATGATGAGCTGCCGCACTACCCAGGCATCGTGGATGGCCCCGCAGCCCTGGCTAGCTTCCCAGAGACAGTGCCCGCAGTACCAGGGCCCTATGGCCCGCACCGGCCTCCCCAGCCCCTGCCCCCAGGCTTGGACAGCGACGGCCTGAAGAGGGAGAAGGATGAGATCTATGGGTGAGTGGGGCCGGGTCTCAGGCTCCTGTCTCTCTCTCTCTGTCTTTCTGCTTCTTTGCTCCCTGGGTCTGCTTCTGTCTCTCTCTGTGTACGAGTCTCTGTCTCCTTCCCTCTCTGGGTCTCTTGTCCCCTCCCCAGCTGTTCTGCATCTTGGCAGCCCCTCCATCCACCTCCCAGCCTCTCCCTCAACCTCTCTCCTTTCCTGCCTCCCCAGACACCCGCTCTTCCCCCTCTTGGCCCTGGTCTTTGAGAAATGTGAACTGGCTACATGCTCTCCCCGTGACGGGGCCGGAGCTGGGCTGGGGACACCCCCTGGAGGTGACGTCTGCTCCTCTGATTCCTTCAACGAGGACATCGCTGCCTTTGCCAAGCAGGTGGGCACCTCCCACCCACCACACACCGAGTCAGAGAGCCAGCGAGGAGGGGTGGGTGGAAGGCGGGACATCCCCCTGCCGGCCTCTCTCTTCCCTCCCAGGTTCGCTCTGAGAGGCCCCTCTTCTCCTCCAACCCAGAACTGGACAATCTGGTGAGACCCGAGCCCTCCCCCACACCCCCTCCTCCAATGGGTCTCCTTCCCTGACGCCCCATCCCTGGGGTTGGTGGGGGGGGTGCAGAGAGAAGGCCACCTGGTCCATGTCCCCAAACCGTCATGATTGTTGCCCACGTGCCGTGTGGTACAGCCTAGAGTCTGAGAACGGGACCCATGGCCCGAGTTCAAATCCCAGCTCTGCCACTCACCAGCTCTGTGACCCAGGGCAAGTCACTCTGCATCTCCGTGCCTTGGTGTCCCGTCTGTGAAGTGTGGCTGGTAGTAATGTCTGTCTTGGAGGGCTGCTGTGGGGGTTTAATGAGTGAATGCGATTCAAGTGCGTGGAACAGCACCTGGCACAGAATAGGGCTCAAAAAGTGTCTGATGTTCCATCCGTCAGAAGATCAGCACCTATGCCAAAGTGAGCGCAGGGACTGCTGCCCAAGGAGAGGAGGCTGGGTGCGGCAGCTCACGCCTGTAATGCCAGCACTTTGGGAGGCCAAGGCCAGGAGATAGCTTGAGGCCAGGGATCGAGACCAGCCTGGGCAACGTAGCGAGACCCCACCTCTACAAAAACATTTAATTAGCGGGGTGTGGTGGCATGCACCTGTGGTCTCAGCTACTTTGGAGGCTGAGGCGGGAGGATCGCTTGAGCCCCAAGAGGTCGAGGCTGTAGTGACCCTTGATCAGCTCCACTGCATACCAGCCCAGGCAACAGGGCAAGACCCTGTCTCTCATAGAGAGCTAGAGAAAGAGAAAGAAAGAAAGAAAAAGAGGGCCGGGTGCGGTGGCTCATGCTTGTAATCCCAGCACTTTGGGAGGCTGAGGCAAGCAGATCACCTGAGGTCAGGAGTTCGAGACCAGCCTGACCAAATGATGAAACCCTGTCTCTACTAAAAATACAAAAATTAGCTGGGCACAGTGGTGCACGCCTGTAGTCCCAGCTACTCAGGAGGCTGAGGCAGGAGAATCGCTTGAACCTGGGAGGCAGAGGTTGCAGTGAGCCAAGATCACACCACTGCATTCCAGCCTGGGCAACAGAGCAAGACTCCATATCAAAAAAAAAAAAAAAAAAGAGAGAGAGAGAGAAGAAAGGAGGGAGGAATACCCAGCTTCTCCCATCCTTTGCTCCCCAAGCTCTTGCCAGGGCTTCCTATTGGCCAAACCCTTTGGCAAGTGTTCTGGGAAATGTAGCTTGCAGGTGGGTGGGGCCTGGAGCTGGGGGCCAACAGGCAGAGGATGGGAATGCCAGTCAGCATGGCTCACCTTAGCTCTCCCCGCTTGTGATGGGTCCTTTTTCGTCTCTTGCTTCTCTCAATCTAACATCTGCTCTTTCCTTAATTCTGGGCTGCATCTCTGTTCTCTCTTTCCCCCTTGCACCTGGTGTCTTTGTCTCTCTTTGCTGCATCTCCCTGTCCCTGTCATTTTGTCTCACTCTTTCTGTTTCTCTGTGTCTCCTCTTCCTCCTTCTCTTCCTCTTCCTTCTTCCTCCCTGCTCCCTCCCCCAATTCCCTCTGTCTCCCCCCACCTCCCGCCCACGTTTTCAGATGATCCAGGCCATCCAGGTGCTGCGGTTCCACCTGCTGGAGCTGGAGAAGGTGAGCGCGTCTCACCTCCCCACACCCTCACTTGCCCCTGTCATCCCACCCCCTCTCGTCGCCTCTGCCCCCCACCTTCCAGCTCTCTCCCCACCGGAGTTGAAGCAGAATGCCGCCCCCGTCCCTGAGCACCCCCGCCCTGCCCCCGTGGGTGGCCCCCCCCAGTACCCCGGTGCCCCCCCAGGTCCACGACCTGTGCGACAACTTCTGTCACCGCTACATCACCTGCCTCAAGGGAAAGATGCCCATCGACCTGGTCATCGAGGATCGGGACGGCGGCTGCAGGGAGGACTTCGAGGACTACCCAGCCTCCTGCCCCAGCCTCCCAGACCAGGTGGGCCCGGGACGGGCACCAGGCATCGTCCTGCAGCCACAGCTGTGCCTGGACACCGCATGAGGGCGCATGTGCACTACACAGCCTCAGACGAAGCCACAGTCAGCCTGATCACAGGGCACGCATATGCACACAGCCACACACCCACTACACAACAGCTACGCAGACTCGGATGCGGCTGGGCAACAGTGCACAGACACACGCACACCAGCGGCTGCAGATGCCACCCACAGATTCAGCTACACCCACACAGGTCCACATACAGCCACACCAACTCAGCAACAGCCATTTCTGCTCACAGCCAGACAGTAGCGTCCACCGGGTACTCACACACGCCCCCCAGCCCAGCCATACGACAGCAGCATAGAACACACAGCCGGGTTCCGCACGCCGTTCTCAATTGAGTATGTGTCCACTGCATACACACACCCGCTCCAGCCACACAGATGGACATAGAGCCAAACAGCCCCAGGTACTGCCCGGCAAACTCAGATATAACCACACTTGGGCCCGGACTGACCACGGTGCCCTCTTGCACACACGTGACCCTGGCCACATCACAGTCGGGCTGCAGCCGAGATCACACGCACACACCACTCACAGCCACATGGCCCCAGACTCATCTACGCAGACTTGGAAATAGACTCACAGGCTCAGATGCGGCCACAAAGAATCAAACCCAGGCCGGGTGCGGTGGCTCTCACCTGTAATCCCAGCACTTTGGGAGGCTGAGGTGGGTGGATCATGAGGTCAGGAGATCAAGACCATTCTGGCTAACACGGTGAAACCCCGTCTCTACTAAAAATACAAAAAAAAAAAAAATTAGCTGGGTGTGGTGGCGGGTGCCTGTAGTCCCAGCTACTCAGGAGGCTGAGGCAGGAGAATGGCATGAACCCGGGAGGTGGAGCTTGCAGTCAGCCAGGATCGCACCACTGCACTCCAGCCTGGGCGACAGAGCAAGACTCCATCTCAAAAAAAAAAAAAAAGAATCAAACCCAGCAAAGCAACTCAGTAAGGTGGCACCATCTCAGACGCAGCCTCACTACAGTTTTATCCACTTAGGACACCAGACGGAAAACACACACAGCACAGCCGTGTGGATCCCGACTTGCCACAGCTCCATACAGAGTACAGGGGCAAAGCCTTGAGAAGTCGCATGAGAGCCACACTCAGGCAATCCTACTGTGAACACACCTGGCAATGACATCTTCACAGCACACGCACACCCACTCCACACCACCTCAGATACACTCCTATGACGACCACGCCACAGCCAGACCCACCCAGACACAGTCCCGGAGACATTTTTTTTTTTTTTTGAGATGGAGTCTTGTTTTGTCACCCAGACCGGAATGGAGTGCAGTGGCACGATCTCGGCTCACTGCAAGCTCTGCCTCCTGGGTTCAAGCTATTCCCCTGCCTCAGCCTCCCGGGTAGCTGGGACTACAGGTGCCCACGACCACACCGGGCTAATTTTTGTTCAGTAGAGACGGGGTTTCACCATGTTGGCCAGGCTGGCCTCGAACTCCTGACTTCAAGTGATCCTCCCGCCTCGGCCTCCCAAAGTGCTGGGATTACAGGCATGAGCCACTGCAGCCGGCCAAGTCCTGGAGCCTTATACCCACTCGCACAGGAATCGCAACAACAGTGTCACAAACAGGACAACCAAACCTTCAAACTGCAGTCACAGAAAGGAAAATGTAGACTGGTGATGGCTGGGCGCAGTGGCTCATGCCTGTAATCCCAGTACTTTGGGAGGCCGAGGTGAGCAGATCATCTGAGGTCAGGAGTTCAAGACCAGCCTGGCCAACATGGCAAAAACCCGGCTCTACTAAAAATACAAAACTTAGGCCAGGTGCAGTGGCTCACGACTGTAATCCCAGCACTTTGGGAGGCTGAGGTGGGCAGATCACGAGGTCAGGAGTTTGAGACCAGCCAGGCCAACATGGTGAAACCCCGTCTCTACTAAACATAAAAAAAACAAAAAATTAGACAGGCGTGGTGGCACGCACCTCTGATCCCAGCTACTCAGGAGGCTGAGGCAGGAGAATTGCTTGAACCCGGGAGGCGAAGGTTGCAGTGAGCCAAGATCGCGCTATTGCACTTCAGCCTGGGTGACAGGGCAAGACTCTGTCTCAAAAAAACAAACAAACAACAACAAATTAGCTGGGTGTTATGTCGTGCGCCTGTAGTCCCATCTACTTGGGAGGCTGAGGCAGGAGAATCACTTGAACCCGGGAGGCGGAAGCTGCAGTGAGCCGAGATCTCGCCACTGCACTCTAGCCTGGGCGACAGAGTGATACTCTGTCTCAAAAAAAAGAAGGGTGGGAGGAGGCGTGGTCACCAGAACTGGAGAGAGGAGCAGATTGCTTGACAGCGGCTAAGATTTTTGGTAGAAGAATACAGTTAATCTAAAACCACTTGGCAGATTTAACCCAACGTTAAACTGAAAAACAAAGAACTGTTACTGCAGTCCATATGGGTGAGCTGACCTCCTGGGGCACAGATCTGGGTAGAGGGTAAATCCTACCCGATTGTTGAGTTCCTCAAAGTGTGTTGGAGTTTGCATAAAGAAACTGTGAGGCTGGCTGCAGTGGCTTCATGGCTGTAATCCCAGCACTTTGGGAAGTCGAGGCAGGAGGATTGCTTGAGCCCAGGAGTTCGAGAGCAGTCTGGACAAACTGTGAAATCCCATCTCGACAAAAAATAAGAAAAATTAGCCAGGCGCAACTGTAGTTCCAGCTACTTGGGAGGCTGAGGCGGGAGGATTGCTTAAGCCCAGGAGTTTGAAGCTGCAGAGAGCTAAGATTGCACCACTGCACTCCAGCCTAGGTGACAGAGCAAGACTCTGTCTCTTCAAAGAAAAAAAAAAGATAAGGCCGGGCACGGTGGCTCACACCTGTAATCCCAGCGATTTGTGAGTCTGAGGGGGGTGGATCACAAGGTCAGGAGTTTGAGACCAACCTGGCCAACATGGTGAAACCCCATCTCTACTAGAGATACAAAAAATTAGCCGGGCATGGTGGCACACACCTGTAATCCCAGCTACTCGGGAGGCTGAGGCAGGAGAATCGCCTGAACCCAGGAGGTATAGGTTTCAGTGAGCTGAGATCATGCCATTGCACTCCAGCCTGGGGGACAGGGCGAGACTCCGTCTCAAAAAAAAAAAAAAAAGAAAAGAAAAAGATAATACAGCCCCAGACCCCCTTAGCTACAATTCTGAGACCCCAGAATCTCTGAAACTTCAAAGTTTTGGATTTTGTCCCATAAATTTAGTGCAAACTCATTTGGCAGCAAAAGCTGACCTGAACTAATGAGGGGCTATTTATAGCCTTTATTTATTCCACTTAGTTAAATACTCATCCATGTTGCTATGGAAATGTTCATGAGTTTGATGACGAGGTTGTGCCCCAGACCCTGCCTAGGATGGTTGCGAACTGCATGGTGTATGCGCTGATTTATTGCCTAGAAATGTGAAATGGGCCTGGCGCAGTGGCTCACGCCTGTTATCCAAGACTTTGGGAGGCAGAAGTGGGTGGATCACTTGAGCCCAGGAGTTCGAGACCAGCCTGGCCAATGTGGTGAAACGCCGTCTCTACTAAAAATACAAAAATTAGCCAGGTGTGGTGGCAGGCACCTGTAATCCCAGCTACTCGGGAGACTGAGGCATGAGAATCACGTGAACCTGGGAGGCAGAGGCTGCATTGAGCCTAGATCATGCAACTACACTCCAGCCTGGGCGACAGAGTGAGACACTGACTAAAAATAAAGATAAAAATGTGAAATGTTCGGAATCCTGAGACACTTCTTGCCCCAAGGATTTTAGATAAGATGCCATAGACCTGTGTAAGGTCATCTTGTTTGAGCCCCTGTGTAGACAAACTCATCATTGAATACTGGCCACACACTGTCAGGACTATTATTGTCCTTCATTTTCCTTTTCTTTTTTTTGAGACGGAGTCTCACTCTGTCACCCAGGCTGGAGTGCATTGGTGTGATCTCGGCTCACTGCAAGTTCTGCCTCCCAGGTTCATGCCATTCTCCTGCCTCAGCCTCCCGAGTAGCTGGGACTACAGGCGCCCACCACCACGCCCAGCTAATTTTTTGTATTTTTAGTAGAGACGGGGTTTCACCATGTTAGCCAGGATGGTCTCGATCTCCTGACCTTGTGATCTACCCGCCTGGGCCTCCCACAGTGATGGGATTACAGGCATGAGCCATCGCGCCCGGCCCTTCTTTTCCTTTTTCTTTTTTTTTTTTTTTTGAGACGTAGTCTCACTTTGTCACCCCGGCCAGGCTGGAGTGCAGTGGCACAATCTTGGCTCACTGCAACCTCCCCCTCCCGGGTTCAAGCGATTCTCCCGCCTCAGCCTCCCGAGTAGCTGGGATTACAGGAACCCACCATCATGCCCAGCTAATTTTTGTATTTTTGGTAGAGACAAAGTTTCACCATGTCGGCCAGGCTGGTCTTCAACTCCTGACCTCAGGTGATCCGCCTGCCTCGGCCTCCCAAAGTGCTGGGATTATAGGTGTGAGCCACTGTGCCCAAGCCAGCCTGGTTTTTGTATTTTTAGTAGAGATGGGGTTTCACCATGTTGGCCAGGCTGGTCTCAAATGCCCGACCTCAGGTGATCTGCCTGCCTCAGCCTCCAAAAGTGCTGGCATTACAGGCGTGAGCCACCGTGCCTGGTCCTGTCCTTCATTTTCCAGTTAAGGAAACGGAGGCTCAGAGTGGGGAAGTGACCTGCCCAAGATCACACAGCTAGGAAGGAGGCAGGGACTGGCTTCCCATCCAGGAGTCCTAGCTCCAGAGTCCATGCCCAAAGCCTTGGCACTAACTTTTTTTTTTTTTTTGACACGGAGTCTTGCTCTGTCACCCAGGCTGGAGTGCAGTGGCGCAATCTCGGCTCACTGCAACCTCTGCCTCCCGGGTTCAAGCGATTCTCCTGCCTCAGCCTCCTGAGTAGCTAGGACTACAGGTGCATGCCACCACACCCGGCTAATTTTTTGTATTTTTAGTAGAGACGGGGTTTCACCATGTTAGCCATGATGGTCTTGATCTCTTGACCTTGTGATCTGCCTGCCTTGGCCTCCCAAAGTGCTGGGATTACAGGCGTGAGCCACTGCGCCCGGCCGCCTTGGCACTAACTTCTAACTCTTGTTTTCTAGAATAATATGTGGATTCGAGACCATGAGGATAGTGGGTCTGTACATTTGGGGACCCCAGGTCCATCCAGTGGGGGCCTGGCCTCCCAGAGTGGGGACAACTCCAGTGACCAAGGTGAGAATCTTGGGAGGTGGAAGGGAAACATGGGAGTCAACCAGAGGATTGAAGTTAGATCGCAAGTAAGACTTGTAGAGGGGCAGAGATGGCTGGGGTGTGGAGTGTTGTCTTGGGGGAGAGTTCTGGGGCCCTCTGGTCCTCCACTCTTCACTACCCACACACACAGCATGCCTGCCTTCCCTCAGGAGACGGGCTGGACACCAGCGTGGCCTCTCCCAGTTCTGGTGGAGAAGATGAGGACTTGGACCAGGAGCGACGGCGAAACAAGAAGAGGGGGATCTTCCCCAAGGTGGCCACCAACATCATGCGAGCCTGGTTGTTCCAGCACCTCTCGGTGAGAGCCCTGCTGCCCAGGTGCAGGGTGGGAATGGAGAGAGGGAGAAGGGTGGACCACAGAGACCGAAACCCCAGAGAAACCCAGAAGTGGGAGAAAGACGGCAGGAAATTTTTCGAGACTCTCATGGAGGTGGAGAATTGTGACAGGAGCCAGCAGCACTGAGTGTCACCTGAGTGCAGGTGCCGCTCAGGACACTTAACTCACTAAGTCCTCCCCGAAAACTGTCCATTAACCCGCGCATCAATCATCCACCTGCCCACCATCCACCCAGTGTACCCTCGGAGGGAGGGGCTACTATTATCTCCATTTAACAGGTGAGGAGGAGACTGAGGAACAGAGAGGTTAGGAGACTTGCCTAAGGTCACACAGCCAGAAGTGGATTCAAATGCAGGCAGTCTGGCCTTAACCACCGCACCATACTGCTTCAAGGACAGAGGAGAAAAATAGAGCCAGGAAGAGGCTAAAACAGAGAGACACAGAGATTCGGGGAGGACCAAGTCAGAGCAAGATGGAGACAGGGAGAGGCCGAGTCACAGAGGGACAGAGACAGACAGAAACTCGGAGGCAGGGACGGACTGAATCCCAGAGAGAGAGAGAGATACAGACAGAAACACACACACACAGAGATAGTGAGTCAGAGAGAGAATGTGAGAGCCACAAAGAGAGAAATGGAGGGCCAGACACAGTGGCTCATGCCTGTAATCCCAGCACTTTCGGAGGCCATGGCAGGAGGATCACTTGAGCCCAGGAGTTCGAGACCAGCCTGGGCAACATAGCAAGACCCCATCTCTAAAAAAAAAAATTAGCCAGGCATGGTGGCACACACCTGTGATCCCAGCTACTCAGGAGGCTGAGGCCGGAGGATTGCTTGAGCCAGGGAGATTGAGGCTGCAGTGAGCCATGAAGGCGCCACTGCACTCCAGCCTGAGTGACAGAGTGAGACCCTGTTTAAAAAAAAGAGAGAAAGAGAAAGAAAGAAATGGATAGGGAGGGCTGGGTGCGGTGGCTTATGCCTGTAATCCCAACACTTTGGGAGGCCGAGGCGGGCGGATCACGAGGTCAGGAGATCGAGACCATCCTGGCCAACATGGTAAAACCCTATCTCTACTAAAATACAAAAAATTAGTCGGGCATGGTGGCGCGCACCTGTAGTCCCAGCTACTGGGGAGGCTGAGGCGGGGAATCCCTTGAACCCCGGAGGCGGAGTTTGCGGTGAGCAGAGATCGCGCCACTGCATTCCAGCCTGGCGACAGAGCAAGACTCCATCTCAAATAAATAAATAAATAAATGGATAGGGAGAGGGCCACACAGAGACTCTGACAGATTCAGAGAGGGAGGGCCTGGGCTTTGCTTCCCTCCCCGACGCCAGTGAAGCCCCTCCCCCACGCCACAGGAGCCCCCTCCCCCAACACAGTCTCTCTAATCAGAGCTGGCCAGTTAACCTCTAATTGCTGGAACAGGCGGGGGCTGGCAGGCATGTAATTGCCCCAAGCCTGAGGCTCCCTTGGTCTCCATCCTGGGGAGCGCAGAGACGCTCAGAAGCGCCGGTTCTCCCAGACGTCTGCCTGGGCCTGGGCTCCCCATCCCCCGGACCCCGGTGGGCCAGACCTTGGGGTTCAGACTGCGGCCGGCCAGGCAGGCAGAGTGACTCTTGCTGGTGGCTGCAGCACCCGTACCCCTCGGAGGAGCAGAAGAAACAGCTGGCGCAGGACACGGGGCTCACCATCCTGCAAGTCAACAACTGGTGAGTGGCCCAGGAGGGCCCGCGGGCCGGCCCGGGGCGAGAGCCCGGGCGCTGTCCGCGGTGCTGACGGAGGCCCCGAGCCCCGCAGAGCCACTGCCCCTGCTCGCCCCGCTCTGCCTCCCCCGCCGCTGTCCTCCGGCCCGCTCTGTGTTCGTCTTGGCCTCTCTCCCACTCCCTCTTTTCATTCCCCTCCGTTTCCATGACCGCCTCCCAGGTTCATTAACGCCCGGAGACGCATCGTGCAACCTATGATCGATCAATCCAACCGCACAGGTACAGGGGGAAGGCGGGGACGGAGAGCCTGGGGTTCTTAGGAGGGCGTCAAAGCCGGGTCCCGGGCTTCCTGGGGCTCAGCCTGCACCTCTGAACCCCCTTCGCAGGGCAGGGTGCAGCCTTCAGCCCAGAGGGCCAGCCCATCGGGGGCTATACCGAGACGCAGCCACACGTGGCCGTCCGGCCTCCGGGTAAGCCTCGCCCCCTTAGCTAGGCCCCGCCCCTGCGCACCATGACCCACCTGTAAAACAAAGATGCCCACCTGAGATTCAATTCAAGCGGAATACAGTGTGTCACTTGCCTAGTGAGAAGCAGGTGATGCCAAGGCAGATTTCCTGGTCCCCCATCTTTTCCTTACAACCTCATTTCTTCCAGACTTCAAGCCCAATACCTCGGAAGGCTCCACTTTTTCTTAAAGGGCCAGCACCTTCTTATGACTCAGTCTATCCTGGTAGAGGGATCCCCTGGTGTAGGAAGGGGTGAGGGAGACTTAGAGGCATCTGGGGGTGTCTCTGAAAGACGCACTTACCCTCCTTTTTTTTTGTCTTCCAGGATCAGTGGGGATGAGTTTGAACTTGGAAGGAGAATGGCATTATCTATAGAGGCTGATGCAGGAGAGGTGTGAGGGTCTAAGGGCTGGGGATTGTGCAATTCTCAAACCTCCATTAGACCTCAGGACTCCAAGAGTGGGCACTTCCAGAGTAGTGGGTCAGCCTGGGTCCCTGTACTGTGGGTTCTCTGAGGCTTGATGGGAAGATATTCATCCATCTGTCCGTCCGTCCATCCATCCATCCATCCATCCATCCTCCTCCTCCATGTATCCATCCATCTACCCACTCACTCACCCATCCATATCTTTATCCATCCGTTACTCAATTACTCATTCACCCGCAATCCATCCATCCAAACCTAGTCCACCCACCTACCCACTCATTACCCATCTGACCACACATTCACCCACTCACTCCATTCATCTCTCCACTCGCCAACCCACTCATCCATCTACCTCCACACTGACCAACCACCCACACATCTACCCATTTATCTGTGCATTCACCCACCTCCCTACCCAGGCTTCCACCCACCTACCCATCAACTCACCCATCCATCCACCCACACATCCCATTATCCATATATCCACCCACCCACCACCCACTATCCATCCATCCATCCATACCTACATACACCCATTCATCTATGATACATCTCCAAACATAAACTGAGCCCTTGGCTGGGCACGGTAGCTCACGCCTGTAATCCCAGCACTTTAGGAGGCTGAGGCAGGTGGATCACCTGAGGTCAGAAGTTCGAGACCAGCCTGGCCAACATGGTAAAACCCTGTCTCTACTAAAAATACAAAAATTAGCCAGGTGTGGTGGCATGTACCCATAGTCCCAGCTACTCTGGAGGCTGAGGCAGGAGAATCACTTGAACCCAGGAGGCGGAGGTTACAGTGAGCCAAGATCAACCTGGGCAATAAAGTGAGACTCCATCTAAAAAAAAAAAAAAAAAAAAATTGAGCCCTCACTCCATCCTGACATGCCTCAGGTAGGGTCTGGATCTTGAGAAGATTCTGGTCTTGTGGGGAAGTTGGCAACCCCAGTGACAATCCAGTGTAACAGTTCAAACAATAAAACGTAGTTTCCCCATAGGAGGGAGTCATCAGCTATCTCTGGGGTATCAGGGAAGATTTCCTAGAGGAAGTGGCCTCTGGATGGGGCACTGAAGGATGAATAGGAGTCCACTGGGCAGAGTAGGGAGTAATGTGGAAGGGGGGCATTATTTGACTTTCCCAGGCCTTGAGTCTTCTGTGGCCTGGTATGATGGCGGCACTTTAGAGCATCTTCTCATTTAGTCCTTACAACGATCCCGAAAGGGGAGACTATTAACAATTTTAATTTCATAGATAAGAAGACTGAGGTTCAGAGAGAAGAGGTCACTTGCACAGGTCTACCCTGCTCACAAAAGCAGAGGGAACAGCATGTGCAAAGGCCCAGGGTAGGGAGGCAGCCTAGAGTTTCCAAAGCCCAGATCAGAGTTTGACTCTCTCTGGATTAAACCATTTGTGGCTCCCTAGTGCCATCTGGACAAAGTCCTAACTCCTTAGTTTAGCATCCATCTGTCCATCCATCCCCTGAGCCCCTCTGTGCCCAGCCCTGTGCTGGGTAATGTTGGGGACACAACAGTGACCATGACAGCCTCAGCCCTGCCCTCATGGGGCACAAAGTCTAGTGAAGGGGACAGACCCATCCCCAGATGGTGATGCCCCAGAACGGGCAGGGCTGGGATGGTGAAGCCAAGGAACTGGAGGAGCTCACAGGGGGCGGGTGTTGGACCTGGGATGGGGGGAGGTGTTTAGAGAGGGCTTCCTGGAGGAGGGGGCATCTGACCCAGACTAGAGGATTCAAGGAGGGCTGCCTGGAGGAGAGGACTTTGGAGGTGAGACCAGCAGAATGGGAGGAGTGAAGCAGGAGAGGAGCATCTGCAGAGGGAATAGCACGTGCCAAGGCCAGGAGAGCTTGGAAATCTCGTGGCTGTGAGACAGCCCCAGCCCCCTACACACAAGGAGGAAGTTCTCTTTGGACTGGGTTGAGGCAGGCGGCCGGACAGGTGGCTAATGAATTCAGGGCCAGCAGAAAAGCCCTGGGGATGAGAGTGGAGGCCTGCACAGGGCTTATGCATGGAGGCGGGTGCTGGAGGCCGAGCCTGGGAGAGAGATGGGCAGGCGTATCCAGGCCAGGTAGGGCAGTGGGCGACTCAGCTCTTTCATGGCCAAGTGTGGGTAGGGATGGTCTGGGGTGAGTGTCAGGGGACCTTTGGGGTCAGTAGTGATGGAGGGGTCTTCTCATCCCACTGCCTGGCTGCCCAGTGGGCTCTTTTCTCTGCTCCTTTCTGTCTCCTTTTCTGTCTCTCCACTCCTGATCATGGCTCACTGTAGCCTCGACCTCCCCAGGTTAAGCGATCCTCTGGCCTCAGCCTCCCAAGTGGCTGAGACTACAGGCGTGCGCCACCATACCTGGCTAATTTTTATTTTTATTTTTGTAGAGACGGGTCTCGCTTTGTTCCCCAGGCTGGTCTCGAACTCCTGGGCTCAAGCGATCCCCCTGCCTCTGCCTCCCAAAGTGTTGGGGTTACAGGCATGAGTCACCGCGCCCAGCCTCCTGTCTCTCTTTCTCTCTCTCCATTTCGTCTATTTCTTCATGACTTCTTCTCTCTCTTCCCATGTCGTTCTCTCTGACTCCCTCCAGGTCTGTCTCTGTCCTACTCTGCCTGTCTCTCTCCTTGTTCTCTGTCTCTGTCTGTAGGTCTCTCCCTCCCTCACCTCCACTCTGATTCTCTGTCTCCCTCTTTCTCGTCACTGCGTCTCTTCTCTCTGTGACCCTCCCACATCCCTGTGCCATTCCCCGCCAGCCACTCTCTCTGTGTCCCCCTCACATTGGGGCTGATGAGGCCTGCACAGATGGGCTGGGGTGGGGCCAGGCCCCCTGCCCGCTCCTGACTTGGCCTCTCCTCCCCTCTCCACAGACCCAGCCTCCGGCTGTGACCCCCAGCCTCACACCTGCCTCTGGTTCCCGCCTGGTCCTCCAGCTTCAGGACCCCACCTCCAAAGGCCCCTCTGCTCAATGCCTACCTCCCTAGGGCCCTGCTGGGACATGGGGGCCTGAGTGCCCATCCAAGGGCTCTCAAGGACACCGGCAAGGCCTCCAGGCCCTGAGCCCCACTTCTGCCTTCACCTCTGCCTGGGACCCGAGCTGGGCTCCTGGGCCTTGGTCCCCAGAAGATGGCGGCTAGGGCCTCGCCGCCAGGACAGAGAAGGGACGGGGTGGCTGGGCAGTCAGGGAAGGAGGGTCGCCCGGATCCGACATTTTGGAGAGATTCCTTCACTCTCCTGTCCCCCCTACCTCCCTTCTCTAATTTCTTCTTTTTTTTAATGATAAAGTCTTAAAAACACGGAGCCACCAACTGGAGTTCTTGTGTCTATCCCAAGATTTCAAATTCTTACCAATTTGAAGCTCGTAAATCACGAATAAGAATACTGATTGGCCGGCTGCAAGCACGATGGCTCACGCCTATAATCCCAACCCTTTGGGAGGCCAAGGCGAGTGGATCACTTAAGGCCAGGAGTTCAAGACCAGCCTGGCAACATAGTGAGACCCCATCTCTACGAAGCAAGCAAACGAATTGCTTGGGCATGGTGGTGCACGCCTGCAGTTTCAGCTACTTGGGAGCCTCCCAGAGTGCTGGGATTACAAACGAGCCACCAGGCCTGGCCAAGACTCCACCTCTTAACTAGAGGGAGCTGCAGAATTCCTGCAAGAGATGTGTGTGCAGGGGAGAATGAAGACTCAGGGCCACGCCTGCGTCACTTCACCAGCTGTGGCTGTCCAATCACGTCCTCTGTCCCATGGGAAATGAGCAGGTTAGGCAGGCACACCCTCACTTCCAAGGCTTCCGGACGGACGTGGGTTTGAATCTCGCCTCTGGAACGCAACAGCTATGGCACCTCGGGTTACGACTTCACCTGGCTGGGCCCCGGTTTCCACATCTGGAGAATGGGGAGAGCGGCCGTGCCTGTCTCGTAGGATGATTGTGCTGATGGTGGAGGTATTTCGAGGGACACATGGGGAACTGTGCCACGTGTGTCAGCGCCCATCACAGGCAGAGGCTGTCCTTTGTAACTAGGAAAACTGAGGCTCAGAAACCAGTGTGAGTCCCTTGGGGTTCTCAGTTTTCCAGATCTCTGTCCCCTCCACCCCCCAGAGAGAGAGACCACCAAGGCAGAGTGTGGATCGCTCCCCTGTTTGGCTCTGTCTCTCTCCCTCTGGTACCTTTTTTTTTTTTTTTTTTTTTTTTTTTTGAGAGGGAGTCTCACTTTCTTGCCCACACCAGGCTGGAGTGCAATGCTGGGATCTCAGCTCACTGCAACCTCCACCTCCTGGGTTCAAGCGATTCTCCTGCCTCAGCCCCCTGAGTAGCTGGGATTACAGGCATGCGCTACCACGCCCGGCTACTTTTTGTATTTTTAGTAGAGACGGAGTTTCACCATGTTGGCCTGGCTGGTCTTGAACTCCTGACCTCAGGTGATCCACCCACCTCCACTTCCCAAAGTGCTGGGGTTACAGGTATGAGCCACCGCGCCCAGCCATTCTTTCTGTCTCTGTCTTGTTCAGACCTTGTCTCTCTCTGTCCCCTTCCCCACTGGAAACCCACATCTTCGGGGCCTCCCCCTCCCTTCTCCTTCAGAGGCCAGGTGAGCTCTTTCCTTCAGACCCGGGCTGCTTCGTCTTGGCTCACTGCCTTCCAGTCCCCTCTCCCAAGTGCCCCTCAGCCCCTCCGCCATCCAAGCGCCCCCTTTGCCATCCTCTCCCCAGAGCCATCCTTGGACCTCTGAGTCTCTCGGGCACCCCCAACCACGTACACTGCTGCTCTGTGCTCAAGGCCCAAGGGGCACGTGTGTGGGTTTTTGAAGGACCCCGTGAAAAATGTGTTCCTGGACCCCCGGAGTCCCTTTGGGGTGGGCCTGGATGGAGAGATTTGCACAGAGACACACATCGCTACAAACAGACACACATGCAAATACGCACATGCACACTCGGAAACATACACACACATAAAGGATGCACAGAAGATATGCCACACTCAGCCGGGCGCGGTGGCTCACGCCTGTAATCCCAGCACTTTGAGAGGCCGAGGTGGGAGGATCACTTGAGGTCAGGAGTTCAAGACCAGCCTGGCCAACATAGCGAAACCCCGTCTCTACTAAAATACAAAAAATTAGCCAGGTGTGGTGGCACATGCCTGTAATCCCAGCTACTCAGCAGGCTGAGGCAGGAGAATCACTTGAACCCAGGAGGTGGTAGAGGTTGCAGTGAGCTGAGATCATACCACTGCACTCCAGCCTGGACAACAGAGCGAGATTCCGTCCCCCTCTGCCCCCCGAAAAAAAGAAAGAAAATATCCGCTGAGCAGACGAGTGAATGAACAAAATCTTAGGATAGGCCAGGAGTGGTGGCTCACGCCTGTGATCCCAGCATTTTGGGAGGCAAATCACTTGAGGACACAGCCTGGGCAACATGGTGAAACCCCATCTCTACTGAAATATAAAAATTAGCCGGGCATGGTGGCGGGCGCCTGTAGTCCCAGCTACTTGGCAAACTGAAGCAGGAGAATCCCTTGAACCCAAAAGGTGGAGGTTGCAGTGAGCTGAGATCATGCCACTGCACTCCAGCCTGGGTGACAGAGCGAGACTCCATCTCAAAAAAGGAAGAAAGGGATGAGTGTCACAAAAAGCAGAACAGGCACAGGATGAGAGCATGGGCTGCCACTTTTATGACCTTATGGAGCCCTTCAGTAAGTGCTGTGTCCCAGGCTCTGTTCTAGGAGCCGTATACCTGGGAATCTGTTAAACCCTATGGCAGCCCCAGGAGGTGGGTGCCATCACGGTCCCCATTTCCCAGGTGAGGAAGCAGGACCAGAGAGGTGAAGTGGCTCATCCAAGGTCACACAGCTGGAGATTGTGAGGCTGGGCTCCATTTGAACCCAGGCAGCCTGGCTCCAGGGCCTGGACACTAACCACTGTGCTTCCAGCCTCTCTTTTCTTTTTTTTTTTTTGAGATGGAGTCTCACTGTCTCTCTCACCCAGGCTGGAGTGCAATGGTGTGATCTCAGCTCATTGCAACCTCCACCTCCCAGGTTCAAGTGATTCTTCCACATCAGCCTCCCGAGTAGCTGGAATTACAGACACCCACCATCATGCCCGGCTAATTTTTGTACTTTTGTAGAGATGGGGTTTCGCCATGTTGGCCAGGCTAGTCTCGAACTCCTGACCTCAGGTGATCCGCCGCCTCGGCCTCCCAAAGTGCTGGGATTACAGGCGTGAGCTGCCACGCCCGGCCCCAGCCTCTTTTTCTTAAAATAGAATTCTCTGAAATTCTAATTTTTATTTATTTATTTATTTAATTTTTTTGAGACAAGAGTCTCACTCTGTCGCCCAGGCTGGAATGCAGGGGTGTGATTTCAGCTCACCACAACCTCCTCCTTCCAGGTTCAAGCAATTCTGCTGCCTCAGCCTCCCAAGTAGCTTGGACTACAGGCATGCACCACCAGGCCTGGCTAATTTTTGTAATTTTTAGTGGAGACGGGGTTTTGCTGTGTTGGCCAGGCTGGTCTCGAACTCCTGACCTCAAGTGATCCACCTGCCTCGGCCTCCCAAAGTGCTGGGATTACAGATGTGAGCCACCGTGCCTGGCCTGATTTTTAATTTTTTAAATTGCTTTTGTTTTTGAGATAGGGTCTCCCTCTGTAATCACAGCTCATTGCAGCCTCAAACTCCAACACTCCAGCAATCCTCCTTCCTTAGCCTCCTCAGCAGCCGAGACTACAGGCACAAACCACCATGCCTGGCTAATTATTTATATTTGTTGGTAGAGATGGCTTTTCATGGTGTTCCCAGGCTGGTCTTGAACTCCTGGGTTCAAGCCGTCCAGCCGCCTCGGCCTCCCAAGATGCTGGGAATACTGGCGTGAGCTACCGCACCTGGCCTGATATTGTTTTCGTGACTATGATGAGAGTTTCTCTCTCCCAAAACTCCCCGGGACTCAGGTGGGATGGGTGATGGGTGGACAGCAGGAAGGACTTCAAACAATCACCCTCCCTTGATGGCAGGTGGGGGAAGGAATATGGGGGAGGGGCAGGGCCAGGCCAAGACTTTGAGGTCGGCTGAGAGGGGAGGCAGTTGCTTAGTGTATCCCCTGCCTGGTGCTGGGAAGGGGTCCCAGCGGCTGGTACACTGGGAAGTTGGGGAGGGGACAGCTCTCCTCTTCCCCTCCTCCCCCTTTTCCCAGAATCTGGAAATGCCTCTCATTAACTTAATCATCTCTAATTAAACCAATTGGATGTGCCTGGGGAGAAGGGAAATTGGGTGGGAGGTTAATTGTAACTAAAAATATCTCCCCCACTTCCTGAGAGGAGGAAGCAGCCACTGGACCTGCGTGTATGGTAGGTTGGCATCTCAGAGCAGGAGGGGCCCCTGGTTCAGGGGCATCCTGGGTCGTGGGGTGAGGACCCAGGGGATAGGCAGGCGGGGCTCGGGGGCTGCAGTTGGTGTGTGTCTGACCCCTGTGTGTCCTCTGGGCCTGTGGACTTGGAATGTGGTGGTCGAGGGCAGTGGTTGAGGGATGTCGGTGTGGCTGGAGGCACCGCCCGTGTCCTGTTGCTGAATGTGGTGTGTGTGTCTGTCGCTGAGTGGCGGTGTCCGTCACACGTGCCTTGGTATAGGTTGTGTGTCTCTGTGTAGGTTCCTGACTGTGACGATGAGACTTTTCATGCGCGTCCGTGTGAAGAGACCACCAAACAGGCTTTGTGTGAGCAATAAAGCTGTTTATTTCACCTGGGGGCAGGAGGGCTGAGTCCAAAAAGAGAGTCAGTGAAGGGAGATAAGGGCGGGGCTGTTTTACAGGATTTGGGTAGGTAAAGGAAAAAGGGGGGTTGTTCTCTGGTGGGCAGGAGTGGGGGGTCACAAGGTACTCAGTGGGGGAGCTTTTGAGCCAGGATGAGCCAGGAGAAGGAATTTCACAAGACAGTGACATCAGTTAAGGCAGGAACAGGCTATTTTCACTTCTTTTGTGGTGGAATGTCATCAGTTAAGGCCGGGTAGGGCATATTCACTTGTTTTGTGATTCTTCAGTTACTTCAGGCCACCTGGGCGTATACGTGCAAGTCACAGGGGATGCGATGGCTTGGCTTGGGCTCAGAGGCCTGACATTCATGCCTTCTTATATTAATAAGAAAAATAAAACAAAATAGTGTTGAAGTGTTGGGGCGGCGAAAATTTTTTTGGGGGGTGGTATGGAGAGAGAATGGGCGATTTCTCGGGGCTGCTTCAAGCGGGATTAGGGGCGGCGTGGGAACCTAGAGTGGGAGAGATTAAGCTGAAGGAAGATTTTGTGGTAAGGGGTGATATTGTGGGGTTGTTAGAAGAAACATTTGTCATTTAGAATTATTGGTGATGGCCTGGGTACAGTTTTGTATGAATTGAAAAACTAAATGGAATAAGAGAAGGAGAAAAACAGGTATAAAATGTCTAAGAATTGGGACGACTCAGGACATCTGATTAGAGAGTGCCTAAGGAGATTCAGCATAGTCCTGCCAGCAAAGATTATTTGTTTACTTCAGGAGTTAAGAGTGGCAGTTTGGGGATAGCACGAGGAGATATCAGCTGTGATGGCTTGGAGAAACAGTGTAAACCGGCAGTGTGAACAAGAGCAGGGCACGTATGAGTAGTTGAGAACGGAGAATAGGAGTATGACTAGACAGAAGATAGTAGGGATGACAAGTTTTTTGGGGGCACAGTCTAAGTTGGTCCGGTGTCTGGAATGAGACTGGGGCCTAATAAAAAGGATTGTCCATACAGGAGCTCAAATAGGCTGTACCCTGCAGCATTCTGAGAAGCGAAAGAGGTAAAAGTATTGTCCAGTCCTTTTTAAGTTGGCGGCTGAGCTTGGTGAGGTGTGTTTTTAAAAGACCTTTAGTCTGTTCTACTTTTCCTGAAGACGGAGGACCGTAAGGGATATAAAGGTTTCACTGAATACTAAGAGCCTGAAAAACTGCTTGGCTGATTTGACTAATAAAGGCTGGTCTGTTATCAGACTGTATAGAGGTGGGAAGGCTAAACTGAGGAATTATGTCTGACAGAAGGGAAGAAATGACTGCGGTGGCCTTCTCAGACCTTGTAGAAAAGGCCTGTACCTATCCAGTGAAAGTGTCTGCCTAGACTAAGAGGTATTTTGGTTTCCTGACTCGGGGCATGTTGAGTAAAGCTAATTTGCCAGTCCTGGGTGGGGGCAAATCCCTGAGCTTGATGTGTAGGGAAGGGAGGGGGCCTGAATAATCCCTGAGGAGTAGTAGAACAGCAGATGGAACACTGAGAAGTGATTTCCTTGAGGACAGATTTCCACGATGGAAAGAAAATGAGAGGTTCTAAGAGGCGGGCTAGTGGCTTGTACTATAGCATAGCCTGCCTTTGCTGGTGTGTGGCGATTAGGCCTGGTGGAACTGCCATCAGTAAATCAAGCGTGATCAGAGTGAGGAACAGGAAAGAAGGAAATATGGGGAAATGGGGTGAATATCAGGTGGATCAGAGAGATACAGTCATGGGGGTCAGGTGTGGTATCAGGAATAATGTGGGAGGCCAGATTGAAGTCCGGGCCAGGAACAATGGTAATTGTGGGACTTAAGAGTGAGTGCAGCTGAAGGAGCCGGGGAGCAGAAAGTACATGCGTCAGGTATGAGGAAGAAAATAGATTTTGGAAGTTATGAGAAATGTAGAGAGTGAGTTGAGCATAGTTTGTGATTTTTAGGGCCTCTAAAAGTATTAAAGCAGCGGCAGCCGCTGCACGCAGACATGAGGGCTAGGCTAAAACAGTAAGGTCAAGTTGTTTGGACAGAAAGGCTACAGGGTGCGGTCCTGGCTCTTGTGTAAGAATTCTGACCACACTAACCATGCCTAGGAAGGAAAGGAGTTGTTTTATAAGGGATTGAGGTTTGGGAGATTAATTGGACACGATCAGCAGGGAGAGCACCTGTGTTTTTATGATAATTATGCTGAGATAGGTAACAGATGAGGATGAAATTTGGGCTTGACTGAAGTAATGGGGGCTGTCTGTGAAGCCTTGCGGCAGTACAGCCCAGGTAGTTTGCTGAGCCTGATGGGTGTCAGGGTCAGTCCAAGTGAAAGCGAAGAGAGGCTGGGATGATGGGTGCAAAGGAAGAGTAAAGAAAGCATGTTTGAGATCCAGAACAGAATAATGGGTTGAGGAGGGAGGTATTGAGGATAGGAGAGTATATGGGTTTGGCACCATGGGGTGGATAGGCAAAACAATTTGGTTGATAAGGCACAGATCCTGAACTAACCTGTAAGGCTTGTCTGGTTTTAGGACAGGTGAAATGGGGGAATTGTAAGGGGAGTTTGTAGGCTTTAAAAGGCCATGCTGTAGCAGGAGAGTGATAACAAGTTTTAATCCTTTTAAAGCGTGCTGTGGGATGGGATATTGGCGTTGAGCGGGGTAAGGGTGATTAGGTTTTAATGGGATGGTGATGGGCATGTGATCGGTTGCCAGGGAAGGAGTAGAGGTATCTTATACTTGTGGGTTAAGGTGGGACACAAGAGGAAGACGCGAAGGAGGCTTTGGGTTGGGAAGAAGGGCGGCAATGAGATGCAGCTGTAGTCCAGGAACAGTCAGGGAAGCAGATAATTTGGTTAAAATATCTCGGCCTAATAAGGGAACTGGGCAGGTGGGGATAACTAAAAGGAGTGCTTTAAAGAGTATCGTCTAAGTTGGCACCAGAGTTGGGGAGTTTTAAAAGGTTTAGAAGCCTGGCTGTCAATACCCACAACAGTTATGGTGGCAGGGAAACAGGCCCTTGAAAATAAGGTAATGTGGAGTGGGTGGCCTCCATATTGATTAAGAAGGGGACGGACTTACCTTCCACTGTGAGAGTTGCATGAAGCTTGGCGTCTGTGATGGTCTAGGGGGCTTCCGAGGCGATCGGGCAGCATCAGTCTTCAGCCGCTAAGCCGAGAAGATCTGGGAAGCAGTCAGAGAGCCTTGGGCCAGAGCTTTAGGGGCTCTAGGAGTGGCTCCTGGGTGAGCTGGGCAGTCTGCCTTCCAGTGGGTCCCTGCACAGATGGGACATGGCTTGGAAGGAATCCTGGGCTGTGGGCATTCCTTGGCCCAGTGGCCAGATTTCTGGCACTTGAAGCAAGATCCTGATGGAGGAAGTCTTGTAGGAATGCTTGACTGCTGCTGCTTAGGCATTTTGAAGTTCTTGTAGCTGGAGGTATGGCTGGGTTTTGTCTCACAGCAGAGACAAGTAATTGTAACTCAGAAATGCGTTGCCATCTGGCTGCTTCCTCTCTATTATTGTACACCTTGAAGGCGAGGTTGCTTAATTCCTGTTGTGGGGTTTGAGGGCCAGATTCTAATTTTTGAAGTTTTTTCCTAATGTCAGGAGTGGACTGAGTGATAAAATGCATATTAAGAATAAGGCGGCCTTCTGGCCCTTCTGGGTCTAGGGCGGTATAGCGTCTAAGTGTTGCTGCTAAGTGGGCCACGAACTGGGCTGGGTTTTCCTCTTTACCTTGGGTAGTTTCTTTAAGTTTGTCATAATTAACAGCTTTGTAAGCTGCCTTTTTAAGCCCTTCAACTAGGTAGGAAACCATGTAATCTCACCTAGCTATACCTGGGGAATTTGCCTGATAGTTCCATTGGGGACCCTCTCGGGGAACTGCTCTACTGCCTTCCTGGAGGTCTGGCTCATGAAGCCGGCGGTTATCAGCGTGAGATTGGGCTAGAGAAAAACTCTTTCCCACTCATCTGGGGAGAGGGCAGAAGTCAGGATGATATTAAGTCACTCCAGGTTAAGTTGTAGGACAGAGTTAGATATCGGAATTCCTGTATATGTTTAGTGGGGTCTGATGAGAAAGAGCCTAAACGCTGACTCACCTGAGAGAGGTCTGATAGAGAAAAACGTACATGTACCCTGACTGTGCCTTCAGCTCCAGCCACCTCTCTAAGAGGAAATTGTTGGGCAGGTGGGGAAGAGCTAGTCGTGGAACTAAACTGTAAGCTGGACAGGGTGTGAGGACACCCTGGGTGTGAGGACGACAGAAGGATTATCGGGTGGAGGAGCGGAGGCTGAGGAAGAATTGGGACTTAGCTCGGCCTGGCGAGGAGGGGAGAGGTCAGATGGGTCTGTAGAAAAGGAAGACTGGAAAGACTCAGCGACGCTTGGGGTTGGGACTGAGGGGACAGGCGGGAGGGAAAGAAGGAGGATTTGGGACGAGTTGCATTGGGAACAGAGACTAGAAAGGGACCGATGTGTAAAAGAATACCTGGACGTCAGGCACCTCAGACCATTTGCCCATTTTTTGACAAAAAATATTTAGGTCTTGTAGGATGGAGAAATCGAAAGTGCTGTTTTCTGGCCATTTAGAGCCATTGCCCAGTTTGTATTGGGGCCAAGCGGTGTTGCAGAAGAAAACAAGGGGTTTAGGTTTTAGGTCAGGTGTGAGTTGAAGAGGTTTTAAGTTCTTGAGAACACAGGCTAAGGGAGAAGAAGGAGGAATGGAGGGTGGAAGGTTGCCCATAGTGAAGGAGGCAAGCCCAGAGAAAAGAGAGCATAGAGACACGGAGGGAAGGGGTTCGGGGGTTCTTACCCTCCAGAAAAGTGGGAAAGGGGTCGGGATGTGGAAATAAGGGATTGGGGGTTCTTGCCCCCTAGAAAAGGTGGAGAAGGGGTAGAGACACAGAAGGGGTTGGGGTACTTGCCCCTCCCCCAGAAAAGCGGGACTTGCCGCTAAGGGTGAAAGACCAAGGCAGGCATCCCTGCGCGGTCTGACACCTCTGAAACCTGGGTGAATAATCAGAGAGGTGTCCCTGCAATGATTAAACACCAAGGGAAGGCTGCCTTCCCAGTCCGTGACCGGCACCGGAGTTTTGGGTCCACAGATAAAACGTGTCTCCTTTGTCTCTACCAGAAAATGAAAGGAATTGAAATTAAGAGAAGGGAGAGATTGAAGTGTGGTGCCAAGATTGAAAGGAGAAAGAGGTTGAGGGATAGTGAGGGAGGTTGGAGAAGAGAGTAAAAAGAGGCCGCTTACCGGATTTGAAATTGGTGAAATGTTTCTTGGGCTGGTGGGTCTGAGGACCTGAGGTCACAGGTGGATCTTTTCTCACGGAGCAAAGAGCAGGAAGACAGGGGATTGATCTCCCAAGGGAGGTCCCCTGATCCGAGTCATGGTACCAAATTTTATGCGCGTCCATGTGAAGAGACCACCAAACAGGCTTTGTGTGAGCAATAAAGATGTTTATTTCACCTGGGTGCAGGAGGGCTGAGTCGGAAAAGAGAGTCAGTGAAGGGAGATAAGGGTGGGGCCGTTTTATAGGATTTGGGTAGGTAAAGGAAAAAGGGGGGTTGTTCTCTGGCGGGCAGGAGTGGGGGGTCACAAGGTGCTCAGTAGGGGAGCTTTTGAGCCAGGATGAGCCAGGAGAAGGAATTTCACAAGATAGTGTCATCAGTTAAGGCAGGAACAAGCTATTTTCAATTCTTTTGTGGTGGAATGTCATCAGTTAAGGTGGGGCAGGGCATATTCACTTGTTGTGTGATTCTTCAGTTACTTCAGGCCACCTGGGCGTATACGTGCAAGTCACAGGGGATGTGATGGCTTGACTTGGGCTCAGAGGCCTGACAAGACTGAACTAGGGTTGGGATTGTGTGACAAGCTGGTCTCTATCAACCGTGTCTGTGTCCACGGCATTGTTGTGTTGCGATCGCGCTCCTCCTAGGTCAGAACTTACAGTGGGAGTTTGGGAGGCCGAAGTGGGTGGATCACCTGAAATCAGGAGTTCAAGACCAGCCTGGCCAACATGGTGAAATCCTGGCTCTTTACAAATACAAAAATTATGGTGGGCACGGTGGCTCTCGCCTGTAATCTCTGCACTTTGGGAGGCCAAGGCAGGCGGATCACTGAGGTCAGGGGTTCGAGACCAGCCTGGCCAACAAGATGAAACCCCATCTCTACTAAAAATACAAAACAATTAGCTGGGTGTGGTGGCGGGTGCCTGTAATCCCTGGCTACTCAGGAGGCTGAGGCAGGAGAATTGCTTGAACCTGGGAGGCGGAGGTTGCAGTGAGCTGAGATTACGCCACTGCACTCCAGCCTGGGTGGACAGAGCAAGAATCGGAAAGCCTGACTCCAATGGGGATAATTGGATCTCAGGGTGGCAGGGACCAAGTGACAGAACTTAATGACCAAAGGCAAGGTGGGTGGTTACCGCTTGGACAGCAGAGTCAGAGCAGCCACCAGAGTGCTATGACTTGGCCGGGCGGTGGTTCATGCCAGTAATCCCAACACATTGGGAGGCCCAGGTGGGAGAATCTCTTAAGGCCAGGAGTTCGAGACTAGCCTGGGCAACATAGTGAGACCTGTCTCTACAAAAAGTTTAAACAATTAGCCAGATGTGGTGGTGCAGGCCTGTGGTCCCAGCTACTCGGGAGGCTGAGGCAGGAGGATCACTTGAGCCCAGGAGGTCGAGGCTGCAGTGAGCTGTGATTGTGCCACTGCACTCCAGCCTGGGCAACAGAATGAGACTCTATCTCTAAAGATAATACATTTTTAAAAAGAATTCCAGGAATCCACCCCTAACACCAGCCCCTCCCCTCCCTCTGCAGAACAAAGGCCCCATCAGAGGGGACATGCTGGGCGTCAGGGTCGGCTTCCGGGAGGAGGAAGGTGGGAGCTAAGACCTGAAGGATGATGAGGCGTGATGTGGGTGGAGGGGAGAAGCTCAGGAGATGGGGAAGGCGGAGGTGCACAGGCCCTGACAGGATAGAGGGAGCCGCGGAAGGGAGGCCGGCCTGGTGGAACCTTGAGGGAAGGCAATGATCCTGCATCCCTCCAGGGGGCGCTGGAGAGCCATAGAGTTCTTTTTGTTAACAGCTTCATTGAGACCTGATTCATACATAAAATTCACCCATTTAAAGCGTACAGTTCAATGGCTTTTAGTGTATTTATAGGGTTGTGCACCTGTCACCACAATCAATTCTAGAATATTTTCAACATCCCCAAAAGAAACTCTGAACCTCCTAACAGTGATCGCCGGCCCCCAGTCCTCGGCAACCACTAATCCCCTTTCTGTCTCCATGGGTTTGCCTATTCTGGACATTTCACGTAAGTGGAATCACGCTACACTGCCCTTTGTGACTGGCTTCTTTCAGTAGCATGTCTTCCAGCTGCAGCACTGCTGTAGTGTCTGTCAGTCATTCCATTTTTTTGTGTGTATTTTTTGTTTTGTTTCTTTTTTAGAGACAGGGTCTCGCTCCGTTGCCCAGGCTGAGTGCAGTGGTGTGATCTCGGCTCACTGCAACCTGGATCACCCAGGCTCAAGCGATCTTCCCACCTCAGCCTCTCAAATAGCTAGGACTACAGGCATATACCACCACGCCCAGCTATTTTTTGTATCTTTTGTAGAGATGGGGTCTCACTATGTTGTCCAGGCTGGTCTCGATCTCCTGGGCTTAAGCCTCAGCCTCCCAAAGAGCTAGGATTAAAGGCGTGAGTCACCACGCCCAGCCTGTCATTCCTTTTCATTGCTGAATGATATTTCATTGTCCTGGAAGAACTCTGAGCAGAGAAGGGACAGAGTCGGGCTAGCGCTTTATCCCTCCAGTGGATTAGACGGGGTAGGATGGGTTGAATTGTGTCCCGCCAGAGGGTATGCTAATTCCTCTTCCCAGCGCCTGTGCATGTGACCTTATTTGGAAAAAGGGTCTTTTCAGATGAGGTCATAGGGTGGGCTCTGGTCCAATATGACACATGCCCTTCTATAAAAGGGGACTGCCGGCAGTGTGACAGAAGCTAGAGAGAGGCAGGGAAGACTCCTGGCAGGTTCCCGAGGGAGCTCAGCCCAGCCAACACCTTGACTTCCAATTTCTGGCCCCCAAGAATGTGAGAGATCTGTTGTTTCAAGTCATCCAGTCTGTGGGGTTTTGGTACACAGGGAGGCAGAGTGGAGGCGAGAGGGTGGCGAGGAGGGGAGGAGCACAGGGAGGGAGGGGCTCATCCAGGGACTGCAGGAAGGTGCATAAAGGATATTGGGGCCCAGCATGGTGGCTCATGCCTGTAATCCCAGTACTTTGGGAGGCCGAGGTGGGAGGATCACTTGAGGTCAGGAGTTCGAGACCAGCCTGGCCAACATGGTGAATCCCTGTCTCTACTAAAAATACAAAAATTAGCCAGGCGTGGTGGCGGGCATTTATAATCCCAGCTACTCAGGAGGCTGAGGCAGGACAATCATTTGAACCCAGGAGGCAGAGCCTGCAGTGAGCTGAGATGGTGCCACTGCACTCCAGCCTGCATGACAGAGCAAGACTCCATCTAAAAAAAAAAAAGAGAGAAAGGATATTGGGAAACAGAGCCAGGCATTTTGGAGATGAGGGTGTCACCAAAATGAGCATGTGTCACCTTCCAGGGATGGTCAGTGTGTGGCTGCTACAGCAACTGGCAGGGGGTAAACAGCAAAACATGGCTGGGTGCAGTGGCTCACGCCTGTAATCCCAGCACTTTGGGAGGCAGAGGTGGGAGGATCGCTTGAGCCCAGGAATTCAAGACCAGCCTGGCCAACATAGTGAAACCCCACCTCTACTAAAAATACAAAAAGTTTAGCCAGGCGTGGTGGTGCATGCCTGTAGTCTCAGCTACTTGGGAGGCTGAGGCACAAGAATTGTTTGAATCTGGGAGGCGGAGGTTGCAGTGAGCCGAGATTGCACTACTGCACTCCATCCTGGGTGACAGTAAAAGACTCTGTCTCAAACACACGTGCGCACACACACACAGCAGAAGATGGAGGGAGGAAGGACAGGGCCTACGGACTCATTGGGTGCAGCAGGTAAGAGAGAAAACCTATACCCATATTGCTGACTTGGGAAGTAGCCCTATTTGTCTCTGATGTCACAGAAGAAGAGTGACAGTCAAATGTTGGTTACTTTTCCTGTTGCCTTAGTGATCACTGTAGCTGATGTTTGCTGAGAACCGTTTATGTGCCAATCCCTGCTCTAAGCACGTGGACTAATGCATCAACTCTCAACAACAACTTGTGAGGTGGGAACGATCCTTAACTTCCTTTTACAAATGATAAAGCAGCCATACAAAATGAGGATGACAACATTCTCCTTGCCTACTCCCGGCCCACAGGGCTCTCTGTGATTCAGCAATGGTTGGCCCCTGGTGAGGGGAAACTGTGGCCTGGGCGCCTGCACTATGTTTGTGCAAGATCTGTATTCTGAAAATTATGAAATATTGCTAAATTAAAGAAGAACCGACCAGGCGCGGTAGCTCACGCCTGTAATCCCAACACTTTGGGAGGCTGAGGCAGGCAGATCACTTGAAGCCAGGAGTTTGAGACCAGCCTGGCCAACAGAGTGAAAACCTGTCCCTACAAAAAATAAAAAAATAAAAAATAATAAAAATAAAAAATTAGCTGGGCGTGGTGGTGCTTGCCTGTAATTCCAGCTACTTTGGAGGCTGCAGCATGAGAATCACTTGAATCCAGGAAGTGGAGGTTGCAGTGAGCTGAGATTGAGCCATTGCTCTATTGCACTCCACCCCAGATGACAAAGCGAAAGCGAGAATCTGTCTCTTTTTTTTTTTGAGACAGAGTCTCACTGTGTTGCCCAGGCTGGAGGGCAGTGGCGTGATCTCGGCTCAGCTCACTGCAACCTCTGCCTCCCAAGTTCAAGTGATTCTCCTGCCTCAGCCTCCTGAGTAGCTGGGATTACAGGTGCCCACCACCATGCCAGGCTAATTTTTGCTTATTTATTTACTCTGAGACGGAGTTTCGCTCTGTCGCCCAGGCTGGAGTGCAATGGTGCGATCTCAGCTCACTGTAACCTCTGCTCCCAGGTTCAAGCGATCCTCCCGCCTCAGCCTCCCAAGTAGCTGGGACTACAGGCGCATGCCACCACACCCAGCTAATTTTTGGATTTTTCATACAGACAGGGTTTCACCATGTTGGCCAGGCTGGTCTTGAACTCCTGACCTCAAGTGATCTGCCCGCTTCAGCCTCCCAAAGTGCTGGGATTACTGGCGTGAGCCACTGCGCCCAGCCTAGTCTACTGATTTTCAGTAAAGGTATTAAATTAATTCAATGGGGAAATGAATACTTTTTTCAAAAAATGGTTCTGGAACCATTAGACATCCATATGCAGAAAAATGAGCCATGAGCGTTAACTCACATCATACACAATGCCTAACTGGAAATGGACCACAGACCTAACGGTTTATATTAAAAATCTAAAACTATTAAACTAGAAGAAAACATAAGAAAAAACTTCATGATCTTGAGGGTAGGCAAAGATTTGTTAGGTAGAACAGAAAAAGTAGAAATGACAAAAGAAAATGATAATTTGAAATTCCATCAAAATACAAAACTTCTCTTGTCCAGGAGCAGCAACTCACACCTGTAATCCCAGCACTTTGGAAGGCCAACGTGGGAGGATTGCTTAAGCCCAGTTCGAGACCAGCCTGGGCAACATGGCCAGATGCCATCTCTACAAAAAATACAAAAATTAGTTGGGTGTGGTGGCACCTGCCTGTAGTCCCAGCTACTCAGGAGGCTGAACTGGGAGAATCACCTGAGCCCAAGGAGGCTGAGGCTGCAGTGAGCTGTGATTATGCCACTGCACTCCAGCCTGGGCAACACAGTGAGACCCTATCTCAAAACAACAACAACAACAACAACTTCTGCTCCGCAAAAGACACTGTTAAGAAAATGATAAACGTGGGTCAGGTGCAGTAGTTCATGCCTGTAATCCCAGCACTTTGGGATGCCAAGGTGAGAGGATCACTTGAGCCCCAGGAAGTCAAGACCAGGCTGGGCAATATGGCAAAACCTCATCTCTACAAAAAAAAACAAAAATTAGCCAGGTGTGGTAGCATGTGCGTCTAGTCCCAGCTACTCAGGAGGCTGAGGTGAGAGGATCACCTGAGCCCGGGCAGGTCGAGGCTGCAGTGAGCCATGATCACACCACTGCATTCCAGCCTGGGCAACACAGTGAGACCCTGTCTCAAAAAAACAAATTCTGCTCTGCAAAAGATACTGTTAAGAAAATGATAAAGATGGGTCAGGCGCACTGTTTCACACCTGTAATCCCAGCATTTTGGGAGGCTGAGGCGGAAGGATCACTTGAGGCCAGGAGTTTGAGACCAGCCTGGGTAACACAGCAAGACCCTGCCTGTCTCTACAAAAAATAGAAATAATGAAATGAAAAGGCAAGTATAGACTTGGAGAAAATATTTACAATATGCATATCTAACAAACGACTTGTTTCAGGAATATGTAAACAACTCTTTTTTTTTTTCTTTTTTTTTTTTGAGATGGAGTCTAGATCTGTCATCAATGCTGGAGTGCAGTAGTGCAATCTTGGCTCACTGCAACCTCCACCTCCTGGGTTCAAGCGATTCTCCTGCCTCAGCCTCCCAAGTAGCTGGGATTACAGGTGCCCGCCACCACACCTGGCTAATTTTTGAATTTTTCATAGAGACAAGGTTTCACCGTGTTGGCCAGGCTGATCTCAAACTCCTGACCTCGTGATCCGCCCGCCTCAGCCTCCTAAAGTGCTGGGATTACAGGTGTGAGCTACTGCACCTGGCCTGGAAAACAATTTCTTTTTTTTTTTGAGGCGGAGTTTTGCTCTTGTTGCCCAGGCTGGAGTGCAATGGCGCAATCTCAGCTCACCGCAACCTCAGCTCACCACAACCTCCGCCTCCCGGGTTCAAGCAATTCTCCTGCCTCAGCCTCTGGAGTAGCTGGGATTACAGGCATGCGCCACCATGCCTGGCTAAATTTTGTATTTTTAGTAGAGACGGGTTTTCTTTTTTTTTTTTTTTTTCTTTTTTGAGACGGAGTCTTGCTCTGTCAACCAGGCTGGAGTGCAGTGGCACGATCTTGGCTCACTGCAAGCTCTGCCTCCCGGGTTCACTCCATTCTCCTGCCTCAGCCTCCCGAGTAGCTGGGACTACAGGCGCCCGCCACCACGCCCAGCTAATTTTTTTGTATTTTTAGTAGAGACGGGGTTTCACCGTGTTAGCCAGGATGGTCTCGATCTCCTGACTTTGTGATCCTCCCGCCTCGGCCTCCCAATAGAGACGGGGTTTCTCCATGTTGGTCAGGCTGATCTTGAACTCCTGACCTCAGGTGATCTGCCCGCCTAGGCCTCCCAAAGTGCTGGGATTACAGGCGTAAGCCACTGTGCCCGGCCCCTGGAAAACAATTTTTAAGAGTCCACTAAAACCAAACATATATGCGTGTCCTATAATCACGTCCTATAACCCTGGATACATACAGGACAGAAATGTACAATGTATTCATCAAAATCCAGGTACTGTGTGCTCCTAGTAACGTTATTTGTACCTGGAACCAAGCCTGTGCACCTCCGCCTTTCCCACCTCCTGAGCGTCTCCCCTCCACCCACCTGATACCTCATCATCCTTCAGGCCTTAGCTCTGACCTTCCTCCTCCCAGAAGCTGACGCTGACACCCAGCACGTCCCCTCTGATGGGGCCTTTGTTCTGCAGAGGGAGGGAAGGGCTGGTGTTAGGGGTAGGTTTCTGGAAGCCAAATGTCCCTGGACAAAAGAATGGATATATTGTGATGAATTCATGGAACAGAATGAATGAACCAAGCCCATGCAACCTCATGTTGGGTAAAAGAAGCTAGACACAGACAGCACATTCTTGTGAAGTTTTAGAGTGGCCAGCACTAGAGGACAGATTAAGAATGTTGGTCACGGCCGGGTGCAGTGGCTCACGCCTGTAATCCCAGCACTTTGGGAGGCTGAGGCGGGAGGATCACCTGAGGTCAGTAGTTCAAGACCAACTTGGCCAACATGGTGAAAACCCGTCTCTACTAAAAATGCAAAATTAGCTGGGCATGGTGGCGGGTGCCTGTAATCCCACATACTCGGAAGGCTGAGGCAGGAGAATTGCTTGAATCCCAGAAGCAGAGGTTGCAGGGAGCCGAGATTGCACCGTTGCACTCCAGCCTGGGCGACAAGAGCAAAACTCCATCTCAAAAAAAAAGAATATTGGACACTCCTGGGAGACGGAGGAGCTGGGCTGCAGCGGGTGGAGGGCTGCTGGTGTTTTATTTTTTTATCTGGGTGCTGCTGGCACAGGTATGTTTCATCTGGGAAAATTCACCAAGCTGTTTACTTATAATTTGTGCATGTTAGCCTTCAAGAGGAACATTTTAAAAGACTGTTGAGGCTGAGCGTGGTGGCTCATGCCTGTAATCTCAACATTTTTAGGAGGCTGAGGCGGGCAGATCACCTGAGGTCGGGAGTTCGAGACCAGCCTGACCAACATAGAGAAACCCCCGTCTCTACTAAAAATACAAAATTAGCTGGGTGTGGTGACACTCGCCTGTAATCCCAGGTACTTGGGAGGCTGAGGCAGGAGAACCACTTGAACCCGGGAGGCGGAGGTTGCAGTGAGCCGAGATTGAGCCATTGCACTCCAGCCTCAGCAACAAGAGCGAAACTCCGCCTCAAAAATAAATAAATTAAATAAATACTGTTGAATGAGCCGGGTGCAGTGGCTCACACCTGTAATCTCAGCATTTTGGGAAGCTGAGGTGGGCAGATCACCAAACACAAAATTTAGCCAGGTGTGGTGGTGCACGCTTATAGTCCCAGCTACTCGGGAGGCTGAGGTGGGAAGATCACTTGGTGTCAGAAGGCAGACATTGCAGTGAGCTGAGATTGTGCCACTGCACTCCAGCCTGGGCAACAGAGCAAGACCCCATCTCAAAGAAAAAAAGTATATAAACCCCTAGTTTTAGTTAGGGAGACGGATTTGAGACTGATTTCCCATCTCCTCAGCCACGCATCTGATTAAAGCCTTCTTCCTTGGAAAGAAAGGAAGCCCATGGTTCCAGACCAACCTGGGCATCATGGTGAAACTCTCTACAAAAAACAAACAAAAAAACCTATTCACACCCAAAAATTAGCTGGGCATGGTGGCACATGCCTGTAATCCCAGGTACTTGGGAGACTGATTTGGGAGGATCACTTGAGCCCAGGAGGTGGAGGCTGCAGTAAGCTGAGATTGCACCACTGCACTCCAGCCCGGGCAACAGAACGAGACCCTGCCTCAAAAAAAAAAAAAAAAAAAAAAAAAAAAAAAAAAAAAAAAAAACTGTTGAATGGAATCTGTTACCAAAAATCAGGGGTTCAGTCCAGGTCCTGCTGCTGGTCGCACAGAAAGCCAATCACTAAAGCGAGTATTGCCAAGAAGAAGGCTTTAATGAGATGTGCAGCCAAGGAGATGGGAAATGACTCTCAAATCCATCTCCCTGACTAAGACTAGGGGTTTATATACTTTTTTTCTTTGAGATGGGGTCTTGCTCTGTTGCCCAGGCTGGAGTGCAGTGGCACAATCTCAGCTCACTGCAATGTCTGCCTTCTGACACCAAGTGATCTTCCCACCTCAGCCTCCCGAGCAGCTGGGACTATAGGCGTGCACCACCACACCTGGCTAATTTTTGTGTTTTTTAATAGAGACAGGGTCTTGCTATGTTCCCCATCCCAGTCTGGAACTCCTGGACTCAACTGATCCACCCTTATCGGCCTCCCAAAGTGCTGGAATTACAGGCATGAACCACCATGCCCAACCTTTTTTTTTTTTTCTGTTTCTAATATGGTGAATCAGATTGATTTTCAAATGTTAAATCAACCTTCCATTCCTAGAATAAGCCCCAGTTGGCCATGATGTACTGTATTTATATATTGCTAAATATGATGTGCTGAACTCCTATTTAGGGTTTTTGTCTATGTTCATAAGGCTTAGAGTTTTCTTTTCTTGCATTGTCATAGCCTGCTTTTAGCAGCAGGATAATGCTGACCTCATAACATCAGTCAGGAGGCGTCCTCCCCTATGCTGTGGCCAAGTGGGTGTGGGCGAGTATCATTTCCATGTTTGGTAGACGTCACCAGGGAGCCCATCTGAGCCTGTTCTCTTTGTTAACTATGAATTACATTTCCTTAATAGAGTTGTTCCGGTTATCTATTTCTTCCTGAATGAGCTTTGGGTAGCTAGTGTCTTTCAATAATTTTTTCCATTTCAAATGAGTGAATTTCTGTGTGGCACGTTGTTTATCGTATTCTCTTCTCCTTTTCGCATCTGTAGGACCTACAGGTTGTCCTCCTTCCATTCCTATGCCGTGCCTTCTTTTTCTCCTGAGTGATTTTATTGTTCTTTTCATTTTCTTTTTTTCTTTTAGAGATGGAGTCTCGCTCTGTCACCCAGGCTGGAGTGCAGTGGCACGATCTCGGCTCACAAGCAACCTCCGCCTCCTGGGTTCTAGCAATTCTCCTGTCTCAGCCTCCTGAATAGCTGGGATTACAGGCACACGCTGCCACGCCCAGCTAATTTTTTGTATTTTAATAGAGATGGGGTTTCACCGTGTTGCCCAGGCTGGTCTCAAACTCCTGAGCTCAGGCAAACCACCTGCCTCAGCCTGATTTTTTTTTTTTTTTTTTTGAGATGGAGTTTCACTCTTGTCGCCCAGGCTGGAGTGCAATGGCATGATCTCAGCTCATTGCAACCTCTGCCTCCCAGGTTCAAGTGATTCCCCTGCCTCAGCCTCCCCAGTAGCTGGGATTAAAGATGCCCACCACCACACCCAGCTAAGTTTTTGTATTTCTAGTAGAGACAGGGTTTCACTATGTTGGCCAGGCTGGTCTCGAACTCCTGACCTCAGGCGATCCACCCGCCTCAGCCTCCCAAAGTGCTGGGATTACGGGAGTGAGCAACCATGCCCGGCTCAGCCTGTTCTTTTATTTTTTTATTACGGGAGTGAGCAACCATGCCCGGCTCGGCCTTTTATTTTTTTATTGTGAGTGGGTCTTATGGTGCAGCCTGTGGTCCCACGTGAACACCAGTGCTCCCAGCCCCCCTGCACAACTCTCAAAGTGACCCAGGTGGATGGGCAAATTCAGGGTCCCCCTACTTCAAGGGGTAGGAGAGACTGAGGATGGACTCAAGAGAGAGCGGCTGCGGAGGTGCTAAGAACCTGCACCTGGAATCTGGAGACATGGGAGGTCCCTGCTGGCTCTAACGCCCCTCCTACCCAGGACCCCTCAGGCAGCACCCTGCAGCAGGAAGAAGGAAAGCTAGACCCTGGGGAGGACTAACAAGGCAGCTGCTGCTTTCTGGATGGGCAGGTGCAGGCCTAACAGTGTGTATCAGCATGTGAGGCTTTATTCACAATCCGTGCTCCAGGCCCTCTGCACTGGGACAGGACCACAGGGCTAAGCCCAGGCTGGGGGTTCAGGCAAGAGTCCTGCCCCTAGTCCTGGGCTGGAGGGCAGGTCAGCTGCACGGAGGTGGGCAGGGCTCCTGGCCCAGCTCACACGTGCTGCTTCCGGTGGCGCAGCACCTCTGTGGGTGTAAAGAGGAAGTCCTTCCCGCAGGCCTCGCAGTGGTAGGGCCTCTGCAGGACAGATGTCTTCTGGAGGGTTTCGAGGGCAGCTTCCTCAGCCCCTAAGGGAGGAAAAGGAGGAGGCTGTGAGGGGCGTGTTCCAGTGCACAGGTCTACCTGCACCCAAATGCCAGGCACCTGTGGGGCTCAGGTTCTCTCCTGGCCTTTGGAGAACCCAGTTTTGCCTCCTCCAGGAAGCCCTCCCAGATTAATAAAAATACACAGGTCTGTCTTTACTCCGCATCCCTGCCAGTGAGAGAGACAGAGAGAAAGACACAAGGAGAGACATGGAGACTGAGAGGCAGACACAGCCAGCCGGGGATGGAGGCATGTGGCCCCAGTGCTATCTCCCCCACTGAACCCCAGTGTGTGGCATCCCTGGGTGACAACAGGGTGGAGGTGACCAAGGCAGAGATAGCTGCAGGACAGAGAAAAATAACAAGAGACATAGCCACAGAGAGACAGAAACAGAGACAAAGACAGCAACACAGAGACACCACAGGGGACAGGCAGACAGAAAGAGGTGGCGCTCCAGGCTCTCCCTGCCTTGGGCTCCTGATCTTCAGGACAAGGCCTGTGTGTGGCACCAGCCAGGGCCAGCGGGTGGAGGTCGTCAGTCCTCGAAGCTCTAGCAAGTGCTCACACGCACAGGAGACCATCATGGGATGGGCAGACGGCTGGGCAGAGGTGGCCGGGTCCCCACAGTCCTGTGCTTACCTGGGGGCCCATCCTGTGGGGCCTGGGGGCAGGTGTTCTCATGGGCGATGCGCTCCAGGGGCGTGAGGGGCGCATGCAGGCCACAGTGGGGGCAGGTCCAGAAGGTTCGGAGACAGTCGCTGTACAGGTCTGTGTCATTCTGTGGCAGGCCAGCTGTCAGGGCTGGGCCCCCGCCAAGTGCCACCCACCACCCAAGTGCCCCCCCGGGACCCTTCCCAGAAGCCCTCAGGGCCACGGGCCCCACTTGGGAACTATGTCCCTGGACTAAGGTGAAACGGGGTGGTGGGGTCTTCCTGAAATCCCACCTTCAGGGAAGGAGGGTTCATGCTTACCGTGAGGCAGTTGTAGGTGAGGAAGTCAGTGACTGCGTAGCCCCCCTTTGTGGGGTGGGGGGACAGGGTGGAGCTGCCAAAGAGGCCAGGAAGATGGGGGGTGGCTGGGATGGTCTGGGGTCCCACATACATGTTCTGGACTTCTAGCCCTGTGAGCCGCCGGAGGCTGTAAGGAATCTAAGGAAGGAGAGACAGGAAATGGAGAGAGACAGACTCAGGGAGATGCCGCCAAAGCACCTGGATCCAGCTGTGCCTGAAGCCCTCCCTCGGGCTTTGCAGTTACGGGAGCCAAGTGCTTACACCAATCACAATTTGGCTGCAGACACACATGACCAGGGGTCTGTCTAGAATATACCTGATAACCCACCCCCATCTAAATTGCCCTCCCCAGGCCCCTCTTCTGCCCCTGTCACTGGTGGGACCCCATTCAGACCTTGAGTCTAACCTTCAAGTCTGGCCACCTCCCCCCTCCTCCTCCTAGCATGTCAGCCTTGGTCCCCTCTCCATGGCTCACTGGGTTCCTGCTCCTTTGTCCTCAAGCCCTTCTACTCCAGGAAGTCAGCCTGGATTGTACCCTTCTCCCCACCCCACCCACATGAAGTAGAACCACGAGCAATTTCCACTCCCCACCTAAGAGTCAGGGGCTGGTTTCAAGTCTGCTCAGTTCAGTTCTTCCCATCCACAAGCAGACGTCTACGGCTTCCCTCTCACACCCTGCCTGTCCTTTACTGTTAGCAAGAGGGGATCAGCCACGCTTGCAGAAGGTGCTTAGTAAACAAGGCAGCAGTGGGTAGTGTGGCCTCTGGAACCAGGCTCCTGGGATCAAATCCTAGCTCCACCCAGACCAGTGGAGTGACCTTGTGTAAGTGACTGAACCTCTGTGGCCTGAAAACCCCCAAATGTGCCCATGTGGAGTGAATGGGAAGCCAGGCCTTCCCGAGGCTCAAGCCCAGTGACGGATGCCCCTTCTGGCCATAGGGAGGCACGGGCACCCTGGTGGAGGGTACCTTGGATGCCGTGAATTGCAGGAGTTCCTTGCTCAGGGTGGCCACCTCCTTGGGGCTGACTGGCGTATCCTCCTCCTCCTCCTCCAGCTGCTGCTGGGCCTGGTGCGCCAGCTGCCGGTCCAGGGCACTTTCCCAGCGGGCACGGAGCCGCAGGGAAGCCGCCAGGAGTCGGATGGCACTTTCACTGTCTGCTAGCTGCAGCTCCAGCCAGCCATCGGCCACCAGGCGGGAGCAGTCACCATTGGTGTCCAAAGACCGGCTAAAAAGCAGGAGGGACTGAAAGAGAGGGGGCAGAAGACAGGGAGTAGGTGGGAGGGGCAGGGCGCTATTGGAGACAGGCCCTGCCCGGCTGGGCTCCTGCCCACCCACCAGCCCTGTCTATGTGAGGCATCCACCTACCCGCCATCTACCCGCTGTACCAGGCACCCCTTCGGGTGCTGGGGATACGGCATGAACAAGGCAGCCGCTGAGTCAGGGAAGGGGGCTGGGGTGGCGGGGCGGCAGATGGGAGCGTGCTGGGAGAGAGACAGCTGCATTCTCAGGCAGGGTGGCAGAGGGACAGCAGGCACTCAGACACACACGACGTGCAGGGAGAGCCCAGACCCTGAGCACACGCTCCTCTGTGAGGACGGAAGTCAGCGCTGTAATTACCAGTGCTGTGGCTCATAAGATGTTGGGGAAAATCCTCAGGGCTGGGGCCAGGGCAGAGGAAAGGGCAGGACTGGCCATGCGTGGATGGTTTGGGGACCGGGGATGGTACAGGAGGGCTCCATATACTGTTCTGCCTGCTTATGTGAATGTGAAGTTTCTCCATCTTCTTCTTCTTATTATTATTATTATTAATTTATTTATTTATTTGAGATGAGTCTCACTCTGTTGCCCAGGCTGGAATGCAATGGCGCAATCTTGGCTCACTGCAACCTCCACCTCCCAGGTTCAAGCGATTTTCCTGCCTCAGCCTCCCTAGTAGCTGGGATTACAGGCACGCGCCACCCACCCGGCTAATTTTTGTATTTTTAGTAGAGATGGGGTTTCACCACATTGGCTAGGCTGGTCCCAAACTCCTGGCCTCAACTGATCCACACACCTCGGCCTCCCAAAGTGCCGGGATTATAGGCGTGAGCCACCATGCCCGGCTTATTATTTTTTGAGACAGTGTCTCACTCTGTCACCCAGGCTGGAGTGCAGTGTCAACAATCACAGCTCACTGCAGCCTCAATCTCCCAGGCTCAAGCAATCCTCCTGCCTCAGCCTCCCGAGTAGCTGGGATTACAGGCACACAACACCACGCCCAGCTAACTTTTTAAAATTTTTTGTAGAGATAGATAGAGTCTCCCTATGTTGCCCAGGCTGCCTTTGAACTCCTGGGCTCAAACAATCCTCCCACCTCAGCCTCCCAAGGTGCTGGGATTCCAGGTGTGAGCTGGCCAGATTCTCTCAACAAGCAGTCCAGTGCAGGGAGAGAGCGCCTCAGGTAGCAGGTCTGTTCCGCTTCCTGCGGCCCGGCTGGTCGCCAATCCTCTGTCCCTCGGCCTGCGTGCTGCCTGCTTTCCCATGCTCACATGAGCACCTGGCATCACCCTTTTGGTTTGCCGTCTGCCTCTACCATCCTATCTGAGCCCCATGAGGGTGGGGAGTTTGGTTGACATTGACCACAGCTGCACCCCCGGCCCCAGAACACTGAACACTAACAGTGCCTGGCCCACCAGACGGGCTCGAGGGAGGTGTGGACACACACAGAAGTGACTGAGCTGAGCTGGCTTTTGTGGTGTTGGTGGCAATCGCAGTGTCAACAAAACCCTGAGGCTCTAGGAGCCTGCAGGTTCCTCTCTCCCCTCCACGTTCCCTGGGACCCAAGCCGGGGAGTGCTGGTAGTGAGCCAGGAGGCAGGAGGGGGCAGTGTGACCCAGGAGCTCTGGCTTGGCCACCTGCTCGGTGTGTGACTTAGGTGACGTATCCCCGCCCCTGCCTGAGCTTCAGTCCCCTCTATAAAGGGAGACCCACAGGGCTGCGTGAGGACTCCGAGGCCAGGCCTAGGATCACAAAGACGCTCGAGGAGCACTAGGGGCAGGGCAGTGGCTGCCATGGGGCCCATGGCTCTGCTGCCGGTGCCCATGCAAGGGCATCCATGATCTGAGTTCGGCCTCAGCCTCCACCGGGGCAGCACCCTCCTCTCCCTCCTGGCAGCTGCCAGCCCTCCTGGCTGGGACCCTGTCCCAGCTCTGAGAAGTCCCCAGGGTCCTGTCTCCCTCGCCTCTCTGGCCTCATCTCCACACGCTCTCCCTTGCTGACTGCACGCCAGGCACATGTCTGCCTCGGAGCCTCTGTGCAGGCCACCCCACTGCCTGGAACACTCTGCCCCGAGATCCACACGCTCTCCTCTTTGGGTCTCTGCCTGGGGACACCAGGTGGCCTTATCTTGTACCACACCCTGTGTCCACCCTCCCACACGTCGCTCAGGGCATCACTGTGCTACTGCTGTCACTGTCCCCTGCCACTAGAGCCCGAGAGGGCAGGGGCTGGGCTTCATGCCTGGTTCCCTGCTGCGCCCTTGGCACCTGGCACAGCGCCTGGCACCCAGCAGGCACTTGGCAGGTTAACTGTTGAGCAAGTCCATGAATGAGAGAAAAAGCAGCCACAGCAACGGCCCAAGGCTGACGCCTGCGGCCAGCCCAGGTGCCAGGTGGCCCCTCCAAGCCCACGCGGTGCCCCCACCCACCACCCTGGGCAACGCAGCTCTCATATCTGGGCATGGGGGCGGGGTGGGGCAGAGGCCCACCTGGAGGGCAGGGATGCGGACGCAGTTCACCAGGTACGGCTTGTTGGTCTCCAGCAGGGACACGAAGCTGAGGAGCTGGTGTTTGCTGCTCATCTTGTCCTTGTCGTCTGAAAGGTTGAGGAGGACCGCTCAGGCCCACCCTGGCCCACCCAGGCCCATCAGAAGCCCGCCTGTCCCACCCGGTCAAAGTACACATCGATAGAAAGAGTATGCTTACGGCATGGCTTTGGTGGCCTGGCTCAGACAAGAAGGTCAGCCAAATCTGAATGTGACTCCCAGCACGCAGCCATGCCTGCAGCGAGACACCCTTCCATGCACACGGGTGCCAGGGGGGCCTCCCTCTGCAGGACCCACCTGGGAGCTCACAGAGTCCATAGGACAGGCCCCCTGACCGGTGCTCACTCTCTGGGCACAGCCACACTGGCTTAGGTTGACTATCACCACCATGCGGAAGGTGAGGCCCAGCAGGGGTGAGTCACCCAAGGCTACCCAGGGAGGCCTGGCCCTGGAACTTCCCCTCCTGTGGGCCCCCGTCAATACCAGCCTGGGCCGGTGTGGGAGCCCCAGCCAGAGGGGCCTGGGAGTTCACGGTATCCCTGCCCCTCACATCCCGGATGGGGGTTCCTTCCGCCTGGGCTCACTGTACCTCGGCTTCCGTCGCAGTTGCTGGCCTCCAGCTCCTGTGCGTGCAGCACCTCGGGGCTGCCAGCGAAGACGCAGGTGGGGTGCAGCACGGCGCCCTGCTTGGCCTGCGTGTGGAAAATCTGCGGAGGACAGAGAGAAAGCACAAGCCCTCCTATCTGCTCTCTCCTCTGCCCAGGATGCCTCTCCTCCACCCTCTGGCCCAGGTTCCCTCCTCCAGGAAGCCCTCCCTGACTCCTCCAAATCTGGGGCAGATGCCCCCTGTGGGCTCCTATAGTGCTCTTGACTCCCCAAGCCCTGCCCACTCTGGGTTGTCTGGGGATGGGTCTGTCCTCCCACTGGGTTGTGAGCCCCATGGGGACAGAACCAGGGTTGTTTCAGTCACCACTGCATTCCCGGCACAGGACAGGCACTCAGGGTTCGTGTGTTGGAGGACAAAACATAGGATGGGGCAGAACAGGCCCCACCTGGTCTGAGTCCTTTCGGCTGCTGTTGAAGGCGTCGGGGACGGCCAGCTGTGGGTACAGGCCCCGGCCCAGCACCAGCTTCAGCAGAGCCAGCTGCTCGCGGCTCAGGTCCTGGGCTGAGCTGGCAGCGGCCTGCAGCTGCGCCAGGTCATGCCGAAGCTTGAACTTCACATCCTGGGGGGAGCACGGGGAGGCAGAGTCTTAGGGGACCTGAGGGGCTCCTACCATGATCCGCAGACCCCCAGGCTCTGCAGATACCTGGGACCAAGCACCGTCCATGGAAACCCGGCTCCTGAAATGAGGACAGGGCCATGTCCCCTGGGACCCCCCCAGGAGAGGCCAAGGCCCACCTTGGTAAACCCCCACACCCCACAGCCCATGGCGCCCACCTGGATGTCCACGCCATCACTGGCCCCTGGGGGGGCTGGGCCAGCCCTGTCCTCGTCACTGGAGCCGCCGTCCTGCTCCTCCTGCAGCCGCAGCACCTTGCGCCTGCGCCCCGCGCCCTCCTCGTGCTGGCGTTTCAGCTGGTGCAGGGCCCGGCGCTCCCGGCGCTGCTGCAACCGACTGTAGCTGTCCCCTACCTGCGCGGCCTGGGCCCCAGCCAGCAGCCCGTGGTCCTCCAACAGCTCCTAGGGGCAGGTGGGTAGGGGTGAGGGCCTCAGGGCAGACTCAGTGGGCTCTGGACTCATGGAAATGGGGACCCTCCCAGTGGCAGGGCTGCTAGTGCCCAAAGGGGGCTGAAAACAGCCCCTCGCATGGTGCTGGGCATGGATCGCTGCTCCAGAGAGAGAGCTGTCCTCGCTGGTCAGTGGAGGGAACACCGGGGCCAGGGGCAAGAGGAGGCAGGTGCGGGCGTCCAGTGCCTTTTCCCACAGCTGGCTCCAGGCTCTGCTGACTGCCCCACCTGCCCCTTGGGTCTGGGGGGCCCTGCTTTCCCACACAGCCCTGGTGGGCGTCCTGCACTAGTGCTTCTGAGTGTAGCCCTGGGGCATCTAGGCACATGCTGGGAATGCCAAGTCCTGGGCCTCATCCCAGAACGACCAAGTGGAGAGAGGAGGGGGCTCGGCGGGGTTGGCCATCTGGACCCAACAGACCCTCCAGCTGCCTGTGACCCATAAAATCTGAGACCCCTGCCCTCCCCGTGCCCACATCTTGTCAACATTCCTCAAGTGACCCAATTTGGTTGGACCTTCTGTTTCCTGCTGAGCCCTGACCGATGGAGGACACAGGAGATTGTGCGTGCATGTGTGTCTGTATGTGTGCATGTGGGTGCAAAGGGCTCACACTTTCCATTAGATTCTCAAAGCATCTGGGGACCAATGAAGCCTGAACACTGCTCTAGCAGCCAGAGAGAACTCGGGACCCATGCTCAGAGCAATCGGGGCATCTGTGGTCCCCAACACCGGGACCCCAGAAATGGTACCGGAGGTGTCGGCTGGGTGACTGCCCCCTCTGGGCCTCAGCTTGCCCATCTCCAACCAAACAGAATGGATTACACCAGGAACCCTTTTATTCTATTCTCAATCCATGGATACAACCATGGAAAAGGACCTAACAGCAGGTCTGTCTGCACTCAGATGGAGAACAGTATCTATGAAACAAGCTGCAGAACTGTGTGGGCGCAGGAGAAACCCAAATCTTTTTTTTTTTTTTTTTTTGAGTGGAGTTTCGCTCTTGTTGCCCAGGCTGGAGTGCAATGGCTCAATCTCGGCTCACCACAACCTCCACCTCCTGGGTTCAAACGACTCTCCTGCTTCAGCCTCCCAAGTAGCTGGGATTACAGGCACGTGCCACCATGCCTGGCTAATTTTTGTATTTTTAGAAGAGACGGAGTTTTACCATGTTGTCCAGGATGGTCACGATCTCCTGACCTCGTGATCCACCCACCTCGCCCTCCCAAAGTGCTAGGATTATAGGCGTGAGCCACCACGCCCGGCTGGCAAGTGCTATTTTTATCCTCTCTTTTTATCGAGGGGAAGCTGAGGCCCAGAGACAAGCAGTAACACACCCGGGGCCACGCTGTCAGAAATGGCAGAGCTGGGATCTGTGGCTGAGGTGTCTGGCTCCAGATGTGCCGGCCAACCACAACCGTAGGCTGCCTCCAACACCATGCCCATGCAGCCAGCTCAGCATCCCCAGTCCGGAGGGCGAGCTCTTCCCGAGGATGCTGCATGTCCACTGACTCGGTCCACCCCTCCAGGAAGCCCTCCTGGATTTCTGCTCCCTTTGCTCTGCCCAGCTGCCCCAACACCTGGTCACCGGGTGGTGGGGGAGGTGGGTGCAGGGTGGGATTCTGGTCTGACCACTGTCTGGGAAGGGGAAGCAGTGTTCTGGAGTGTGCTTACACACGTCTGCCTGAGTGGGGCCGGCCTTACCCCTCCTCCCGAGCCTCACCTTGAACTGGCGCCGAAGGTTGGCCATTTCGTACAGTCGATGCTCCTCTATGCCCCGGCGGCGGCACCACTTGCGAGAGTTTCTGCTCCGTTCAGATTTCACCTGGGTGGAGGAGCAGACGCCAGGGTGTCAGGGCCTGGCCAGTGCGGGGAGGGAGGGGCTGACCGAGCACCCAGAGCCCCAAAATGGGCATCCCTCAGGGACACCTGCTCTCCTGCTTCCAGGTCTCAGCCCCAGTGCCCCCTCCTATGGGAAGCCCTCCCAGACTACCCACAAACTGGGTTAGATGCCCCGCTGGGTTGTCCCAGCCCCCTGGACTCCCCATTCCAGCCCTCTCTGGGTTGTCACTGTCACATCAGTGGTCTGTCTCCCTGCACTGGGCTGTGAACCCCGGGAGGGCAGGGCCAGGGTAGTTTTGGCACTGATGGGCCCCCAGCACTACACTACAGGGCCAGGGTTAGGGTGAGGACTCAAGGGACATATACTGGATCTCCAGATGCCTCCCAAGGAGCCTGGACTTTCTCCAGGTGGCACAGGTTTTCATCAGTGCTTCAGAAACCCCAGGCTCCTCTCAGCCCCGGGCCTGGGCACATGCTGTCCTGAGCCGAAAGCATGGATGATGGAGACATGGCCCTCCCCAGGCAGGCCCAGTCTGTGGGGGGCTCAGTGGTCCTCCCAGGGTGGGGCTGAGGGTGGGACACGAGGAGGAGCCACAGCCACAGAAGGCCTTGGCCCTGAGCAGGGTGACAGACAGAGGGCCCCCACCACCAGCCTCACCTGCACCCAGGCGTTGAAGACGTTGAAGAGCGTGAAGGGGTCACCCTGGTCGCTCTCCAGCGGCCGCCGTGCTGCCGCGCACTCTGGGCTGCTCTGGGCGCTGCGGGTGAAGGGCGACTGGACGCTAAGTGCGGCTGCGATGGTGAGCACAGGCTCCACCAGGCTGAACATGGAGCCCAGGATCAGCATCTTCCCTGCAGCGGCGGACACGGGGTTGAGGCTCCTGGGTGCCAGGACAGGCGCAGCCCTCACCCCTCGGGGCCCCAGCCTGCCCTCCCGCCTGCCCTCCTGCTCCCACCCCCTCCATCTTGCCCACTAAGGGTCTTGTGACCCAGATGGAGATTCAAACCCACGCGCTGTGCTTTCTGGTCACGTGGCCATGGGCAAGGGCCTCAGTTTCCCCATTTGTAGATTGGAGATGGCCAGTCCCTGCCTCCTTGGACACACAGGAGATACTGTCTAAGCGCTGACTACTCCTGTCACCAAGTTCCCCACTTTGCTATTTACAACCCACTCCCCCAGCGCTCTGATGCTTCCCTGGCTTGGTCTTTGCTCTAGGAGCTCATTTTGACCCATCACGGTGGACGTCTCTCCTCCGCGCTAGAGTGTCACCTGTAAGTGAGTCCCTCTAGCTCTGCCCTGGCACAGGCAGGCACTGACTCCTGTGCTTATCACAGGATGAATCTTCTCCTGCAGCCTTTGTTTAGGTCAAGGTGGAAGTGGAAGAGGAAGAGGGGACAGAAGGCGAAGACATGGAGAAAGATGGGGCAGGGGCTGGGAGAGGTAGGGAAAGGGGAGGAAGGACAGAGGGGAGGCCACAGAGAGGAAAAGTGGCAGGAACCGTCTCCCAGGGTGGCCGAGTCTCACCTGGAGACAGGTGAACCCTGTCTCCATCTGTGAGCGCTCCACAGCGGGCATCTAGACATCCCCTGGTTCTGGGCGCCCGAGCTGACGCTGGACTTCTGGGGGCTCCCTTGCCCACCTGTCCAGTAACTAGTGGTCTGTGTCATGTGTCTGACCCGCCCCCACCGTTGACCTTCACTGACTTTCCATAGTGCCTGTCACAAAACTGGACTCAAGCAGATCACCTGAGGTCAGGAGTTCGAGACCAGCCTGGCAAACCTGGTGAAACTCCATCTCTACTAAAAATACAAAAATTAGCTGGGTGTGGTGGCAGGCGCCTGTAATCCCAGCTACTTGGGAGGCTGAGGCAGAAGAATCACTTGAACCCTGGAGGCGGAGGCTGCAGTGAGCTGAGATCTTGCCATTACACTCTAGCCTGAGTGAACAGAGCAAGACTTCGTCTCAAAAACCAAACAAACAAAAAAAGCTGGCCTCATAAAACAAAGGTGGCAGTAAAGCAGGGCTTGGGGCTGTACTGTGCAGGCCCCTGTCCTATTCCAGGACACCCCAGCTCTGTCACCAGGGAAAAGTGGCCCCACCTCGCCGTGACGCTGCTTCCCCATCTGTAAACGGGGGAACAACAGCATTGGCCTCTCCTCAGGCTGCCAAGAGGATGCTTTGTGTTTCACCCTGTGAAGCGTTCAGAACTCCACCTGGCACAGAGGACGCCCAGCACAGGGTCATCCGTGCCTCTCAGTTCCCACTGTGACCCTGAGCAGCAGTTCTCTGAGCCTCGTTTTCCCCACAGGGCAAGTGGGGGCACCTGCCCCCAGCCCTCAGGGAGATAATGTGAGTGAGGCATTTACCATCACCTCCGATCAAAGCCAGGCTTCCCCATGCCCTCAGGAGCCTCCTGGGCCCAGCCTCAGTTTCCCCATCTACACACTGGGGGCGATCAGAGGCCCTGCCCTCAGCAGGTAAGGATGAAATAACGGAAAGTCCACAGAGCCTTTCGCCGGCACACAGCAAGAGCTCACAGAACATTCTTCTGCTTCTCAGTTCAGATTCTCCCTGCTCTAGCCCTGTTTCCTTCCAAAACAAAAATGAAGCCGGGCGCAGGGGCTCACGCCTGTAATCCCAGCACTTAGGGATGCCGAGGCTGGCGGATCACTTGAGGTCAGGAGTTCAAGACTAGCCTGGCCAATGTGGTGAAACCCTGTTTCTACTAAAAAATACAAAAACTGAGTGTGGTGGCACATGCCTATAATCCCAGCTACTCAGGAGGCTGAGGTGGGAGGATCACTTGAACCCGGGAGGTGGAGGTTGCAGTGAGCCAAGATCATGCCACTGCACTCCAGCCTGGAGGACAGAGTGAAACTCCATCTCTAAATAAATAAATAAATAAATAAAACAAAAATGAACCATCTTCTTAGCCTGGGCAGCCCTCCAAGTCCAGCGGATCCAGCCTCCTGCCCACACTGAAGCCCTGCTGTGCTGCAAGGATGGGGGCTTTAATGGTGTTAACACACATACATGGGTGGTCCTGCCATGGTGGGCCTCAGGCTGCTGGAAATAGAAAGTCTTGAGTCAGGAGAATCAGGCAAGATGAACAAGCCTCAGTCAGTGAGCTCCCCGGGAGGGGTGAGCATGACTCAGGAATGAGGGAGAGGAAGAGTTTTGACATCCTTGAGCCCGCAAGAGAGGGGTGCGGGGCAGAGCTGGGGACACGCTGTGCAGAGGAGAGAGGTGGGAGGGGTCTGAGCTGTGGAAAAGCCAAGACTTCTTTCTGCGTTTGGGGGATCTTGGGTACTCCACCTGCCTGTGCCTCCCAAGGGAGGCCCTGTCATGACCCCAAGTGCTGGGGAATCCAAGCGAGAGAGCCTGTCTTTCCTGTCACTCACGCACAACCAGGGCACTTTGCGTCACATTCTCTGAAACAGCCTTGCAAGCCAGACACCACAGGCCACACCCAGCCTCTGGTGGTGGCATCTGCAGCGTCAGGTGAGTGCCTGAGACACTGACGGTGCACACAAGAACGACAGGGTCAGAGGGTCTGCTGGCCCCAAATCCCTCAAGATTAACGCCCTATTCCTGATGACACAGCGTGGGGACGAGGAGCACCACATCTGCTTGTGACTGGCTACTGAAGACCTGAGATCAGGAGGGCTGGGAACTGAAAATGGTCTCCGTCGACCTCTGTGGACCCGCCCTTTCCAGATCCTCACAGAACCGCCAGGTCAACTGATCAATTTTCTGGCCACCTTCAGCCACTTAGGACCCAGTTCCACTTAAACACTTCCCATTTAATTCAAAGCTCCTCACCTGACCCAGGGCCAGAGGGACAGCTGTCCCCTCCCCTCCTTCAGGCCTCTGCCCAGATGTCACTGTTAATTGGCCTCCCAGGACAGCCAATTAACACTGCTCCCAGCCCCCACTGTGCCCACCGTGCCCTGCATCCACCTGAGCAGCAATCAGCGGCTGACATTCCGTGTTTTCACTCATTTATCTGCCCCTGTCCATCTCCCCTGTTACATGTGAGCTCCGTGAGGGCAGGAGTTTTGTTTTATTCACTGTTGTATCTCTGGCATCTAGACTAGGACCTGGCACAGAGCAGGTGCTCAAAAATTATTTAATGAATGGGCCAGGAGCTGTGGCTCACACCTGTAATCCCAGCAGTTTGAAAGGCCGAAGTGGGCAGATCACTTAAAGTCAGGAGTTCAAGACCAGCACGGCCGACATGGTGAAACCTTGACACTACTAAAAAAACAAATATTGGCCGGGCGCAGTGGCTCATGCCTGTAATCCCAGCACTTTGGGAGGCAGGCAGAACACTTGAGGTCAGTAGTTTGAGATCAGCCTGACCAACATGGTGAAACTCCTTCTCTACTGAAAAAACAAATACTGGCCGGGCACGGTGGCTCAAGTCTGCAATCCCAGCACTTTGGGAGGCTGAGGTGGGCAGATCACTTGAGGTCAGGACTTCGAGACCAGCCTGGCCAACATGATGAAACCCCGTCTCTACTAAAAATACAAAAATTAGCCAGGCGTGGTGGCGTGAGCCTGTAATTTTAGCTACTCATGAAGCTGAGGCAGGAGAATTGCTTGAACACAGGAGGTGGCAGTTAGCTGAGATCACACCACTGCACTCCAGCCTAGGCAACAGAGCAAAAACACTGTCTCAAAACAAAACAAAACAAAAATTAGCCAGGTATGATGGCGGGCACCTACAGTCTCAGCTACTCAGGAGGCTGAGGCAGGAGAATTGCTTGAATCCAGGAGGCAGAAGTTCCAATGAGCTGGGATTGCACCACTGCACTTCAGCCTGGGCAACAGAGCGAGACTCCATCTCAAAAAGAAAAAAAAACATATATATATGTGTGTGTATATATATGTGTGTATGTATATATATGTGTGTGTATGTGTGTGTGTGTGTGTGTGTGTATATATATACACACACACACACACACATTCAATGGACCGGGAGCAGTGGCTCAAGCCTGTAATCACAGCACTTTGGGAGGTCAAGGCGGGCAGATCACCTGAGGTCGGGAGTTCAAGACCAGCCTGACCAACATAGAGAAACCCCAGCTCTACTAAAAATACAAAATTAGCCGGGCATGGTGGCGCATGCCTGTAATCCCAGCTACTCGGGAGGCTGAGGCAGGAGAATCGCTTGAACTCAAGAGGTGGAGGTTGTGGTGAGCCGAGATGGCACCATTGCACTCCAGCCTGGGCAACAAGAGCGAAACTCAGTCTCAAAAAAAAAAAAAAAAAAAAAAAAAGGATTTAATGAATGAATGATGAGACTGTTGGTTACATCTCCCACCTTCTCCCTCTCACTCCACTGCAGCCACACGGGGCTCCTCACTGTTCCTGTAGCAGCAGGCATGTGCCCCCACAGGGCCTCTGTACTGGCTGTTCCCACTGCCCGAACACCCTCATGCACCATCTGCACTGTCCAATACGGCCGCCTCTGGCCACACATGGCTACTGAGCAGTTGAACATGGCTGGTCCAAACCAAGATTTCCAAGACGTCGTATGGTAAAAAATAACATAAAATCTTGCAAAAATGTTTCTATTGATTATGTTAAAATTGTGATGTTTTAGGTATATTAGGTTGAATCAGCTATTTTATCAAAATGAATCTCACCTGTTTGTTTTTGCTTTTTTTTTTTTTTTTTTTTGAGATGGAGTCTCGCTCTGTCGCCCAGGCTAGAGTACAATGGCATGGTCTCGGCTCACTGCATCACTGCAACCTCTACCTCCCAGGTTCAAGCGATTCTCCTACCTCACCCTCCCAAGTGGCTGGGATTACAGGCGTGTGCCACCACACCCAGCTAATTTTTGTATTTTTAGTAGAGACAGGGTTTCACCATGTTGGCCAGGCTGGTCTCGAACTGCTGACCTCGTGATCTACCTGCCTCAGCCTCCCAAAGTGCTGGGATTACAGGTGTGGGCCACTGTGCCGGCCATGTTTCTCGACTTCTGCTGGCAAGCATGTTCTAGTATTTGCATGGCTCCTAGCCCTCATCTCCATTTCTCTGCACAGATGTTACCTTCCCCATGAGGTCTGCCTTATACATGAGGCCTGTATTACAAACTGCAACTCCCCATTCCCCAACCCCGTTGTTTCTTCTCTCCAGAACACTAGGCACCATCTGATCTACTATGCCTTTTCCTTATTGTCCTAATGTATTGCTGGTCTTCTTCACCAAAATGTCAGCTCCCTGAGGCCAGAGATTTGTGTCTGTTCTGTCCACTGCTATATGCCCAGCACCTAGAACAGTGCCTGGCCCAGTGAAGAGTGAATAAATGAACTGGACCCAGGGAAGAAACAGACTTGCCCCCAGGCCACTCAGAGAGTGAGCTGTGCCCATACCCGCTCCTGGGGCCCTGAGTGATCAGGAGGGGGGTGGGTACTCACCAATCACAACGTCCACAGGCAGCTGGGCTAGCAGGGACCCAATGGGTGTGAGGGCCTCTGAGCTGTCCAGGGCCCCCTGGTCCCGGAGGTAGAGGATGGCGGTTTCCAGGCTGGCTGGTGGTGGGGGCTCGATGAAGGGGAAGGTTCGGGGGTCCCCCACACTCATGCTCTTCATCTAGAATGAGAAGCAAAACCCCCAAGATTGGGGAACACAAGAGCCACTGTGCAGCACAGCGGGGCTCAGAGATCACAAATTCATGACGTTTTAAAATTCCTAGTGTTGGCCGGGCGTTGTGGCTCATGCCTGTAATCCCAGCACTTTGAAAGGCCAAGGCAAGCGGATCACTTGAGGTCAGGAGTTCAAGACCATCCTGGCCAACATGGTGAAACCCCGTCTCTACTAAAAATACAAAAATTAGTGGTGGTGCATGACTGTAATCCCAGCTACTCGGGAGGCTGAGGCAGGAGAATCGCTTGAACCCAGGAGGTGGAGATCGCAGTAAGCCGAGATCGCGCCTCTGCACTGCACTCCAGCCTGGCAATACACCGAGACTCCATCTCAAATTCCCAGTGTCAGCCAGGCACAGTGGCTCATGCCTGTAATCCTAGCACTTTGGGAGGCCACAGCAGGTGGATCACTTGAGGTCAGGAGTTTGAGACCAGACTGGCCAACATGGTGAAACCCCATCTCTACTAAAAATACAAAAATTAGCCAGGTGTGGTGGCGAGTGCCTGTAATCTCAACTACTTGGGAGGCTGAGGCAGGAGAATTGCTTGAACCTGGAAGGCGGAGGTTGCAGTGAGCCGAGATTGCACCACTGCACTCCAGCCTGGGCCACAGAGTGAGATTCTATCTCAAAAATAAAATAAAATAAAATAAAATAAAATTCCCAATGTCAAGATCCACTGTGCAGAGGCAGGCAAGGAGGGCTGCTGTCTCTGTATCTGTCTGCCTAGCACATCTTGCCCCAGACCATGGAGGAGAGGCACGTGACCTGAGCTGGACCAATCAGAATCCTTCCATGAGACTGGAGCCAGGAAGAGCATTCCCAGCATCCTCTCTGGTTGTGGCCAGGATGGAAGGCTATCTTATTAACCCAGAACTGCTGTGACCTTTGACTTTGTCCATTTTTTGGAAATGGGCCCACCTACAGCAGATGGAGAAATTCTTGGATTGTTCCTAAGTTAGACATGCCGCCTCATGAATGCACAAAATGGTAAGATCCCCCTTTCTGCCTACAATAGTTTCAGTTGTATTTCTCTCACTTACAACCAAAAGAATCCCAATTAATGCAGCAGTCCAGGCAGGCAGTAGATGGTGGGAGAATTAAGTGACAGCATATGTCCACCCCGGGGTCTGGCGTGGCATACGTAAGCAAACAGCACCTCTCTGGTGACTGGAAGAAGGAGAGGCTGGCAAGGCAGCTCATGTGACAGCCAGAGAGCGAGAAGGAAGCTCAGAGAAGTCTGTTTGCCTGGCTTTGATCCGAGGGCACTAGAAGTTCTGGCGTCCACCTGCAAGCAGCTGCTGCTCCTTCCTCCCTGCTGACCAAGCCTTGATGCCGTCTATGAGTTCACCCAATACTCATTTAAAAACCTTTATAGGCCGGGCGCGGTGGCTCATGCCTGTAATCCCAACACTTTGGGAGGCTAAGGCAGGCAGATCACCTGAGGTCAGAAGTTCAAGACCAGCCTGATCAACATGGTGAAACTCCCTCTCTACTAAAATTACAAAAATTAGCTGGGCCTGGTGGCACCCATCTGTGGTCCCAGCTACTCGGGAGGCCAAGGCAGGAGAACCACTTGAGCCTGGGAGGTGGAGGTTGCAGTGAGCCGAGATAACACCACTGCACTCCAGCCTGGGCGACAGAGTGAGACTCTGTCCCAAAAATAAATAAATAAATAAATAAATAAATAAATAAATAACCTTTACATTAGAAGCTCAATTTAAAGAGGCAGGGGGCAGGGCCTGGGGTTTTTTTAAATTCTCCAGGTGTTTCTAGTATGCAGCTGGGGCTGAGACACTGCTCTGATCAACTCAGGCAATGCCACAACCCTAGACAATTGCGGGGCATAGGGTGAACACATATGACCCGGTTCTGCTGACAAGAGAGGATGAGAGACTGGCCAGAGGAGTCTAGAAAATGTTCCTGTGGCCTTAAAAATTAGACCCACAGAGAAGGGCAGTTCCTTGCTTCTGCCTCCGGATGGTAAAGGAGGAGGAGGTGACGCCCACTGTGCCTGGAGCCAGCGGCCACTCACGAAGCAGGCTCTGACGCCTGGTGGCCTCGGATGGAGCCCTGACTCTACTACTTGCCAGCTGTGTGACCTGGGGCAATATTTTCTCTCTCTCTGCATCCTTCTTCTGGTCCAAAAATTAGGGTAAGACTACCTACCCCATGGACTTTGTTTTTTTATGAGACAGGGTCTTGCTCTATCACTCAGGCTGGAGTGCAGTGATGCAATCAAGGCTCACTGCAGCCTCGAACTCCTGGGCTCTAGCGATCCTCCTGCCTCAGCCTCCTGCGTGGGACCACAGGTGTGTGCCATCACACTGGGCTAATTTTTAAATTTTTTCTAGAGTCAGGGCCTCACCGTGTTGCCTAGGCTGGTCTCGACTTCCTGGCCTCAAGCAATCCTCCTGCCTCAGCCTCCCAAAGTGCTGGGATAACAGGCATGAGTCACTCATTGTGCCCGGCAGCACTAGTATTTTTTTTTTTAAAAGATGAAATCAAACAGAATAGAAAATAGTGTGCACCTCCTGCAGGAAGGCCACTGGTTTGTGCTACACCCGCACGTGAGCCTGTGGCAGACACCATCAGCTGCTCCCAACTTTCCTTTTCCTTTTGTTCCTGAGCACAAGGACTACACTTCCCAGCCTCCTTCACGGTTGGGCGTGGCCACGAGACTGAGGACTGACCAGGAGTGGTGAGTGCAAGGCAAGTGCACCATTTGCAGGCTCGACCCGCAAACCCTCCTGTACTCACTTCCCATGCCCTTGACCCTTTGGCTGGCTGGACACATATGCAGGAAAAGCCCCTGGGGAGATTATAGAGCCACAAGAGTGAAGGACCCTGGGTCCCTGAATAAAGAAAATTGCCTGCCAACCTGTAAACCACCATTCCGCTGTTGGCCATTCGTGACCATGTGTATTTGTCATGGCAGTCTAACCTATGCTAAATTAACAAATGAGATACAAATCATGACATAAAATGTATTGAGAAACCCTGGTTTTAAAAGCCCTTTCCTGCTAGGTTTCCTGTTACAGCTGAAAGCATTCTGATTGAGTCACTGGTTCTTCCTTTGACCCTATGGACATTTTTTTTTTTTTTTTTTTTGAGATGGAGTCTTGTTCTATCGCCCAGGCTGGAGTGCAGTGGTGTGATCTCGGCTCACCGCAACCTCCACCTCCTGGGTTCAAGCAATTCTCCTGCCTCAGCCTCCCAAATAGCCGGGCTTACAGGTGCACACCACCACACCCGGCTAATTTTTTGTATTTTTAATAGAGACTGGTTTCACCATGTTGGTCATGCTGGTCTCAAACTCCTGGTATCAAGTGATCCACCTGCCTTGGCCTCCCAAAGTGCTGGGATTACAGGTGTGAGCCACCATGCCCAGCTGACCCTATGGATTTAAGGAACAATTCTCCCCTCAACAAGGGTTTTGACATTTGGAAGGGATGGGTTCCCCTCAGTGGCTTGGCTAGCCCTATCCTTCCTGACCCTGACACTCTGGGGTTGGGTCCTATGTAAATGCTTCCTGGCTGGCTGGGCACAATGGCTCATGGCTGTAATCCCAGTACTTTGGAAGGCCAAGGTGGGAAGATCACTTGAGCTCAGGAGTTTGAGACCAGCCTGGGCAACATAGCAAGACCTGATCTCTACTAAAAATAAAAAAAGTTAGGCCGGGCGCGGTGGCTCATGCCTGTAATCCCAGCACTTTGGGAGGCCGAGGAGGGTGGATTACAAGGTCAGGAAATCAAGACCATCCTGGCTAACATGGTGTAACCCCATCTCTACTAAAAAAAAATACAAAAAATTAACTGGGCTTGGTGGTGCACACCTGTAGTCCCAGCTACTAGGAAGGCTGAGGCAGGAGAATCACTTAAACCTGGGAGGCGGAGGTTTCAGTGAGCCGAGATCGCACCACTGCACTCCAGCATGGGCGACAGAGGGAGACTCCGTCTCAAAAATAAATAAATAAATAAAAATTTAAAAGTTAGCCAAGCGTGGTGGTGTGTGCCTGTGGTCCCAGCTACTTGGCAGGTGGAGGTAGGAGGATCATTTGAGCCTGTAATATGGAGGCTGCAGTGAGCCATGATCACAGCACTGCACTCTAGCCTGAGTGACAGAGCAAGACGCTATCTCAAAATAAAATAAAATAAAATAAAATAAAAAAGGCCTCCCAGGTTCCTCCCTGTGCCAGCAGTTAGGATATAGTCCCCTTTCTGCCCATGCCTCACCTGCAGCACCAACGAGTCCAGGGCCACCCTCCGAATTTCTGGGACGGGGTAGGGGGCGAAGGCATCATAGTCCGATTCGGCATAGAGGCGGAAGCAGACTCCGGGGCCCGTGCGGCCCGCCCGGCCCTTCCGCTGCTCTGCGCTGGCCTGACTAATCCAGAACTCCTGCAGCCGTTGCAGCTTGGCCTGCGGATCGTAGCTCATCTCCTTCACCTTTCCTGGATGGGAGCAATGAGGAAAGGGAGTCTGTGTGTGGCAGCCACGTGCAGCTGGCCACGCGCCTGGCTCTTGTCACTCGCCAACACCCTCACTTACTCCTTTATTCTGTTAATGCTAACTGAGGGCTTATTCTGGGCCCAACTCTGACATTTTGTTCATTTATTCTTTCATTTCCTCACACATCTTTTTTTTTTTTTTTTTTTTTTTGAGACAGGGTCTCACTGTCTCCCAGGCTGGAGTGCAGTGGCTCAGTCAGAGCTCACTGCAGTCTCAACCTCCCAGGCTCAAGCGATGATCCTACTAGCTCAGCCTCCCGAGTAGCTGGGACTAAAGGTGCACACCAACACACCCGGCTAATTTTTTGCAGTGACGGGGTTTCACAGGCTGATCTCAAACTCCTGGGCTCAAGCAATCTGCCTGCCTCAGGCTCCCAAAGTGATGGGGTTACAAGCGTGGGCCACTGCACCCAGCCTTTCACTCACACATCTTTTCATTTATTTTCCCAAGTCTTTGTTTCTTCAGAGGTTCACTTATCCAATAAATACTTATTAAGCACCTACTATATACCAGGCACTGCACTAGGCACTAGGGGAACAGCAGTGAGCTAAACAAAGGTCCTAGTCTCACAGGACTGAACAGAGCACCATATTTCCTCCAGTGTCAGAACAACCTTTTTTTACATTTTCTTTCTTTTCTTTTTTTGAGATGGAGTTTCACTCTTATTGCCCAGGCTGGAGTGCAATGGCACAATCTCGGCTCACTCTGCCTCCTGAGTTCAAGCGATTCTCCTGCCTCAGCCTCCTGAGTAGCTGGGATTACAGGAACCCGCCACCATGCCCGGGTCATTTTTGTATTTTTAGTAGAGATGGGGTTTCACCATGTTGGCCAGGCTGGTCTTGAACTCCTGACTTCAGGTGATCCACCTGCCTCAGCCTCCCAAAGTGCTGGGATTACAGGCATGAGCCACAGCACCTGGCAGACATTATTTTTTTAATTTCTCTCTCTCTCTTTTTTTTTTAAACAGGGTCTCGCTCTGTTGCCCAGGCTTGAGTGCAGTGGCACAATCACAGGTCACTGCAGCCTCGATTTCCTGGGCTCAGGTGATTCTCCCACTTCAGCCTCCTGAGCAGCTGGGACTACAAGCACGCACTACCATGCCTGGCTAATTTTTGTATTTTTAGTAGGGGCGGAGTTTCACCATGTTGTCCAGGCTGGTCTCAAACTCCTAACTTCAAGTGACCTGCCTGCCTTGGCCTCCCAAAGTGCTGGTATTACATGTGTGAGCCACCGCGCCCAGCCGGGACGGCCTGCCATTGTCATTTTTCAGATGAGCCAACCGATACATGAAGTGTCAGTCACATGACCCCAGCCACACAGCCAGCACTAAACCTGGCCAGGCAGGCTCCAGTGTCTCCAAACACTATGCTATGCTGACTTCCCAGAGAACATTCCAGTCAGGAAGACAGAAAGTGAGCAAACAGAGCAGCACATAAAATAGAATGTCGGGCTGGGCGTGGTGGCTCATGCCCGTAATCCCAGCACTTTGGGAGGCTGAGGCAGGCAGCACTTGAGGTCAGGAGTTCGAGACCAGCCTGGCCAACATGGTGAAACCCCATCTCTCCTAAACATACAAAAATTAGCCGGGCGTGGTGATGCATGTCTGTAATCCCAGCTACTTGGGAGGCTGAAGCAGGAGAATCACTTGAACCCGGGAGGCGGAGCTTGCACCATTGCACTCCAGTCTGGCAACAGAGCAAGACTCCGTCTCAAAACAACAACAACAACAACAACAACAACAACAACAAACAGAATGTCAATCCCCCTCATATGACAAGCAACAGCGGATGGAGGAGGGGATATCTCTTAGACAGAGTGGACAGTATGGGCCTCTCTGACGGGTGGACATTTATGCGGGCCCTGAAATGAGGTGAGGGCGTCACCTGTGTGGATACCTGGAGAAAGACAGCTCTCGGCAGAGAGAACAGTACAAAGGCCCCAGGGCAGAAGCAGGCTTGGAAGGTGTGAGAAAAACTAAGATGTTGCCATTGGTCCATGGCCCCACACATCGTCTTCCAGCATCCCAATTCTGGAAATCCAAAGTCTGAAATGCTCGAAAATCTGAAATGTTTTCAGCACTAACGTGACCCTCCAATGAAATGCTCACTGGAGGATTTCAGATTTCTGGATTTGACATACTCAAATAATAAAATTGATACAAATATTCCAAATTCAAAAAAACCCGAAATTCCAAACACTTCTGGTTGCAAGCAAGCATTTTGGATATGGGAAAGTCAACTGTACTTCCCAATCCAAGCTGGTGCGCCCCTGCCACACACGCACACCTCCGGACCCCATGCTCCTAAGTCCTTGGGGGTGGTGGGTAGGGGCTCATGGTGGTCCTTACCGGAATCTACTACGAAGCGGATCCCGTCAATGGTGACTGAGGTCTCAGCAATGTTGGTGGAGAGGATGCATTTCCGGACTCCAGGGGGTGCCACATCAAATACCTGGGAGGAAGGGAGGGGGTGGTGTCAGGAACTAACTCAGCCCCGACTAACCTATGTGTCCAATTTCTTGCCCACCCCCGTGTCAGCAGCTTCCCTGGAACCCTTTCCTCCTTCAGAGACCTCCCTTTTGGAGATGGCTCACCGTCCACCCCATCACCTGGGCCATCCTGGGCCCTCCCCCACCCTCAGACGGAGTCTTGCTCTGTCGCCCAGGCTGGAGTGCAGTGGCGTGATCTCGGCTCACTGCAACCTCTGCCTCCCGGGTTCAAGCAATTATCTTGCCTCAGCCTCCCGAGCAGCTGGGATTACAGGTGCCCGCCACCATGCCCGGCTAATTTTTGTATTTTAAGTAGAGACGGGGTCTCACCATGTCGGCCAGGCTGGTCTTGAACTCTTGACCTCAGGTGATCCGCCTGCCTTGGCCTCCCAATGTGCTGGGATTACAGGCATGAGCCACCACACCTGCTCCCCCGACCTGAACATCTTGAACTTTTTTTTTTTTTTTTGAGACAGGATCCCACTCTGTGGCCTACAATGGAGTGCAGTGGCGTGATCACAGCTCACTGCAGCCCTGACCTCCTGAGCTCATGCGATCCTCCTGCATCAGCCTCCCAAGTAGCTGGGATTATAGGCACATGCCACCATGCCCAGCTAGTTTTCTTCCGTTTTGTAGAGACAAGGTCTCACTGTGTTGCCTAGGATGGTCTCTAACTCCTGAGCTCGAGTGATCCTCCTGTCTCAGCTTCCTGTGCTGGGATTATAGGCATGAGCCAATGTACCAGGCCATCTGGAACTTTTCTTGAAATCCTTCCCTCCTCCGACAGCCCAGCCCCTGCCCTGGTCCAGGCCTCTCCTCGCCCACTCTGATCCTACTCCAGCTTCCCCTCAGATCTCTGGCCTGTAGACTCACATGGCAGCCAGAGGGATCTGCTGAAGCATAAACTGGCACTGCCCCCACTAGGGGAGGATCGCTTGAGCTCAGGAGTTTGAAACCAGCCTGCGCAACACAGTGAGACCTCTTTGCTACTAAAATTCAAAAAAAAATTAACGGAGGCCGGACACAGTGGCTCACACCTGTAACCCCAGCACTTTGGGAGGCTGAGGCAGGCAGATCACTTGAGGTCAGGAGTTCGAGACCAGCCTGGCCAACATGGCGAAACCCCGTCTCTACTCAATATACAAAAGATTAGCCGGACGTGGTGGCGGGTGCCTGTAGTCCCAGCTACTCAGGAGGCTGAGGCAGGAGAATCGCTTGAACCCGGGAGGTGGAGATTGCAGTAAGCCACGATCATGCCACTGCACTCCAGCCTGGACGACAGAGTGAGACTCTGTCCCAAAAAGAAAAAAAAATTAATGGAGTTTAGTGACACACACCTATAGTTGCTACTTGGGAGACTAAGGAGAGAGGATCACTTGAGCCCAAGAAGTCAAGGCTGCAGTGAGCCCTGATCGTGCCACTGCACTCCAGCCTGGACAACAGAGCAAGACCCTGTTTCAAAAAAAAAAAAAAACTGTTTTGGAACACAGCCTCACCCACTCAGTTTATGGCTGCTTTCATGCTGCAACAGTGGGGCTGAGTAGCTGTGACAGACAGAGAGCCCATGGTCGATAGGACTGACATCATCTACTCCGACCCTTTATAGAAAGTTTGCCGACCTCTGGTTTAGAGCATGGGCTCCGGGGCCAGACTACCTGGGTTCGCAGCCTGGCTCTGCCACTAGGTGGCTACGACTTTGCACAAGTACAGCCCCCGAGCCCTGTGTTTGTGGAGTTACACAAGTCCTGTGCGCAGCCACCCCTGACTCATGCAGACCCCCCGCCTGCCCCACTCGGGCTTCCTGTGATACCTTGTCCTGGTCGGCCACAGACAGGGCGCTGTGCAGTGGCAGTACCACCCAGCGCTGGGTGTGGCTGGCATAGGTCTGGGCAGCCTCCAGCACGGCGCTGATCTCCGCCATGCCGCTGAGGAAGACGAGGAGGTCACCCCGCTCCTCAGGCGGGTACTTGTGGTCAATGGACTCCAGCACCCTCAGGAAAGGCCGCGGGTCCAGCTTCTCTGACTTGGACGTGGTCGGCTCCGCCTCCTGCGGCTGGTACACAACCTGAGAGGAGACAGCCCCAGGTAGAAGCACACCCTGTCCCTCCAGCTCAGAGCAATGGGCTGGGGAGGCTGCAGGCTGACGGGGGAGACCACAGGCTAACGGAGAAGACACAGTGCAACGGGTCCAGGCTGGTGGGCAACTCTGTTCCATGTGGTCATTCAGGGATCCAGGCTTCTCCTTTCTCATTATGCCACCATCTCATTGGGCAGGATTTCTCAAAGTCAGCAAGATTGACATTTCAGTCTGGATAATTCCTTGTCGTGGGGGCTGTCCTGTGCATCGTAGGATATCTAGCAGCATCCCTGGCCCTACCCACTAGATGCTAGTAGTCTTCTCCACTGCTTGTGACTATTAAAAATGTCTCCAGACATTGCCATATGTTCCCTCTGGGGCAAAACCACCCCTAATTGAGAAACAGTCAGGTGACAGACAGCACACTCCAGCTAGATAATTTCTGAAGGATGTAATAAAAAGACAAAGTAACAAAGCAACTGCAAGGCTTGTGGGGTGCTGGCAATGTTTGACTTTTCTAAACCTGGGTGCTAGCTACACAGATGTATGTAACTGGTGAAAACTAATTAAGCTATATACTTACAATGCATGCATTATCTTATGTTTAGAGTAGCTTCAACAAGAAAAATATTCTAGGTGATGAAACCAGGATTAAAAACCTAGAAATCAGGTTGGTTGGCTGACCAGGAGAGGACCCTGAGCCTGAGCCAGGTTGGTTGGCTGATTTCCCAGCATAGTTGGCTCACACCTGTAATCCTAGCTCTTTGGGAGGCCAAGGCGGGAGGATTGCTTGAGCTCAGGTATGCGTGACCAGGCAGACAACATAGCAACACGTCGTCTCTACTAAAAAAAACAAAAAACAAAAAACAAAAACCCTAGAAAACATTTCTCAGGAAGCAGCCTCATTCTTTTTGAGACAGGGTCTCGCTCTGTCACCCAGTGGCATGATCTCGGCTCACTGCAGCCTCCACCTCCCAGGTTCAAGCAATTCTCCCACCTCAGCCTCCTGAGTAACTGGGATAACAGGGGCGCACCACCACTCGAGCTAATTTTTGCATTTTTAGTAGAGACGGGGTTTTACCTTGTTGGCCAGGCTGGTCTCGAACTCCTGACCTTAGGTGATCCACCCGCCTCGGCCTCCTAAAGTGCTGGGATTATAGGCATGAGCCACCACACTCGGCTCGCACTCTCTCTCTCTCTTTCTTTTCTTTCTTTTTTTTTTTTTTGAGATGGGATCTTGCTCTGTTCCCAGGGTGGAGTGCAGTGGAGCCATCTTGGCTCACTGCAACCTCGACCTCCGGGTTCAAGCAATTCTCCTGCCTCAGCCTTCCAAGTAGCTGGGATTACAGGCGTGCGTCACCATGCCCAGCTAATTTTTGTATTTTTAGTGGAGATGGGATTTCACCATGTTGGCCAGGATGGTCTTGGGCTCCTGACCTCGTGATCTTTCTGCCTTAGCCTCCCAAAGTGCTGGGATTACAGGCACCAGCCACCGTGCCCGACCCATTCTTTCTTTTTTTATGGCTGCTTAGAAGGCAAATTGATGGGCATCCGGAACCAGAAATCACAAGAGACAATGAAGTTCTTCCTGTAAGTCTTGACTATACAGACAAGGATAACTCACTAGGACAGTGTTTCTCAATTAGGGGTGGTTTTGCCCCAGAGGGAACATATGGCAATGTCTGGAGACATTTTTAATAGTCACAACCAGAGGAGAAGACTACTAGCATCTAGTGGGTAGGGCCAGGGATGCTGCTAGATATCCTACAATGCACAGGACAGCCCCCACGACAAGGAATTATCCAGACTGAAATGTCAATCTTGCTGACTTTGAGAAATCCTGCCCAGTGAGATGGCAGAGTAATGACAAAGGAGGAGCCCGGATCCCTGAATGACCACATGGAACAGAGTTGCCCAACAGCCTGGACCAGCCACACTGTTATATGAGAGAAATAAACTTCTCTTATTTGAGACTTTACATTTTTGGGTCTTTTTTTTTTTTGAGACAAAGTCTCACTCTGTCACCTAGGCTGGAGTGCAGTGGCGCGATCTCGGCTCACTGCAAGCTCCGCCTCCCAGGTTCACGCCACTCTCCTGCCTCAGCCTCCCGAGTAGCTGGGACTACAGGCACCCACCACCATGCCTGGGTAATTTTGTTTTTGTGTTTTTAGTAGAGATGGGGTTTCACCATGTTAGCCAGGATGGTCTCAATCTCCTGACCTCGTGATCCACCCACCTCGGCCTCCCAAAGTGCTGGGATTACAGGCATGAGCCACGGCGCCCAGCCATTTTTGGGTCTTCTTGTAACAGCTTTTACTCTAACAAGCACTTAGCACTCTAACCAGCTGATTATGAATGCTCAGAAAATGGTAGCTTTAAAAAAAGAGAACATCTTTAAATGAAAGAGATGGGAGATACAGCAGCAGAGAGAAGAGGCATGTCCAGGTTTGGACAGAGACCAGGTTGGAGGTCTGGGGATGTGGGAGGAGGGGGAAGTACTCACCGTGATGGGGAACAGCCTCCCAGGCACCTGTACCACAGGGGCATTGCTGAAATAGCTGGAGAAGAGCGAGATGTTGATGGTGGCCGACATGAGGATGACCTTGAGGTCAGGCCGCGTGGGCAACAGGCGCTGGAGGACGCCCAGGAGGAAATCGTTGTGGAGATGCCGCTCATGGACTTCATCCACAATCAGGACCTCATACTGGGGCAGGCTGGGTTCCCGCTGGATTTGTCGCAGGAGCAGCCCCACTGTCAGGAATACAATCTTGGTGGCCGCCGAACGTGTGCTCTCAAAGCGGATCTGGTAGCCGACCTGGGGTGGGAGAAAGAAAGGATCAGGAGAGGACCCTGAGCCTGGGTACCAGCCCCTGGCCCTGCCCAAATTGAAAATCTAAGCAGGCCGGGTGCGGTGGCTCACGCCTGTAATCCCAGCACTTTGGGAGGCAGAGGCGGGCGGATCACCTGAGGTAGGGAGTTCGAGATCCGCCTGACTAACATAGAGAAACCCCATCTCTACTAAAAATACAAACAAAATTAGCCGGGCGTGGTGGCGCATGCCTGTAATCCCAGCTACTTGGGAGGCTGAGGCAGGAGAATCACCTAAACCCGGGAGGCGGAGGTTGCAGTGAGCCAAGATCGCACCATTGCACTCCAGCCTGGGCAACAAGAGTGAAACTCCATCTCAAAAAAAAGAAAAAGCAAAAAGAAAATCTAAGCAAATACCATGCCTACCCATCAGACTCTGGAGTCCAACAGCTTGGGTTTGAATCTCACCTCTGCCACTTAGTGCCAACTGACCTTGGGCAGGCAATGCCATCCCTTATAGTTCTCCTCCTAGATGCTGTGAGAATTCCATGTGACAATGCACAGAAAGTATCTAGCACTGTGCCTCATGTATATATAATATTAACTATATAGCAATAACCTTTTCTTGAGTCCCTGCTATGTGCCAGGACATTATATGCCACTCTAAGTGCTTTATGTATATCAACCCATTTCATCCTCATGACCACCATGAGACAGAAGGACTATTATTGGCCTTCCAAGATGGCAGTTTGCATTGCAGTGATCGTCAAGAATTACCCTCGCAGCCCAACGTGGTGGCTCACACCTGTAATCCCAAAACTTTGGGAGGCCGAAGTGGGTGGATCACCTGAGGTCAGGAGTTTGAGCCCAGCCTGACCAACATGGTGAAACCCCGTCTCTACTAAAATTACAAAAATTAGCTGGGCATGGTGGCGGGTGCCTGTAATCCCAGCTACTCAGGAGGCTGAGGCAGGAGAATTGCTTGAACCCGGGAGGCAGAGGTTGCAGTCAGCCAAGATCGCACCAATGCACTCCAGCCTGGGCCACAGAGTGAGACTCCGTCTCAAAAAAAAAGTGATGAGCCTTTAGGACATTTCCCATTGTTTTGCTGTTAAAGTGCTACACTGGTTAATGCTAGCTCCTTTGTCATGTAGACCACAGACAAGCCACTCTGTGGATAAAGTTCTAGAAGAATCATCGCTGGGTCCAAGGGTAAGTGCTTCATTTTTATTGATACTGCCATATGGACAAGCAACCTATTCCCCCAAGGTCACGCTGGAAAAATCGGAAACCTGGTGCGTCCCACTCACCTGTGAGCCATACTGACTGAGGCTCTCAAAGCCCACACGCTTGGCCAGTGAGATGCAGGCGATCCGCCGGGGCTGGGTGCACGCCACATGACTGAAGCCAGCAGCCAGCAGGTACTGGGGCACCTGAGTGGACTTGCCACAGCCGGTGTCACCGGCCACTACCACCACCTGGTGCTCCTTCAGCGTCTGCAGGATGCGGTTCCCATACTGGGCGATGGGGAGGGCTGCCCGCTCACGCTGCAGCTTGGCCAGACGCCCAAATGCCTGCTTCTGGCCAAAGTCCAGGTAGTGCAACAGGGCTCGGCGGAACTCAGCCACTCTCTCCGCGGGCAAGTGCCTGCCCAGTCCCTGAGAGCCCCGCGTGGCAGGGCCAAGAACAGAGAGGTTGATGCGGTAACGTGGGTCGTAAGTGCGAGGTAGGTCGGCCAGCGCTGGGATGCTGTGCTTGGGCTGTCCAGGGTCTTTCTCCTCCTTCCTGGAGGTCTTGAGATTCTGGAATCTCTGCAGGCGTTCAAAGAAGGTCCAAAACTTCTGACATTCCTCAGAACCCTGACGGATGTAATCCTCTTCACGGAAGAAGGCATCTTCCAAGAGGCGACGCGTCTCTGGACAATTCCAGTCCCATTTCTCCAAGGCCTCTTCCTCGCTGGGAGCCCGGTGGTGGTCTCGGCGATCCCTGCCCTCCCTTGTTCTAGGAGGAGGCATGTTACTAATCCACAATAGGAGTCTCAGTTCTGATCACCCAAAACAAATATTCTCATCCATTCCCCACCTGCAACAATTTAAGAGGCCAGTGCCTGCAATAGAGAACTACTTTCTCTTCAAAGAGCTAATTTTTCCTCCTGGTCACGGCACAGGACCACCACAGATGATAAAGTGGCCAGAGGCCTGCTTGAGCTGGTGACACAAAGGGTACCTCATGACATCTGCAGTGATCTCTGGGATGGACACAAGTTCATTCTGGGTTTTCAGGCCCTGGATTCTTAAGAGAGAGAACAGAAGACATTAATTCTCTTTTGGGAACATTGCTTTTTTTGGTTTTGTTTTGTTTTTTTCTTTTTGAGGCAGGGTCTCACTCTGTTTCCCAGGCTGGAGTGCAGTGCCGTAATCATGGCTCACCACAGCCTCGACCTCCTGGACTCAAGCGATCCTCCCGCCTCAGCCTCCCGAGCAGCTGGGACTACAGGCACATGCCACCACACCCAGCTAATTTTTTACTGTTTGTAGAGATGAGATCTCACTATGTTGCCCAGGTTGATATCAAACTTCTGGGCTCAAGCAATTCCCCCACCTTAGCCTCCCAAAGTGTTGGGATTACCAGTGTGAGCCACCATGCCCAGCCCATTTTTAGAAACATTTCTAACAGCCTGTTTCTTAAGCACTGAACTAGAAAAAGGAGGTAATGAATATGACTACCAGAGTCCTCACAGACGGCCATGATCACATGATCTCTCATGTGACACACACGTCATCAGACTGTGACAATCCAGTGATGGGGACTGTGATAACAGAATCCTAGGGAGCTGTGGGACACCAAAGGAGGTTCCTCCTCCTTCCCATGCTTGGGAATCAGGGAAGGATCCTGGGAGGAGGGGATGTTTCACCTGAGACCTAAAGGAGAGATGTAGGTCACATGGCCAACCAACAGCAGAACCTTGTCTCCACAGGCAGTAATAGGAGAGAGGTGTGATATAATGAAAAGAATAAGGCAAGGGTTCTTCACCCGGGGTCCAGTGAGATTCAGAACATTGAGATAAAAGGCAAAATTTTGCAAGTGTTATATGTAATTTTTGCCTGCCTGGCACAACCCTTTACTTCTTTTCTGAGGACAGTATCCACCTTCCTTTGGACAACAGCCCTTCCTCGATTCTACATGGTTCTGAGGGCCTTTAAGACAAAGAACCCCTATTGGGTAGGCAAGTAACAAAGACCTGGCCAGTCTTAGTAGTCTACTCCCCCTCTAACCAAGGATTGGCCTGAGAAGCGGACACATGATCCAAGAAGGGCCAATCAGGGCCCTTTTGTGGAATTTACACTCGGTTGCTAGGACAGAAAAGCTCTCATTTTATCCATCATAATCAGGCAAGTTTGATATAAGCCTGGAGCTCTTTGTGGTAGCTCTGGAACATGACAGAGTCTTTCCTAAAATCTATCCTAGAGAAATAACTAGATACAGGCACAAGAATGGTCACTGCACCACAGGGAGAGGTGAAAGAGGGAGAGGAAGAGAAGCTTGGCAACATCATTTAGGTCTTGAAGCTTAGTTCCCTTCAACCCCCCACTTCTCAGCTACACCAGAAAATGCCTTTTTGCTTACAGTTGGAGTCTTTTTTGTTTTGAGATGGAGTCTTGCTCTGTCACCCAGGCTGGAGAAAAAAAATTAGCCAGGTGTGGTGGCGGGCACCTGGCTACTCGGGTAGTCCCAGCGACTCGGGAGGCTGAGGCAGGAGAATCACTCGAACCCTGGAGGCAGAGCTTGCAGGAAGCCAAGACTGAGCCACTGCACTCCAGCCTGGGCAACAGAGCGAGACTCTGTCTCAAAAAAAAAAAAAAAAAAAAAAAAAGAAAAAGAAAATGAGAGCATTCTTCTGAGGCTAGAAACTGCTTATGCATGCTGGGCCCCACTGACAGCATCCCGCTCCTCTCAAGGTATCTATCTTTTTTGGCTTCTAGATTGTCTGCATCTTCTAGTTTCTGTATAACTGTGTCTCTGACCATCTTTTGGTCTCTTGGCCTATTTGCCCTGGGCTCATGGCCTTCAGTGGGTTTGTTTCCCCCTCTGTCCCCTCCATCTCTCTCCACTCCATCTTCAGGCCTCTGTCTCTTTTTCAGTCCGTCTTGTTCATCATCACCCTCATCTCTCTTCCCTGTCCTAGTCAGCTCGCATCTCTCTTCACTTATGAGTCATTCTGTAGTCTGATTTTTCTCTGTAATCCAACTCTTCCTTTCTCCATCTCTCTTCAGTTCTCCATTTGACTTTCTCCATCTTTCTCATTAAAAAAAAAATGCTTTTTCAGGCCGGGCATGGTGGCTCACGCCTATAATCCCAGCACTTTGGGAGGCTGAGGCAGGCAGATCACCTGAGGTCGGGAGTGCGAGACCAGCCTGACGAACATGGAAAAATCCCGTCTCTACTAAAAATACAAAATTAGCCAGGGTGGTGGCACCTGCCTGTAATCCCAGCTACTCTGGAGGCTGAGGCAGGAGACTCGCTTGAACCCAGGAGGCAGAGGTTGCAGTGAGCCAAGATCGCACCACTGCACTCCAGCCTGGGCAACAAGAGCGAAACTCCATCTCAAAAAAAAAAAAAAAAAATTCATTTTTGTTTTTTTGAAACAGGGTCTCACTCTGTCACCCAGCCTGAAGTGCAGTGGCACAATCACGGCGTACAGCAGCCTCGACCTCCCAAGCTCAAGTGATCCTCCCACCGCAGCCTCCCAAAGTGCTGTGGATGACAGGAGTGAGTCACCACGCCCTTTCTCATTTTCTGTTTGAATCTTTTTTTCCTCCCTTTTGTCCTTCCAGTATTCACTCTCCATCACCACCTCTCTCCATTTCCCCATCTAATACTTTATCTCCCAATATCAGAAGCTTTAGTAATAGCTCATGCTTACTTACTCACATTAACACACAGACCTATCCTATCTGCATGATCTATTCCTATCCCACACCTATGTACATACACACACACACTTTTCTCACGACTGTCAGGCACTATGATCACCCCCTATTTTACTGAGCAATAGAGAGGCTAAGTGAGTAGCCGAGTGTTACATGAGCCACTCAAATCCAGGGGTTCGGGCTCCACTCCCTCGCTTTTCCATTTCTCAGCATCGTTCTCCATTATCTCCAGCTTTTGTGGGGTTCTTCCTATTTCAACTGTCTCCATCCTTCCGTATCTCTCGGTCTCCCCCGTGATTCAGTGTCTCGTTTCTCCATCTAAATTCCATTTTTTCTGTTTCTAGTGTCCACGATCAGTTTCCGACTTTTCCCTCCACTCCCCAAGTTCATGGGCGACCACGCCTCTCGGCCTCGTGGGCTCTAAGACTCTCGCTGGAACCCATCGGCACTCTCGCCCACGCTCTCTAGTTTTCAGCTTCCCTCCTCTCCCAACACCCTCGTCTTTCAGTCCCTCAGTTTCTCGAAGCTTCTTTTCGTGCCTCCATTTCTTTCGGTCTCTGGCCTGTCGCCCAGGTTCTCCCAGGGACGCTCAGGTGCCATCTCTGTCCGCGTTTGCCGGCCCTTCGGCTGCCTCCTACATTTCTCCTCATCTCGAGACTTCCCTCGCCCCTGGACTCGCACCCCAAACTACCCCCAAGCGGCCCAACTCCGACAGCCATCGCCGCCACAACCCGGTACACCCGTCCCGCCCCCCTCACTTACCACACGCCGCGAACGCCTTAACTTCCGGTCCCAAGAGCGCTAGTCTTGCGCCTGCGCACACAGCCATCTCGTTCTGACCCCGCCCCGCCACCACAGAAGAGCCAATCGGAAGCTCTGGGCTGCCCAAGACCCATCTTGCGCCTGTGCACAGCACGCTTCCGCCCCGCCTCGCTTGGGGCGGAGCCTCGAGTGATTGCGCCCTCTAGAGGCCAGTAGAGGCATTGCGGTACAGACTTGCAAGCGCCTCCTCCCCGGCCCCGCCCTCTCCTCCCCAAGCATAGCCACGTGCGCCTCAGCTCCGGGACGCCGGGGTTTTAACCCAAAGAGAGAGCTGGTCTGGGGCCCAGGAACTTTTTTTTTTCTTTTGAGACATAGTCTCACTGTCTCCCAGGCTAGAGTGCAGTGGCGTTATCTCACCTCATTGCAATCTCCGCCTCCCAAGTTCAAACCATTCTCCTGCCTCAGCCTCTCGAGTAGCTGGGATTACAGGCGCACACCACTACACCTGGCTGATTTTTGTATTTTTAGTAGAGACGAGGTTTCACGATTTGGGCCAGGCTGGTCTCCAGCTCCTGATCTCAAGTGATCCGCCCGCCTTGGCCTCCCAAAGCACTGAGATTACAGATGTGGGGCATCTCACTCAGCCTCTACCTCTTTTCTTTCTACAACCCCATTTTCTGTTACCTTTCTCTGCAATAAACTCAATCACACACATTCAGGAAGACCCCCAAGTATAGAAACAATCTCATTAGCCAGCAATGCACCCTCTCTTTTATTAACTGAAAGAAGAAACAGCTGGGCACGGCGGCTCACGCCTGTAATCCCAACAGTTTGAGAGGCCGGGGTAGGTGGATCACCTGAGGTCAGGCGTTCCACACCAGCCTGGGCAATATGGCCAACCCCTGTTTCTACAAAAAAATACAAAAGTTAGTCGGATATGGTAGTGTGTGCCTGTAGTCCCAGCTACTCAAGAGGCTGAGGTGGGAGGATCGATTGAACCTAGGAGGCTGAGAGACTGAGGCTGCAGTGAGCCATGATGGTACCACCGCACTCCAGCCTGGGTGACAGAGCCAGACTGTCTCAAAAAAAGAAAAAAGTGTTGTTGTTTTTTTTTTCTGAGACGGAGTCTCGCTGTCGCCCAGGTTGGAGTGCGGTGGCGCGATCTCGGCCCACTGCAGGCTCCGCCTCCCAGGTTCCCGCCATTCTCCTGCCTGAGCCTCCCGCATAGCTGGGACTACAGGCGCCCGCCACCACGCCCGGCTAATTTTTTGTATTTTTAGTAGAGACGGGGTTTCACTGTGTTAGCCAGGATGGTCTCGATCTCCTGACCTCGTGATCCGCCCACCTCGGCCTCCCAAAGTGCTGGGATTACAGGCATGAGCCACCGTGCCTGGCCAGAAAAAAGTTCTATGTCTAAAAAAAAGAAGGACTCTAAAGTTTTTGGCCTGAGCATTTGGAAATATGGAGTCACCATCTACTACCATCAGGAAGACGTGGGAGAGAGGCTAGAGAGAAAATCCGAAGATCTGTTTTCAGCATATTGTTTGAGTTATGCATTGGACATCAACTGGGGATGTCAAGTGGAACGTTGGATATAATTATCAAGCCTCTGGAAAACAACTTAGAGATAGAGAAGCCAATTCATACATTATTATCAAAAGAAGAAGAATAAATGGACTAAGCATTCTGCTTAAAATTTCCAAACAAGGCCAGGTGCGGTGGCTCACGCCTGTAATCCCAGCACTTTGGGAGGCCGAGGCAGGTGGATTACCTGAGGTCAGGAGTTCGAGACCAGCTAAGCCAACATGATGAAATCCCGTCTCTACTAAAAATATAAAAAATTAGCCAGGCATGATGACGGACACCTGTAATCCCAGCTTCTCGGGAGGCTGAGGCAAGAGAATCGCTTGAACCCAGGAGGTGGAGGTTGCAGTGAGCCAACATCGCATCATTGCACTCTAGCCTGGGCGACAAGGAGAAACTCTGTCTCAAATAAACAAACAAACAAATAAATAAATAAATAAATAATCCAAACAATAATTATAATTTTTAAAAAAGGAAAATTGGAGGAAATGAACAACAAATGGAAATCAACAAGAAAGCCACAGTCTATCAACCATAGGATTGTATAGCAAGCTTGAGACTAGTTCTTAGAGAAATTATTAATAACTTGGTTCTTTGAAAACTTAAGGAAATCAATATTTCTATGGTAAAAAAACAAATAGCAGAAATAGACAAACTTTAGAACAAAAAAGGGAAGTTATAGCAAAACAGATGGCTTTTAATAATCAAAGGTATTTTATGTAACATTGCACAGACTTAAATTTGAAAATTCCCGTGAAATGTATTCCAGTTCAAAAAAGAAGGGCTAATGATCTACAAAATGAAAACATTTCAAAAACCACAAAAGATGTTTTGTAAAAGTTATCAAAGAATGCTCCTAAGTGGCAACTGGTCCCAATAGATTAATGGGAGGATTTTGCAAACTTTAAGCCCCAAAGCGGGGTTTTAGCCCACGAGGGTTCTTGGCTTTGCCCAGAAAAGAATTCAAAGGTGAGCAGGGGCAAGGCAGGGGAAAACAGCTTGCTTTCTTTCCTTCCTTCTTTCTGTCTTTGTGTCTTTCCTTCTTTCTTACTATTTTTTTTTTTTAGACGGAGTCTTGCTCTGTCACCCAGGCTGGAGTGCAGTGGTGTGATCTCGGCTCACTGCAAGCTCCGCCTCCTGGGTTCACGCCATTCTCCTGCCTCAACCTCCCGAGTAGCTGAGTCTACAGGCTCCCGCCAACACGCCTGGCTAATTTTTTGTATTTTTAGTAGAGACAGGGTTTCACTATGTTAGCCAGGATGGTCTTGATCTCCTGACCTCAGGTGATCCACCTGCATTGGCCTCCCAAAGTACTGGGATTACAGACATGAGCCACCACGCCCAGCCTATACCTATTTTTAGCCTATACCTATTTATATAGGTATAAAAATAGCCTATACCTATTTTTAATTACATGTAGATTAAGGGGCAGTTTATGCAGAAATATCTAGGGAAGGGGCAGTAACTTCTGGGTCATGGGGTCATTGCCATGGGAAGGGGCAGTAACTCCTGGGTGTGTTGCCATGGCAATGGCAAACTGACATGGCACACTGGTAGGCGTGTCATAGAAAGTTGCTTCGGGCCAGGCGTGGTGGCCCACACCTGTAATCCCAGCACTTTGGGAGGCCGAGGTGGGCAGATCACCTGAGTCAGGAGTTCAAGACCAGCCTGGCTAATATGGCGAAACCCCATCTCTACTAAAAAATACAAAAATATTAGCTGGGCATGGTGGCATGCGCCTGTAGTCCCAGCTACTCGGGAGGCTGCGGCAGGAGAATCACTTGAATCCGGAAGGTGGAGGTTGCAGTGAGCCGAGATCGTGTCACTGCACTCCAGCCTGGGTAACAGAGCAAGACTCCTTCTCCAAAAAATAAAAATAAATAAAAATAATAAGTTGCTTCAGCCTCCTCCCTGTTTTAGCTGGTCCTCAATTTGGTCCAATATTCGAGCCGAGCCCCATCTCCAGAGTTGAGTCCTGCCTCCTACCTCAAAGGAGCTGTATAAATTGTTCCACAACAAATTTTATTTTACAAGACAGCCTTGGTCTTAATTCACGCATGATAATTCAGAGTAAAATACTAAGTAATAAAATATCAGGCCGGGCGTGGTGGCTCATGTCTGTAATCCCAGCACTTTGGGAGGCCGAGGCGGGTGGATCACCTGAGGTCGGGAGTTCGAGACCAGCCTGGCCAACATGGAGAAACCCCGTCTCTACTAAAAATAAAAAAAAAAAAACATTAGCTGGGTTTGGTGGCACACGCCTGTAGTCCCAGCTACTGGGGAGGCTGAGGCAGGAGAATCGCTTGAACCTGGGAGGCGGAGGCTGTGGTGAGCTGAGATCGTGCCATTGCACTCCAGCCTGGGCAACAAGAGTGAAACTCCGTCTCAAAAAAAAAAAAAAAAAAAAAAAGTGATACCAGTGCTTTCTGACTGAGCTCCTGTCTACCCTGAATCCAATAGATCCTAAGAGTTAGGCAGGTATATCGTCACCCCTGTCCAGCCTGAAGAAGTCACAGAAGTTGTATCTTCCTCCCTCTACAACCCTTAGGATTAAAGGTTCTCTTATAAAAGGGAGCGGGGAAATGTCAGAGGCATGTGAACCAGAGTGACTCCATCTTGAACAGGAGCTGGGTGAAATAAGGCTGAGACCTATGGGCTGCATTCCCAGGAGGTTAGGTATTCTAAGTCAAGGATAAGGCCGGGAACGGTGGCTCATGCCTGTATTCCCAGCACTTTGGGAGGCCAAGGTGGGTGGATCACCTGAGGTCAGGAGTTCGAGACCAGCCTGGCCAACATGGTGAAACCCTGTCTCTACTAAAAATACAAAAATTAGCCAAGTGTGGTGGCAGCGCCTGTAATCCCAGCTACTCGGGAGGCTGAGGCATAAGAATCGCTTGAACCCGGGAGGTGGAGGTTGCGGTCAGCCGAGATCGTGCCACTACAATCCAGCCTGGGTGACAGAGCAAGACTTCATCTCAAAAAAATAAAATTAAATTAAATTAAAAAAAATTAGTCCAGTTGTTACCCTTGGGGAATTTACAGTTTAGCTGGGACCTTGTGTTCCAGAGACTCAGAGAAAGGAAGAGCCCATTCTTTCTGGAAGGAGCATAAATCAGGGAGGGCTTCCTGGAGGAAGTGACATTTGAGGGACGCCTTGAAGGAAATTATTGATGATGAAGAGCAAGAGCATTGGAGTCAAAACTGGGATCAAATTCCAGCTGTCTGGTGTTCTTGCTGTGTGATCTTGGGTAAATGACCTCCCCTCCCAGGACCTCAGCTTATAAAATGAAGCATGCCACCCTATCTCCCTGGGCTGTTGTGAGAATGACCTTAAAGGAGAAACTATATGTGAAGTGCTGTTCTGGAGTAATGACCGCAGACACAGGTATCACTACTATGTTATTTATTTATTTATTTATTTAGCGGCAGGGTCCCGCTCCGTCACCTAGGCTAGAGTGCAGTGATGAGATCACGGCTCACTGCAGCCTCAACCTCCCAGGCTGAAGCAATCCTCCCACTTCAGTCTCCCTAGTAGCTGGCACTACAGGCATGTGCCACCAAACCAGGCTAATTTTCTTTTTTTTATTTTTGTAGAGATGGGGTCTTGCTCTGTTGCCCAGGCAGGTCTCCAGCTTCTGGGCTCAAGGGATCCTCCCGACTGGGCCTCCGAAAGTGCTGGGATCACAGGCGTGAGCCACCATGCCTGGCCTACCATGTAATTTAAAAGATCTGAGCAGGTAGAGTTCAAAAGTAAATTCTAGAACAGCATTTTGTAACAGAAATCTCTGTTATGATGGCAATGTTCTATAGCTGTGCTGTCGAATATGGCAGTCACCAGCCATATGTGGCTACTGAGCACTTGAACTATGGCCAGTGTGCCCGAGGAACTAAATTTGAAATGAAAATTTATTCTTTCTTTCTTTTTTTTTTTGAGATGGAGTCTCATTCTGACATCCAGGCTGGAGTGCAGCGGTGTGATCTAAGCTCACTGCAAACTCCACTTCCCGGGCTCAAGCAATCTACCTGCTTTAAGGAGGATTGAAGCAGAAGGATTCAAGCAACTCCCTCCTCAGTAGCTGGAACTACAGGCACGCCCCACCACGTCTGGCTAATTTTTGTATTTTTTGTAGAGATGGGGTCTTGCTATGTCGCCCAGGCTGGTCTCAAACTCCTGGGCTCATGCAATCCTCCCACCTCGGCCTCCCAAAGTGCTGAGATTATAGGCAGGAGCCACCAGGCCTGGCCAATTGATTCGAATTTGAATAGCCACAGATGGCTCTTGATTGTTGAACTGCACAACATAGATCAGAAGGACATTCCAGCCAGTGGCACAGCTTCAGGAAAGATGCAGAAGCGTGAATATAGCCCGAAGGGTGTGTATTAGCTTCCCACGGCTGCTATAACAAATCACCCCAAACATAGTGACTTAAAACAATACAAATGTATTTTCTTAAAGGTCTGCGGATCAGAGGTCTAAAAGTGTCAGGAGGTCTGTGTTCCTTCTGGGAGCTTCAGAGAGAATCTGTTTCCTTGTCTGTTTCAGCTTCTGGAAGCTGCCTGCATTTCTTGGCACCTCCTCACGTCACTATGACATCTGCTTCCGTTGTCACCTCCTGTGACTGACCCTGACCCTCCTGCCTCCCTCTTAAAAGGACCCTCGTGACTCCATTGAGCCCACCCAGACAATCCAGGATAACCACCCCTTCTCAAGATCCTTTACTTAATCTCACCTGCAAAGTCCCTTTTGCCATGGAAGGTCACCTCTTCACAGGTTCAGGGGATTAAGATGTGGACATCACCGGGGGTCATGATTCTGATTGCTACAGGGTCTGAGAAGCTAGAGAGTAAGTGTGTCCAGTGGTGGAGAGAAGCCTTGAATGCCGAGCTAAGGAGCCTGGACTTGGCCTTTCCTTCAAAATAGATGCATGACCTGTCAGCCTCTCACCACCTCAGCTCTGTTACCCTGATCCAAATCGCTATCACCTCCTGCTTGGACCATTACAGTAGCCTCCTCTCTGGGATCTTCACTGCCCCTACACCATACTCTCACCTCCACCAGCAACCAGAGGGATCCTATTAAAATCTTTTGGCCGGGTGCGGTGGCTCACGCCTGTAATCCCAGCACTTTGGGAGGCTGAGGCGGGTGGATCACCAGGTCAGGAGATCAAGACCATCCTGGCTAACAAGGTGAAACCCCTTCTCTACTAAAAATACAAAAATTAGCTGGGCATGGTGGCGGGCGCCTGTAGTCCCAGCTACTCAGGAGGCTGAGGCAGGAGAATGGCGTGAACTCAGGAGGCGGAGCTTGCAGTGAGCCGAGATTGTGCCACTGCACTCCAGCCTGGGCGACAGAGCGAGACTCCATCTCAAAAAAATAAATAAATAAATAGAATCTTTTATTTATTTATTTTTTGAGACGGAGTCTCGCTCTGTCGCCCAGGCTGGAGTGCAGGGGCTCAATCTTGGCTCACTGTCACCTCTGCCTCCCGGGTTCAAAACGATTCTTCTGCCTCAGCCTCCCAAGTAGCTGGGACTACAGGCATGCGCCACCATGCCCGGCTAATTTTTGTATTTTTAGTAGAGACAGGGTTTCACCATATTGGCTAGGCTGGTCTTGAAGTCCTGACCTCAAGTGATCTACCTGCCTCAGCCTCCCAAAGCCCTGGAATTACAGGCGTGAGCCACCGCAAATGGCCCTATATATCTTTGTTTATAGTCTGTCTTCCTCCACTAGAAGAATATCAGCTCCCTGAGGGCAGGATTTGTGTCTGTTTTGGTCACTGCTATATCTCTAGTGCCTAAAAAGGCCTTGCACATAGCAAGTGCATGATGGATATCTGTTGAATGAAGGAAGGAATAAAATGAAGACATCATTGAGCTCCTGGATCCAGCTATGCCTGAAGCCAGTCTTGTGAAATGAGATAAGAAGATACACACCCACAATGTCTCTCCAGCCTACACCTCCATCTCCGAGACCAGGTCATGGCTGGTGGATTTCTTGCTGTCCACACTTTCGTCCTGGCCCTGGGACTCCCTCAGGGCCCAGTGACAGGCAGCTGGCAGTGACCGGCGGAGTTGAGCCCTCCCAAAATACAGGAAGAGCATGGGATTGAGGCAGCTGTGAGCGAGGGCAAGGCCCACGATGAGGGGTTCAGCCCGCAGGGCCCTGGCCAGGAGTGCGGAGTTCGGGGCCGCCACAGTGAGCACCAGCCCCAGCAGGTGGTAGGGTGCCCAGCAGACAAAAAACCCCACCACAATGGCTGTGCCCAGCGGCCGGCAGCGTCGGGCTGCCCAGCACAGGAGGGCACTGTGGCAGCTGGCCACGGCCACCAGGGGCCCCAGGAAGCCAAAAAGAAACCGGATGGCAGTCACCGCATTCTCGGTGCTGGAGGAGCCGCCGTAGTCCACCACACACTGCAGCCGGGCTGGGAAGTGCTCCTGGTGCAGCCGGCGGTAGATGGCGGAGGGCACGGTGAGCAGCAAGGCCAGTGTCCAGGCTGCCCCACAGGCCACCTGCACCCCGCACGCCCGCTGAACCGTAGACCACCAGGCAGGCCCGAGAGCCAGGAAGCAGAGGTCGGCACTGAGAGCTGCCAGGAGCAGGACGCTGGCATACATGGTCAGCAGGATGATGGAGGGCAGCGCCCGACAGCCCACTGCACCATACGGCCAGTGGCCTCCACGGGCAATGGGCACTGCCAGGATGGGCAGAGACAAACAGCACAGCAAATCCGCCACGGCCAGGTGGAGCAACCAGGTGGCACCCACCCTCCGGCGGGCCACCTTCCCAGCCACCCAGGCCACCATGGCATTGCCCGGCACCCCCACCAGGAAGATGGCGGCATACAGTGGGAGCGGGGCCACGCGCAGCGGGTCGATGGCCAGGCAGGCGCCATCCAGGCAGTCCACAGGGCGGTCCGAGAGGTCGCTGTAATCCCCATACTCGTAGCTGACAGAATCGTTCCCCATTCAGGCTCCTGGTGTCTGGGCAGGAGAGAAAGACGATGAAAACTCAGAGGAGGAAACTCCATGGCCCTGGAGATCTAGGGTGTCCATCAGCCCGGCCCACCAGCACCTTGCAAACTGGAATATTGCGTCATAAGGACTCCAGTGCTTTAGAATATTGGAATTCTAGGCCGGGTGTGGTGGCTCACACCTGTAATCTTAACACTTTGGGAGGCCAAGACAGGTGGATCACTTGAGGTCAGGAATTCAAGACAGGCCAACATGGTGAAACACCGTCTCTACTAAAAATACAAAAATTAGCTGGGTGTGGTGGCGGGCACCTGTAATCCCAGCTACTTGGGAGGCTGAGAATTTCTTGAACCCAGAAGGTGGAGGTGGCAGTGAGCTGAGCTCACACCACTGCACTCCAGCCTGGGAGACAGAGTGAGACTCCATCTCAAAAAAAAAAAAAAAAAATTGGAATTCTAGAACTTAGTGTTGTTAGAAGTGGCATCTTGGAATTCTAGAATATTACAATGCCAGAACCCTAGTACATTGGAATATTGGGGCTGGGCACGGTGGTTCAGGCCTGTAATCCCAACGATTTGAGAGGCCAAGGTGGGAAGATCACTTGAGGTCAGGAGTTCTAGACCAGCCTGGGCAACATAGGGAGACCCCATCTCTACGAAAATTTTTTAAAACATAGCCAGGCATGGTCATGCGTGCCTGTGATCCTAGCTGCCGAAAAGGCTGAAGTGGGAGAATCATTTGAGCCCAGGAGATTGAGTGAGCTTGATCATACCCCTGCACTCCAGCCAGGATGACAGAGAGAGACTCTGTCTCAAAAAATAAAAAAAAATAGGAAAAGAAAGAAAGAAATGAGCAAAATCCAAAATCCACAGTATTTTAGAAGATAATAAATACTATGGGAAAAATATCACACAGGGAAGCTGGCTATGTTGGAGTTGTACAGGCATGGTCAGGGAAGGCTTCTTGAGAAGGTGACATTTGCATAAAAATCTGAAGGAACAGTGGGAGAGATGCATCGAGATCTGGGGGAAGAGTGTTTCAGGCATCGAGAACAGCCAGTGCAAAGGCCCTGAGGTGGGAACATGACGGTCATGTCCAAGAACAGCAAGGAGCCCAGTGTGGCTGGAGTGGAATCTGCCAGAGGGAGAGGGTGAGAGGCAATAGCAGAGTCATCAGGGGCCGGGCACAGTGGCTCATGCCAGTAATCACGGGAATTTGGGAGGCCAAGGTGGGTGGATCACCTGAGGTCAGGAGTTTGAGACCAGCCTGGCCAACATGGTGAAACCCCATCTCTCCTAAAAACACAAAAATAACCTGGAGTGATGGTGGACGCCTGTAATCCCAGCTACTCAGGAGGCTGAGGCAGGAGGGATCACTTGAACCAGGGAGGCGGAGGTTGCTGTGAGCTGAGATCATGCCAGTGCACTCCAGCCTGGGCAACAGAGCAAGACTCCATCTCAAAAAAAGAAAAAAACAAAACAAAACAAAACAAATGAAAAACAGTTATCAGGGGCCACGGCATGTAGGGCCACGTGGGCAACGCAAGGACATCATCATTTATTCCAAATGAGACAGGTGCTATAGGAGGGTGCTGAGCAAGGAAGCGACATAATCTATCATAGCAATAATTTATTTTTTTTGAGACAGAGTTTTGCTCTGTTGCCCAGGCTGGAGTGTGGTGGCATGATCTCGGCTCACTGCAACCTCCGCCTCCTGGGTTCAAGCAATTCTCCTGCCTCAGCCTCCCAAGTAGCTGAGATTACAGGTACATGCCACCACACCTGGCTAATTTTTGTATTTTTAGTAGAGATGGGGTTTCACCATGTTAGCCAGGCTGGTGTCGAACTCCTGACCTCAGGTGATCCACCTGCCTCAGCCTCCCAAAGTGCTGGGATTACAGGCGTGAGCCACCATGTCGGGCCACAATAATATTATTACTATATTATTACTATTTTTTGAGACAGGGTCTGGCTCTGTAGCCCAGACTGGACTGCAGCGGCACTTTCCCAGCTCACTGCAGCCTCCATCTCCTGGGCTCAAGCAACCCTCCACCTCACCCTCCCAAGTAGCTAGGACTACAGGTGCACACCATCATGCCTGATTAATTATTATTATTATTATTATTATTATTATTATTTTGGAGGTCATCTGGTTTCACCATGTTGCCCATGCTGGTCTTGAATTCTGGGGCTTAAGCAACCTGCCTTGTCTCAGCCTCTCAAACTGCTGGGATTACAGGCATGATTGCCACTGTGCCTGACAATAATAATAATAATAAAATTATTATTATTGGAAGCCACTGTTTCTTGAACATTTTGTGTTTTGTGTCAACTTTTTTTTTTTTTTTAGGGACAGATATTGCTCTGTCACTCAGGCTGGAATGCAATGGCACTATCTTGGCTCACTGCAGCCTCGAACTCCTGGGCTCAAGTGGTCCTCCCACCTCAGCCTCCTGAGTACGTGGGACTACAGGTGTGCACCACCACACCTGGCAAATTTATATATATATATTTTTTTTAGAGACAGGGTCTCGCCATCTTGCCAACGCTGGAGTGCAGTGGTGCAATCACGGCTCACTGCAGCCTCAAACTCTGTGCTCAAGTGATCCTCCCACCTCTGCCCCCTGAGTAGCTGGGACTACAGGCAGTGGCCACCACGCAGCTTTAAACACTGTATCACTGAAACCTTGTTTTATTTTATTTTATTTATTTTTTTTTTTGAGACGGAGTCTCACTCTGCTACCCAGGCTGGAGTGCAGTGGCGCTATTTTGGCTCACTGCAACCTCTGCTTCCTGGGTTCAAGCATTACTCCTGCCACAAGCCTCCCGAGTAGCTGGGATTACAGGCGTGCACCACCATGCCCGGGGCTAATTTTTTGTATTTTTAGTAGAGACGGGGTTTCACCATGTTGGTCAGGCTGGTTTGGAATTCCTGACCTCAAGTGGTCTGCCTGCCACGGCCTCCCAAAGTGCTAGGATTACAGGCATGAGCCACCGTGCCTGACCTCACTGAAACCTTATAATAACTGTCTGAATTTGACACTATTGTTATATTTATTCTACAGATAAGGCACAGAGAAGTTAAGTAATTTACCTAAGATCACTCAGCTAAGTAGGTAAAATTTTTTTTTTTGAGACAGAGTCTCGCTCTGTCATCCAGGCTGGAGTGCAGTGACGCAATCTCGGCTCACTGCAACCTCCGCCTCCAGGGTTCAAGCAATTCTCCCGCCTCAGCCTCCTGAGTAGCTGGGACTACAGGCACCCGCCACCATGCCCAACTAATTTGTGTATTTTTAGTAGATACGGGGTTTCATCATATTGGCCAGGCTGGTCTCGAACTCCTGACCTTGTGATCCGCCCACCTCAGCCTCCCAAAGTGCTGGGATTGCAGGCATGAGCCACCGCGCCCAGCCCTAAGTAGGTAAATTTCAAAGTGTGTTAGTCCCCGCTGCAGAACCCCATGCCCTAGAATATTACCATCTCCAAATCTTGGGCTCTGGAGAGCTGGCAGGCAGCACAGCAAGTGGTCCTGAGCAGCCCCGGCCTCCATGACTGTGGGTGTCAGTTGCAGCTGGCTGTGCCTATTTCCTCATCGGGGAAACAAGAGTCATTGAGGTGAACCTACCTCTGGTTTTGGGAGTCCTTGAGGAGTTAAGATTTGTCCAGCACGTGGCACACAGGCTCCGGTAGACAAAGCTGTGGGTAGCACAGGACCCAGGCAGGAGTCCCCACCCCCCCACCCCCACAATGTCAGAGTGACCTGGCCCTGAGGCTCTCTGCTGACTATTATGGGTTGGCTGGCACTGCTCAGCACTCCAGCTGGTGTTGAGGCAACAGGAAGGACAGAGAGGAAGTTGGGGCACTCCCCTCCCCCATGCCAGGTAGCAGTGAAGAGTCCAGGCCACTTGGTGTGTGTATTCGGAGTCTGGCATTCCACTTTCGTATTATTTTTATCCCTAGAGTAAAAGGTGTGCAGAATTTAGCCAGGTGCAGTGGCTCACACCTGTAATCCCAGTACATTGGGAGGCTGAGTTGAGGAGGAAGGATCGCTTGAGGCCAAGAGTTCAAGACCAGCCTAGGCAACACAGTGAGACCCTCTGTCTCTACAAAAAATTTAAAAATTAGCCAGGCATAGTGGTTCGTGCCTGCAATCCCAACCTTTTCTAAGACTGGGGTGGAAGATCACATGAGCCCAGGAGTTTGAGGCTGCAGTTAGCCATGATCGCGCCACTGCACTCCAGCCTGAGCAACAGAGTGAGACCCTGTCCCAAGAAAGAAAGAAAAAGAAAGAAAGAAAGAAAGAAAGGAAGGAAGGAAGGAAGGAAGGAAGGAAGGAAGGAAGGAAGGAAGGAAGGAAGGAAAGAAAGAAAGAAAGAGTACAGCATTTAAAAACTGAACCCCCCCTAGCCGGGCACAGTGGCTCACACCTGTAATCCCAGCACTTTGGGAGGCCGAGGTGGGCGGATCACTTGAGGCCAGGAGTTCAAGACCAGCCTGAGCAACATGGTGAAACCTGGTCTCTACTAAAAATACAAAAATCAGCCAGGCATGGTTGTGGGCTCCTGTAATTCCAGCTACTCGGGAGACTGAGGCAAGAGAATCGCTGGAACCCGGGAGGCAGAGGTTGCAGTGAGCCAAGATCATGCCACTGCACTCCAGCCTGGGCGACAACAGCGAGACTGCATCATAAAAAACAAACAAACAAACAACAACAACAAAAACCCTCAAATTCCTACCAGCTGTGTGGCCTTGGGCAAGTCACCTAAACTATCTGTGCCTCAGTAAAATGGGAATAATAATATTCCTGCCTTAGGGGGTGTTGTAAGAATTCAACAAGTTAGAAGGGTAGAGCTGAGTGTATAGCGCTGGTTTTCAGTGGGTGTCATACGTAGGCTAGCTGCTGTTATCACTGTCCACACGCATCCTCTCACCCCGCAAAGACTCCACCCTTCCTGGCCCTTGTTGATTACAATCCAGAAAACGAAAACTTTCTTTTTTTTTTTTTTTTTTTTTTTTTTTTTTTGAGACGGAGTATCACTCTGTCGCCCAGGCTGGAGTGCAGTGGTGCGATCTCGGCTCACTGCAAGCTCCACCTCCCGGGTTCGCATGATTCTCCTGCCTCAGTCTCCCGAGTAGCTGGGACTACAGGCGCCCGCTACCACTTCCGGCTAATTTTTTGTATTTTTAGTAGAGACAGGGTTTCACCGTGTTAGCCAGGATGGTCTCAATCTCCTGACCTCATGATCCGCCCACCTCGGCCTCCCAAAGTGCTGGGATTACAGGCGTGAGTCAACATGCCCAGCCCAATCCAGGAAACTTTCTGTGCATATAATTTGCCCAGCTGTAAGCCCAAAGCAATGGTATCGTAGATGGCATTTCCTTTGTAACGTCTTAACCAGAAATGGGAGCTTTCAACATACGTTGTTCCATTTCTTCATCTTTTCCACTTAACGTGCCCGATATCTGTTTTCCTGTCTATCTGTACAGATATCAACCCCATTCGTCCTCAAAGCATCAAAAACAGTCCACTGTCTGCCCAAGTGGTGCTTATTAACTAAAGGCCATTCAATAACAATGGTAAGGAGAATAATGAGAAACAGGGCCAGGTGCAGAAGCTCACACCTGTAATCCCAACGCTTTGGGAGTCCTAGGCAGACGGATCACTTGAGGTCAGGAGTTTGAGACCAGCCTGGCCAACATGATAAAATCTCATCTCTGCTAAAGATTTAAAAAAAAAAAAAAATTAGCTGGGCGTGGGGGCGAGTGCCTGTAATCTCAGCTACTCAGAAGGCCGAGGCAGGAGAATCCCTTGAAGCTGGGAGGTGGAGGTTGCAGTCAGCTGAGATCACACCACTGCACTCCAGCATGGGTGACAGAGTGAGACTCCATCTCAAAAAAAAAAAAATTGGATTTGGCTTAGATGATTTTGTCTTGCTGTTGGGTAATGTAAATGTTCTGAACACATTTGAGGTAGGCTACGCCCGTGAGGTCAAGGCTGCAGTGAGCCAAGATCGCGCCACTGCACTCCAGCCTGGACAACAGAGTGAGACCCTGTCTCAAAAAAAAAAAGTAGGCTATGATGTTCAGTAAGCTAGGTGTATTAAATCCAATTTGATTTACAATATTTTCAACTTATGTTGAAAATGTTGGGGGCTTTTGTTTTGTGTTTTCGTCTTGTTCAGTCACCCAAGCTGAGTTCAGTGGTTCAACCTCGGCTCACCACAGCCTCTACCTCCTAGGCTCAACTGATCCTCCTGCCTCAGCCTCTGGAGTAGCTGGGACTACGGGTGCACGCCATCATGCCCAGCTAATTTTTTTTTTTTTTTCTGTATGGACAGCCCTTACTCTGTTGCCCAGGCTGATCTCAAACTCCTGGGCTCAAGAAATCCTCCCACCTCAGCCTCCCAAAAGTGCTGCCATTACAGGCGTGAGCCACTGTGCCCAGCCTTACGATGGGTTGATAGAGATGGGACCCCATTGTAAGTCAAAGAGCGTCTGTACTTATATCTAGCTTTTAAATCATAGGTACCCTTCTTATTATTTCATAATAATTAAAATAATAGATGGCTTTTATTGAGCACCTATGACCTACAAGATATAACCCTCAACACAAACCCTTGAGGTCAATATTATCATCCTCATATCCCACAACATCAGCTCCTTCCAGCCTCGGGTGCCGCTGTGTCCCTGGCATCTGGGACAGAACCTGGCACACAGCACAGGCATGGTCGATATTTGGTAAGTGAAAGGATAAAAGAGTAAACTGAGGCACAGAGAGACTAAGTGGTCACTTAGGTTTCTTTTGTTGTGATTGCAAGCACCCTCACATGTGCCTCTTGGTGCACGCCTGTCTGTGCATCCAGTCTTGCTGGGTTCTCTGCTCTGGAAAACCCTGGAGCAGAATCAAAGAAGGCTGGCCGGGCGCAGTGGCTCACACCTGTAATCCCCGGCACTTTGGGAGGCCCAGGCAGGTGGATCACGAGGTCAGGAGATCGAGACCATCCTGGCTAACATGGTGAAACCCCATCTCTACTAAAAAATACAAAAAATTAGCTGGGCGCGGTGGCGGGCGCCTGTAGTCCCAGCTACTCAGGAGGCTGAGGCAGGAGAATGGCGTGAACCCAGGAGGCGGAGGTTGCAGTGAGCCGAGATCGCACCACTGCACTCCAGCCTGAGCAAGACTCCATCTCAAAAAAAAAAAAAAAAAAAAGGAGTCTGAACATTCTTTATTCCTGAACATCCATCTTCTAGGATTCCTCCCTCACGACCCAGCAATCAGCCTCCTTTCCGCAAAAGAACACATATGCTCACCAGAATACATGTGCCAGAATGTTCACAGCAGCCCAAGATGAGAAACCGTCCAAATAGCCACCCACAGCAGAATGGATAAACACATCATGGGGTGTTCACCCTGTGGAATATTCTACACGATGAGAATGAACAAACACCACACAAGAATGTGGACAGATTTTGTGATAGAACATTGAGGGGGCCAGGCACGGTGATTCACGCCTGTAATCCCAGCACTTTGGGAGGCCAAGGTAGGTGGATCACCTGAGGTCAAAAGTTGGAGACCAGCCTGGCCAACATGGTGAAACCCCATCTCTACTAAAAATACAAAAATTAGCTAGGTGTGGTGGCGTGCACCTGTAATCCCAGCTACTCAGCAGGCTGGGGCAGGAGAATCACTTGAACCTGGGAGGCGGAGGTTGCAGTGAGCCAAGATCGCACCACTGCACTCCAGCCTGGGAGACAGAGTGAGACCCTGTCAAAAGAAAGAAAGAGAGAAAAGGAAAGAAAGAGAAAAGAATTGGAATCGCTGAGTTAAAGGGCTTGCTTGCTACACATGCTACAGTTTGGTGGATCTGCCGAAAGCTGCAGGAATTCCTGCAGGTTTGAGAGAGGCTGTTTCCCATACATCTGTGTGTGAAAAACCATTTGGGCAGGGCACAGTGGCTCACGCCTGTAATCCCAGCACTTTGGGAGGCCAAGGCGGACAGATCACCTGAGGTCGGGAGTTCGAGACCAGCCTGACCAACATGGAGAAACCCCATCTCTACTAAAAATACAAAATTAGCCAGGCATGGTGGCATGCGCTTGTAATCCCAGCTGAGACAAGAGAATCCCTTGAACCTGGGAGGTGGAGGTTGCGGTGAGCCAAGATGGCACCATTGCACTCCAGCCTGGGCAACAAGAATGAAAACCTGTCTCCAAAAAGAGAAAGAAAAAAAATGCTTAGATCCTTTGACAAGAGCTTTGCTGCTGGGCTGCCCAAGTTAATTCAAGAGCCCAGGACTGTGACGTGCGTTCCAGTGTGGCTGTAATAAGACTGCACTTCTCAAACTCTAGTTCTGCTTCCCAGATTCTGAAAGTAATGATTCCGAGAAGCCAAGATCATGCAATCTCTCTCTCCCTCCTTCCCGCCCTTGTAGCCTCCATCCTTACCGTCTCTTCCAAGAGTGTCCCCACGTGAGTCAAACGCCACTTGGGAGCCCAATCCGGGCCCACAGCCAGGACCCAGGAGGTCTGGGGTCTCTCCCTGCCGTGTCTGGCAGCTGGTAGAGTCCTGGAAATCCGTCCTGTTTGCCAGGGCTCCTGTCGGATGCTGCTGAGCACTGCCACCTCACCAGTCCCAGTGAATCTTTATAAGCAGTACAAAATAGGAGTGGCCTTGTCTCGCTCTCAGGGTGTGTTTGTCCTGTCTTCTTCCCGTGACTCACAGAACCCAAAATTACGGGGTGGCTGGCAGGGCAGGAGAGGGCTCGGTTGGGTGGAGGGCTGATCCCAAGTCCCCAACCCTAGTCTCGAAGTCCCACCTTCCTGGAAGCCAGACCTGCATGCGGTTTGCTCTTTAACGCCTTAGAGGTCTTGGCCTGGATTCTGTTTGCCCACAACATGCCAGCTGCCCCCAGCCACCTCCAGGCCTCTAACTGTGTTCAACCCCTCCCTTCTGCAGCCTCAGGACAGACAAACATCCCTCCCTCCTCCTCGGCTCTGAGGAAGACAGCCTGGGGTCACATTCTCCACAAAAAGACCACAGCAGCTGAGCGCAGGGCCCAACGCCTCAGTGGTAGAAAAAGCACAAACAACTCCTTTCTTGGGCCTCAATTTTCCATCTGTAGAATGGGAAGATGTTGTTGGCCATAGCGATGCTTTACTTTTTTTAGAGATGGAGTCTTGCTCTGTCGCTCAGACTGGCGTGCAGTGAAAACATTATGCCTCACTGCAGCCTCAAACTCCTAGGCTCAAGTGATCCTCCCACCTCAGCCTCCTGAGTAGCTAGGACTACAGGCATGCACCAACATACCTGGCTAATTTTTTAAAATTTTCTGTAGAGGTGCGGCCTTGCTGTGTTGCCCAGCCTCAAGCCATCCTCACACCTCGACCTCCCAAAGGGCTGGGATTACAGAAGTGAGCCACAGCCGTGATAGCAATTCTTAACCTCTTCCAGCATATCACAGTGGCTGAGAACAAGAACTCAAGGGCCAGAATGATGAGATTCATATTCCAGGTCGACACACCCTCATCAAAGTTCAGGGCCTCAGCCCCTCTGAACCTCAACTTCCTCATCTGTGCAGTGGATGTTTGCTATGAGCGTTGGATACATTTAAAACGCACAGAACTGGCTGGGCGCGGTAGCTCACATCTGTAATCCCAGCACTTTGGGAGGCCGAGGCAGGTGGATCACTTGAAGTCAAGTGTTCAAGACCAGCCTGGCCAACATGGCAGAACACCATCTCTACTAAAAATACAAAAATTAGCTGGGCGTGGTGGTGCGTGCCTGTAATCCCAGCTACTCGGGAGGCCGAGGCAGGAGAATCATTTGAACCGAGGAGGCGGAGGTTCCAGTGAGCCGAGATCTCACCATTGCACTCCAGCCTGGGCGACAGAGTGAGACTCTGTCTCAAAAAAACAAAAACAAAAAAACCGGAGCAGTGCCTGGCACATAGTATACGCTAGGCTCACGCAACAGCAACAAGACTGTAACGTGAATTCTTAAAGTACACATACCACGCAGGCTTAGCAAGAGGAAGTGGCTCCAACCCCAACTTTGGAACCTCTTTATTCAGCAGTTCTTTCTGTTTGTGCTTTTTTTGTGCGTGCTTTAGGGATTCAAGGGATATATTTACACACTTCTTTTGTTATTGTTTTAGAGAATGAAATCACTTTGCTAGAGGAAGTTGTTCGTGAGACAAGGAGCTGGGACTCACTGTTTGACCCAGGGCTTCCTCCACTCTGTTTCCCTGACTAGGTGACCCTGCGTTGGCTGACCCTCACCCCGGACCCTCAGAGAGGAAAACATCCCCCAAGTCCCCTCCCCTCCTCTTCTGTCCCGGGAAGCCCCCTCCTTGGGAGAGGAGGGACATCCTGCCAGCCCCAATCTCCTGTGGGAATCTGCCCTGGCCTGAAGAAGAGATTAAGAGGAAAGAAACCGAGGTGGAACCTTCCCTTTATCAGCTCAAACTTTCTTTTTTTCTTTCTTTTTTTTTTTTTTTTTGAGACGGAGTCTGTCTCTGTTGCCCAGGCTGGAGTGCAGTGGCGCGATCTCGGCTCACTGCAAGCTCCACCTCCCGGGTTCACACCATTCTCCTGCCTCAGCCCCCCCGAGTAGCTGGGACTACAGGCACCCGCCACCACGCCCGGCTAATTTTTTTTGTATTTTTAGTAGAGACGGGGTTTCGCCGTGTTAGCCAGGATGGTCTCGATCTCCTGACCTCATGATCTGCCCACCTCGGCCTCCCAAAGTGCTGGGATTACAGGCATGAGCCACCACGCCCGGGAGCTCAAACTTGCTTTAACTTGAAAAGTTAACGATGGTCTGTTCCTCAGATGCTTCATCTTGATAAACTCCTGATACATCCACTAAGTTTTTCAACATACATTTCTTAGAATTGCAGCCAGGCAGGATGGCTTACACCTCTAATCTCCACACTTTAGGAGGCCGAGGTGTGAGGACTGCTTGAGGCTAGGATTTTGAGACCAGCCTGACCAACATAGTGAGATGCTGTCTCTGGGGGAAAAATATATATTTTTTTAATCCAGGGTCTGACTCTTCACCCAGATTGGAGTGCAGTGGTGTGATCACAGCTCACCGCAGCCTTGACCTCCTGGGTTCAAGCAATCCTCCCACCTCAGCCCCCAAAGTAGTTGGGACTACAGGCTCAAGCCACCACACCCAGCTAATTTTTTAAAAAACTTTTTGTAGAGATGGGGTCTGTCTCTGTTGCCTAGTCTTGCCTCCAATTCCTAGGCTCGAGCAATCCTCCCACACTGGCCTTCCAAAGTGCCGTGATTACGTGTGCTAGCCACAGCATCTGCCCCCCTAGAATTTGTTTTAATTAGCCAGGCGTGTTGGAGCGAGCCTGTAGTCCTGCTACTCTGGAGGCTGAAGTGGGAGGTGGAGGCTGAGGAGGGAGGATCGCTTGAGCCCAAGAGCTCAAGGCTGCAGTGAACTGTGAATGCACCACTGCACTCCAGCCTGAGCAACAGAGAAAGGCCCTGACTCGAAAAAATAATTTAAAATTTTAAAAAAATTGCCAGTCACGGTGGCTCATGCCTGTAATCCCAGCACTTTGGGATGCCAAGGTGGGTGGATCACCTGAGGTCGGGAGTTCAAGACCAGCCTGACCAACATGGAGAAACCCCGTCTCTACTAAAAATACAAAATTAGCCTAGGTGGTGGGCGCCTGTAATCCCAGCTACTCGGGAGGCTAAGGCAGGAGAATCGCTTGAACCTGGGAGGCGGAGGTTGCGGTGAGCCGAGATCGCGCCATTGCACTGTAGCCTGGGCAACAAGAGCGAAACTGCGTCTCAAAAAAAAAAAACCAAAAAAACAAATTTTTAAGTGTCTTAGATTTGAGGCTGGGCGCAGTGGCTTACTTCTGTAATCCCAGCACTTTGGGAAGCCAAGGCCAGTGGATCATTTGAGGTCAGGAGTTCCAGACCCACCTGGCCAACATTGTGAAACCCTGTCTCTACTGAAAATACAAAAAAAAAAAAAAATTAGTCAGGCTTGGTTGGGGAGTACCTGTAATCCCAGCTACTCAGGAGGCTGAGGCAGGAGAATTGTTTGAACCTGGGAGGTGGAGGTTGCAATGAGCCAAGATGGCACCACTGCACTCCAGCCTGGGCGACAGAGCAGGACTCCGTTTCCAAAAAAACAAAAACAAAACAAAAATCTTAGATTTGGGAAGGCAAAGATTTTCTGGTGTCCCTGGAGCTGAGGGCTGTCACTTGGAGGTCTGGGGGTTGCTATGGGCCAAGAACAGGGTCTCTACAGGCCTCGGAAGGCAGGAGGGGGGCCAGTGTGTACGTGCAGGGGATTCTCTCTCAGCCACCCTGTGAAAAGCCGAGCACTACCCCCTCAACTCACCAGCCATTTCCTCCTGGGAGAAATTTTGAATGAGAACATCCTACAAGGATTTTTTTTGCTTCTTTTTTTCTTTTTCTTTCTCTTTTCTTTTTTTTTTTTTTTGAGACAGAGTCTTGCTATGTCGCCCAGGCTCGAGTGCAGTGGTGTGATCTTGGCTCACTATACCCTCTGCCTCCCAGGTTCAAGCAATTCTCCAGCCTCAGCCTCCTAAGTAGCTGGGATTACAGGCACCTGCCACCATACCCAGCTAATTTTTGTATTTTTAGTAGAAACGGGGTTTCACCATGTTGGCCAGGGTTGTCTCAAACTCCTGACCTCAAATAATCCACCTGCTTCAGCCTCCGAAAGTGCTGGGATTACAGGTATTAGCCACCACACCCAACCATCCTAAAAGGTTCTTAAGTCAATCCATATGAAATTATCATTTTTCAGCCGGGCGCGGTGGCTCACGCCTGTAATCCCAGCACTTTGGGAGGCCGAGGCAGGTGGATTACGAGGTCAGGAGATCGAGACCATCCTGGCTAACATGGTGAAACCCCGTCTCCACTAAAAATACAGAAAATTAGCTGGGCATGGTGGCGGGCACCTGCAGTCCCAGCTACTCAGGAGGCTGAGGCGGGAGAATGGCGTGAACCTGGGAGGCGGAGCTTGCGGCGAGCCGAGATCGTGCCACTGCACTCCAGCCGGGGCGACAGAGCAAGACTCCGTCTCAAAAAAAAAAAAAAAAAAAGAAATTTTCATTTTTCTAGGTCAAAAAGGTTGAATTTCTTTTTATTTTTCTTTCTTTTTTTTTTTTTTTCCAAAAGAGACAGGGGTCTCACTATGTTGCCCAGGCTGGTCTTGAACTCCTGGCCTCAAACAGTCCTCCCACTTTGGCCTCCAAAAGTGCTGAGATTACAGACATGAGATACCATGTCAGGCCACAAGGTCAAATTTCAGCAAATCTGTAGAGTTAGAATGTACCTGGGTGGTCGCCAGGGGTTGAAGGCAAAGAATGGGGGGGGAGTGACTGCTTAATGGGTACTGGGTTTCCTTTTGGGGTGATGAGAATGTTCTGGAACAAGATAGCGGTGATGGATGCACAACACTGCAAATGCATGAAATGCCACTAATGGTAAATTTTATGTTATGTGCATTTTACTACAATTTTTCTTTTACTCGTTTTTTTTGTTTTTGTTTTTGTTTTTGTTTTTAGACAGAGTCTTGCTCTGTCACCAGGCTGGAGGGCAGTGGCTCCATCTTGGCTCATTGCAACCTCCACCTGCCTGCTGTGTCCAAGCGATTCTCCTGCCTCAGCCTCCTGAGTAGCTGGGACTACAGGCACGTGCCACTACGCCCAGCTAATTTTGTATTTTTGGTAGACTCGGGGTTTCACCATGTTGGCCAGGATGGTCTTGATCTCTTGACCTAGTGATCCACCCACCTCGGATCACTCTGTCACCCAGGCTGGAATGCAGTGGTGTGATCTCAGCTCACTGCAACCTCTGCCTCCTGGGCTCAAGCGATCCTCCTGCCTCAGCCTCCCAAGTACCTGGGACTACAGGTACATGTCACCACACCTGGCTAATTTTTTTTTTTTTTTTTTTGTAGAGATAGGGTATCACTATGTTGCCCAGGCTGGTCTCGAATTCTTGGGCTCACGTGATCCTCCCACCTCAGCCTCTCAAAGTGTTGGGATTACAGACATGAGCCACTGTGCCATGGCACCACAATTTTTCAAAAACAACAAATAAATAAATTGTTACACACACATCCCACCCCAAAAGGACTGAATCTTGGCAATTTCATAGGGTTCAATCTAATGGAATTACAGGGCTTAAAAGGATGAGTGACTAAGATGGGGAGGACCATAGACTTTTTCTCTTTTGAACAATATAATATGAAACAATATTTATGTGATATTTGATGCATAGGAGAGAATGTCTTAACATATATGAGAGTCATAAAACACAGTCACGGCCGGGCACGGTGGCTCACGCCTGTAATCTCAACACTTTGGAAGGCCGAGGTGGGTGGATCACGAGGTCAAGAGATTGAGACCATCCTGGCCAACATGGTGAAACCCCGTATCTACTAAAAATACAAAATTAGCTGGGCGTGGGGCGGTCACCTGTAATCCCAGCTACTCAGGAGGCTGAGGCAGGAGAATCACTTGAACCCGGGAGGCGGAGGTTGCAGTGAGCCGAGACTGTGCCATTGCACTCCAGCTGGGTGACAAGAGCAAAACTCTGTCTCAAAAAAAAAAAAAAAAATTAGCCAGGCATGATGGCAGGTGCCTGTAATCCCAGCTACTCGGATGGCTGAGGCAGGAGAATCGCTTGAACCTGGGAGGCAGAGGTTGCAGTAAGCCAAGATCGCACCACTGCACTACAGCCTGGGTGACAGAGCAAGACTCTGTCTCAAAATCAATCAATCAATCAAAGACTCTGGAGACTAGAATATTGGAATCACAGACTCTTAAAATGTTGGAATCATAGACTATTGAACCTAATAGATCCTACAATGTGAGTTACAGGCTATTTGAATCACAGGATCCTAGAATATCACACCAGAACCTCGGAGGGTTAGAAGCACGGCTCCAACAGTTAGATGTTCAAATTCTGTAGATGCTCTATACATTAGTCAAGGAAGTCTGGCCCTGAGCAGTCCAACACTGCAGCCACCAGCCACAAGAGACTACGGACCACTTGAAATGTCTTCGGGTCCGAGATAAGAAGTGCTGTGAGTGGAAAATACACACCAGATTTTGAAAACACAGTACCAAAAAAAACAGAATATGAAGTCTCAAGAATTTGTTTCTATTGAACACATGTTAAAATGATACTCCTTAAATATATTGTGTTAAATAAAATGTATTATCAAAATTAATTTTACCTGATTCTTTTTGTTTCTTTTTGTCTGTTGCTTGCCTGTGGGAAAATATAAATATCATTCTATTTCTTTTTTTTTTTTTTTTTGAGACAGGGTCTTACTCTGTCACCGAGGCTGGAGTGCAGTGGTGCGATCTTGGCTCACTACAGCCTCAGTCTCTCCTGAGCTCAAACAATTCTCCCACCTGAGCCTCCTGAGTAACTGGGACTACAGGTGCATACCTGCACACCCAGTTATTTCATTTGTTTGTTTTTAATTTTTGTAGAGACAGGGTCTCCCTATGTTGCCCAGGCTGGTCTTAAACTCCTGGGCTCAAGCGATCCTCCTGCCTCCTGGCTCACAGTCTATTACTTTCTCTTTTATTTTATTTTATTTATTTATTTATTTAGAGACAGAGTCTTGCTCTGTCACCCAGGCTGGAGTGCAGTGGTACGATCCCAGCTCGCCGCAACTCCCGCCTCCCGGGTTCAAGTAATTCCCCTGCCTCAGCCTCCCGAGTAGCTGAGACTACAGTCATGCGCCACCACACCTGGCTAGTTTTTGTATTTTTAGTAGAGACGAGGTTTTGCCATGTTGGCCAGGCTGGTCTCGAACTCCTGACCTCAGGTGATCCACCCACCTCGGCCTCCCAAAGCCCTGGGATTACAGGTGTGAGCCACCGCGCCCGGCCACTCACAGTCTATTTCTATGGGACTGTGCTCATCTAGAGAAATGCCTTCCTGGCTCTGAGAGGTGTGGGGTTCAGGACGGTCACGTGGCACAGATAAAGAGGAGAAGGCTTTGGCTCCAGGACTTAGAGGCATCCCGGTCTGCAGAGTAGATGCGTGAATAAGATCCCAGGGCTGCAGGGAGTGGGGGTGGGTGCCGGAAAGGGCACACAGCCTGACTCAGCCAAGCCCATCATCCACTTCCCTTCCCTACCACTTCCCCTTCGGAACTTGTTGACCCAGCAGATTCTCCAAGCTACAGATTTGGCAATTGTCTGCCCCTTCAGCCCACTTCCATACTGGGCAGAGCAGGTCAACACCAGATGGGGGCTGCCTTGGAAAGACTACCTGGATCCCACTCCTTGGCCTCCGACTCCTACTCTTTGGCCTCCCAGCTTTTGGGACACTATCTCCTTCCCAAATCAGGGTGGGTAGAAAATACCCACTGCCTGCAACTCCCGAAGCCAGGAAAGCTACAGGATGACTGGGAATAGAGATAGAATGTAGGGGTTGGGGAGGCAGAGGAGGAAGTCAGGGAGGTATTCCTGGAGGAGGTAACCCCTGAAGGAAGGCAGAATAGAGGCAGGGATGGTCTGGGAAAAACAGACTGGACAGCCAGGAAATCAGGGAAGGGGCAAGGCAGAGAGCCAAATGGGAGAGGATGGAGGGCATGGGCCAGGCAGGGCGTGGGGCGGGAAGGAGGTAGCATCCAGGATGGGCCCCAGGCTCAGGCCTGGGTGACTGGGTGCACCGCGGGGTTGTCTCTGGAGTCGGGAGGGAAGGGGAGGAAGAGGTTCCGGGGAGACTGCTGAGGTCAGTCTGGCTGTGGCAAGGGGGTGGGGAGGCCCAGTGTGGAAGAGAGATGCTGAAGATATTGGATGAAGCTGCAGGAGTGAGCGCACCAAATGAGGTGGACACACAGCTGAGGAACGCCAACGTCGAAGAGGAAAAAACTCTGCAAAGGACGCGGAGAAAGGTCCAGCAAAGAGGCAGAGGGAAACTATCCAGGTCAGGGGCAGCCATGGAAGAGACCGGAGCAGGTGGGAGAAGGCCAGGAGGCCAGGAGGCTGGTGTTGTCTTCTTGAGGAGGGAGCTGCCGGGAGCCCACCCCCAGGAGCTGAAGGCGGCTGGGGCTCAGGTCCTTCCCCGTGACCTCGATGCCTGGGGAATCTGCACTAATGAGCACAAGTTACAGAGAGGATCTTGTCCCAGGTACCAACGTCTACTCTCAAGCAGGCACAGACACCACTCACAGCCACTTCTGCAAGCTCAAGAGACTGCAGCATCTGTCCATCGAGACACTCAGGCAATTTTTTGTTTGTTTGTTTGTTTGTTTGGAGACAGGGTCTTGCTCTGTCACCCAAGCTGGAGTGCAGCATCACAACTCACTGCAGCCTCAAACTCCTATGCTCAAGCGATCCTCCAGCCTCGGCATCCCGAGTAGCTGGGACCACAGGCACTACCAACCACACCGGCTAATTTTTTCGTTAAAAAAAAAAATTTTTTTTTTTCTGAGAGAGTCTCACTCTGTCGCCCAGGCTAGAGTGCCGAGCCACAATCATAGCTCACTGCAACCTCTGCCTCCCGGGTTCAAGTGATTCTCATGCCTTAGCTTCCTGAGTACCTGGGATTACAGACGTGCATCATCATGTCCGGCTAATTTTTGTGTTTTTAGTAGAGATGGGGTTTCGCCATGTTGGCCAAGCTGATTTCGAACTCCTGGCTTTGTGATCTGCCCAGCTCAGCCTCCCAAAGTGCTGGGATTTCAAGCATGAGCCCCCATGCTCAGACTAATTTTTTTGAAGATGGAGCCTCACTATGTTGCCCAGGCTGGCCTCCCAAAGTGCTGGGATTACAGACATAAGCCTCATTGTTCTTAATATAACATATGATTGTATTATATTATTAAGTATTTCATCTATTTCTTTTTACTTATTTAATGTGGCTACTAGAAAACAAAGATATACATGTGGCCCACATCATATTTCTGTTGGACGACATTGGGTCTGTACACTAGTTCTAAATTTAATTTTTTTTTTTTTTTTTGAGACAGAGTCTCACTCTAGGCTGGAGTGCAGTGGCATGATCTTGGCTCACTGCAACCTCCACCTCCCGGGTTCAAGCAATTCTCCTGCCTCAGCCTCCTAAGTAGCTTAGATTACAGGTGTGCACCAACACACCAGCTAATTTTGGTATTTTTAGTAGAGACGGGGTTTCACCATGTTGGCCAGGCTGGTCTCAAACTCCTGACCTCAGGTGATCTGCCTGCCTCAGCCTCCCAAAGTGCTGGGATTACAGGCATGAGCCACCACAGCTGGCTGGTCTGCACGCTATTTCTAGATAATCCATGCACATGCACACTACACAATCAAAGCAGAAATATTGTGATATGGTTTGGCTGTCTCCCCACCCAAATCTCAATTTGAATTGTATCTCTCAGAATTCCCATGTGTTGTGGGAGGGACCCAGGGGGAGATAATTGAATCATGGGGTCCGGTCTTTCCCTTGCTATTCTTGTGATAGTTAATAAGTCTCACAAGATCTGATGGGTTTCACAGTAGTTTCCACTTTTGCTTCTTCCTCATTTTCTCTTGCCACTACCATGTAAGTAGTGCCTTTGCCTCCTGCCATGACTGTGAGACCTCCCCAGCAATGTGGAACTGTAAGTCCAATTAAATCTCTTTTTTCTTCCCAGTCTTGGGTATGTCTTTATCAGCAGTGTGAAAATCGACTAATACCTACTGCAAAGTCAATTATTCACTAGAAATAACACAACATTTCAATATTCATTTTTATTTTCCTCATTAAAGTCATGTATACTTTTTTTTTAAGCTCAAAACAGGTTACATACTATATGATTCCATTGAATAACATTCTTGAAATGACAACATTATAGAAATGGAGAGTGGATTCCTGGTTGCCAGGGGTTAGGGACACGGCTGGGGTGTGGGGGTGGAGGGAAGTGGGCATCCTGGGGATCCCTGTGGTGATGAGAATGTCCTGTATCTTCACTGTATCAATGTCAATATCCTGGTTATGAGACTACATTGTAGTTTTGCAAGATGTTGCCATTGGGGGAGGCTGGGTGAAGGGTACACAAGATCCCTCTGTATCATTACTTACAATTGTGTTGAGTTTGCAATGATCTCAAAATAGAAAGCATAATTTAAAAACAAAGTACAAACAAAACTGCAGGTTTTTTAGGTGTTTTTGTTTTTGTTTTTGCTTTGCTTTTGAGACAGAGCCTCCCTCGGTCACCCAGGCTAGAGTGCAGTGGTGCGATCATGGCTCACCACAACCTCCACCTCCAAGTTCGAGCAATTCTCCCACCTCAGCCTCCCAAGTAGCTGGGATTACAGGCACCCACTACCATGCCCAGTTAATTTTTTGTATTTTTAGTACAGACGGGGTTTCACCATGCTGGCCAGCCTGGTCTGGAACTCTTGACCTCAGGTGATCCACCCACCTTAGCCTCCCAAAGTTCTGGGATTACAGGCGTGAGCCACTGCTCTCAGCCTAATTTTCTTTTTTAAATTAACTCACTTACAAGAGCTTAGATAACTCCATGGACTTCTGTTTTGTCCCAAAGAACTTTTGAGATTCCAGTTACATATTTTCCAACTTGCCATAAAATAAATACATTTTTTTTAAGCGAGAATCTTTCTACTTGTCTGTATTCTGAGTTCCCTGTTCACACCTATTGCCATATGGAAATATCCCAGATACACGGGTTTCTGTTTGTTTTTCAAAAGCCTGGGATGGAAAGATGGTGTGTGTGGGGGGGGTGGGGGGTGGGAGGGTGCTCCCTAGAAGGAAGTGTTCACCTTGCAAATGAGGAAGGATGAGAAGAGTCCCGCTGGAAAAGGAGGGACAAGTCTGGGAAAGACAGGCAACATGGAGGAGAGTTAGTTAGCTAAGGTAACACCATCCCACGAAAAGTGAAGTGAAAACAAGAGGGAGAATGGCCGGGAAGGAAGGGGACATCGGGCCACAGTGGCCCATGAGGCTGTCGCCTACACTGCCTGGGTCTTCTGGGCCATAGTGTCCACTGTGGAGCGCGTGAATGACTTGCTCTCCCTAACCACGGACTCTTCAGTCAACACGTTCCGGAGGAGGCTGGGGAGGGATTTCCGCAGTCGGCCCTGGAAGCCCTGGCCGGCCACCACGTAGATGATGGGGTTGATGCAGCAGTTGATGTAGGCAAAGGAGACACACAGGGAGTCCAGCTTCTTCAGCAGCAGGAAGGTGGGTGACGATGGCTCCAGGAAGGACATCATTATCCCCGTCACCTGGTAGGGCAACCAGAAGATAAAGAAACTGGCCACCACTGCCACCACCACCTTGAGTGTCTTGGTGGACCGCGTGGCCCTGCGGCTCCACGTCCGGAGCAGGATGAAAGTGTAACAAATCGTGAGCGTGAGTAGAGGCCACAGGAAGCCCAGGACCAGCCGGACGATGGCCACGGCTCGCTCCCGCCGTTTGTCGTGGCTGTAGTCCACGCCACACAACACCTTTGGTGGAAAGTACTCCTCCCGGACCACCCGGTACAGGAAGGAGGGTATGGTCAGCAGCAGGGCTAAACCCCAAGCCACGGCACAGGCGATCCAGGCCAAGCCAGCCCCTCGGAAGTTCTGGCACCAGATGGGTTTAAACACCAGCAGAAAGCGGTCGGCGCTGATGGTGGCCAGGAGCAGGATGCTGGCGTACATGTTGAGCAGGATGAGGGAGGGCAGGATGCTGCAGGCGGCCCCGCCAAAGGGCCAGTGGTGATGCTGTACAATGGACGTGAACAAGATGGGCAGCGCCAGGCAGGAGAGGAAGTCGGCTACCGCCAAGTTGAGGAACCAGATGGCATTGATGGTCCGCTTGGCCTCGAATGCCGTCACCCAGACCACCAGGGCATTGCCCAGCACTCCCACCAGGAAGACGACTGCAAAGATGACCAAGGCCAGGATGTCTGGAACACGCAGCGTGTTAGAAGTTTTATCCACAGGGGTGTTGAGGTCCAGGGTATCCTTGTCATCATAGTGCCCATAATCAGGGGTGGTATAATTGAAGGAGTCCTAAGGGGAATCGGAGAGAGCAGAGAGGATGAGTCTGCAGACATGTGCCCGGGTAGGGGGCATCCTGGCTCAGGCATGTGGCTTTTCCCCTGTGTGGCTTTTTCTCACTAGGAAATGGGGATGCTGAGGGCTGAGAGTCAACTAGGGTGTCACACCACTTATTAAAATATTGAGGCAGATGCCGTAGCTCACGCCTGTCATCCCAGCACTTTGGGAGGCCGAGGCGGGCGGACTGCTTGAGCCCAGGAGTTTGAGAATAGCCTGGGCAACATGGCAAAACCCCGTCTCTACTGAAAATACAAAAATTAGCCAGGCGTGGTTGCACTTGCCTGTAGTCCCAGCTACTCCGGAGGCTGAGGTAGGAGGATCACCTGACCCCAGGAGGCAGAGGTTAGAGTGAGCCGAGATCATACCATTGCACTCCAGCTTAGGTGACAGAGTGAGACCCTGTCTCAAAAAAAAAAAAAAAAAAAAAATGAAATGATTCCATGCTAGTTGGACCCCTTGCCAGTCTGCCACCTCTCCCCTCAGTCCCATCCTGCGAAGCCCCTGGGCTTCCCCACGATCCAGCAGCCTAACGTCAAAGTCTAGCCCTACTGGCCGGGCACGGTGGCTCACACCTGTAATCCAGCACTTTGGGAGGCCGAGGTGGGTGGATCACGAGGTCAGGAGTTGAAGATCAGCCTGACCAATGTAGTGAAACCCCGCCTCTACTAAAAATACAAAAATTAGCCAGGCGTGGTAGTGGGCGCCTGTAATCCCAGCTACTTGGGAGGCTGAGGCAGAAGACTTGCTTGAACCCAGGAGGCAGAGGTTGCAGTGAGCCGAAACAGCCCCATTGCACTCCAGCCTGGGTAACAGAGTGAGACTCCATCTAAAAAAAAAAAAAAAAAAAAAAATAGAACAAAAAGGTCCTGATCACTTCTTCCCAGACAGAGCTGAAGGAAGCTGTCATGCACCCAAGAAAGAAAGGCTGCAGTCCATGGCAGCTGGACTGGAGAAAGCCTTGTAGGTGAAATCTGTGTCCAGAGGCACCAGACACTGCAGTAAAGCACCCATCAGGGCACTGAGTGATCACCCGAAAGCAGCCAGTACTTACTGAGCACCTACTATGCATGCGGCATGGAATTTGCTCTTTCCATCCTGACCACAACCTACAAGGAGGTTCTGTTAATATGCCCATTTCAGGCCAGGTGTGGTGGTGCACACCTATAACCCAAGCACTTTGGGAAGCCAAGGTGGGCAGATCACCTGAGGTCAGGGGTTCGAGACCAGCCTGGCCAACATGGTGAAACCCCGTCTCTACTAAAAATACAAAAATTAGCCAGGCGTGGTGGCGGGCACCTGTAATCCCAGCTACTCGGGAGGCTGAGGCAGGAGAATCACTTGAACCTGGGAGGTGGAAGTTGCAATGAGCTGAGATAGCGACACTGCACTCCAGCCTGGGCGACAGAGTGAGACTCCACCTCAAAAAAAAAAAAGAAAGAAAAAAAAATGCCCATTTCGCTGATGAAGAAGCACGAGGCACCAGAAGGTGAAGTAGGCTGTTCCAGGTCACTCAGAGAGGATGTGAACCCATACGGGCTGGAATGCAAACCAGACAGGCTGCCCCTGACCATTTCCAAGAGGTGAGTTTTGTGACCTATGGAGCTAGCCCAGTCCTGAAGGCCACTTTGACACCAACCCAGAGAAAAGGGGACAGCAAGAAATAGAAATCATTCTGGAAATACTGAGAGCTGTATTTGCAGCTCTAAATATTTGAATTTGCAGATGGAGTTTTGTACATTTTTTTTTTTTTTTTGAGATGGAGTCTCACTCTGTCGCCACGCTGGACTGCAGTGGCACGATCTCGGGTCACTGCAACCTCTGCCTCCCAGGTTCAAGCGATTCTCCTGCCTCAGCCTCCTGAGTAGCTGGGACTAAAGGCACCTGCCACCACACCCTGCTAATTTTTGTATTTTTAGTAGAGACAGGGTTCCACCATGTTGGTCAGGCTGGTCTCGAACTCCTGACCTCGTGATCTGCCTGCCTTGGCCTCCCAAAATGCTGGGATTACAGGCATGAGCCACCACACCCGGCCTGGTTTTTCTACCTTTAAAACACTCACCTCAAAGATTAAATAAGATGAAAAATGCCTAAGCACCTAGCACAGCGCCTGACACAGAGAAGAGGACAAGAAGTGGCAGCCATTGGTATTATTATTTGTCAGTTATTGAAGAGCTCAGATCCACATCCCTGAACCACTATATATATATATATATTTTTTTTTTTTTGAGACTGAGTCTCACTCTGTCACCCAGGCTGTAGCTCAGGGGTGTGATCTTGGCTCACTGCAGCCTTGACTTCTCAGGCTCAAGTGATCCTCTTGCCTCAGCCTCCCAAGCAGCTGGGACTACAGGTGCATACTACTGTGCCCAGCTAATTTTTAATGTTTTTTTAAAGAGGAGGGTCTCACTGTATTGCCCAGGCTGGTCTCGAACTCCTGGGTTCAAGCAATCCTCCGGCCTTGGTCTCCCAAAGTGCTGGGATTACAGGCATGAACCACCACGCCCAGCCCCGTTTTATATTTTTTTTTTTTTTTTTTTTTTGAGACGGGGTCTTGATCTGTCACCCAGGCTTATGTGCAGTGGTGCAATCATGGATCACTGTCACCCCAGCCCCTCTGGCTCAAGCAATCCTCCTGCCTCAGCCTCTTGAGTAGCTAGGACTACAATTGTGCACCACCACACCCAGCTAATTTTTGTATTTTTTTTCTTTTTTTTTTTTGGTAGAGATGGGTCTCGCTTTGTTGCACAGGCTGGTCTCAAACTCCTAACTTCAAGCAACCCTCCTGCCTTGAACTCCCAAAGTGCTGAGATTACAGATGTAAGCCACCATGCCTGGATAGTTTTGTTTTTTTTTTTCTAGTTCCCTTACATTGCACCTGCCCAAGGTTAGCCAGGCTATGGGCAGTGGGCATTTACTGGTGGAATCATATCCATGAGTAAATTATTGAAAGATAAGATGTCAGTATCTGCTAATGAGTGAATGAAAAAGGTGGGGTTTAGCCACGTGGTGGAATATTACTCAGCTATGAAAAGGAAGTGCTGACACATGCTGCAATGTGGATGAATCTTGAAAACATGATGCTAAGTGAAAGAAGCCAGTCACAAAAGGCCATTAAAAATACAAAAATTAGCCAGAGTGTTGGCGCGCACCTGTAATCCCAGCTACTCCAGAGACTGAGGCAGGAGAATCACTTGAACCTGGGAGGCGGAGGTTGCAGTAAGCTGAGATCATGCCAATGCACTCCAGCCTTGACTGAGCAAGACTCTGTCTCAAAAAAAAAAAAAGGTGATAGAAAGATGGATGGATATAAATAAACGGATGGATAGATAACGAATGGGTGAATGAGTGGATGCATGGATGATGGACAGATAGATGACTGATGGACAGACAATGGATACATGGAGATATGATTGAGAGATAGATGATAGATAGATAGATGATAGATACATAGATAATGGGCTGGGCATGGTGGCTCATGCCTGTAATCACTTGAGGCCAGAAGATCAAGACCAGCCTGGCCAACATAGTGAAACCCCATCTCCACTAAAAGTACAAAAAAATTAGCTGGGCCCAGTGGTGTGTGCCTGTAGTCCCAGCTACTTGGGAGGCTGAGGCAGGAGAATCGCTTGAACCTGGGAGGTGGAGGTTGCAGTGAGTCAAGATTGCGCCACTGCCCTCCAGCCTGGGCAACAGAACAAGACTCTGTCTAAAAAAAAAAAATAGCTAGATAACGGATGGATGGATGGATGGATGGATGGATGAATCGATGGACAGATGGATGGATGGATGGATGGATAATGGAGAGACAGATACAGTAAATTTGGAGAGTCTAGGTAAAATGTATATGTATATGAGCCTGTTCCATTCTTGTCATTTTTCCGTAAGTTTGAAAATATTTCCAAATAGAAGGTTAACATTTTTAAAAATATTTTCACTGGTAAACAGCCCCTGCCCTCAGCCACCCACTTCTTCTATTGCCCGCTCCCAGCACCCTAAGTTCCTGTTTCCTACTCTGGGACACCCCCACTCCAGGTCGCCATGTTCATGTCACTAAAGAGTTAATGCTAGGTGCAGCAGGAGGCCCTAGACCCTGCCCAGGGGACCTCTGCACTTTAGCACATTGTTAAATATTTTGAATGTTCCCTTTGGCTGTGACGCATGAAGGTAAATTTTGCCTCTGCTGGTTTCGCAAGCTCCCAGCAATCCTTGACTGCAGAATGACTCAGACCCTCGTAAGGGGAGCCTCCCCACCCTCTGCTCTGACATCGCCTTGTCACTCCCTCATCAGCTGACAAAGCTCCGTTCCTGCCATGAGCTCACTCAGTCCTTTCCTCTGGTTGACTTCAGAAAGGCAGAAAAAATACGCTGATTCCAACGTCCTGTGGTTTCCGGGATCTTCAGACGCAAACGGCTTGCAAAGTTTGCCACTGCAGCACCTCTCCAAAGACTGGAAATAACTGACATGTCCAGCAAGAGGGGACTGGCTAAATTAATGATGGTACATCCAGGCAACAGAATACTACACAGCTATCAAAAAGAATGGAAAAGTTGGCCAGGTGCAGTGGCTCATGCCTGTAATCCTAGCACTTTGGGAGGCTGAAGCAGGGGGATTGCTTGAGCCCAGGAGTTCAAGATCAGCCTGGGTAACCTAGCAAGACCCTATCCCTACAAAAAGGAAAAAAACAGACAAAAAGAATGTTTATATAATGATGTGGAAAGACCTCCAAGATCTAGGGTGAGGCCAGGCGTGGTGGCTCACGCCTGTAATCCCAGCACTTTGGGAGGCCAAGGAAGGTGGATCACTTGAAGTCAGGAGTTCAAGCCCAGACTGGCCAACATAGTGAAACCCCGTCTCTACTAAAAATACAAAAATTAGCTGGGTGTGATGGCAGGCACCTGTAATTCCAGCTACTCAGTAGACTGAGGCAGGAAAAACACTTGAACCCAGGAGGTGGAGGTTGTAGTGAGCCGAGATCGTGCCACTGCACTCCAGCCTGGGCAACATAGCGAGACTCCATCTCTAAAAAATAAAATAGGCTGGACACGGTGGTTCACGCCTGTAATTCCAGCAATTTGGGAGGCCCAGGCGGGTGGATCACCTGAGGTCAGCAGTTCAAGACCAGCCTGACCAACATGGTGAAACCCTGTCTCTACTAAAAATACAAAAATTAGCCAGGAGTGGTGGCGTGCGCCTGTAATCCCAGCTATCTGGGAGGCTGAGGCAGAAGAATCACTGGAACCCGGGAGGTGGAGGCTACAGTGAGCCGAGATCGCTTCACTATACTCCAGCCTGGGCAACAAGAGCAAAACTCCATCTCAAAAATAAAATAAATAAAGTAAAATAAAATAAAATAGTGAAAAATAAACGTAGGTAGCTGCATTGTGGCACGTGGCCCACATATTGGGCAGTGCAGGTCCAGGGCCACTCTGGGGGTTCTAATTGCCCGGCACTATTCCATGTGCTTCCCAGGTGTTGGCTTAGTAATTTCCTAATCACAGTGCATATCTATGTGACAATAGCACAAAGGGCAGGGTACTATTATTCTTCCTAAATTCACATGCTCATTAGAGGAACAACCCTTGTCTGTTGCATGGAGAAAGGGGCAGAGAGCAGAAGCTGGGAGGAAACGGAGATTGGAACTGTCCAGGTGACGTGAGGCATGACGGTGGCTTAGACAAGGGTGCTGGCCGCAAGATGTGAACGATCGGATGAGAACAGGGTGAAGGAGAAGGCGCAGTACCTACAAGAACAGCCATAATCATTGCCAGGCTGTCCTGAGCCTTTCTCGTGTATTATCTCATTGAACCCACAAAGCAACCCTAGGAGACTTACTTGTTGCAACAGCAACACTCATTTTCCAGAAGAGAAAAATGAGGCTACAGAGAAATGAACAGACCTCTCCAAGTCTTCTCGGTTAGCAAGAACAGAGACAGGAGAGAAACTCCTGAGAGCTGAGCCCCAGAGCCCTCTCTCTCTTTTTTTTTTTTATGAGACGGAATCTCGCTCTGTCCCCAGGCTGGAGTGCAGTGGCGCGATCTCAGCTCACTGCAAGCTCCGCCTCCTGGATTCACACCATTTGCTAGCCTCAGCCTCCCGAGTAGCTGGGACTACAGGTGCCCGCCACCATGCCTGGCTAATTTTATTTTTAGTAGAGACAGGGTTTCACCGTGTTAGCCAGGATAGTCTTGATCTCCTGACCTCGTGATCCACCCACCTCAGCCTCCCAAAGTGCTGGGATTACAGGCATGAGCCACCGCGCCCAGCCCAGAGCCCTCTGTTTGAGTGGCTACCAGGCAGGCCTAAAGTGCATTGGGAGTGGGGGGGCATGCATTCTAGGCAGAAAGGAGAGAGGAAGGGCAGGTGGTGCACAGCAGAAACGAAAGGTCAGCATGGCTGGCAGGCGGCCAAGATAGGACTGGAAGGTCTGCAGATGCTGAGTTAAAGAATGTGGCTGGACGCCAGGCGCGGTGGCTCACGCCTATAATCCCAGCACTTTGGGAGGCTGAGGCGGGTGGATCACGAGGTCAGGAGTTCGAGACCAGCCTGGCCAACATGGTGAAATCCCGTCTCTACTAAAATAAAATACAAAAATTAGCCGTGTGTGGTGGCACGCACCTGTGATACCAGCTACTTGGGAGGCCGAGGCAGGAGAATCACCAGAATCCAGGAGGCAGAGGTGCAGTGAGCCAAGACTGCACCACTGCCCTCCAGGCTGGGTGACAGAGCGAGACTCTGTCTCAAAACAAAACAAAACAGACCAAATATTAGAAGCAAACTAAATTTCCATTGAAGGGGATGAAACCTCCTACTAGCATATTACTCAGCTGATAAAAGAAAGAAAGAAGCACCAGGCTGGGCAACATAGCAAGACCCCACCTCTACAAAAAATTTTAAATCTAGCTGGGTGTGGTGGCATGCACCTGTAGTCCCACCTACTCAGGAGGCTGAGGTGGAAGACCTCAGTAGACCCTGTCTAGAAAAAAGAAAAAAAGGAGGAGGAGGAGGAGGCAACTCCCTTGAACTACACGGGAATGAAGTACCTTCCTCAAGGTTAAGGGGAAATTAATGAATGCCTAATACAACGCCTGGTATGCAGTAAGCACTCAATAAATGCTAGTTAATAATACTATATGTTATTCATTTAAAAAAGCCAGATGTAGAGTACTGTACAAAACATACTGCCATTTATAAGGCTGGGAAAGGATAGAAATGTCACCCACATTGAGCGCCAACTGTATACCAGGCACTGCTACAAGAACTTTTCATGCATTCACTCAGTCAATTCTCTCAACTAGCCTATGATGTAGATTCTAGTATTATCTTCACCTTAAAGATAAGGAGAAGGAGGCTGGGTGCGATGGCTCACGCCTGTAATCCCAGCACTTTGGGAGGCCAAGGCGGGAAGATTGCTTGGGGCCAGGAGTTCAAGACCAGCCTGGCCAACACGGTGAAACCCCGTCTCTACTAAAAATACAAAAATTAGCCAGGCATGGTGGCAGGCACCTGTAGTCCCAGCTACCTGGGAGGCTGAGGCAGGAGAATCACTTGAACCCAGGAGGTGGAGGTTACAGTGAGCTGAGATCACACCACTGCACTCTAGCCTGGGCAACAGAGCAAGACACTGTCTCAAAAAACAAAAAGATAAGGAGACAGAAGCACGGAGAGGACAGATCTCCGCAACTATTTCATAGTAGAGACAGAAGCTGAGCTCGGTTTTGGGGTTCCCCGCATCACACTAGTCCTTACTTTGTTCCCTAAGCATCTGTGCTCTCAGGCATCTGTAAACTGTTTCTGGAAGGATCCACCACAAACTGGCATCCCATGGTTGCCCCAGGTAGGGTAGGAGGCAATGAAAAGGAGTCAGAGGGCCAGGTAGGGTGGCTCATACCTGTAATCCCAGCACTTTGGGAGACCAATGTGGGTGGATCACGTGAGGTCAGGAGTTCAAGACCAGCCTGGCCAACATGGTGAAACTCCGTCTCTACTAAAAAGACAAAAAATTAGCCAGGCGTGGTGGCGCATGCCTGTAATCCCACCTAGTCGGGAGGCTGAGGCAGGAGAATTGCTTGAAGCCGCGAGGCAGAGGTTGTGGTGAGCCAAGATCGTGCCATTGCACTCCAGCCTGGGCGACAAGAGTGAAACTCTGTCTCAAAATAAAAGGAAAGAAAAGGAGTCAGAGGCTCTGGGGTAGGCAGGGAGAATGAGTTTTTTTTTTTCTATGTTTGTTTTTTGAGATGGCCCTGTTGCCAGGCTGGAGTGCAGTAGAGCAATCTCGGCTCACTGCAACCTCTGCCTCATGGGTTCAAGCGATTGTCGTGCCTCAGCCTCTCAAGTGCTGGGACTACAGGCGCCCGCTTATATGCCCAGCTAATTTTTGTAGTTTTGGTAGAGACGGAGTTTCACCATGTTGGCCAGGATGGTCTCAATCTCCTGACCTTGTGATCCGCCCGCCTCAGTCTCCCAAAGTGCTGGGATTACACGCATGAGCCACCGCGCCTGGCCGAGAATGAGTTTTTACCAAGTATCATTTGGTACTTTGGAAAATGTTTTGGAAAGAAAAAAAAAAAGAAGAAGAAGAATCAGAGAGTCCCGTTTGCCCAAGTCGGATCTCAAGGGTGGAATGCAGGAATGAAGCAACATCAGACCCCTCCCTGGTCCATCCAAACCATCTTCCGTTTCCTCTTTGACACAGATGAAGCAAGGCAATGCCTGTGTTACAGCAGGTGCTGAATCGCAGCTCTGCTGGCTCAGTGCCCAGGCCTCCAGACGCAGGGATGACAGGGACCCTCATTTAGCCTGGGGTGCATTCCTTCTGACACTCACAGAATCCATGGCATAACCTGCTTCTGCCACCAACCATGGAGGGTCCCCATCCATCTCTGCTCCTGCCTGGGCCTCAGTTTCCCCATCTCTGTCATGCAGAACATCTCAAACGACCAGGCATAATGGCCTCATGCCAGTAATCCCAGAGCTTTGGGAGACCAAGGTGGGAGGATGGCTTGAGGCCAGGAATTTGAGACCAGCCCTGACAACATAGCAAGAACCCATCTCTACAAGAATAAAAATTTTAAAAATTAGCCGGACATAGTGGTGCATGCCTGTGGTCCCAGATACTCAGGAGGCTAAAGAGGGAGGATCACTTGAGCCCAAGAGTTCAAGACTGCAGTGAGCTATGATGGTGCCACTGCACTCCAGCCTGGGCAACAGTGCAAGACCCCAAGTCGAAAAAGAAAAGAACATCTATCTGCAAGAGCATCTGAGTAACTTGACCATTCCTCCAAACTGGTTCTTTCCAGCCTCCCAACATTTTCTCTGCCATTCCCACTGCCTGGAAGGCCTGTTCTAGATTTCTTCACTTGTGGAATTCTTTAAATAAAAAAAAAAATACAGACAGGGTCTCACTATGTTGGCCAGGCTGGTCTTGAACTCCTGGCCTCAAGCAATCCTCCCGCCTTGGCACAATCCCCAATGTGCTGGGATCACAGGTGTGACCCACTGCGCTCGGCTGCTTGTGGAATTCTTAGTCACCTTACTAGACCCAACTCAAGGGTCCCCTCCCCTGGGGAATCTTCTCGGGCCCCAGCCCCACGAGGTTGCTGTTGCTCCCACAATCTTGACAATCTTATTCCCATGGCCACATCCCAGCCCTGGAGTGTGAGAGCCTGGGATGCAGGAGAGAGGGAAGGTGGGAGGTGGAAGACAGGGAGAGAGAAGGAAAGGGAGAGACAGACAGAGTTGACGGCGAGAGTTGGGGAGAGAGAAGGACCCACTGGAGCAAAGATGGGAGGGACCCAGGACAAAGTTTCCTGCTCCCATTCCCCTTCGAGACTCACCATGTTCTGGTCTCCTGGGCTCCCCGAGGATCGAAGGTCCCTCCTGCCCAAGGGCTGTGGTTTTTAAAGCCCCAAGGGAAGATGCAGGGAGGAAATGACCGTCTTTCTCTCTGGGGCTCTCATTGGTCTGCACACTGGGCACTGAGGCCAGAGCTCCCTCTGCGGGGCACACACCCAGGGGACTCTAACCACCTCCTCCCAGGCAGAGAAGGGGGGCCGGCGCTCGGAAAACCGAGGAAGCTCCTGTGCAGGCTCGGCCCCTCTCCTGGCCTTGGTTTCCCTATTTGGGGCCATCTCTTCTCTCTCATTTTTTTTTTTTTTTTTTTGATAGAGTCTTGCTGTGTCGCCCAGGCTGCAGTGGAGTGGTGCAATCTCGGCTCTCTGTAACCTCTGCCTCCTGGGTTCAAGCACTTCTCCTGCCTCAGCCTCCCGAGTAGCTGGGATTACACGTGTGTGTCACCACCCCCGGCTAATTTTTTGTATTTTTAGTAAAGACGGGGTTTCGCCATGTTGGCCAGGCTGGACTCAAACTCCTGAGCTCAGGCAATCACCCACCTCAACCTCCCAAAGTGCTAGAATTACAAGTGTGAGCCACTGCGCCCGGCCTGGAGCCATCTATCTCTTTCCTCCTAAGACGCCAGCCTTCTGGGCAAAAGCTCAGGAATGCAGTTGGCTTAAACCCCTCCCTTGGGATTCAAGAAAGCAGAGACTGTAACCTCCACTCAGCCTCCCGGCCAGGCTGATTTGAGACCCAAAGAGGCTGAGCTAGTCTGCGGAGGTAGCCCAGCATTTAAGTATATTTTACTGTTAAATCTTCCTTCTAGGGCCAGGTGCAATGGCTCACACCTATAATCCCAGCACTTTGGGAGGCTGAGGCAAATGAATCACTTGAGGTCAGGAGTTCAAGACGAGTCTGGCCAACATGGTGAAACCCTGTCTCTACTAAAAATACAAAAATTACCCAGGTGTGGTGGCAGGTGCCTGTAATCCCAGCTACTTGGGAAGCTGAGGCAGGAGAATTGCTTAAACCTGGGAGGCAGAGGTTGCAGTGAGCCAAGATTGCGCCACTGCACTCCAGCCTGGGCAACAAAGCAAGACTCTGTCTCAAAAAAAAAAAACCATCGTCACCAGCCTGGCCAATATGGTGAAACCCCATCTCTACTAAAAATACAAAAATTAGCCAGGCGTGGTGGTGGGTGCCTGTAATCTCAGCTACTCAGAAGGCTGAGGCAGGAGAATTGCTGGAACCCAGGAGGCGGAGGTTGCAGTGAGCAGAGATTGCACCATTGCACTCCAGCCCAGGCTGACAACACCAAGACTCAATCTCAAAAAAAAAAAAAAGAAAAGAAAAAGAAAAGAAAAGAAAAAAATCATCCTTCTAGGGTTATAAAGTTGGCAATAGAAAATGGAGCTACCCTGTCCCCCAACTACACAAGCCACAACCATCTCCATCTATTATTGTTACATTGTAATATATAATGAAATAATTATACAATTCAACATAATGTAGAATCAGTGGAATCCCTGAGCTTGTTTTCCTGTAACGAGATGGTCCTATCTGGGGGTGATGGGATACAGTGACAGATCATCAGGCATTAGATTCTCATAAGGAGCTTGCAACCCAGATCCCTCACATGCGCTGTTCACAACAGGGTTCATGCTCTTTTTTTTTTTTTTTTTTTTTTTGAGATGGAGTCTCACTCTCTCACCCAGGCTAGAGTGCAGTGGCACGATCTCGGCACACTGCAACCTCCGCCTCCCAGGTTCAAGCGATTCTCCTGCCTCAGCCTCCCGAGTAGCTGGGACTACAGGTGCCTACCACTGCACCCGGCTAATTTTTGTATTTTTAGTAGAGACGTGGTTTCACCATCTTGGCCAGGCTGATCTCGAACTCCTGACCTCGTGATCCACCCGCCTCAGCCTCCCAAAATGCTGGGATTACAGGCTTGAGCCACTGCGCCCGGCCTGGGTTCACGCTCTTATGAGAATGTAATTCCGCCCCTGATCTGACAGATCAGGCGGTAATATGAGCGAAGGGGCGTGGCTATAAATACAGATGAAGCTTCACTTACTCACCTGCCACTCACCTCCTGCGATGCTGCATGGTTCCTAGCAGGCCATGGACTGGTACAGGTCTGCAGCCCAGGGCTGGGGGCTAAGATACTTCCTAGAGCCTGGGGCAAGGAAGGAGCCTAGATTACCTTCCCGAGGCTGCTGTAACCAATTAGCACAAACTGCGGGCTTAACACCAGGACCGGGCGCAGTGGCTCATGCCTGCAATCCCAGCACTTTGGGAGGCTGAGGCGGGCAGATCATTGAGGTCAAGAGTTCAAGACCAGCCTGGCCAACATGGCAAAACCCCATCTCTACTAAAAATACATAAATTACCTGGGTGTGGTGGTGCATGCCTGTAGTCCCAGCTACTCGGGAGGCTGAGGCACAAGAATTACTTGAACCCGGGAGGTGGAGGTTGCAGTGAGCCAAGATGGCACCACTGCACTCCAGCCTGGGCGACAAAGCAAGACTCCACCTCAAGGAAAAAAAAAGAAAAAAAAAGCCAGACAATTATTTTGGCATGGTTCTGCAGGCCAGAAGTCCAAAATCAAGATGTCACCACTCCCTCCAGAGGTTCCAGGGGAGAATCTGTTCCTTGCCTCTCCCACCTTCAGGTGGCTCCTGAAATTCCTTGGCTTGTGGTTGCACCACGCCCGTCCCTGCCTCTGTGGTCTCATCACCTCCTCCTCTACCGTATGTCTCAAATTTCTATCTTCCTCATATAAGGACTCTTGTGATTCCACTGAGCCCACCCAGACCCAATCCAGGATAATCGCTCCCCCATCTAAAGATCTTTAACTTCATCCTATCTGCAAAGTCCCTTTTGCCATGGAAGGTCACCTGTTCACAGGTTCAGGGGATTAAGATGTGGACATCATTGGGGATCATGATTCTATCTGCAACAGGGTCTGAGAAGCTAGAGAGTAAGTGTGTCCAGTGGTGGAGAGAAGCCTTGAATGCCGAGCTAAGGAGCCTGGACATGGCCTTTCCTTCGAAATAGATGCATGACCTGTCAACCTCTCACCACCTCGGCTCTGTTACCCTGATCCAAATCACTATCACCTTCTGCTTGGACCATTACAGCAGCCTCCTCTCTGGGATCTTCACTGCCCCCCCTCCGTAGTCTCATCTCCACCAGCAACCAGAGGGAGCCTATTAAAATCTAAGTCAGATCAAAGCACTCCTCTGCTCAGAATAGGGGGTTGCCTGATTTAGCACACACACCTACACAAACAAAAACACATTACAGACTGCCCAGTTAACTTTAAATTTCAGGGTTGGGCCTGGTGCTTCATACCTGTAATCCCAGGGCATGGGGACACCGAGGAAAGATCGCTTGAGGCCAGGAGTTTGAGAGCAGCCTGGGCAACATAGTGAGATCCCATCTCAACAAAATAAATTAAAAATTAGCTGGGCATGGTGGCACGTGCCTGTGGTCCCAGCTACCTGGGAGGCTGAGGCAGGAGGATCACTTCAGCCCAGGAGATCAAGACTGCAGTGAGTTAAGATCACAAAAATATTTTTTTTTTCACATTTTACCTGAGAATCTTGTATTTTATCTGGTAACCACAGCTCAGAGCCCTCCCTTGGAGCCTACGGCACAATGAGTGTGATTGTTATGATGATTACAGAAACACACTCAATTTTTTTTTCCCATGTCCTTCTGCGACTCTACAAAACACCACCCACAACTTTCTCCCACAGTATTTTTCTACAGCAAACTTCAATTTTTAAAAATCTGGTTTTCGGCCGGGTGCGGTCCTCATGCCTGTAATCCCAGCACTTTGGGAAGCCGAGGCAGGCAGATCACCAGTTCAAGAGATTGAGACTATCCTGGCTAACATGGTGAAACCCCGTCTCTACTAAAAATACAAAAATTAGCTGGGCGTGGTGGCGGGCACTTGTAGTCCCAGCTACTCAGGAGGCTGAGGCAGGAGAATTGCTTGAACACGGGAGGCAGAGGTTGCAGTGAGCCGAGATCGCGCCACTGCACTCCAGCCTGGGGACAGAGCAACATTCTGCCTCAAAAAAAAAAAAAAAAAAATCTGGTTTTCTTTTAATTGCAAAGGAAATGCATGCTCATTGTAAATATTTAAACAATCCAGAAATACACTCCTCCCCACTCTAAAAATAGAAAAAAGAAAAAGACACCAATGAAAAGTCCCATTCCTGTCACGCTTCTGAATTCAGCTGGGAATTCACCTAGACTTTTACAAAGGTGGAGTTTGTGTTTGGCCATGGACACGCGGGTACACGATGTTCAGCAAGTTTTAGTTCCGCTAATTGAAGCCATGTGCGCAGTCTGCGTTACTCACCCAGGATTTCCAAGGTCGATTTGTGGCGATTTGGAGCATTATAGGAATGCCGTGTTGTTCTAGCCCTGACCTCCAGGGGGCGCAGGAGCGGGGAGGTTCAGGAAGCCAGGTCACAGGAACTTGACTTTTAGGATTTTGGATGGAAGTTGCCTCCTCAGCCGTAAATCATGGGTTCTTAACATTTTTAGGCCCGGGACCCTTGATAAAGGTGTCCTTGATAAAACACCCCCTCAGAAGAAAAAGAATTTTTTTAACTTTTTATTTCGATGGAATGTCAAATGAAAAAAGTTGCAAGAATAGTAAAAGCGGCCGGGTGCGTTGGCTCCCGCCTGTAATCCCAGCACTTTGGGAAGCCGAGGAGGGAAGATCACTTGAGGTAAAGAGTTCGAGACCAGGCTGACCAACATTGTGAAACCCCGTCTTTAATAAAAATACAAAAAAGTAGCTGGGAATGGTGGCAGGCACCTGTAGTCCCAGCTACTTGGGAGGCTGAGGCAGGAGAATCACTTGAACTCAGGAGGAAGAGGTTGCAGTGAACCGAGATCATACCACTGCACTCCAGCCTGGGCGACAAAGTGAGACTCTGCCTCAAAAAAAAAAAAAAAGAAAGAAAGAAAAAGAAAGCAATTGGGGCCAGAAGCAATGGCTCATGCCTGTAATCCTAGCATTTTGGGAGGCCATGGTGGGAAGATCACTGGAGTCCAGGAGTTCCAGACCAGCCTAAGTAACATAGTGAAACCCCCATCTCTACAAAACACAAAAAATTATCCAGGTGTGGTGGAGCACACCTATAGTCCTAGCTACTTAGGAGGCAGAGGCAGGAGGATCACCTGAGCCCAGGAGGTCGAGGCTGCAGTGACCTATGATTGTGCCACTGCACTGCAACCTGGACAAAAGAGCAAGACCCTGTCTCGAAAAAAAAAAAAAAAAAAAGACAGAGGCCGGGCACGGTGGCTGACGCCTGTAATCCCAGCACTTTGGGAGGCTAAGGCGGGTGGATCACCTGAAAGTCAGGAGTTCAAGACCAGCCTGGCCAACATGGTGAAACCCCATCTCTACTAAGAATACAAAAAATTAGCCAGGTGTGGTGGTGGGCACCTGTAATCCCAGCTACTTGGGAGGCTGAGGGAGAAGAATCACTTGAACTCGGGAGGTGGAGGTTGCAGTCAGCCGAGATCGTGCCATTGCACTCCAGCCTTGAGTGACAAGGGCGAAACTTTGTCACACACACACAGAAAAAAAGAAATTGGCTCATGCAATTGTGGGGGCTGGTAAACCCTAGAAAAATAATACAGGCGTATATATCTATGTCTACTTATGTTTTTCCTGGAATCATTTGAGAGTACTTTGGAAACATCATGCTCCTTTACCATAAATTTGTTACTGTGTATCTCTTATATTGCGGTTATGACAGGATATTCTCTGACATAACCACAATATATTTATCAAAATAAGGAAATATGCCACTGATACCACACTATACTCAGCCCTCACTGAAATTTCACCAGTTGTTCCAATAACTTTTTTTTTTTTTTCTGAGACAGAGTCTCAATTTGTCGCCCAGGCTGGAGTCCAGTGGCACAATCTCGGCTCACTGCAACCTCCGCCACTCAAGTTCAAGAGATTCTCCTGCCTCAGTCTCCCAAGTAGCTTGGATTATAGGCGCCCAGCCACCACGCCCGGCTAATTTTTTTTTTTTTTTTTTGAGATGGAGTCTCACTCTGTTGCCCAGGCTGGAGTACAGTGGCGTGATCTCGGCTCACTGCAAGCTCCGCCTCCCAGGTTCACGCCATTCTCCTGCCTCAGCCTCCCGAGTAACTGGGACTACAGGCGCCCGCCACCATGCCCAGCTAATATTTTGTATTTTTTTTTTTTTAGTAGAGACAGGGTTTCACCGTGTTAGCCAGGACGGTCTTGATCTCCTGACCTCGTGATCCGCCCGCCTTGGCCTCCCGAAGTGCTGGGATTACAGGCATGAGCCACCAAATTTTTGTATTTTTAGTAGAGATGGGGTTTCGCCATGTCGGCCAGGCTGGTCTCGAACTCCTGACCTCAGGTGATCCTCCCACCTCGACCTCCCAAAGTGCTAGGATTACAGGTGTGAGCCACCATGCTGGGCCCCAGTAATGTACTTTATCACTTTGTTTTTCTGGATAACGTTTTGGTTTTCATTTTGGTTTTATTATTTTTTGTAGAGTCGGGGGTCTCACTATGTTGCCCAGGCTTGTCTCGAACTCCTGGGCTCAAGTAATCCTCTCACCTCAGCCTCCCAAAGTGTTGGGATTGCAGGCAAGAGCCACTGCACCTGGCGTCAGAATGATGTTTTTGTAAATACATTTTAAAACACTTTGTTCTGTTTTAACAGCATAAGAAATCCTTTAGCTGGGTGCAGTGGATCACGCCTGTAATCCCAGCACTTTGAGAGGCCAAGGAGGGAGGATTGCTTGAGGCCAGGAGTTCAAGACCAGCCTGGGCAACATGAAGAAACCCCATGTCTACAAAAAATACAAAAATTAGCCAAGTGTAGTGGTGCACACTTGTGGTCCCGGCTACTCTGGAGACTGAGGTGGGAGGATCACCTGAGCCTGGGAGATTGAGGCTGCAGTGAGCTATGATCGCACCACTGTCTATGATCACCCAGCCTGGGTGACAGAGCGAGACCCTGTCTCAAAAAAGAAAAGAAGAAGAAGAAGGCCGGATGCGGTGGCTCACGCCTGTAATCCCAGCACTTTGGGAGGCCGAGGCAGGTGGATCACGAGGTCAGCAGTTCGAGACCAGCCTGGCCAACATGGTGAAACCCTGTCTCTACTAAAAATACAAAAATTAGCCAGGCGTGGTGGCACACGCCTGTAATCCCAGCTGCTTGGGAGGCTGAGGCAGGAAAATCGTGTGAACCAGGAGGTGGAGGTTGAAGTGAGCCGAGACCGCGCCATTGCACTCCAGCTTGGGCGACAGAGCGAGACACCGTCTCAAAAGAAAAAAAAAAAAGAAGAAGGAAAAGAAGAAGAAGTCTGTTGTTAGTTTTAAATTTGCTTACTCAATCACCTCCCTAATGGTGAAATTTTAGGTGGTTTCCAATATTTTGGGTTATAATATAATGAGCACCTTTGTATATATATTCTCGTATGCATGTACAAGTATTTATGGTAGATGACTCTCTAGAAATGAAATTGCAGGACAGAGTGTGTACACACCATTTTTTATGTTGGTAACTTTTTTTTTTTTTTGAGATGGAGTGTCGCTCTTGTTGCCCAGGCTAGAGTGCAATGGTGTAATCTCGGCTCACCACAACCTCCGCCTCCCGGGTTCAAGCTATTCTCCTGCCTTAGCCTCCCGAGTAGCTAGGATTATAGGCATGTGCCACCACGCTAGGTTAATTTTGTATTTTTAGTAGAGATGGGGTTTCTCCATGTTGGTCAGACTGGTCTCAAACTCCCGACCTCAGATGACCCACCTGCCTCGGCCTTCCAAAGTGCTGGGATTACAGGCATGAGCCACTGCGCCTGGCCTGTGTTGGTAACTTTTGTGCCAGTGTCCCTTCATCCTCTTCTTCAAGATCCAGACCAGCAATGCCCATTACGGCAGCCACCAGCCACATCTGGGCACTGAGTGCTTGAAATACAGTGAGTCCATATTAACATGGGCCGTGAAAATGACACACATACTGGATTTCAAAGACTTAGTACCAAAAAAACAGATTGTAAAAGATCTCAATAAGGCCAGGAATGGCTGCTCACATCTATAATCCCAGCACTTTGGGAGGCCGAGGTGGGCAGATCACCTGAGGTCAGGAGTTCCAGACCAGCCTGGCCGACATGGCAAAACCCCATCTCTACTAAAACTACAAAAATTAGTCGGGCATGGTGGCGGGTATCTGTAATCCCAGCTACTTGGGAGGCTGAGACACAGGAATCACTTGAACCCGGGAGGTGAAGTTTGCAGTAAGCCGAGATCATGCCATTTCACTCCAACCTGGGTGACAGAGCAAGATTCCAACTCAAAAAAAAAAAAAAAATCAAGAACACACAAAACTAGACTTCGATGTTATAAGCCAGGAAAGAAGTTATTTTTGAGGGGTAAAAACGGAAGGCGGGGGTCTGGATGCTGGGAAAAGTCTTTTTCTTGATCTGAGTGTTGGTTACACAGGGATATTCAGCTGTAAAAATTCTTTAAGCTTATTATTGGTGAACTCTTCTGTCTGTATTTTTATATATCAATAGAAGTCCTTTTTTTATGCTGGGCGCAGTGGCTCACGCCTGTAATTCCAGCACTTTGGGAGGCCTAGGCGGACGGATCACCTGAGGCCAGGAGTTCGAGACCAGCCTGGCCAACATGGTGAAGGGAAGGGAAGAGAAGAGGAAGGGAGGAGAGGAGAGGGGAAGGGAAGGGAGGGGAGGGGAGGGGAGGGGAGGGGAGGGGAGGGAAGGGAAAGGAAGGGAAGAAAAAAGGCCGGGTGCGGTGGCTCACACCCGTAATCCCAGCACTTTGGGAGGCCGAAGCGGGAGAATCACCTGAGGTTGGGAGTTCACGACCAGCCTGACCAACATGGAGAAACCCTGTCTTTACTAAAAATACAAAATTAGCTGGGCCTGGTGGCACGTGCCTGTAATCCCAGATACTCGGGAGGCTGAGACAGGAGAATCGCTTGAAACCAGGACGCGGAGGTTGTGGTGAGCTGAGATCGCGCCACTGCACTCCAGCCTGGGCAACAAGAGTGAAACTCTGTCTCAAAAAAAAAAAAGAAAGAAAAGAAAAGAAAAGAAAAAGACAAGACAAGACGAAGGAAGGAAGGAAGGAAGGAAGGAAGGAAGGAAGGAAGGAAGGAAGGAGAAATAGAGAAAGAGAAACAGAGAAAGAGAGAGAGGAGGGAGGGAAGGAAGGAAAGGAGAGAAGGAGGGAGGGAGGGAAAGAAAAAGAAAGAGAAAGAAAGAGAGAAAGAAAGAGAGAGAGAAAGAAAGAGAAAGAAAGGCGGAAGGAAGGAAGGAAAGAAAGAAGGAAGGAAGGAAGGAAAGAAAAAGAAAGAAAGAAAGAAAGAAAGAAAGAAAGAAAGAAAGAAAGAAAGAAAGAAAGAAAGAAATCATGACCAAAGGGCACATGGAGCACATGTTATTTTGCATTCACAAACCCATCGCACCGTGCAATGCCAACCCCCATCAGGAAGGATGGACTGAGCAGGCGGCTGCAGCTACCACATCCCAAGGAGAAGCAGCTGTGCCCAGCCACCAGCTTGCCAGCGGCCACAGGAAGCCCAGAACCAGCCAAACTGGGCTGGTTGACCACCACTTACCACCCTCCACTCCCTTGGCACGAGGGTTCCTCAGCTGTGGCCACAGTGGCTTTTGAGGCAGGATGTGGTGGGCTCATCAGCGGCAATGCTTGTGCCCATGCAGTTATCCGACCCTGGCCTGACCAACTTACCAGAAACTCTAGCACCACGGGGGGTCTGAGTAAGGCCCAGAGGCCGCAATAAGCACCGGGGGAGGGATACAGGCAGGAGGAAGCTGGAGGATGCGCCAAGCTGAGGGCATCTCAAAGGCGGGCAGAAAACATCAGCACCAGCAATAATAATAAAAATAGGGCCGGGTGGCTGGGCCTGGTGGGTCATGCCTGTAATCCCAGGACTTTGGGAGGCCGAGGCGGGCGGATCACGAGATCAGGAGTTCGAGACCAGCGCAGCCAACATAGTGAAACCCCGTCTCTTCTAAAAATACAGAAATTAGCCGGGTGTGGTCACACACGCCTGTAGTCCCAGCTACTCAGGAGGCTGAGGTAGGAGAACCACTTGAACCCAGGAGGCAGAGGTTGCAGTGAGCTGAGACCATGCCACTGCACTCCAGCCTGGGTGACAGAGCAAGACTCCATCTCAAAAAAAATAAATAAATAAAATACACAATTTAGCCAGGCATGATGTCACTCGCCTGTAATCCCAGCACTTTGGGAGGCCAAGGCAGGCAGATCACGAGGTCAGGAGTTCGAGACCAGCCTGTCCAACATGGTAAAACCCCATCTGTACTGAAAATACAAAAATTAGCCAAGCGTGGCGGCATGTGCCTATAATCATAGCTACTCGGGAGGATGAGGCAGGAGAATTGCTTGAACCTGGGAGGCGGAGGTTGCAGTGAGTCAAGATCATGCCACTGCACTCCAGCCTGGGCGACAGAGCAAGACTCCGTCTCAAAATAAATAAATAAATAAAATACACAAATCAGCCAAGCATGGTGTCACGCACCTGTAATCCCAGCTACTGGGGAGGCTGGGGCAGGCGAATCACTTGAGCCCAGGAGGCAGAGGTTGCAATGAGCCGAGATGTCGCCATTGCACTCCAGCCTGGGCGAACAGAGCGAAACTCCATCTCAAAAATAATAATAATAATTTTAAAATAATAGTAATAATCATAGTGCTTGCTCAGGACCAGGGGCTCTTCTAAGCCTTCATAACCAACAAAGTAGGTGGAGATGAGACGTGCAAGCTCACAGAATGCAGAATGGAGGCCAGGCGTGGTGGTTCATACCTGTAATCCCAGCACTTTGGGAGGCTGAGGTGGGAGGATCACTGAGCTCAGGAGTTCGAGACCAGCCAGGCCAACATAGCATGACCCCATTTCTACAGAAAAAAATTGTTTTTGGCCAGGCGCGGTGGCTCACGCCTATAATCCCAACACTTTGGGAGGCCGAGGTGGGCGGATCATGAGGTCAGAAGATCGAGACCATCCTGACTAACGCGGTGAAACCCCGTCTCTACTAAAAATACAAAAAATTAGCCGGGCGTGGTGGTGGGCGCCTGTGGTCCCAGCTACTCGGGAGGCTGAGGCAGGAGAATGGCATGAATCCAGGAGGCGGAGCTTGCAGTGAGCCGAGATTGCACCGCTGCACTCCAACCTGGGCAACAGAGCAAGACTCCGTCTCAAAAAAAAAATTGTTTTAAATTAGCCAGGCACAGTAGCACACACCTGTAGTCCCAGCTACTCAGGAGGCCGAGGTGGAAGAATCACTTGAGCCCAGGAGTTATCCGACCAGCTGCAGTGAGCTGTGATTGTGCCACTGCACTCCAGCCTGGGCAACAGAGTAAGACTGTGTCTCTAAAACAACTAAAAAAAAAAAAAAATACAGAATGGAAGCTGATATTATTACACTGAAAATTCTAGAATTCTCTAATTCTAAAGTTGTAAGTGTTTAAGAGTGTGATTCGAGTCGAATGTTGCTTACCTGAGGCTGAGAAGGGAAGGTGGGAGGGAGACATAAAGAAAAATGGGTTAATGGGTACAAAAATACAGTTAGAACCAGATGCAGGGACTCACACCTATAATCTCAGCACTTTGAAGGCCGAGGTAGGAGGATTGCTCGAGGCCTTGAGTTTGAGACCAGCCTGGCCAACATGGCGAAACCCTGTCTTGATTAAAAATACAAAAATTGGCCGGGCACAGTGGCTCACACCTTAATCCCAGCACTTTGGGAGGCTGAGGCGGGCAGATCACGAGGTCAGGAGATCGAGACCATCCCGGCTCATATGGTGAAACCCCATCTCTACTAAAAATACAAAAAAATTAGCCGGGCATGGTGGCGGGTGCCTGTAGTCCCAGCTACTCGGGAGGCTGAGGCAGGAGAATGGCATGAACCTGGGAGGCAGAACTTGCAGTGAGCTAAGATCGCACCTCTGCACTCTAGCCTGGGCAACAGAGCAAGACTCCGTCTCAAAAAAAAAAAAAAAAAAAAAAAAAAAAAAAAAATTAGATGGGCATGGTGGCACATGCTTGTAATCTCAACACTTTGGGAGGCTGAGGTGGGGAGATCACTTGAGGTCAGGAGTTCAAGACCAGCCTGGCCAACATGGCTAAACTCCATCTTTACTAAAAATACAAAAATTAGCTGGGAGTGGTGGCGGGTGCCTGTAATCCCAGCTATTTAGGAAGCTGAGGCAGGAGAATCACTTCAACCCGGGAGGTGGAGGCTGCAGTGAGCAGAGATTGCACCACTGTACTGCAGCCTGAGTGACAAAACAAGACTCTGTCTCAAAAAAAATACAAATAATAAAATAATGAAGATGCTAACCTGAGCTGGCTTGAGGAACAGGGCAAACGGGTCCAGGTGGGGAGTCCCCTTCAGTTACCCAACTTTAAGGCCATAGCCCCCTCGCTACCAAAGTGTGTTTTCTCGATCCGCATCATCAAGCTTCCTGGACATGTTAGAAATGCAAGATCTTGGCGGGGCGCAGTGGCTCACGCCTGTAATCCAGCACTTTGGGAGGCCAAGGCAGGTAGACTGCCTGAGGCCAGGAGTTCGAGACCAGCCTGACCAACATAGTGAAACCCTGTCTCTACTAAAAATACAAAAAATTACCTGGGCGTGGTGGTGGGGGCCTGTGATCCCATCTTTCACTCGCGTCCGTGTGAAGACACCACCAAACAGGCTTTGTGTGAGCAATAAAGCTTTTAATCACCTGGGTGCAGGAGGGCTGAGTCCAAAAAGGGAGTCAGCGAAGGGAGATGGGGTGGAGCTGTTTTATAGGATTTGGGTAGGTAAAGGAAAATTACAGTCAGAGGGGGTTGTTCTCTGGCTGGCAGGGGTGGGGGGTCACAAGGTGCTCAGTGGTGGAGCTTTTGAGCCAGGATGAGCCAGGAGAAGGAATTTCACGAGGTAATGTCATCAGTTAAGGCAGGGACTGGCCATTTTCACTTCTTTTGTGGTGGAATGTCATCAGTTAAGGCAGGAACAGGCCATTTTCACTCCTTTTGTGATTATTCAGTTACTTCAGGCCATCTGGATGTATACGTGCAGATCACAGGGGATATGATGGCTTAGCTTGGGCTCAGAGGCCTGACACCATCTACTCGGAAGGCTGAGGCAGGAGAACTGCTTGAACCCAGGAGGTGAAGGCTGCAGTGAGCCGAGATCACACCACTGCACTCCAGCTTGGGTGACAGAGCGAGACTCTGTCAAAAAAAAAAAAAGAGAGAGAGAGAGAGAAGGAAAGAAAGAAGAAAGAGAAGGAAGGGAGGGAGGGAGGGAGGAAGGGAGGGAGGGAGGGAGGAAGGAAGGAAGGAGGGAGGGAAATGCAAGAGCTGTGGTCCTGCTCCAGCCCTGCTGAATTAGAACCTGCATTTTAACAAGACCCCCAGGTGATTCCTGGTCACCTTTAAGGTATAAGAAGCGCTGAATGAGTACGTCACCAGGAGACACTGGCCGGTTCCCTTCCTGCTATCATCATGTAGATGGCGCCCCCTTGTGGAGATTTTATTGAGACAAGGTTTGGCTCTACCGCCCTGGCTGGAGTGCAGTGGCGAGATCTCAGCCAACTGCAGACTCGAACTCCTGGAGCAATCTTCCCACTTCAGCCTCCCGAGTAGATTGGACTACAGGCACGCGCCACCATGCCTGGCTGATTTTTTTTATTATTATTGGAGAGATGAGGGGGTGTCTCGCTATATTGCTCAAGCTGGTCTTGAACTGCTGGCCTCGGAGATCCTCCTGCCTCAGCCTCCCAAAGCACTGGGATTGCAGTCATAAGCCACTACACCCAGCCAGCCTTCTTCCTTTATGGCAGGGGGTCTATCTCTTGTTGGATTTGATCATGGGTGCGTGATTTGTAATCAGCTGAAAATCTGAAAGCACGGCAGAGATGTTTTCTTGGAAATAAGCAATTTGTATTCTTTTTTTTTTTTTCTAGACAGAGTCTTGCTCTGTCACCCAGGCTGGAGTGCAGTGGTGCAATCTCGGCTCACTGCAGCCTCCACCTCCCGGATTCAAACGACTCTCCTGCCTCAGCCTCCCGAGTAGCTGGGTTTACAGGCGTGTGCCACCATGCCTGGCTAATTTTTGTATTTTTAGTAGAGACAGGGTTTTGCCATGTTGCCCAGGGTGGTCTAGAATTCCTGACCGCAAGTGATCCGCCTGTCTGAGCCTCCCAAAGTGCTAGGATTACAGTCATGAGCCATTGCACCTGGCAATTTTCTCCATTTTAATAAGCCCTCCAAGAAGGTAACAAGGTCTTGTGGGCAAAGAAATACATATGAAACTACATCAACATCTACAGAAGAGTGGCAGATTTGCTTGGGTTCCCCAAACGCAGATTCTGAGACAATGACTTGGGTGATGGCAGTTTATTTGGGAGGTGATCCCAGGAAGCAGGAGTGAGTTAGAGAACCAAGTCAGAAACAAGGCCAGGCGCAGTGGCTCACACCTGTAATCCCAGCACTTTGGGAGGCCAAGGCAGGCAGATCACCTGAGGCCAGGAGCTCGAGACCAGCCTGACCAACATGGTGAAACCCTGTCTCTACTAAAAATACAACAATTAGCCAAGTATGCTGGCGGGCGCCTGTAATCCCAGCTACTTGGGAGGCTGAGGCAGGAGAATCTCTTAAACCCGGGAGGCGGAAGTTGCACTGACCCAAGAACACACCACTGCACTCCAGCCTGGGCGACAGAGTAAGACTCCATCTCAAAAAAAAAAAAATAAGAAAGAAATGAGAGAAAAGCCAATAAGCGCGTGCTGATCAGTGCGTCACAGCTGGGGGAAACCGGGGCTCAATACGGCTGGGGATGCTCTGAGAAACCAAGCAGAAAATACCTCCGAATCTTCCCACTGAAGGATGAGGAGTGGGCCGGCGTGGTGGCTCAAGCCTGTGATCCCAGCACTTTGGGAGGCCAAGATAGGAGGAATGCCTGAGGCCAGGAGTTCATGATCAGTCTGGGCAACATAGTGAGATCCCATCTCTCAAAAAAAATTTGTTTTTCATTAGCCAGACATGGGGCTTGTGCCTGTAGTTCCAGCTATTCGGGAGGCTGAGGAAGGAGGATCATGAGCCGGGCACGGTGGCTCACACCTGTAATCCCAGCACTTTGGGAGGCCGAGGCAGGTAGATCCCTTGAGGTCAGGAGTTCAAGACCAGCCTGGCCAACACCGTGAAACCCTGTCTCTACTACTAATACAAAGAAATCAGCCGAGCCTGGTGGCACACACCTGTAATCCCAGCTACTCACAAGGCTGAGGCAGGAGGATTGCTTGAACCTGGGAGACAGAGGCTGCAGAGCCGAGATCTCACCACCGCACTCCAGTCTGGGTGACAGAACAAGACTCTGTCTCAAAAAAACAGAGGCCAGGGCGGTGGCTCACACCTGTAATCCCAACACTTTGGGAGGCCAAGGTAGGAGGATCACGAGGTCAGGAAATCGATACCATCCTGGCCAACATGGTGAAACCCCGTCCTGGCCAACATGGTGAAACCCCGTCTCTACTAAAAATGAAAAAAAGAGCTGGGCATGGTGGTGCACGCCTGTAGTCCCAGCTACTCGAGAGGCTAAGGCAAGAAAATCGCTTGAACCAGGGAGGCAGAGGTTGCAGTGGGCCACGAGCCAAGATCATGCCACTGCACTCTGGCCTGGTGACAGAGCAAGACTCTGTCTCAAAAAAAAAAAAAAAAAAAAAAAGAGGAAGATCTCTTGAGCTCAGGAGATGGAGGCTACAGTGAGCTATGATCACACCACTGCACTCCAGCCTGGGTTAGAGTGAGACCATGTCTCTAAAAAATAAAAAAAATGAAAATTCAAATTTTTTTTTAAATGTAGGCTGGCCAATTGGACTTCATCAAAATGAAAAGCTTTTGCATTTTTTTCTTGAGATGAAGTTTCGCTCTTGTTGCCCAGGCTGGAGTGCAGTGGCACAATCTCAGCTCACTGCAACTTCCGCCTCCCAGGTTCAAGCGATTCTCCTGCCTCAGCCTCCTGAGTGGCTGGGATTCAGCCCTGAGCCACCACACCTGGCTAATTTTTTGTGTTTTTAGTAGAGATGGGGTTTCACCATGTTGGCCAGGCTGGTCTCAAACTCCTGACCTCAGGTGATCCACCTGCCTCGGCCTCCCAAAGTGCTGGGATTATAGGCGTGAGCCACTGCATCCAGCCAGCTTTTGCCATTATTATAAAGGCAATTTAAAAATAAATAAAATAAAAATGAAGGAGGAAGTGGCTGGGGCATTGATGCAGCAAACTCGCCTGGCCTTTAGGGAAGAGCTTCCCAGGGGCGTTACAAAGGAAGACATTACACATCCCCACACTTTTGGGGTGCACCTGGGGTCCAAGTAGGTTCCATGGTGCCAGAGAAAACCGAGAGGAGAGGGCTAGGCCCGGTGGCTCATGCCTGTAATCCCAGCACTTTGGGAGACCAAGGCAGGCAGATCACTTGAGGACAGCAGTTCGAGACCACCCTGGGCAACACGGTGAAACCCCGTCTCTACTAAAAATACAAAAATTAGCCAGGCGTGGTGGCACGAGCCTGTAGTCCCAGCTACTCAGGAGACTGAGACAGGAGAATTGCCTGAACCCAGGAGCCAGAGGTTGCAGTGAGCCGAGACTGCACCACTGCACTCCAGCCTGAGTGACACAGCTAGACCGTGTCTCAAAAAAAAAAAAGAAAAAAGAAAACAAATTGGTTTCTCTACTTCACCTCTAAATCAATGCTCAAAAAAAAAAAACCCTCAAAATTATCAGTTTTGTTTTTTGGATTTTTTGCGTGTTTGGTTGTTATTGGTAGAGACTAGATTTCACCATGCTGCCCAGTCTGGTCTTGAACTCCTGGGCTCAAGCAATCTGCCCGCCTTGGCCTTCCTAAGTGTTGGGATTACAGGCGTGAGCTGCTGCGCCTGGCCATAAACTACCATAGTCTTAAGAAGCAGTGAATTGTTACCTTTTCTGAGGCATATAATTGCCAGCATACCCAGGAGGCCCAAATATCTCAGTTGGGCTTGGAAGAAACTATTCCCAATGAAGTAGAGCTAATAAGGCATGTAAACTACACATAACAAACATCCTCAGAGAAATGACGGAGGATAATGGCAAGTCGAAGCGAGAAGAGGAGGTTATGAAGCAGAAGCTAACGGGAGATGAGGGATATGAAAAACTCAATTATTGAAATAATTATGTGTTGGATGGTGTATCAGAGGGCAGAATAGACAGGGCTTTAAAAATGAATAAATGAGGCCAGGCTTGGTGGTTCAGGCCTGTAATCCCAGCACTTTAGGAGGCTGACACGGGAAGATCGCTTGAGCCCAGGAGCTCAAAATTAGCCTGGGCAACACAGCGAAAGCCCATCTCTATAAAAAAATCAAAAAATTAGCTGGATGTGGTGGTGCACACCTGTAGTACCAACTACTGGGGAGGCTGAGGTGGGAGGATTGCTTGAGTCCAGGAGATCGAGGCTGCAGTGAGCTATGTTCACACCACTGCACTTCAGCCTGGCGCGGTGGCTCACGCCTGTAATCCCAACACTTTGGGAGGCCGAGACAGGCGGATCACGAGGTTAGGAGATGGAGATCATCCTGGCTAACATGGTGAAACCTTGTCTCTACTAAAAATACAAAAAATTACCTGGGCGTGGTAGTGGGCGCCTGTAGTTCCAGCTACTTGGGAGGCTGAGGCAGGAGAATGGCGTGAACCCAGGAGGTGGAACTCGCAGTGAGCCAAGATCGCGCAACTGCACTCTAGCCTGGGCGACAGAGCGAGACTCCGTCTCAAAAAAAAAAAAAAAAAAGTGGACGAGATGAAAATACTATTCCAGAAGCACCTGTAAGGGACAGAGAGAGGGAAACTGTAAGGAAAAAGTTAAGATATGTAAGCCAGGCATGGTGGCTCATGCCTGTAATCCCAGTGCTTTGGGAGGCCGAGATGGGTGGATCACCTGAGGTCAGGAGTTTGAGACCAGCCTGGCCAACATAGTGAAACCCCATCTCTACTAAAACTACAAAAAATTAGCCAGGCATTGTGGTGGGCGCCTGTAATCCCAGCTACTTGGGAGGCTGAGGCAGGAGAATCACTTGAATCTGGGAGGCAGAGGTTGCAGTGAGCAGAGATCACGCAACTGCACTCCAGCCTGGGTGTCAGAGCAAGAGTCTGTTTCATAAAAGAAGAATAATAATTCTCTGGATTACTAGGCAGAGACTCTTGTTCTCTTCCCTTACTTTTTCCAGAGTCTCTCTGTGCTGAGATGCCTGGAGTTGGGGGAGGGGTGACACAAGCTCCTCTGTGGCCACCACCTCTGGGACTGCACTGGGTCAGACCTGAAGCCAGCACAGCCCTGGGTCTCACCCAAGGCCCGCTGTACCCAGAGCCTGGAAACCACCTATGTTCACTCTAGGCTCGAGCGTTCTACAGCCAGTAGGTGGTGAAGCCAGCAGACTTGTGTTCATTTCTTCAGGATGGCGAGGTCCCCCCGGCCCTGGGTGGGTCCAGAGATGCCATGCAGGAGCTTGAACCCAGAGTTGGAAACCTTAGGAATCTACTGGGCGCTCTATTCTACTATAGCTGAGGGGCTACCCAAGCCACAAGACAAAGTCCTTCCCACTCTTCTCTCTCCTTCCCACAAGCCAAGAAGTCTCTCCCTGTGGCCACCACCCCAGGCCCACGGCAAGTACTGCCTGGCCACCACTGATGTTCACTCCAGGCCCAAGCGCTCTTCGGTCAGCTTGCAGTGAATCCTGCCAGGCCTAGAACTCTCCCTTCAAGGCTGTGGACTTCCCTCTGGCCCAGGGCAGGTCCAAAAATGCTGTCCAAGAGCCATGGCCTGGAATCGGGGACCCCAAGAGTGCACTTGGGGCTCTACCCCTCTGTGGCCAAGCTGGCAGCTAAGCTGCAAGACGAAGTTGCATTTACTCTTCACTTTGCTTTCCTTTTTTTTTTTTTGAGACATTGTCTTGCTCTGTTGCCCAGGCTGGAGTGCAGTGGCGCAATCTCAGCTCACTGCAACCTCTGCTTCCCGGATTCAAACGATTCTCCTGCCTCAGCCTCCCAAGTAGCTGGGATTGTAGGCATGCACCACCACACCTGGCTAATTTTTGTATTTTTAGTAGAGATGGGGTTTCGCCATGTTGGCCAGGCTGGTCCTGAATTCCTGACCTCAGATGATCCACCCACCTCAGCCTCCCAAAGTGCTGGGATTACAGACATGAGACATCACGCCCAGACTTCCCTTTGCTTTTTTTTTTTTTTTTTTTCCGAGACAGTGTCTTACTCTGTCATCCAGGCTGGAGTGCAATGGCGTGAACTGGACTCATTGCAGCCTCTGCCTCCCAGGTTCGAGCGATTCTCCTGCCTCAGCCTCCCGAGTAACTGGAATTACATGCGCCCCCCCCGACCCCCACCACGCCCAGCTAATTTTTATATTTTTAGTGGAGACAGGGTTTCACCATGTTGGCCAGGCTGGTCTCGAACTCCTGACCTCAGGTGATCCACTTGATCAGAAAGTGCTGGGATTACAGGCATGAGCCACCACGCCTGGCCTCTCTGCTTTCTCAAGCAGAAGGAGTCTCTCCCATGTAGCCACCACAGCCGGGAATGTGCCAGGTTCCACCTGAAGCCATCACGTTTGAGTCTCACCTAAGGCCCACAGCGTGAACCACCTGGCCTGGCCACCGCTGCTGATTATTCAGGGCCCAAGGGCTCTTTAGTCAGCAGGTGATGAACCTGCCAGGACTGGGTCCTTACCTTCAACACAGCAGCTTCCCTTCCCCCTCACGGTGTGTTCGAAATGTCCTCCAGGAGCTGGGGCCTGGAATGGGAGTCACACAGTTCTGCCCAGTGCCCTACCCTACTGAGGTAGGAGGCAGGGCTTGTACACAGGACCAAACTGAGGACTGGCTGAAACAGGTCTAGGGCAAAAGCAGTTTTCCATAAGACACACCCACCAGTGTACCGTATCAGTTTACCATTGCCATGGCAACACTCGGACCTTAGCACCACTTTCCATGGCAATGACCCGGTGACTGGAAATTACCACCCTCATCCTAGAAATTTTTGCATAAACTGCCCCTTGATTTGCATATAATTAAAAGTGGGTATAAATATGACAGCAGTGCTGCCTCTGGGCTGCTCTTCTGGGCACACTGCCTGTGGGGTAGCCCCGCTCTGCAAGGGGCAATTCCTCTGCTGCAGCTGTGCACTGAGGCTTCAGTAAAAGTTGCTATTTAACACCACTGAGCCAGACACGGTGACTCATGCATGTAATCCCAGCATCTTGGGAGCCCGAGGTGGGTGGATCACTTGAAGCCAGGAATTCAAGACCAGCCAGCAACATGGTGAAACTTCACCTCCACAAAACATTAGCCGGGCACGGTGACACATGCCTGTAATCCCAGCTACTTGGGAGGCTGAGGCACAAGAATCACTTGAAACCGGGAAGTGGAGGTTGCAGTGAGCTGAGATCATGCCACTGCACTCCAGCCTGGGTGACAGAGCAACACTCTGTCTCAAAAAAGGAAAAAGAAAAAAAAATAACACCACTGGCTCACCCTTGAATTCTTACATGGGCAAAGTCAAGAACCCTCCCAGGCTAAGCCCCAATACTGAGACTGTAGACACACATCACCAAGCCCACCTAATTTTTAAAAATTTTTCTCTTATAGAGACAGGGTCTTGCTATGTTGCCTAGGCTGGTTTCAAATTACTGGCCTCATGCTATCCCTCCCACCTCAGCCTTTCAAAGTGCTGGGATTACAGGCATGAACCACCTTGCCCAGCCATAAACTCTCTTTTTTAAGCCATTGTTGGCTGGGCAGCAGGGGGGTCTATTTGTTACAGCAGCTTATCTCATTCTAACCAATACCTGCTACTGTGCATAACACGTGTAACACTCCCAGCCTCACCCTTCATGGCGTACACCCCTCCCAATCCTTCCCCAGACCTTCTCCCACAGTAGAGCTCAACAGCTGACAGGTGGCCGTCCCACCTATCACTTTTTACTTTATTTGCATGTTTTTTGTTTTTGGGGTTTTTTTGACACAGAGTCTTGCTCTGTCGCCCAGGCTGGAGTACAGTGGTGCCATCTCAGCTCACTGCAGCCTCTGCCTCCTGGGTTCAAGTGATTCTCCTGCCTCAGCCTCCTGAGTAGCTGGGACTACAGGCACATGCCACCACGCCTGGCTAATTTCTTGTATTTCTAGTAGAGATGGGGTTTCCCCATGTCCACCCATGATGCACCGCACCTGGCTGCATGTGTTTTTTATACCATCAGTATTATTCAGTGTGGGGAGGATGTGCTGTTGCCAGGGCAACTGAAAGTCACAAATGCCCAGTACAGCCTTAAAGGAAAAATTCAATTTCAATCACAACTTTAGGACCAGGGCAACAAATTACCATGACAGATGGACAATCTGAATAATAGGCTTCTCATTGAAAGTTGTGTTCATGGAGCACAACCACAATTTCTGAACCTTTGGAGACTTATGAGACCCTTTACTTGTATGACACTTCAGAGACAGCTTCCTTTTAATAAAAAAGCAGGACCGGGTGCAGTGGCTCATGCCTGTAATCCCAGCACTTTGGGAGGCCCAGGTGGGCGGATTACCTGAGGTCGGGAATTCCAGGCCTGCCTGACCAACATGGAGAAACCCCATCTCTACTAAAAATACAAAAAATTAGCTAGGCGTGGTGGCAGGCAACTGTAATCCCAGCTACTCGGGAGGCTGAGGCAGAAGAAGTGCTTGAACCCGGGAGGCAGAGGTTGCAGTGAGCCAAAATCATGCCATTGCACTCCAGCCTGGGCGACAGGGTGAGACTTCATTAAAAAAAAAAAAAAAAAAAAAAATTACTGGAGCTCTACAACGGTGTCATCATGTCCTCCAAACTCCAGGGAAAACATGCCGGGTTTTCTAGAACTTTCTCTCACTTGGCTTGAGATGGGGAGAAGCACCTATCTCATCATCATCATGGGCAGCATTCCTACAACCCTTCCCAAACAAATTTTTTTTTTTTTTTTTTTTTGAGATGGAGTCTCACTCTGTTTCCCAGGCTGGAGTGCAGTGGTGCGATCTCAGCCCACTGCAACCTCTGCCTCCCAGGTTCAACTGATTCTCCTACCTCAGCCTCCCAAGGAGCTGGGATTACAGGCGCCTGCCACCACGCCCAGGTAATTTTTGTATTTTTAGTAGAGACGGGGTTTCGCCATGTTGGCCAGGCTGGTCTCGAACTCCTGACCTCAGGTGATATGCCCACCTCAGCCTCCCAAAGTGCTGGGATTACAGGCATGAGCCACCACACCTGGCCAGAAATATTCTTTATTAACAAAATTTATATTTTGTTAAAAGAAGTAGACATGGGGTCTTACTATGTTGGCCACACTGGTCTCAAACTCCTAGGCTCAAGCCATCCTCCCACTTCCACCTCCCAAAGTGCTGGGATTACAGGCATGAGCCACAACATGCAGCCCAAAGAAATCTTGATAATATTTATATAGGCTGGCTATATAAATTTATATATATATGTATATGTGTGTGTGTATATATATGTGTGTGCGTGTGTGTGTGTGTGTGTATATATATATACACATATATATATTTGAGAAGTTGGCTAAAGGTCAAAAAATATTTTAAGGCCAGAGCTTTGAGGAAGTCATATCCAGATTATTTATTTTATCTTTTTTTTTTTTTTTTTGAGATGGAGTTTTGCTTTTGCTACCCAGGCTGGGGTGCAATGGCGTTATCTCGGCTCACTGCAACATCTGCCTCCCAGGTTCAAGCAATTCCCCTGCCTCAGCCTCCGGAGTAGCTGGGATTACAGGTGCCCGCCACCATGCTCAGCTAATTTAAGTATTTTTAGTAGAAACGGGGTTTTGCCATGTTGGCCAGGCTGGTCTTAAACTCCTGACCTCTTGACATGCCCACCTCGGCCTCCCAAAGTGCTGGGATTACACGAGTGAGCCACCGCGCCCAGCTTTTTCATTATTTTTTAAAGACACAGTCTCACTCTGTCACCCATGATGGAGTACAGTGGCAAAATCTCAGCTCACTGCAACCTCTGCCTTCTAGGTTCAAGCAATTGTCCTGCCTCAGACTCCTGAGTAGCTGAGATTACAGACACCTGTCACCACGCCCAGCTAATTTTTGTATTTTTAGTAAAGACAGGGTTTCACCATGTTGGCCAGGCTGGTCTCAAACTCCTGACCTCAAGTGATCCACCCACCTCGGCCTCCCAAAGTGCTGAAATTACAGGCATGAGCCACCTCGCCTGGCCTCCAGATGATTTAACAGTCCTCTTTAGAATAGGGACACACTTGTCACATATTGCTGTCCCCCCTTTAAGGGACCTCAGTCTCCCAAGGAAACTTATTTGCCTGTTAAACTCACTTCATGGGTACATTTGGTGTTGTTTGTTTGTTTGTTTTTAGACTGAGTTTAGCTCTACGGCCCAGGCTGGAGTGCAGTGACGTGATCTCAGCTCACTGCAAACTCCTCCTCCCAGGTTCAAGTGATTATCCTACCTCAGCCTCCCAAGTGGCTGGGATTACAGGTGCCCACCACCAAGCCTGGCTAATTTTTTTTTTTTTTGTATTTTTAGTAGAGACGGGGTTTCATGAGAATTGCTTGAACCCGGGAGGTGGAGGCTGCAGTTAGCGGAGATCGTGCCACTGCACTCCAGCCTCGGCGATAGACTCAAAAAACAAAAAACAACAAAAAAAGGCACTAATTCCAAAAGGCCACACCTCCCAATATCATCACATTGAGGATTAGGACCAACCACTGTCTCCATCCATTCAGCGCTGCTATAAAATAATACCACAGGCCGGGCGCAGTGGCTCACAACTGTAATCCAAGCACTGTGGGAGGCTGAGGCGGGTGGATCACGTAAAGTCAGGAGTTCGAGACCAGCCTGGCCAACATGATGAAACCCTGTCTCTACTAAAAATATAAAAATTAGCCGGACGTGGTGGCGGGCACCTCTAATCTCAACTACTAGGGAGGCTGAGGCAGGAGAATCATTTGAACCCAGGAGACGGAGGTTGCAGTGAGCCGAAATCATGCCATTGCATTCCAGCCTGGGTGACAAGAGCAAAACTTCATCCCCCCAAAAAAATACTACAGGCTGGGTGCAGTGGCTCACACCTGTAATCCCAACACTTTGGGAAACTGGGAAGCCAAGGCAGGTGGATCACCTAAGGTCAGGAGTTTGAGACCAGCCTGGCCAACATGGTGAAACCCCGTACCTACTAAAAATACAAACAAAAATTAGCCAGGCATGGTGGCGGGTGCCTACAATCCCAGCTTCTCGGGAGGCTGAGGCAGGAGAATCGCTTGAACCCGGGAGGCTCAGGCTGCAATGAGCTGAGATTGCGCCACTGCACTCCAGCCTGGGCAACAAGAGTGAGACTCTGTCTCAAAAATAAATAAATAAATAAATAAAAATAAAAAATAAAATAACACCACAGCCTGGGTAATTTATAAAGAGAAATTTATTAGCTCATGGTTCTAGAGGCTGGGAAGTCCAATGTCAAGGTACTGGCAGGTTGGGTGATTCTGAAGCCAAGATACCTCCTTGAATTTATAAAGAGAAATTTATTAGCTCATGGTTCTAGAGGCTGGGAAGTCCAATGTCAAGGTACTGGCAGGTTGGGTGATTCTGAAGCCAAGATACCTCCTTGAATTCCTGCTCCACAGAGCAGGAATGCTTTATCTTTACATAGCAGAGAGCAGAAAGGCAAAGAGGCAAAAGGGGGCTGAACTTGCTCTTTTATAATAGTATTCATCTCACCCAGGTGTGGTGGCTCACACCTGCAATCCCAGCACTTTGGGAGGCCGATACAGGTGGATGGCTTCAGTCTAGGAGTTCAAGACCAGCCTGGCAACATAGCAAGACCCCCCATCTCTTCTAAATATTTTAAAAATTAGCTAGACATAGTGGTGCATGCCTGTGGTCCCAGCTACTTGGGAGGCTGAAATGGGAGGATCGCTTGAGCCCAGGAGTTCAAGGCTGCAGTGAGCCATGAGCAGGCCACTGCACTCCAGCCTGGGCAACAGGGCAAGACCCTGTCTAAAAAAGAAAGAATGAAAGAGTCTTGAGACTAGTAAGTTTGAGGATCGCTGCTCTATGTACAGCTGAGGTGAGTAAAGGCAATAGCTAAACTACACACACGCGCACACACACACACACACACACACACACACGTCTCCACCTCTCATCCCCACACTCCTACCTCCCACATCTCTGGAAGTGTCTGCAAACTCCCAGCAACTAAATGTAAAAATATAGATTAGTTTCCTCTGCTCAAAGTAGACAGGCGACCTCTAGTGGACAAAAAGGGTATTGATTGACAGCACACTATTTCTTTGCTGATTTTGTGGAGTCCGCTGAAATTCTAATAGCAGAGGGCACAGATGTCGCCTGAAATGAGAACTTTCTTTCAGTATATAAACCTTAAACCCTGCACCATGCCTCTTCTCATACACGTTCTCACACATGCACACACACACACACAGACCCACAGTCACACTCAATGTACAATCACACACAGACTCAACTAGACATGCACGCATACTTTTTTGACACAGGTCCTCGCTGTCACCACCCAGGCTGGATTGCAGCGGTGCAATTACAGTTCACTGCAGCCTTGACCTCCTAGGCTCAAGAGAGCCTCCTGCCTCAGCCTCCCAAGTAGCTGGGACCACAGGTGCACGCCACCGCACCCCGCTAATCTGCTAATCTTTTAATGTTTTGTAGAAACTTGGTCTTGCTATATTGCCCAGACTGGTCTTGAACTTGAGCTGAAGCAATCCTCTCACCTCGGCTTCCCAAAGTGCTGCGATTAGAGGAGCAAACACACTTTTATACACCCAATCACACAGATGCACACTGAAACAGTCAAATACACACATTCACACTTACATACTCACACTCACATATACACACTCAGTCACACAAAAACCACACCCTCATGCACAGACACACTCATCCAGGCCGTCACAAACACAAACACGCATTCGCCTAACCACACAACACTAAAAATAGCATGTCATTGACAATGGGAACTTACTAAATGAACGTCATTCTCTACTTTTAAAAAATTACCAGAAAGTTAGTTTTTTCCCTGAGCCATTAAATAAATGTTGAGCAAATAATTAAGATGAATCTAGGTTTGGCAGTGGGCCAAATTACAGGTCCGCAAGCCCTTAGCAGGAGTCCTTGGGGACAGATGAGTTGCAGAACTCAGAATTGTTCCAATTTTAGAAAGGCAATTTTGAGTGAATACCATGCATTATGTAACACTCTCAGAGGCCTGATGCAGGCGCCCCCTTCTCTCCCATCAGACGTGGTAATATTTTTGCAGCAAAAAATGTGAATATTCAGGGCTGGGCATAGTGGACGTGGTGGCTCACGCCTGTAATCCCAGCACTTTGGGAGGCCGAGGCGGGTGGATCACCTGAGGTCAGGAGTTCGAGACCAGCCTGGCCAACATGGTGAAACCCTGTCTCTACTAAAAATAAAAATTAGCCAGGCGTGGTGGTGCGTGCCTGTAATCCCGGCTACTCGGGAGGCTGAGGCAGGAGAATCGCTTGAACCTGGGAGGCGGAGGTTGCAGTGAGCCCAGATCGCACCATTGCACTCCAGCCTGGGCAACAAGAGCCAAACTCCGTCCCAAAAAATATATATATATATACAGATTTTGTTTGGTAGTTCCTCCATAAATGAAACACAGATTATCAGGCGGGGCATGGTAGCTCATGCCTGTAATCTCTTACACTTTGGGAGGCCAAGACAGGAGGATCACTTGAGCCCTGGAATTCAAAACCAGCCTGGACAACATAGGGAGATCCTGTCTCTACAAAAAAATAAAAATTTAGCCAGGCATGGTGGCGCACACCTGTAGTCCCAGCTCCTCAGGAGGCTGAGGCAGGAGGACTGTTTGAGCCCAGGAGTTGGAGGCTGCAGTGAGCTATGACTGCATCACTGAACTCCAGCCTGGGCAACAGAGCGAGACTCTGCCCAAAAAAAAGTTCAAACAAAATATTGTACATGCATGCTCACAGCAGCACTATTCACAATAGCCAGAAGGTGGAAGCAACCCAACTGTCTATCAACAAATGAACGGATAAACAAAATGTGCAAAATGTGGCCTATCCATACAATGGAAATTTTTTTTGGAGACAGAGTCTCACTCTGTCGCCCAGGCTGGAGTGCAGTGGTGCGATCTCAGCTCACTGCAACCTACACCTCCTGGTTCAAGCAATTCTCCTGTCTCAGCTTCCTGAATAGCTGGGATTACAGGTGTGCACCATTACACCTGGCTAATTTTTGTGTTTTTAGTAGATACTGGGTTTCACCATGTTGGCCAGGCTGGTCTTGAACTTCTGACCTCAGGTGATCCACGCACCTCGGCCTCCCAAAGTGCTGGAATTACAGGCATGAGCCACTGCGCCCGGCCAATGGAATGTTATTTAGCCATAAAAAGGAATGAAGCAGGCGGGCACGGTGGCTCACCCCTGTAATCCCAGCACTTTGGGAGGCCGAGGCAGGTGGATCTTGAGGTCAAGAGATTGAGACCAGCCTGGCTAACATGGTGAAACCCCGTCTCTACTAAAAACACACAAAAAAACTAGCTGGGCGTGGTGGCATGCGCCTGTAGTCTCAGCTACTAGGGAAGCTGAGGCAGAAGAATCACTTGAACCTGGGAGGCAGAGGTTGCAGTAAGCCGAGATTGCACCACTGCACTCCAGCCTGGTGACAGAGCAACACTCCGTCTCAAAAAAGAAAAAAGAAAAAAAAAAACAAGGAATGAAGCACTGATACTTGCTTTCACCCAGAAAAGCCTTGACAACAGGACGCTGCGGCCGGGTGCGGTGGTGCGGTGGCTCACGCCTGTAATCCCAACACTTTGGGAGGCCAAGGCGGGCGGATCACCAGGTCAGGAGATCAAGACCATCCTGGCTAACACAGTGAAACCTCGTTTCTACTAAAAACACAAAAAATTAGCCGGGCGTGGTCGCCAGCACCTGTAGGCCCAGCTACTCAGGAGGCTGAGGCAGGAGAATGGCATCAACCCGGGAGGCAGAGCTTACAGTGAGCCGAGATTGCGCCACTGCACTCCAGCCTGGGCGACAGAGCGAGACTCCATCTCAAAAAAAAAAAAAAGAAAAGAAAACATGACTCAAGTGAAATAAGCCAGACACAAAAGGCCCTGTATGTTATGATTGCTTTTATATAAAATGTCCAGAACAGGCATATTTATATAGACAGAAAGTAGATGAGTGCTCGCCAGGGGCTGAGGGGAGGGGGAATGGGGAGATGGTGTTTAATGGGTACGGGGTTTCATTTTGGGAAGACGAAAACATTTTAAAGATGAATGGTGGTGATGGTTGCACAACACTGTAAATGTACTTAGTGCCACGAAACTGTGCACTTTAAAGCAGTTAAAATGGGCCAGGCACAGTGGCTCATGCCTGTAATCCCAGCACTTTGGGAGGCCGAGGCAGTGGATCACCTGAGGTCAGGAGTTTGAGACCAGCCTGGCCAATATGGTGAAGCCTCGTCTCTACTAAAAATACAAAAATTAACCGGGCATGGTGGCACATACCTGTAATCCCAGCTACTTAGGAGGCTGAGGCAGGAGAATCACTTGAACCTGGGAGGTGGAGGTTGCAGTGAGCAGAGATCGCCCCACTGCACTCCAGCCTGGGTGGCAGAGCAAGACTCTGTCTCAAAAAAAAAAAAAAAGATGGTAAGATGATTAAAATGGTAACCTTTATGCTATGTGTATTTTTATCAGTATACACACACAACACACACACTTTTTTTTTTTTGAGACAAGGTCTCACTCTGTCACCCAGACTGGAGTGCAGTGATACAATCACAGCTCACTGCAGCCTCAACTCCTTAACTCAAGCAATCCTCCTGCCTCAGCCTCCAGAATAGCTGGGACTACAGGCACAAGCCATCACGCCTGGCTGATTTTTTATTTAGTGTACAGATGGGGTCTCGCTATGTTGCCCAGGCTAGTCTTGAACTCCTGAGCTCAAACATTTCTCCAGCCTCAGCCTCCCAAAATGCTGGGATTGCAGGTATGAGCCACCATGCCTTGCTTTTACTTTTTTCATTTTAAAAAAAAAAGTTTATTTTTATTTTGTAGAGACGGGGTCTCACTATGTTGCCCAGGTTGGGCTTGAACGCCTGGGCCCAAGTGATATTCCTGCCTTGGCCTCCCAGGGTGCTGGGAGGTGATCGCAGGTGTGAGCCTCTGCACCCAGCCCACACACGGATTTTTGACCACTTCTCCCCTCCTCCCCAGCCAACACTCTAGCACAGCCACCATGGTCTCTCACCTGAACCAGGGCGGTGGTGTCCTCATTGGGCTCCTGGCTTCCACCATCGCCCCCTGCAGTCCATTCTCCACATCGCAGTCAGAAGGTCTTGAGATCTGAATCAGCGCACACCCTCCTCACCTCAGAAGCCTCCCATGGCTCCCACCTCATCCAAAGTGCACATTGTGGCCGGGCACAGTGGCTCACGCCTGCAATCCCCGCACTCTGGGAGGCTGAGGCGGGTGGATCACTTGAGGTTAGGAGTTTGAGACCAGCTTTAGCAACATGGCGAAACCCTGTCTCTACTAAAAATACAAAAATTACCTGGGTGTGGTGGCACGTGCCTGAAATCCCAACTACTCAGGAGGCTGAGACTCGAGAGAATCACTTGAACCAGGGAGATGAAGGTTGCAGTGAGCCGAGATCGCGCCACTGCACTCCAGCCTAGGTGACAGAGTAAGACTGTCTCAAAAAAAAAAAAAAAATTGCATTCTGTGGTCCATGAGGCCCTGATCAAGCTGCCTGTCCTCTCTTGCCTCACCTCCTCCTCTTGCTCTCCCCACTCCCTCTTGCTTCAGCCACTCTGGCCTCTTCGCTATTCCTTCAACAAGCCAGGCACACCACCCCGAAGGTTTTTGCACTTACTGTTCCCTCAGCCCCCAGAGACCTGCCAGCCTCACCCTCACCAGTCTTGGGCTTCTACCCAGTAACCACACCCTCCATCATCCCCATCACCCTTACCCTGCTTTCACTCAAAGTTATGAATCACATTTCTTGTCTTTGTCCCCGCTAATATTTAGTTCCATTAAGAACAGGAATTTTTTTTTTTTTTCTTTGAGACAGAGTCTCACTCTGTCACCCAGGCTGGAATGTAGTGGTGCAACCTTGGCTCACTGCAACTTCCCCATCCTGGATTCAAGCAATTCTCCTGCCTCAGCCTCCCAAGTAGATGTGATTACAGGCACCCACCACCACGCCCAACTAATTTTTGTATTTTTAGTAGAGACGGGGTTTCACCATGTTGGCCAGGCTGGTCTGGAACTCCTGACTTCAGGTGATCCGCCCTCCTAGGTCTCTCAAAGTGCTGGGATTACAGGCATGAGCCACCGCACCCGGCTATTAACTGAATTTCTTGTCTGTGTTCCCACTAATATTCAGTTCCATTGAGAGCAGGAATTTTTTTTTTTTTGAGACAGGGTCTTGCTCTCTTGCCCAGGCTGGAGTGCGGTGGTACAGTCACAGCTCACTGCAACCTTGACCTCCAAGCAATCCTCTCACCTCAGCCTCCCGAGTAGCTGGGACTACAAGGCATGCACCACCATGCCCGGCTAATTTTTGTATTTTTTGTAGAGACAGGATCTCACTATGTTGTTCAGGATGGTCGCAAACTCATGACCTCAAGTGATCCTCCTGCTTTGGCCTCCCAAAGTGCTGGGGTTACAGGCATGAGCCATCACGCCCAGCCGAGAGCAGGAATTTTTGCCTGTTTTATTCACTCCTGTGTCTCCAGTGTTTAAAATAAGCTTTGGCACACAGCAGATGCTCAAAAAATAATTGTGGGTTTTGGGTGGGTTGTTTTTTTAGTTTTTTAGAGACAGGATCTTGCTGTTTCCCAGGCTGGAGTGAAGTAGTGCAATCATAGCTCACTGCAGCCTCGACCTCCTGGACTCAAGCAATCCTCTCCTCTCAGCCTCCTGAGTAGTTGGGACTACAGGCATGCACCACCACACCCAGCTAATTTTTTAATTTTTTGTCCAGATGAAGTCTTGCTGTGTTACACAGACTGGTCTCTAACTTCTGGCCTCAAGTGATCCTCTGGCTTTGGCCTCCCAAAGTGCTGAGATTACAAGCAAGAACCACTGTGCCCAGCCTCAAAAAATATTTGTTAAAAGGAAGATTAAACAATGGAGACCAAAAGAGAAACCAAGAGAAATAGGAGGAGAAAAGGAAGAGATAAAGGGAAGGAGACAGGGGACACTGAGACTAGGGACCTGGAAGCTGTGGGGTGCGGGGGCAGGGGAAGGGGAGCAAGGTGGAAGAAAGTGTTGGGGTAAGATAAGTGTGGAGGAGAGAAGAAAGAGAATCAGCTGGGGCTGGGCACAGTGTCTCACGCCTGTAATCCCAGCACTTTGGGAGGCCGAGGCGGGAAGCTCACTTGAGGTCAGGAGTTCAAGACTAGCCTGGCCACTCTGGTGAAACCCTCTCTCTATTAAAAATACAAAAATTATACGGGCATGGTGGTGGGCGCCTGTAATCCCACCGCCACTGCACTCCAGCCTGGGTAATAGAGCAAGACTCCATCTAAAAAAAAAAAAAAAAAAAAAAGAACGAGCTGGGGACAGAGAGCAATAGGGAGGACACAGAATGAGCAGAATGAGTCAGAGACATACAGAGTGGGAGAGAGAAACAATACCAAGAGACACCAGAGAGATAAACAGGACACAGAAAGACTGAGACGCAGAGAGACAAACACAGAAAGAGAAAAGAGCCAGGACACACAGCAACAAGGAAACGAAAGAGTAGGAAAAAATGGGGCTGGGAGAAGAGAGATGAAAACCAAAGAGAGGGGGGCCAGTGGGAACCGAAATGGAGAGGCCCCTCCCTCAAACTCACCATTTGCTGGTGGCCAGGGCTTTGGACTGACTTGCTATCCCCAGAGGATCCCAGCTGGGGCTTTTAAACCCTGAGGGACAGAGGTGGTGGAGAGAGAGAACATGTGACATCGTTCTCAGGGCTTGAGATCACCAGTTTATTTATTCCTCAGAGCAAGTCTATGAAGAAGTACCATTAGCATCTTCATTCTACAGAACCACAGAGGCAGGGCCAGGCACAGTGGCTCATGCCTATAATTCCAGGGCTTTGGGAAGCCAAGGTAGGAAAATCACTTAAGCCCAGGAGTTCAAGACCAGCCTGGCTAACATAGTGTGAAACCCCATTTCTATTAAACAAACAAACAAAAAATGCTTAAAAATTTTAAATAAGTTATAAGGCTGGGTGCAGTGGCTCACGCCTGTAATCCCAGCACTTTGGGAGGCCAAAGTGGGCAAATCACCTTAGGTCAGGAATTTGAGACCAGCCTGACCAACATGATGAAACCTCGTCTCTACTAAAAATACAAAAATTAGCCAGGCGTGGTGGCGGGCGCCTGTAATCCCAGCTACTCAGGAGGCTGAAGCAGGAGAATGGCATGAACCCAGGAGGCGGAGCTTGCAGTGAGCCGACATTGCACCACTGCACTCCAGCCTGAGCGACAGAGCAAGACTCCGTCTCAAAAGAAAAAAAAAAAAAAGAAACAGAGGCCGGGTGTGGTGGCTCATGCCTGTAATCCCAGAATTTTGGGAGGCCCAAGTGGGCAAATCACGAGGTCAGGAGTTCGAGACCAGCCTGGCCAACATGGTGAAACCGCGTCTCTACTAAAAAATACAAAAATTAGCCAGGCGTGGTGGCAGGGGCCTTAATCCCAGCTACTTGAGAGGCAGAGACAGGAGAATTGTTTGAACCTGGGAGGTGGAGGTTGCAGTGAGCAGAGATCGAGCCATTGCACTCAAGCGTGGGGGACAAGAGTGAGACTTCTCTCAAAATAAAAATAATAAAAAATAAAAATACAAAAAAAAAATTAGCTGGGTGTGGTGGTGGGCACCTGTAATCCCAGCTACTCAGGAGGTTGAGGCAGGAGACTCACCTGAACCAGAAGGCGGAGGTTGCAGTGAGCAAGATCATGCCACTGCACTCCAGCCTGGGCAACAGTGCAAGACTCCATCTCAAAAAAAAAAAAAAAGAAACACAGAGGTCAAGTGACCTGCCCAAAGTCACACAGTTTGTAATGAGAGGAGCTGGAATTTGAACCCGAGTAGTCTCGCCCCAGTCAGTGCCCCTAACTATCACCTATGCTGACTACAAAGAAGTGCTGGCTTCCTAGATTCCCCTTCACAACCACCCTCTGGGGAGTGGTGGTGGGGTAAAGGGGAGGTGAGCAGAGCAGCTGACCTTCCTAACCACCTCCACAGATCTCCAGGAGCCACAGCGTGGGAGAAGATGCTCAGCCTCACTCTCCTGGGAAGGCCTCCAGCTCAAGCGGGGAGGCTGGACAGGAACCAGCTTCCTGCATGTCAGATCCCAGGCCCTGTCCAGAGCCAGGCCTCAGTCTTCCAGGATGGAACATGGCCTCCCCACCTCGGACTCCTTGCCCAGAAGCTAGACCTCAGTTTCCCGGCCTTGGTTTCCTAGCAGCGCCCCAGGCCAGAGGCTGCACCAGTCTTCCAAGGCAGCACAGCGCTTTGGTCATTGGCTCTGAGATTTCCAGACAGGCTGAGAAGCAACACCACCGCCGCCGCCATCCACTCTCATCTCTCTGACCCCAGGAAGTGGGCCAGCATCGTTCCCTCTCGGCAGCCAACTGAGATCCCTGGGTGATTCAGCCTCTGTCCCTGACATGATAATTACACCAACAGCAATTCCCAGAACCCCAGCTATTGTCCTATATCACCCCACCCCTCCTCTTGTCTCCTGTGCTGTAACACGAGGGCAGACACTCTGCTTCTCCCCAGAGACATTTGTCCTTTGCTCCAAGCACACAAAAAACTGGGAAGCCCTTCCCACTGTCTGACCTTCAAAGGCCCTGCTGCTGCTAAGCTGCTTCTCCCTACTCCAAGAAAAGAAGAGCTCCTTAAGGAAGGGGAACAGCCCACCCGGGACAAAACAGACAAAGGCCACACCCCAGGAAGGTCTTTCCCACACAAACTTGGGAGGGGAGGCATCTCTGCAGACAACAGGACAGACACAGCACGAGGCAGCCGAGGCTGTCGTTTATTGCAGATGGACACGGATTCAGGGAGGTGAAGAGGCAGATGGGCTGTGGGCTCTGTGCTCAGCATCCCACAGCAGGAGGGGCAGGAGACAGAGCTCAGGATGGGATCTTCCTGATGGTGGAGGACCCGGCCTGACCACAGAGTAGCTGCAAGAGGCAAGGCCCCGAGCTGACACCCCCTGGGCCCCCATTCCGCGGGATGACGGCTCCAGAGACGCTGAGCGATGTCATTAGGAAGAAGGCCGGACCAATCCAGAGACGGTGCATCCTCGGCGTGGAGCACAGAGCTCTCGAGGGCTGGCGATCCGGGTTGGGGTGGAAGGGAGAGTTACCCGGGTCTTCGCCCCTCCGCGGCCTCTGGCGTCTCTCTGGGTGTCTGGCGGCTCGGACGGCGGTCAGGGTCGCTGTAGCGGCGGCGGCGGCTCAGCGGCAGCTGGAGCTGGGGTCGCGGCCCGCCGGGGACTCCCAGGAGGCAGGAGAGGGAGGCAGCGGCGGGCGCCGGGACAGGCGGCACGCCCGGGCGGGCAGCACACGGAGGGGACGGCGCGCTGGGCTGTGGGCCGGCGGGTGCCGCGGGAGACCGCGTGGGTACCCAGATGAGACCGTAGTACACGGCGAGCAGCACGGCAGCTAGCGAGACGCAGAGGAAGTAGGCGCATACCGGAGCCAAGCGCAGCCAGCGCCCCCGCGGGCCCTCGCTCAGCCCCGCGCCTCCGGGGCTCTCGGCGCCGCCGCCCACGCAGCTGGTCCCCCGCATCCCCGCAGCCCACTCGGCTCCGCGCCGCAGACCGCACAGGCCCCGCCCCCACCAGGCCCCGCCCCCACCCCGCAGACCGCCCCGCTCTCTAAACCGCCCGCCTCCGGCCCCGCCCCCGCCAGCATGGTCACGCCCCCACGCGAGCTGCCGCCTCCGCATCCTAGGCCCACCCCCTCCAGCCTCCGCCCCACCACCGACAGGCGGAGGTGCTACCCCGCCCCCCTCGCTCCAGCCCCGCCCCCGCGCTTAGCCCCACCACCCCAATCACCGCCTCCTCCCGCCACAACACGGTTCTCTTCCCAGACTCGGACTTCATCCAGCCCAGGCATCTAGCCCGCCTCGGAGCCCGCCCCCTCGTCCCGCTCAAGCCCTGCCTGGAGCCCTAACCCGCCCTGTGCCGCAGCCAGTCTCACTTCTCTACCTGTCGGACTGCTCTACTCCAGTGCTCGAGCCCTGCCCGCTACGGCCTCTGGCTCCCACACTCTAGTTCCGGAATCCCCGCTCTCCTCCCGCGCGGGTTCCCGCGCGACACCCCGACCACGCCCCCGCTGACGGCCCCGCCCCATGCCCATGGCCAGAGCCCCACCCGCGCGCGCTGACCCCGCCCCCCGCTCTAACTCCGCCTGTCAGGATTCCGGCCCCGCCCAGGCAGCCTAGCTCCGCCCCCGCGGGACCCGCCTCCTCCAGCACACTCTCAGCCCGCTTTCAGGTATCCTCAGCACCTCAGGCCCCGAGGTTCCAGCTCCGCCCCTCACCGCAATCGCGCCCCTTCTCCCAGCTCCTCCCCAACGGTCAGCTTTTCCCTCTCCCTAGAGCCAAGGGGTCCAGACTAGGCTCTGGGGTAGAAAGAACACAGCCTGGAAATCCAGATAAACCCCTCCTCACGCCCCCTCCCCATCAAGGCGGGGAAGCTTCAGTCCCCTCCCAGCAGCGTCTTCAGGAATTCGGGGAGGCCTGCGGGAGGGGGGAGGGAAGACGGATCAGAAGGGTGGAGGAAGACCCCTTCCTTCCGCCTCTTCCGCCACAGAAAAGCCCGCCAAGCACAGCGACCCAGCCTGCCCCCTCCAGAAACACAGTTCAAGGGTGAGCGGAAGCACTGCGTTTAATACGACAGGGCTGGCGCCCGAGTAATTCAAGCCCTTCGGAAGTGTCACCGGCTGCCAGGCCTCGGATGCAATCCTGGAGGCGGGAGATTCGGCCTGAAGACTGGCTCGAGCCGCCCAGGGCCTCCATGGGAGACTAACGCGGAAGCGTCCCAGCCGTCCCAGTGCCGTGACGTCCCCCGTTGGTGGGGCCTGCACCCGACTACTGCCCTGGCCCCGCCCGGCTCGCAGACCCTGGCTCCTCCCCCCTTAGATTTAACCCTCTCCTGGCTGGAGTGTGGCAGAAGCAGAGGACAGAGGAGCGAGGCGGTGGGAGGTTAGTGCAGAGCGCGGAGGCCGCGGTCCGGCGGGCGCGGTCAGCGAGCGGCCCCCGGCAGCGGAGGGGCCGCCACCACCTTGCAGAAACGCACCCTCTGGAAGTCGGTGATCTCCGCCGTCTCCTGGCCTTCGGGGCCTGCCTCTGAGGAGAGAAGGGGCTGAGTCAGCGGAGGGGAGCAGTCTTCCCACCTCCCCCCCGGCCCAGCACCCCTCCCCCGTCTAGCCACGTCTCTCATCCAGTTCGAGCCCTTGCCACAGCAGGCTCGGCGCTAAGCGGTTTACGGGGCCCAGACTAATCCTCTCAGCGGACCCACGCAGCAGCAAACACTCCCAACATAACCGTTTACAATCGAGGAAACGCGGGTGTGGCGAGATCTGGCTCCCGACCAACAAGTGGCCCAAGACAGAGGGTCTGGGCCCCCGCGCCACCCAAGGCTGCAAACTGTCCTCTCCCACCCCCGCCCCATCTCACGGCCTTCATCAACCTCCACCAAGCCAGTCCTAGAGGACCCGCCCTCCCCTTTCCTTCGCCAACGCCTGCTATTCTAACCAGTCCTTCCTTGGCTCTGCCCCCAAAATCCTAATCCCACTCTGGGGGAAGGGGAGGCCATCTGAGATTCGAAATCTTACTCCTACGGAGTGTAGGTGGAGAGGGGCTTGGCCTCTTGCTCGCACTTCGTCGGTCCCAAAATGCTGATCGGGTACGCATGTCTATTCTAATTTGCCCCACTAGGTTGCACCTCGGAACTCTAATCCCAGCCACAGTTAAATCCAGTTTTCTGCCCTTGCCCATCTCTTTGGCCTTTTCGAGCCAGTTCAAATTTCGTAGTCTGCCTATAGCTCCTGCCCTAGTACACCAACGCCAACCACCTTTTTTGAGACGGAGTCTTGCTCTGTCGCCCAGGTGGGAGTACAGTGGAGCGATCTCGGCTCACTGCAGCCTCCGCCTCCCAGGTTCAAGCGATCCTCCCGCCTCCCAATTAGCTGGGATTACAGGCATGAGCCAAGGCATCCGATCCACACCCCATTACTCTTAAACCAGTGCTTTCCAAAACCCCTGAGCTCGACTCCAAAATTCTAATCCTTTCCTTAACCCCACCTCCTCAACCTCCATACCAAATTCCTATTGGCTTGGCCCATAAAGTTGCCCCTTTGCCCCACCCCTGCCACCCGGCTCCAGCCCCCCATCCCTATCCGAGCTCACCCTTTTCACCTCACCTCTATGGTCCAACTGCTACCTACACACATTCACCCCACTCCCCCCAAGCCCTCTGCCCCTCAGCCCCAGAGAAAGAGGAAGCAGCGGCCTCCATCCCATGCCCCATGCACTCCCCCACCTGGAGTTGCCTCAGACCCTTCCTCTTCAGCTTCCTGGGTTCCTCGGAGGCTGGGCCCACTCTCCGGGAAGGCAGGGGCTGACTGGCCACCTCCTAGGGAAGGGGAGCCCCAGTCAAGCCCCCTTTCCCGCCTGACATCTCCCCACCCCAAGAGAGAAGGCCCAGGGGGAGTTGAAGGGGGTTCAAGGACACACCTGGGGGAATGTCATTGGAGGATGTGAATTCTTTATTGGGGAGGGGGCTCGAAGGGCTGGGGCAGGCTCTGGGAGTGGACATTCCAGAGACGGGCATGACAGTACAGAAGAGCATGGGCTGCGCTACCCCCTCAGCTGACAGGGCTGTGGGGCACACTGGGTCCCAGGGCCCAGCCCCAAGGGTCCCCCACCAGCCACACCCCTCTAGCGCGCGCGCGCGCGCGCGCGCGCGCGCACACACACACACACACACACACACACACACACACACACACACAGGCAGCCAGCTTCATACACTCTCAAAAGGCCAGGCCTCACCCGGGGAGAGGGCGCCAGCCAGGTGAGTGGTCCGGGGAGAATTCAGCTCCACCTCTTCACCCCAATCGGACACAGGCTGGTGGCCGCTGGGTGGTGAGAAAGGGCTGGAAGGCGTGCCAGGGGCCTGGGGCTCCAGCAGGGGCTCCTCCGGACTGAAGGGGACTCCGTGGGCCTGCTCACTGCAGGGGATCCCGGTGGGGGCAGCCTCTGGGGCTTGGTGGTCTTGGGCTGGTTCCTCCTCATCACCTTCTTCCACCTCGATCTCCTCCTCTTCCTCATCCTCACTTATGTCCTCCCATTCTTCATCCTCTTCCCCCTCATTCTCTTCCCCCTCGTCTTCAGGAGGCCGGTGGGCAGGAGCTGGGATCTCGGGTGGCTTTGGGGACACAGGCAAGTCAGGGCAAGGCACAGGTCCTGAGCCCCCACCCCAGGCCCGTGCCCTGAACCACAGCCCAGCCTCACCTGCATGGGTGTCTCCTTGGGGGAAGTCTCGGGGGAAGTAGGCTGTGGAGTCTCAGGGGCTGGGGATGCTGCCCCTTCTTTTGTCTCCCAGCGGTCATCATGGTCACTAGAGGGAACAGAGGGAGGGGTGATGCCTGGGTGGAGAGTAGACAGGAGGAAGGGGCTTCCTGCCTCCACCCTCCCTAGGGAGGAGCTGCCCAGAGCATCTGGCATGGTGGAGGGCTGAGGGAATGGCGGATGTGTGTCCCCATGTGTCAAGGACAGAACGAAAGTGGGGCAGGTAGCAGGAGAGGAGATGGGTGACGGCAGAAAGGGGACAGATGAGGGTAAAACCAAGAGCCAGATCCCAAGCCCCTCAAACCACGGACCTGCGAGATAGACAGGGCCAAGACAAAGACAGGGACAGACAGATGTACCCACACCTTCACAGCAAGCCAAAGAAGAGAACGCCCTGCGGAGAGCCCTGGGGGTATGCAAGCCCGCAGAAGGGGTGCCCCACCTGTAGGCCCTGGGCGCTGCCTTGGCCTGGGGCCGACTGCTCTTTCTCCTTCTGCGGCTGCTGGCCTCAGCTTTGTGCTGGGACAGGAACTCCCCAAAAGTAGGGGGCTTCGGGGGCCGGGCCCAGGCCTGGTCATCTGCAACAGAACCCAGGTGTCATTGGGAAGGGAAGGTGTGGCACACACCACCCCTGACTCCCAGACCGAGCCTCAGCTCATCCAAGGGCACCCACTCACCATAGCGGTGGGATGGTTCATGGGCAGGGACTGGGCCATCCTTGAACCTGGGGGAAAGATAACGGGTGAGCGGGCAGCTGGGGGAACAGGGTAACAAGAGGATCAAGAAGATGGGAGAGGTCAGGGTCAGGAATCGGATCAGAGACAGACGGTCAACCAGACAGGGGACACTAGAAGTAGGACAGGGCCGGGCATGGTGGCTCAAGCCTGTAATCCCCGCACTCTGGGAGGCCGAGGCAGACAGATCGCTTGAGCCCAGGAGTTCAAGACCAGCGTGGTGAACATGGTGAAGCCCCACCTCTACAAAAAATACAAAAATTAGCTGGGCGTGGTGGCACGTGCCTGTAATCTCAGCTACTCGGGAGGCTGAGGAGGGAGGATCACTTGAGCCTGGGAGGTCAAGGCTGCAGTGAGCAGTAATCAAGCCACTGTACTCGAGCCTGGGTGACAGAGGGAGACCCTATCTCAAAAAAAAAAAACAAAGGATAGGACCAGGTGATGGGCAAGAGGCAAATTTGACAGCATAGTGACAAATACAAAAAGATTCAGAATGTGGGCGCCAAAACAAAAATTTGGGGGGATCACCACAGACCCTTGCCCAAGTACATGACCCACAACTCCCTATCTGACCTTTCCCACCAGTCTCCCTCACCTCTCCAGCTAAGCAGGCTCTTCCACCACACCTAGCTCCTGCCTCAGGGCCTTAGCGCCTGCTCCTGGAACGTTCTTCCCACGTTTTTCACTGGCTCACTCCCTCACCTCCTTTCAGGGCTCTGCTAAGAGGCCTTCCTGAACCCCCAGCTAAGATAATATTAGGGCCGGGCACGGTGGCTCACGCCTGTAATCCCAACACTTTGGGAGTCCAGGTGGGCGGATCACCTGAGGCCAGGAGTTCGAGACCAGGGTGAAACCCCATCTCTACTAAAAATACAAAAATTAGCCGGGCTTGGTGGCTGGCACCTGTAATCTCAGCTACTCGGGAGGCTGAATCAGAATTATTTGAACCCAGGAGGCGATGTTGCAGTGAGCTGAAATCACACCACTGCACTCTAGCCTGGGCAACACAGCAAGACTCAGTCTCAAAAAAACAAAAAAAAAAAGATAATATTATTACACAGATTATCTAAGTCTAAAATTCTAACCTCCACCCTGGCTGCTTACTCTGCATCATTATCCTTCTGGGCCTAACATTAGACCTCTTAATTACCCACCTTGCCCACTACACTCTTAGTTCCAAAAAGGCAGAAATGTTTTGTTTGCTGCTGTATCACCTAGAACCTTCCATGACATAGAGGAGGACTCAAATATATGCTGATGAAAGCAAGACACCATGCATTTTTTTTTCTTAGAGATAGGGTCTTGCTCTGTGGTCCAGGCTGGAGTGCAGTGGCATCATAACAGCTCACTGCAAACCTCCTGGGTTCAAGCAGTCCTCCAGCCTTGGCCTCCTAAAGTGCTGGGATTGTGGGGATTACAAGCATGAGCCACCACGCCTGGCCCAGACACACATTATTATTATTATTATTATTATTTTTTGAAACGGAGTCTCTCTCTGTCGCCCAGGCTGGAATGCAGTGGTGAGATCTCGGCTCACTGCAAGCTCCACCTCCCAGGTTCACACCATTCTCCTGCCTCAGCCTCCCGAGTAGCTGGGACTACAGGGCGCCCACCACCACACCCGGCTAATTTTTTGTATTTTTAGTAGAGACGGGGTTTCACCGTGTTAGCCAGGATGGTTTTGATCTCCTGACCTCGTGATCCACCTGCCTCAGCCTCCCAAAGTGCTGGGATTACAGACGTGAGCCACTGCACCCGGCCCACACAAACATTATTCATCAGACTTGTTGCAAACTGCTTTTAGGACACATAAGAAAAACAAATACTTTCTCATTGTGAATGCTGAGAACATCTCCCCAAAAGCCCAGCTGCCTCCTCCTTAGGAAGATCAGCTATAGTATCTGTGCAAATTATTTCTCACACTCGCACAGGCTTGGTTCACAATCCACAACAAAATGCTTCCCGACCACTGGGCAAACAGACAAAATCCTCCTTAGCCAAAGCCAAAAAACAAGTTATAGGTGAATGAAAACTTTCAACACAGGAAAGAATGGGGGATGAGGTAAAACCTAAAGTTGCTGATCTTTAAATACTGCTATTTATCGGCTCTTCCAGAACCTTCTCCTTCTTGGTTATGGAAGTTGGTCCCCATGACGATGATGCAATGAGGGCTTTGCTTTAAGTCTGACTGAATCGGGGGACAAAGTCAAACTTGAGGTTAACAATGCCACTGGGTTAAGAAGGTGGTGGTGCCGGGCGCGGTGGCTCACACCTGTAATCTCAGCACTTTGGGAGGCTGAGGTGGGTGAATCATGAGGTCAGGAGTTCAAGACCAGCCAGGCCAACATGGTGAAACCCCACCTCTACTAAAATTACAAAAAATTAGCTGGATGTGGTGGCACGTGCCTGTAATCCCAGCTACTCAGGAGGCTGAGGCAGGAAAATCGCTTGAACCCAGGAGGCGGAGGTTGCAGTGAGCCGAGATCACATCACTGCACTCCAGCCCCGGCAACAGTGCGAGACTCCGTCTCAAAAAAAAAGTAAAAAAAAAAAGGTGACGGTGAGGCATGGAGACATTCAGGGATCTGAGTTGCTGGGGACAGGTCAGAGGCTGGCAGGAGGATGCAAAGGTCTAATCGCTGTTAAACAGCCTTCATGCCCTCCCTGCGTTGGAACTGATGTCCCTGCCGCCACCGGTGTTCCTATCCACTGGAGGGGGCAGAGCTTATTTCCCCGCCCCAGTGAGGCGGGGTGTGCTGGCGAACACAACTGGGAAGTGTGCCTGCTTGTGCATCTGCCCATGTCAGGGCAAGCGCTCCCCAGGCAGCTGCTGCCCTCAGCCTGGACAGCAGAATGAACACCCTGGCGCAGAGTGAATTCACCCTGCTGCAAGAAGCCAAGCCCAGCGGGACCCACAGCTTAGCGTCCAGCCTGGATCAGCTCAGCCCAGCATACCCATGAACACAGAAGAAATCCTCTCACCCCAGCTGCTCAGGAGGCGGAGGCAGGAGAATTGCTTGAACACGGGAGGCGGAGGTTGCAGTGAGCTGAGATCCTCCCACTGCACTCCATCCAGCCTGGGCGACAGAGCTAGACTCTGTCTCCAAAAACAAAAAGAAAACCAGAAATGCTCGGCCGCGCGCGGTGGCTCACGCCTGTAATCTCAGCACTTTGGGAGGCCAAGGCAGGCAGATCACAAGGACAGGAGATTGAGACCATCCTGGCTAACACGGTGAAACCCTGTCTCTACTAAAAATACAAAAAATTAGTTGGACGTGGTGGCGGACGCCTGTAGTCCCAGCTATTCGGGAGGCTGAGGCAGGAGAGTGGTGTGAACCTGGGAGGCGGAGCTTGCGGTGAGCCGAGATCACGCCACTGCACTCCAGCCTGGGCGACAGAGCGAGACTCCGTCTCAAAAAAAAAAAAGAAAACCAGAAATGCTCTCACGTGCCGCTGAGCTCCAGCAGCTGGTCCATGGCATCTCAGGATACTTGGCAGTCACTCACTCATACACAGCAGGAAAAACCAGAGAGAGGCATAGGACTTAGAAGTCAGGGCCAAGGTCAACGTGCCACATGGGGAGAGGAGCGGGGAGGAGACTCACATCCCATCGGTCTTCTCGGCATCCCACTCGCGCCTCCACTGGCCAGTGGGCTTGCGGTGCCTCTGCAGCCGCTCCTGGTCGATCTTCTCCCTCTCCTGCTTCCAGCGCAGGTACTCCGACCGCTCCCGGCCCGTCATGGACAACGTCATGTCTCCAGCACTGCCCAGGCCAGCTCGGCGGCCCTGCCCCCCAGCCCACAGGGAGTCAGGGTGATGTCCCGCACCCTACCCCGCCCCTAAGCCCCGAGGCACATCCACTTGCTCAGGATCACACAGGGAAGCGATGACAAGGCAGAGATCACAATCAACTAGGCTCAGGTGGCACCTCCTCACAGAGGCCCTCTCAGATCTCCTAAGTAGCATCCCTCTGTCCCCTCAGCTGCTGGATTTTTCTCCACAACACTTGGTAGGACCTCACATCTCACTATATTTTCATTTACTCAGCTCCCACCAGAAGAAACCTCATCAAGGCAGGGGCTCTGCCTCCAAACTCTTCTCCCGCCGGGCGCGGTGGCTCACGCCTGTAATCCCAGCACTTTGGGAGGCCAAGGTAGGCGGATCATGAGGTCAGGAGATGGAGACCATCCTGGCTAATATGGTGAAACCCTGTCTCTACTAAAAATACAAAAAATTAGCTGGGCGTGGTAGCGGGTGCCTGTAGTCCCAGCTTTTCGGGAGGCTGAGGCAGGAGACTGGCATGAACCCAGGAGGCAGAGCTTGCAGTGAGCCGAGATCGCGCCACTGCACTCCAGCCTAGGCAACAGGGCAAGACTCTGTCTCAAAAAAAAAAAAAAAAAAAAAAAAAAAAAGCCAGGAGCGGTGGCTCACGCCTGTAATCTCAGCACTTTGGGAGGCTGAGGCGGGCAGATCACGAGGTCAGGAGATAGAGACCATCCTGGCTAACATGGTGAAACCCCATCTCTACTAAAAGTACAAAAAATTAGCTGGGCATGGTGGTGGGCACCTTAGTCCCAGCTACTGGGGAGGCTGAGGCAGGAGAATGGTGTGAACCCGGGAGTCGGAGCTTGCAGTGAGCCAAGATCACGCCACTGCACTCCAGCCTGGGCGATGGAGCAAGACTCCATCTCAAAAAAAAAAAAAAACCTCTTATCCTCAGCACCTAAAACAGTACCTGGCACATAGTAAGTGCCCAGTAAACAATACTGTTAGTAACAAGAAAACCCTCAAACATACCACAAAGCTGTAACAACTAGAGCCACGTGGTACTGACAGAAGAACCAACAGACGGACAATTTAGGGGTGGACCACCAAGTGCAAGGACACTGCCCCTGCCTCCTCTTCTAGGCCAGGTCCCCACCCCTCACACAGCACCTGCCATGTGGTAGGTGCCTCATAAATGCTGGTGTCATTAACAATGAGGGGAGATTTACCTTGGCAGGAAACAAAACATACCATAAATCCTTAATAATTAAAATCCTGGGCAAGCACAGTGGCTCACACCTATAATCCCAGCATTTTGGGAGGCCGAGGCAGGTGGATCACTTGAGGTCAGGAGTTCAAGACTAGCCTGGCCAACATGGTGAAACCCCGTCTCTACAAAATACGAAAAAATTAGCCAGGTGTGGTGGCACTTGCCTGTAATCCCAGCTACTCGGGAGGCTGAGGCAGAATTGCTTGAGCCCAGGAGGCAAAGGCTGCAGTGAGCCGAGATGGTGCCACTGCACTCCAGAATGGGTGACAGAGCGAGAATCCGTCTCAAAAAAAAAAAGTCCTGTGCTGTGGCACAAAAAAGGAGAGGCCCCATGGCCCTGATCTGTCTGGTTCCTGCTATGCAGTCCCCATCAAAGCCCTGAGAGCCCCGAGGTGTCCTCACTGCCAACACCCACCTGCCGCTCGTGCTCAAGGCCACAGCGCACCCGCTCGAAGTCGGGGCCCCCCCAGTTGCGGCCGTGCCGGCGGCTCTCCTCCCGGCGGTCCCGCTCAGACTCCTCCAGGGGCCCGCTGCGTCGCCGGGGGTCGTCCAGGAAGTTCCGCACTGGGTTGGGTTCAAGAACCCCTTCCTGCAGGCAGCAGAGCAGGGGGTTGGCGCGGGCTCCCCGCAGCCCAGGCAGCTCGGCCCTGCCTCGGGGACACCCGCACCACTGACCCGCTGGTTGCGCTCATACTCGGCGATCTTCTCCATCTCCTCATTCATCTTCTCAATGTTCTGCCTGCGCCGCTCCTCCCACTCCTGGGGGGATAAAGATAGGGACACCCAGCTTCAGGGAGAACTATTAAGCTGCCGGTGCAGGAGACGGGCTGCCCAGCAGGCCTGAGGCTCCTCTCCTCGGACTGGCCTGCTGGCATCTGACCATTTGCTCTCAGCGTGCTCCAGGTCAGCAGTGAACTGATGAGGCTGGCTGGCCAGGCTTGGACTATGCGAACAACACGCTGTACGCTGCATTCGCCTTCCTACTGGGGGGTCTGGAATTTCAGTACATACTAGACAGAAGGGGCCTGCGTTCAAAACTAGCCTCCAGGCTGACATGGTGGCTCACACCTCTAATCCAAGCACTTTGGGAGGCCAAGGCAGGAGGATTGCTTCAGCCCAGGAGTTCAAGGCCAGACTAGGCAACATAGCAAGACCCTGTCTCTACAAAAAATTTTAAAAGTGGCCGGGCGCGGTGGCTCACGCCTGTAATCCCAGCACTTTGGGAGGCCGAAGTGGGTGGATCACCTGAGGTCAGGAGTTTGAGACCAGGCTGGCTAACATGGGGAAACCCCATCTCACTAAAAATACGAAAAAAATTAGCCAAGCATGGTGGTGGGCGCCTGTAATCCCAGCTGCTCGGGAGGCTGAGGCAAGAGAATCACTTGAACCCAGGAGGTGGACGTTGCAGTGAGCCGAGATTGTGCCACTGCACTCCAGCCTGGGCAACAGAGTAGGACTCTGTCTCAAAAAATAAAATAAAATAAAAATAAAAATAACGGGTCGGGCACAGTGGCTCACGCCTGTATTCCCAGCACTTTGGAAGGCCGAGGCAGGTGGATCACGAGGTCAGGAGTTCGAGACCAGCCTGGCCAACATGGTGAAACCCCGTCTCTACTAAAAATACAAAAGTTAGCCGGGCATGGTGGTGGGCACCTGTAATCCCAGCTACTTGGGAGGCTGAGACAGGAGAATTGCTTGAAACCAAAAGGCGGAGGTTGCAGTGAGCCGAAATCATACCACTGCACTCCAGCCTGGGCAACAAGAGTGAAACTCCATCTCAAAAACAAAAAGAAATTTTAAAAACTAAATAAATACAATAAATAAAAATAAACCAGCCCCCAATTAAAAACCTGGAGTGCTGAATCTCTCGTGGGCATCCCTGGTAAGCCACATGTTGTCACAATTCAGTGCTGGAGGAATTCAGCGCATCCCCTGGGACTCCACAGGGAAAGGACTCTTGGAAGTTCATGCCGGGTTTCCTCCAGACCTCAGCCCAGGTACCCCGCCCCCTGCTGATTTTGCTTTGTGATCTCTTTCACTGTGATAAATCTAAGCCATGAGTCTTTCTAGCAAACCACTGAACCTGCGAGTTCAGTGTCAGGGTGCTGGGGGCCCTGGCACACCAAGGTTGCCGCAATCATAGTGGTGGTAATAACAGTAATTACTTGGCAGATGGTTAGGTGACCTACCCCCACCAACCACAATCCGTTCTCCCCTTCTTCCTTCCATGGTAGCAAAAATTTATTGATTTTTTTTTTTTTTGAGACAGGGTCTTACTCTGTTGCCCAGGCTGGAATGTAGTGGTGTGTGTTCACAGCTCACTGCATCCTTGACCTCCCAGGCTCAGCCTCCCAAGTGATCCTGCTGGCTCAGCCTCCCAAGTAAGTAGCTGGGACCACAGGGGCACACCACCACGTCCAGTTAATTTTTAAAATTTTTATAGAGATGGGGTCTCACTCTGTTGCCCAGCCTGGTCTCAAACTCCTGGGCTCAAGCGATCCTCCCACCTTAGCTTCCCAAGTAGCTAGGACCACAAGCCCATACCACAGCACCCAGCATTCCAAGTAGCTAGTAACTACTTGTTACTAGTAACCAAGCTAGTGACAAAATTTTAGATGGGCAAATAGCCAGCCAGCTGTAGACAACGTTTTCATTTCCCAGTCTCCTTTGAGGTTAGGTATGACCAGGTGTCTAAGTTCTCACCAACAGGACATGACCAAAAGTGATAAAGCAGACTTATCTTTCCCCTTCCTGTGAACTGAACCGCAACCATGTCGGCAACCCAGCTGTTACCACAGACAATGACCAGGACCTAGGGGCCACCAAGCAACAAAAACAGGAACCAGGCCGGGCGCAGCAGCTCACACATGTCATCGCAGCATTTTGGGAGGCCGAGGCGGTAGGATCACCTGAGGTCAGGAGTTCAAGGCCAGCCTGGCCAACATGGCGAAACCCCATCTCTACTGAAAACACAAAAACTAGCCGGGTGTGGTGGTGCACACCTGTAATCCCAGCTACTTGGGAGGCTGAAGCACAAGAATTGCTTGAACCCAGGAGGCGGAGGTTGCAGTGAGCCAAGATCATGCCACTGCACTCTAGCCTGGGCAACAAAGTGAGACTCTGTCTCAAGAAAAAAAAAAAAAAAAAAAAAGCAGGAACCTGGGTCCCTGAGTGACATCATGGAGCAGGGCCTCACCCCCTGGACCACCCACCTCCCTGCAGGGCTCAGCATACAAGGGAGAAATAAACTCCTACTCCACTTAGGTCATGAAATTTTTGGAGTCTTTGTGTGACAGCAGCTTGGCATGCCCAATTTAAGTCTAATTATTTTTTTTTTTTTGAGACGGAGTTTCACTCTTGTTGTCCAGGCTGGAGTACAATGGCGCAATCTCGGCTCACTGCAACCTCCACCTCCCAGGTTCAAGCAATTCTTCTGCCTCAGCCTCCCGAGTAGCTGGGATTACAGGCGTGTGCCACCACACCCGGCTAATTTTTGTACTTTTAGTAGAGATGGGGTTTCGCCATGTTGGCCAGGCTGGTCTCGAACTCCTGACTTCAGGTGATCCGCCCACCTCAGCCTCCCAAAGTGCTGGGATTACAGGCCTCGTGAGCCACCACGCCCAGCATTTTTTTTTTTTTTTTTTTTTTTTGATACAGAGTCTCATTCTGTCGCCCAGGCTGGAGTGCAGTGGCATGATCTCGGCTCACTGTGACCTCCACCTCCCAGGTTTAAGTGATCCTCCTGCCTCAGCCTCCCAAGTAGCTGGGATTACAGGTGCCCACCACCACGTCCAGCTAATTTTTGAATTTTCTTATTCCCGTGTAAGTGCTAGAACCAGAAGCTCACAGGGGAAGTGAGCTGCCCAAGGCCAGGTAGCTCACAGAACCAGATTCAACCCATGTCCACGGTGGGCTGTAAGCCACTCAGCTAGACAGACTCCCACCCTGCTGACCTGCACGTCAGGGGTGAGTGAGGTAGTTACAGTAAAATCACTGCTCCCCATAACCAAAGCCGGGGACCAAGAGAAACACACAGAAACAGAATGCCACACAGAGCCTGTGCTCACAAGCACACCAGATAGAGAGAGCCCACCAGACAGACACACAGTGCCAGAAAGGGAGGAGAGATGGGGACGGAGGATGAGTGGGCAAGCATGCACCAGAGAGCGAGAAAAAGGGAGACAGAGAGGGACAGGGAGGGACACGCAGCACTAAGCAGGAGAGGGGAGGGAAGGAAGGCGAGGAGGAACAAGAAGACGGGGAGCAGGAGTAGGAGAGAAAGAGACAAGGAAAAACACACGAGCTCTAGGCGTGAGAGGGAAGGAACAGGGGGAACTAGAAGAGGGGGAGCAGGAGGAGGAGAAGGAGGTGGAGGAAGAGAGAAACAGAGCCAGATGCAAAGGCTCAGAGAGAGATACTGAAAGATGGACACACAGGACAAATGTGCATCTGAGAGGAGGAAAAAACAGAAACAGACAACAGAGAACCTCAGCCAGGGCTCCAGGCGCTGCCTAGCTCCTACCTTGGATTTACGGTCAGAGATTGAGGTGTCTCCAGCTCCAGAGAGGTGAGGTGAACCTCGGCCCCGGCCCCTCCGGCCACGGCCCCCAGCTCCTCCTCCTCGAGGCTGCTCCCCGGGGCTGCCCTCCCAGCTGCGCGATGCTCGGCCCATGCCGGCCCGGCCTCCCTGCTGTGGAGGAGTCCGGCCCCCCTTGCTGGCCCCTGGGGGCCGAGGGGTCCCAGGAGACCTCCGGGAAGGACCCAGGTTCTTCTCCTGGAAGAGGGGAGATGGGGAAAATACAGTCACTGGGGCAGGGAGGCATGCGGCCAGGATGGAGGCCACCCACTGGTGCAGGACAGCTGGGGGCTCCTGGGTCCCAGGCCTCAACCCTCTGCCCCTCCCCATCCTCAGGGTCCCACACCCCAGTGACGAGCTCACCGACTCCACTGCCACGTTCTCCTTCTCCACTGAGCGGCCCTTTCGGGGAGCTGTGACTGCGACTCCCTCAAGTTCAGCTTTCTTACGGTCTTCCTCAATCTCCTAGGAGCAGACAGCCGGGGTAGGGAAGCATCAGGTGCCCTGTCTGCCAGACGGACTCCCAGACCCCTGAACTCCTCCTAAGTCTGGCCCCAGCCCAGGCCTCTCTCCTGGACTCTGAACAAGAAGGCCGCTCATATCCCTCAAACCTCAGCACGTTGCAGCCCCACTCAGAACGTTCCTGTGGTGCCCCTCTGAGTAACAGCCTTCCCCACAGCCTGTGGGACCCGTGGGGTCTGGCCTTGGTACCTCCCCGACCTCATCTCTCACCCTCTCCCCACGATCACTCCGGCTTCCTTGCTATTCCCACAACATACCAGGCTGAAACCTGCCTCAGGGGCTTTGCGCCAGCGGATCCCTCTGCCAGGAACACTTTTCCCAGAGACCCTCCAACCCCTCACCTCCTGTAGGTCTCTGCTCCAATGCTGCCTTCTCGTGAGGCCTTCCCTGAGCACCCTGTGGAAACCAGCTCCCCTGCCACCCTCTCTGTTCTCATCCCATTTGCACCCAGCACCATATGCGTCTCGCTCACTGTCTGCTTCCTCCACTACGGCAGAATCTGCCTGGGGACAGGAATGTCTGTCTGCTTTCAGTGATGTATGTCACTGACGTGTATCCCAAGTCTAGAACGCTGCCTGGCCCACAAGGGAAATTCAATATGCCTTTTTTAAAATGAATGAATACATGAAGAATGAATAAATGAAACCCATGCCACCTCCCAGATCCCATCTCAGGGAGAGCCACATCACCTACTCAGCAGCCTTGTCCTAAATCCTCCCTCTTCCTCCCCCTGCCCTGAACTGCCCATCAGTAACTGAGTCCCTCTCAACAGCCCTGCCCTGAGCCAGGTACCTCCTCTCCCACTAGGGTTCCAGCCCCAGCTTCCTCCTTGGTCTCTGGGCTCCAGTATCACCTCCTCGCACCCACCACCGCACAGCACCCAGAGGCGTCTTCCTAAAGAGCTGTTCTGACCGGTCCCACCCCTGCTCAAGGCTCTCCCTGGCTCCCCAGTGCCCTCAGGACAAAGTCCAAACTCATCCTGGTGGCATTCAGGGCCTAGCACAGCCTGGCCCCTGCTGACCTGCCCAGGTCAATTCTCTCCTAACCAACCCTCCAACTTGAAGCTCCAAGCTCTCTCTTGCTTCCAACATTTGCACAAACTGTTCTTTCTGCCTGAAACATGTTCCCCTCGCCTTTTCAACTGGCTATTGTCTACTCACCACTCAAGCCTCAGAGTCCACTCCTCCAGGAAGCCCTCCCTGATATCCCCAAGGCTGGGTCAAGAGCCTCCTCTGGACTCCCACAGACCCCTGAATTTCCTGATTCCAGACTTGTCTGCTCTGGGGCATCCCTGAGGACAGGGCTGTCTCCCTGACTAGACGGTGGACCCTGGAGGGGGCAGGCCTGGGTCTGTCTCAGTCACAGCTATATCCCCAGCACCACTCAGCACTGGGGCTGGTAAAGATCTTGGGGAATATTTGTGAACAAATGAATGAATGAATGAATAATGGAATGAAAGAAGGGATGTCAGGCTAAGGCCTTTGGCCTTTATCCTGACAGTGATGGGGAGCCATGAAAAGGTTTTAAGGAAGGGAGAGGTGAGAAAAACTCACTGCGGGGAAGAGAGGGGATGGGGTCTCCCAGGGCGGGGCTAGGGCACCTGGTAGCGCCGGATGAGGGCCTCATTCTTCCGCCGAAGAGCCTCGATCCTCTTGTCCAACTCAGCATCCTTCTCCTCCTTTGATTTCAAATCGAGTGTGGCTGCCTGAGACCGGGAGGCAGTTGAGGGATGGAAGGAAAAACCTCCATCCATACCAGGGACTTTCCCCCAGGGTCTGAGAGTCTGCCCCTATGGATCCCATCCTCCCAAGCCCCCTTCCCCAAAACTCAGATTCTAGAGACCCCATTTTTCAGCCTCACCATTTCGCTGGCTGCGTGGAGCCAAGGTCCCAGCAAACCTCCCCTGCAGAATCTAGACGCAGCACTGAGGGTTCCTGGGGACAGAGGGAAAAAAAGGACAAAGGCCAATGGCCCCCCAACCTACTTCACCCTCTAACATACTGCGGGATCCTCACAGCCATACACAAAAAACCCTGTACCCCAAGAGAATTGTAGCCCTCACTCTCCCTCCTTTCAACTGCCACCTCCATCTTCTCCATAGAAATTCAGACTCAGCCCTTTCATGATCTTTGTGGACTCACCCAGTTCCCATGTAAACGATCTAGTCAAACCCACCTTGGGGATGTTCTGGCCCCCACCCACTGCTTAAGTATCCAACACTGCTCTCCTCCAAAGGCTGATTCTAGGCCAGCCGCCACACCCTGTGGTATGAGTGTTAGCCCGGGTTCCCTATCTCAAGAGAGTTCCAACTACAACCCCTCCAACCAGCCTGCAAAAGAAAGTTCCAGACCCACCTCCCTGTGCTCATCCTGGTGCCTCTCATATCCAGGCGAATATTCTAGCTCCACCAGGTAAGGTTCAGAAACATTCCCAATCCCACGCTCAAAGAAAGTCCGAACCCCACTCTTATTGGCTGCCCAAGCTCTCAGAGAACATTCCAAGCCCGCGCCTTCCTCAGGGACGTCCTAGTCCCGTCTCCAGCGCCCTACGGAAGGTCGACAGCCTCCCGCCTCCCCCGAAAGGATTCTGTACACAGGCCCAGAACTCACTGGCGAGGCTTCCTGGAACTGGCGTTTTGCCCCACTGAATACTCCACCCGCCCCAACAAGGACAAAACTACCCAGGCCCGCCCCAGATTTTCTGTGCAAAGCTCCAGCCTCAATCCGGCTGGGAATGCCAGGGCCACGTCCCCGACATCCTGGAAACCGCTCTGGCCCCGCCCACGGCTCGGGAAAAAACTTTCTGGCCCCGCCTTTCCCGCCAGACTTCTGGCCCCGCCCCCACCCATGGGCCATTAATGTGGCCCCGCTCCCGACTTTCCCAGCCACGCTCTTTCCCCGCCTCCTGGCTCGCAGGCAACAGCCTACACCCGCCCCTACCATCTCTTATTATTATTCCAGCCCCGCCCCCGGCCTGCCCAGTCAACCCTCTGGCCCCGCCTCCGATTGGCCTGGCCAACCTCCTGGACACGCCCCCTGACTCCCTCCCACACCTCGTTGCGTCAGCATCTGGCCCCGCCCATGGCTTCCCCAGGGTTCTGGCTCAACTCCCCGCTTCCCCGCCTCCCGGCCAACGCTCTGGCCGCGCCCGTGGCTCAGACGAAACTTTCTGGCTCCACCCCCAGCATTCCCCGCCAGCACCCTGGCCCCGCCCCCTGGCTCCCCCACTACATTGTGGCCCCGCCCCCGCCATTGCGTCAGCCTCTGGGTCCGCCCCCAACGTCCCGGCCAAGAATCTGGACCCACTTCCAGTAAGGCAAAACTTTCTGGCCCCGCCCACAGAGCTTCCGCCCGGCGTCCGAGCCCCGCCACACAGCTGAACAAGCAACACTATGGCCCCGCCCACAGTCCAGCCACAACTTTTAGGTCCCGCCCACAGCCGCCGGCCCAGGCTCTGGCCACGCCCCGCCCCGACCCTGCCCACCCACCCAACGGCCCGCCCCGCCAGCGCCCCTCCAGCTTCCCATGTGGGCGTCCTGTCCCCGCCCCCCGCAGAGAACTCCGACCCCGCCCGGGCCTGTTCGCACTCCCCGCCACGTGGGGCTTCAGGCCCCGCCTTCTCTGGGCGCGCTCCCGGCCCCCTCCCCCAGGTCACCTGTCCCGGAGACCCCGCGGCGTCCGCGACTCCGGCTCCGTCGGCCTCTGCGACCGCAGCTCCCGGGCCAGGCGCGTCACTTCCTGCCTGCACCACGTGAGGAAGGGAAATAAAGAGGGTCACTTCCGGTCCTGTGGGACCGTTTCCGGGAGCCTTAAAGGGGCCGCGCCTCCGCGATGGATGCGGGAGCGGGGCCGACTGGCCCCCCGGGTGTTCCGCAAGCTCATCCAACTTCCTTCTGCCTGAATTACCAACTTCCAGGAAAAGGAGACACCGTCCTCACTCCCTGGCCTCTACCTCTTTCTTCAAGCTGTTTCCGCCTCCAGCCCCTCATTCCTGGTTTCTATCAGTAGATGCCAAGCACTGGGCACTGACGCCTGGAAGCCTGGCGTGGTTCGAGCCCCCTCGTGCCAATGAAACCTTAGAGTTCGCTTTAGAAGCTTCAGATGTTCTACCGGCCGTGGGCGGTGGCTCACACTTGTAATCCCAGCACCTTGGGAGGCCGAGGCGGGCGGATCACCTGAGGTCAGAAGTTCGAGATCAGTCTGGCCAACATTGTGAAATCCCGTCTCTACAAAAAAAATTAGCCGGTTGTGGTGGCGCGCGCCTGTAATCCCAGCAACTCGGGAGGCTGAAGCAGGAGAATCGCTTGAACCGGGGAGGCAGAGGTTGCAGTGAGCCGAGATCATGCCACCGCACTGCAGCCTAGACGACAGAGCAGACCCCTTCTCGAAAATAAAATAAAATGCTGGGCGCAGTGGCTCACGCTTGTAATCCCAGCACTTTGGGAGGCCGAGGAGGGCGGATCACTTGAGGCCAGGAATTCGAGACCATCCTTGCCAACATGGTGAAACCCCGTCTCTACTAAAAATACAAAAAAAATCAGCCCGGCGTGGTGGCGGGCGCCTGTAGTCCGAGCTACTCCGGAGACTGAGCCAGGAGAATGGCGTGAACCCCGGGGGCGGAGCTTGCAGTGAGCCGAGATCGCTCCACTGCACTCTAGCCTGGGCGACACAGGGAGACTCCGTCTCAAAAAATATACATATACAAAAATTAGCCAGGCATGGTGGCGGGCGCCTGTAATCCCAGCTACTTGGGAGGCTGAGGCAGGAGCATCGCTTGAACCCGGGAGGCAGAGGTTGCAGTAAGCCGAGATTGCACCACTGCACTGCAGCCTGGGCGACAGAACGAGAGACTCCGTCTCAAAATAAAATAGGCCGGGCGCCGTGGCTCACGCCTGTAATCCCAGCACTTTGGGAGTCCGAGGCGGGTGGATCACCCGAGGTCAGGAGTTTGAGACCAGCCTGACCAACGTGGTGAAACCCTGTCTCTACTAAAAAATACAAAAATTAGCCAGGCATGGTGGCGGGCACCTGTAACACCTGTAATCCCAGCTACAGGCTGAAGCAGGAGAATCGCTTAAACCCGGGAGGCAGAGGTTGCAGTGAGCTGAGATCGTGCCATTGCACTCCAGCCTGGGCGACAGAGCAAGACTACGTCTCAAAAAAATAAATAACTGGCCAGGCGCAGTGGCTCATGCCTGTAATCCCAGCACTTTGGGAGGCCGAGGCAGGTGGATCACAAGGTCAGGAGTTCGAGACCAGCCTGGCTAACATGGTGAAACCCCGTCTTTACTAAAAATACAAAATTTAGCCAAGCATGGTGGCAGATGCCTGTAATCCCAGCTACTTGGGAGGCTGAGATAGAGAATTGCTTGAACCCGGGAGGCAGAGGTTGCAGTGAGGCAAGATCGTGCCACTGCACTCCAGCCTGGGCGACAAAGTGAGACTCCGTATCGAAAATAAATAAGTAAATGAAATCATAAAATATAAAATAAGGCCGGGCGCGGTGGCTCACGCCTGTAATCCCAGCACTTTGGGAGGCCGAGGCGGGCGGATCACGAGGTCAGGAGATCGAGACCATCCCGGCTAAAACGGTGAAACCCCGTCTCTACTAAAAATACAAAAAATTAGCCGGGCGTAGTGGCGGGCGCCTGTAGTCCCAGCTACTTGGGAGGCTGAGGCAGGAGAATGGCGTGAACCCGGGAGGCGGAGCTTGCAGTGAGCCGAGATCACGCCACTGCACTCCAGCCTGGGCGACAGAGCGAGACTCCGTCTCAAAAAAAAAAAAAAAAAAAAAGTATATATATATATATATATATATATATATATATATATATATATATATAAAATAAACGTTCAACCGATAGAATCAGTCGTTCATTCTCCCAAATCAGCATTGACTGCCAGGCTGCGTGCTGGGAGGAAAAGTTGGTGGGGGAACTGAGATGATGAACAAAGCTGACCCCATCCTTGTCCTCCTAAGGGAAGACACAAGTAAATGGGAAATAGCAGCACCTGTGGGAGATGCCTGGCAAGAGGGGCAGGAGAGGCCGGAGGGTGAGAGGCTGCCTGTGCAGGCCAAGGACACAACCTATGCAAAGGCCCTGTGGTGAATGAGCTTGGTGCATTCCCAAAACTAGAAGATACTCAAAGCAACAGCAGCTGAATAGCTGCAGAGTCCAGGAGGTTACAGCATTAACCAAAACTTAGACATAATAAAGCTAGTGTGACAAGCCGACCAGGCGCTGTGGCTCACGCCTGTAACCCCTGCTACTGGGGAGGCTGAGGCAGGAGAATCACTTGAACCTGGGAAATGGAGGTTGCAGTGAGCCAAGATTGAGCCACTGCACTCCAGCCTGGGCAACAAGAGTGAAACTCTGTCTCAGAATAAATAAATAAATAATAAAGGTATTGTGACAAATGATGATGAATGCTACAGAATACCCTCAGTTAAGGTGAATGACAGTTATAAGTGGACAGACCAGATTGCCTGTAGTGCCAGTCATTTTATTTTGTGATTTAAGACATAGAAAGTGGAAGTACCTGGTAATTCCTTACCATTTCTAAGGCTACTGTTCACAGCCTTTCAGAGATACCAATGAAACTTAATCCTCTTATAATTGTCCAAATAGCAATCTATGCATGTAACGAAATTCACTTGAGGCCAGTGCGGTGACTCATGCCTGTAATCCCAGAACTTTGGGAGGCCAAGGTGGGCAGATCACTTCAGCTCGGGAATTTGAAACCAGTCTGGGCAATAGAGTGAGACCTAGTCTCCACAAAAAAAATTAAAAATTAGGCCAAATACAGTGGCTCATGCCTGTAATTCCAACACTTTGGGAGGCAGAGGTGGGAGGATCATTTAAGGCCAGGAGCTCACTCAAGGTCAGCCTGGCCAACATAGTGGGACCCCCACCTCTCTCTCTCTCCATATATGTGTGTGTATGTGTTTGTATAAATATATATATATATTTTGTTTGTTTGTTTGTTTTTCTAAGACAGGTTTTGCTCTTTTTGCCCAGGCTGGAGTGCGATGGCGCAATCTCGCCTCACTGCAACCTCCGCCTCCCAGGTTGAAGCAATTCGCTGCCTCAGCCTCCTGAGTAGCTGGGATTACAGGCATCTGCCACCATGTCTGGCTACTTTTTTTTGTATTTTTAGTAGAGACAGGGTTTCACCGTTTTGACCAGGCTGGTCTTGAACTCCTGACCTCGTGATCCACCTGCCTCGGCCTTCCAAAGTGCTGGGATTACAGGCGTGAGCTACCGCGCCCTGCCGACTGTTTTCAACACATGAACTTCGACGGACACATTCAAACTATGGCAACTGTTCTGACAGAAAGAGGCTGCCCAGAGCACCCTGGGGAGAGCTGACTTGATGGAGCCTGAGTGGTGTGTGTGTCACCGCTGCTGCCCTCTCCAGCCACATCACTCCCTTTTGTGCATCCTCAAACTCCGTGTTCTTATCCAGTGGTTCTCAATGGAGGTAATTTTGCCCCCTAAAGGACATTTCTCAATGACTAGGGACATTTCTGGTTGTCACAAGAGAGGGTCCTCTTGACATCTAGTGGACAGAGGCCAGGGCTGCTCCTGAACACCTTCCAATGCCCAGGCCAGTCCCCAAGATAAAGACTCAGCCTCGGCTGGGCGTGGTGGCTCATGTCTGTAATCCCAGGACTTTGGGAGGCCAAGGCAGGAGGATCATCTGAGGTCAGGAGTTCGAGACCAGCCTGGCCAACATGGTGAAATCCCGTCTCTACTAAAACTACACACATGCAAAAAGAAATTAGCCAGGTGTGGTGGTGTGCACCTGTAATCCCAGCTACTTGGGAGGCTGAAGCAGGAGAGTCGTTTAAACCCGGGAGGCGGAGGCTTCAGTGAGCCGAGATCGCGTCATTGCAATCCAGCCTGAGGGACAGAGCAAGACTCCACCTCAAAAAAAAAAAAATTATCCAAGAGTGTCAGTGCACGCCTGTAGTCCCAGCTACTCAGGAGGCTGAGGCAGAAGAATTGCTTGAATTTGGGAGGCAGAGGTTGCAGTGAGCTGAGATCCCGCCACTGCACTTTAGCCTGGGTGACAGAGCGACACACTGTCTCAAAAAAATAAGTACACACACACACACACAAAATTAGCCAGGCGTGGCCAGGCACGGTGGCTCACACCTGTAATCACGGCACTTTGGGAGGCTGAGGTGGGTGGATCACCTGAGGTCAGGAGTTCATGACCAGCCTGGCCAACATGGTGAAACCCCATCTCTGCTAAAAATGTAAAAAAAATTAGCCGGGCATGGTGGCGGGCACCTGTAGTCCCAGCTACCAGGGAGGCTGAGGCAGGAAAATGGCGTGAACCCAGGAGGTGGAGCTTGCAGTGAGCTGAAATCACGCCACTGCACTCCAGCCTGGGCAACAGAGCCAGACTCCGTCTCAAGAAAAAAAAAAAAAAGAAAAATCTATCCGGGCGTCATGGTGGACGCCTGTAGTCCCAGCTGCTTGGGAGGCTGAGGCAGGAGAATTGCTTGAACCCAGGAGACGGAGGTTGCAGTGAGCCAACACAGTGCTACTGCACTCCAGCCTCGACGACAGAGTGAGACTGTCTCAAAAACAAAAAACAAAAAACAAAAAAAAATTAGCCGGGCGTGGTGGTGCACGCCTGTGATCCCAGCTTACTCAGGAGGCTGAGGCAGGAGAATCGCTTGAACCTGGGAGGCAGAGGTTGCAGTGAGCCGAGATCACACCACTGCACTCCAGCCTGGCGGCAGAGTGAGACTCCATCTTAAAAAAAAAAAAAAGTAAATAACTAAAGTCAGCATATTTTAAAAAGTAATAATAATAAAATAAAATAAAATTAGCCAGGCATGGTGGCACATGGTCCTAGCTACTCAGGAGGCTGAGGCAGAAGGATTGCTTGAGCCCAGGAGGTCGAGATTGCAGTGAGTTATGATCCTGTCTTTACACAGTGAAAGACTCTGCAACACTGAAAGTGATCAATCAGCAGGGTGCAGTGGTGCACCAGCACTGGGGAGGCCAAGGTGGGAGGATCACTAGAGGCCAGGAGTTCAACGCCAGACTGAGCGACAACAAAGTGAGACCCCTGTCTCGAAAGGAAGGAAGGAAGGAAGTCAAGGCTGGGCACAGTGGCTCGCACCTGTAATCCCAGCACTTTGGGCGGCCGAGGCAGGTGGATCACCTGAGATAGGGAGATCGAGACCAGCCTGGCCAACATGGTGAAACCCCGTCTCTACTAAAAATACAAAAATTAGCCGGGCGTGGTGGCACTGGGCCTGTAATCCCAGCTACTTGGGAGGCTGAGTCTCAAGCCTGGGCAACAGAGCCAGGCTCTGTGGGGAGGCGGGGGAGGCGGGGGAAGAAAGAAAGAAAGGAAAAAAAAGGAAAAGTAAACAAGAACATGCATGAATCTTGCAAACATTAGGCTGCATAACAAAGGCATACAGACACCAAAGAGAACATATTTCATGGTCCATTTATATGAAATTCTAAAACAAGCAAAACTAATCTCTGGTGTTAGAATTCACGATAATGATTACCCTGAGGGTAATTAGGGTAATCAGGGTCAGGAAATGGGGCTAAGAACGTTCTGTTTCTCCACCTAGGTGCTGGTTACATGGAGTTCTGCACTTAAGAGTTTGGGAGGGGCCAGGTGCGGTGGCTGACTCCTGTAATCCCAGCACTTTGGGAGGCCAAGGAGGGTAGATCACTTGAGCCCAGAAGTTTGTCACCAGCCTGGGCATAGTAGTGAGACCCCTCCCATCCCCATCTCTATTAAAAAAAAAAAAAAAAAAAAGCTGGGCGCGGTGGCTCAGGCCTGTAATCCCAGTACTTTGGGAGGCGGAGCTGGATGGATCACGAGGTCAGGAGATCGAAACCATCCTGGTTAACATGGTGAAACCCCATCTCTACTAAAAAAAATACAAAAAATTAGCCGGGCGTGGTGGCATGCGCCTGTGGTCCCAGCTACTCGGGAGGCTGAGGCAGGAGAATGGTGTGAACCCAGGAGGTGGAGCTTGCAGTGAGCCGAGATGGCGCCACCGCACTCCAGCCTGGGCGACAAAGCGAGACTCCATCTCAAAGAAAAAAAAAAGTACCCACCTTGATCCTGAAAGAAAACAAAACAACGGCAAATCAGCAATAGAACAATCTTGAGCATAGAAAACCAGACTCCCTGAAGTCAGTGTGAATGAAGCTGAGATCAACCACATTAAACATTTCATGTGGCCGGGCACGGTGGCTTACGCCTGTAATCCCAACACTTTGGGAGGCCAAGGTGGGCAGACCACATGAGGTCAGGAGTTCAAGACCAGCCTCGCCAACATGGTAAAACCCCGTCTCTACTACAAATACAAACAAATTAGCCGGGTGTAGTGGTGGACACCTGTAGTCCCAGCTACCCAGGAGGCTGAGGCAGGAGAATTGCTTGAACCCAGGAGGCAGAGGTTGCAGTGAGCCAAAATCGTGCCACTGCACTCCAGCCTGGGCAACAGAGCAAGACTTCCTCTCACAAAAAAAAAAAAAAAAAAAAAAGGCTGGGCATGGTGGCTCATGCCTGTAATCCCAGCACTTTGGGAGGCCGAGGCGGGCAGATCACGAGGTCAGGAGTTCGAGACCAGCCTGACCAACATGGTGAAACGCTGTCTCTACTAAAAATACAAAAATTAGCTGGGTGTGGTGGCACATGCCTGTAATCCCAGCTACTCGGGAGGCTGAGGCAGGAGAATTGCTTGAACCCGGGAGGCAGAGGTTGCGGTGAGCCGAGATCGTACCATTGCACTCCAGCCTGGGCAACAAGAGTGAAACTCTGTCTCAAAAAAAAAAAAAAAAAAAAGTTGTACTCACTTTTTTCCCACATTTATATGGAATGAAAACTTGCCAATTTATTCTGGCCCTAGGTCTACTGCCAGTATAGCATTCTTTTTTTTTTTTTTTTTTTTTTGAGACAGAGTCTCGCTCTGTCACCCAGGCTGGAGTGCAGTGGCGCGATCTCGGCTCACTGCAAGCTCTGCCTCCCGGGTTCACGCCGTTCTCCTACCTCAGCTTCCCCAGCAGCTGGGACTACAGGCGCACGCCGCCACACCCGGCTAATTTTTTGTATTTTTAGCAGAGACGGGGTTTCAACGTGTTAGCCAGGATGGTCTCGATCTCCTGACCTCGTGATCTGCCCGCCTCAGCCTCCCAAAGTGCTGGGATTACAGGTGTGAGCCACTGTGCCCGGCCTAGTATAGCATTCTTACATGTTACATATAGTGGACTTGTCATACTTAATATGTGAACAGAATTTATTGGCAGTGTGGCAAATATTATAAAACCTAGTGTTTAATGTACTTGGGAAGAGTTTCCTTGTAGTAGTAACTACAGAGTTTAATGATAAGTAAACTCCCCTTAACAAAAACCTCAACCTTATTACTATCCCATTAACGACAAGCAAATACATTAAAAAAAAAAAAAAAAAAAAGGCTGGGCGCGGTGGCTCACGCCTGTAATCCCAGAACTTTGGGAGGTTGAGGCGGGCGGATCATGAGGTCAGGAGATCGAGACCATCCTGGCTAACACAGTGGAACCCCATCTCTAGTAAAAATACAAAAAAAAAAAAATTAGCCGGGCGTGGTGGCGAACGCCTGTAGTCCCAGCTATGTGGGAGGCTGAGGCAGAAGAATCGCTTGAACCCAGGAGTTGGAGGTTGCAGTGAGCCGAGATCACACCACTGCACTCCAGACTGGGCGACACAACGAGACTCTTTAAAAAAAAAAAAAAGGCCAGGTGTGGTGGCTCACACCTGTAATCCCAGCACTTTGGGAGGCCGAGGCGGGTGTGGGTCGCCTGAAGTCAGGAGTTCTAGACCAGCCTGGCCAACATGATGAAACCCTGTCTCTACTAAAAATACAAAAATTAGCCGGGCGTGGTGGCGTGCGCCTGTAATCCCAGCTACTCCGGGGGCTGAGGCAAGAGAATCACTGGAACAGGGAGGCAGAGTTGCAGGGAGCCGAGATCACACTCCAGCCTGGGGGACAGAGCCAGACTCTGTCTCAAAAAAAAAAAAAAAGAGGGCCAGGTGCGGTGGCTTATGCCTGTAATCGCAGCACGTTGAGAGGCCAAAGCAGGTGGATCACGAGGTCAGGATTTCAAGACCACCCTGGCCAAGATGGTGAAACCCGTCTGTAGTAAAAATACAAAAAAATTAGCCGGGCATGGTGGCGGGCGCCTGTCATCCCAGCTACTCAGGAGGCTGAGGCAGAGAATTAGAGAATTGCTTGAACTTGGGAGGCAGAGGTTGCAGTGAGCCGAGATCACACCACTGTACTCCAGCCTGGGCGACAAAGCGAGACTGCGTTTCAAAAAACAAAAAAAAGAGTCTGGAGCTTCAGGACTTCAAGGCTGCAATGAGCTCTGATCGTGCCACTGCATTCCAGCCTGAGCGGCGAGGGAGACCTTGTTCCTAAAAAAAAAAAGAATTGGGAGGCTTTAGAGAAGTGTGTAACTTATGCTACAGCTTAAACAATGGTCTCAAGAAATCAAAAAACAAATTTTACAAGTTCAAAAATAATCATAAAAAATACTTTGTGTTTATTTGTGGAATGGAGTTAAATTCTACCGTTAGTACGCAGTGGCTAAGGGCGGACTTGAAGATCTCCCAGGAAATTTGATAATCACGCCGGCGGACACGTTTCCCACTCTCCACCAGGGGGCGGTGCGGCGCACTCCCTGCCGCTTGAGACAAACAGACACGCATATTCATTCAACAAACCTGAACCCATGAGAACCTACTTTGTGCCGGGCCTCCTTCTAGTTTCCCGATCTGTGAAATGGGAATTAGAATGTCCCTGCCGCCATGGAGCTCACTTTCTCCAGAAGACAGACAACAAACAGCTAAACAAAGGAATAGGTAGAGGCCAGGCGCGGTGGTTCAGGCCTGTAGTCCCAGCACTTCGGGAGGCTAAGGCCAGAGGATCGCTTGAGGCCAGGAATTCGAGACCAGCCTGGGTAACATAATGAGACCTCCCCCCCCCCATCTCTACAAAAAAATTTAAAATTAGCCAGGCGTGGTGGTGTGCACCTGTGGTCCCAGGTACTTGGGAGGCTGAGGAAGGAGGATCATTTAAGCCCAGGAGTTGGGCATCTGGGCAACATAGTAAGACCCTCTCTCTAAAAATAAAATAAATAAAATACAAAATAAAATATAAAATTTAAAAAGGCCTGGAGTGGTTCGAGGCCAGCCTGAGTGACATGGTGAGACACTGTCTCTACTAAAAATACAAAAATTAGCCGGGCATGGTGGTGCGGGCCTGTAATCCCAGCTACTCAGGAGACTGAGACACGAGAGTCACTTGAACCTAAGAGGCAGAGGTCGCAGTGAGCTGAGATTGTGCCACTGCACTCCAGCCTGGGCGACAGAGCAAGACTCTGTCTCAAAAATAAATAGAATAAAATATAAAAGAAATTAAAAAGAAAAAATTAGCAGGGCATGGTGGCACACACCTGTGGTCCCAGCTACTCAGGAGGCTGAGGTGGGAGGCTCACTTGAGCCCAGGAGGTTGAGATTACAGTGAGCTGTGATCACACCACTGCTCCGCTTGGGCAACAGAGCAAGACACTGTCTTAAAAAAAATAAGGCCATGTATAGTGGCTCATGCCTATAATCCCAGCACTTTGGGGGGGCGGAGGCAGAAGGATCACCTGAGCCCAGGAGTTATAGACCAGCCTGGGCACCATGGGGAGACCTCATCTCTACAAAATAATATAAAATTAGCTGGCCATGGTGGCACAAGAAGGTAGTCCCAGCTATTCAGGAGGGAGGCTGAGGTGGGAGGATTGCTTAGGCCTGGAAGGTTGAGGCTGCAGTGAGCCATGTTCACACCTCTGCACTCCAGCCTGAGTGACAGAGTGAGACCCTGTCTAAAAAAAAAGAAAAAGGCTGGACACAGTGGCTCATACCTGTAATCCCAGCACTTTGGGAGGCCGAGGCGGGTAGATCACGAGGTCAGGAGATGGAGACCATCCTGGCTAACTCAGTGAAACCCGTCTCCACTAAAAATACAAAAAATTAGCCAGGCCTGGCGGCGTGCGCCTGTAGTCCCAGCTACTCAGGAGATTGAGGCAGGAGAACGACGTGAACCCAAGAGGTGGAGCTTGCAGTGAGCAGAGATCATGCCACTGCACTCCACCCTGGGCAACACAGCAACAAGACTCCATCTCAAAAAAAAAAAAGGGGGCCAGGCGCGGTGGCTCATGCCTGTAATCCCAGCACTTTGGGAGGCCGAGGTGGGTGGATTATGAGGTCAGGAGTTTGAGACCAGCCTGACCAACATGGTGAAACCCTGTCCAACATGGTGAAACCCCGTCTCTACTAAAAATACAAATATTAGCCGGGCATGGTGGCACGTGCCTGTAATCCCAGCTACTCAGGAGGCTGAGGCAGGAGAATCGCTTGAACCCAGGAGGCAGAGGTTGCAGTGAGCTGAGATCGTGCCGCTGCACTCCAGCCTGGGCAACAGAGCAAGACTCCATCTCAAACAAACAAACAAACCTATATATATATATATATATATATATATATGTGTATAAAAATCTTGAATCCTACCACAGCTCCCGTCTCTGCTTCCTGGATCTATGGATGGTCATAAGGATGTAACCAGGTCATGTATGTAAAGCTCTGAATCGGCACGGAGCCTAGCACACAGTAGGTGAACTCAGAGAGCTGCCATGATGATGATGATGACAATTGGTCTCTCAGAACCTTCATCCTTCCGGCTGCCCCCTAAACGCCTCTCTGTCCTTCACATCCACATCCAGTACCTCAGCCAATCCCATCTGCTCGCTCTCTCTTTCTTTCTTCTCTCTCCTTCCTTCCTTCCTTCCTTGCTTTCTTGCTTTCTTGCTTGCTTGCTTTCTTGACAGACTCTCGCTCTGTCACCCAGACTGGAGTGCAATGATGTGATCTCGGCTCACTGCAACCTCCCACTTCCAGGTTCAAGTGATTCTCCTGCCTCAGCCTCCCAAGTAGCTGGGATTACAGGCACGCACCACCACACCCAGCTAATTTTTGTATTTTTGGTAGAGATGGGGTTTCGCCATGTTGGCCAGGCTGGCCTCGAACTCCTGTCCTCAAATGATCCTTCTGCATCGGCCTCCCAAAGTGCTGGAATTACAGATGTGAGCCACCGCGCCCGGCGGCAAATAGCACTTTTTCAAAGACACCATCCCTCAACACTCCTGACGGCCCTTCCCTGCTTCCTTTTTCTACTTGAAGTTTCGCTTTGTATTGTTACTGTGTTCTCCTGGTGTGTGGTCTGCCACAGACCAGAGTGTCAGTCCCATGAAGGCAGGATTTGTATCCATTTTGCTCACAGCTGTATCCTCATGCCTACAACTGCACCAGTGCCTGGCACAGGGGAGACTCTGTGGTAATTGCTGAATGAGTGGATATAAGAATAAATGGGGCCAGGCGTGGTGGCTCACGCCTGTAATCCCAGCACTTTGAGAGGCCGAGGCGGGTGGATCACGAGGTCAAGAGATCGACACCATCCTGGCCAACATGGTGAAACCCTGTTTCTACTAAAAATACAAAAATTAGCCGGGCATGGTGGCAGGCGCTTGTAGTTCCAGCTACTCAGGAGGCTGAGGCAAGGAGAATCGCTTGAACCCGGGAGGCAGAGGTTGCAGTGAGCCGAGATCGCGCCACTGCACTCCAGCCTGGGCGACAGAGCGAGACTCCGCCTCAAAATATATATATGTATAGTCCATCTCCCCTGGTGGTTGTGAGGATGAATTGGGTTTGTATTTGCAGGCTTCCTGAGCTGGCGACATCGTCTGGTGCAAAGGTGGGCTTTTTGCGCGGCGCCTGTGCTTCCGCCTTCTGCCGCTCGGGGGCAGCAGGCGTCCGGCGGATTCGCCCGCGCGGCCGGGCCGGGAAAGGAGCGGGGGCAAGTCCGCAGGAGGAAGCTGATGAAATCCTGGCCAACTCGCAGTGAGCTCATCCCGCCCGGGCGCCTCCGGAAGCCACGGGGCCGCCCGGCCTCCGCCTGGCCCGAGCGATAAAGCTCTCGTGCCGAACCAGGGCGGGAAGTCCTTCCTGAAGTCTGCCCTGCGTGGGGCCTGCTGCCAGAAGCCTGGGCCGGAGGGGAGGGGCGAGGACGAAGTAGCGAACCGTCCGCTGGCTGTCTTAGAAGGATGAAAAGTGAATTCTGAGCCTGGCTGTGGGAGTAAGAGAGAGGGCATCGGGGAAGGGAGAGGGGGGCGGGAGAGACAGAGACAAGAGGTGGGAGAGACGACAGGAAGAAGAGACAAAGGTGGGGAGACTGAGGCAGAGGAGGGAGAGAGAGAGAGACAGAATCCAGGAGGGACAGCTGAGAGAGTCAGATGGAGCGACAGAGACAGAGATGGGGGAGACAGAGACACGGAGAGACAGAGATGATGGAGACAGAGACTGGGAGAGACAGAGATGATGGAGACAGAGACTGGGAGAGACAGAGATGATGGAGACAGAGACAGGGAGAGACAGAGATGATGGAGACAGAGACTGGGAGAGACAGAGATGATGGAGACAGAGACAGGGAGAGACAGAGATGATAGAGACAGATGGCAGAGACAGAGGTAGCGGAGAGAGACTAGGAGAGACAGAGGTGGCGGAGACAGAGACGGGGAGAGACAGCAGTGGTGGAGACTGATGGGAGAGACAGATGGAAGAAACAGAGAGGGGATATGAGAGACAGAGACAAAGGCAGAGAGATCTACAGGGAGACAGAGACAGGAGAGATAAACATGGGAAAGAGAGAGACAGAGAGACCCAGCGAGTGGCAGAGATAGGGGAGTCAGGAGCGACGCAAGGGTGTGGGAGATGGAGTCAAAGTAGGGGGTCAGAGGTGCCGAGCTGGAGGTGAGGGAGACGGGGCGAGGGGGCCGGGGAGGGGCGCTCGGGGCGGGCCTGCGAAATCGGGGCGGGGAGGGGCGGGGCGGGCCCCGGAGGGGCGGGGCGGGCCCCTCCCCCTCCCCGCCCTCCCAGCCCCCAGCCCGGAGCCCCGCGGCTGCGGCGCGGGCCGAGTCTCCAAGTTACCAAGTTACCGCAGGATTCGGGAGCTTCTCACTGGCGCGGCCGCGGCCAATCAGAGAGCAGCGCCGCTGTTCTCGGGCAGGAGGCCTGGAGACACGCGCACCTTCCCCCGACACCCAGCGAAGCGCGCTGACATACAATCACAGCGGCGCGCACACACACACACACACCGTCCCAGAGACAAGCAGCGTCGCCCACCGCACATACACAATCACAATGACACACACAGCGACAGACACACAGGTCCCAGGAACACGCAGACACACAGCATCACAGAGACACACAAAATATCAGTGACAGCCGGGCACGGTGGCTCAGGCCTGGCACGGTGGCTCAGGCCTGTAATCCCAGCATTTTGGGAGGTCGAGGCGGGTAGATCACTTGAGGTCGGGAGTTTGGGACCAGCCTAACCAATGTGGTGAAGCTCCGTCTCTAGTGTGGTGGCATGCACCTGTAGTCCCAGCTACTTGGGAGGCTGAGGCAGGAGAATCGCTTGAGCCCAGGAGGTGGAGGTTGCAATGAGCCAAGGTCGCTGCCACTGCACTCCAGCCTGGACAACAAGAGCAAAACTCCGTCTCAAAAAACAAAACAAAACAAAACAAAAAAACAACTTAGTGACACAGACAGTCCCAGGACACATAGCACTCCCCAGACCCACAACCACAGGCACACACAGTGCTGCCCAGGCACATGCAATCTCCATGAGGTATGCACAGTCCCTTGAACACACAACATCACCCTGACACACACAGTATCAGTGACATACAATCAATACAGTGACACTCATCCCACAACCAATTGGTCCCAACACACTCACTAGATCACAGTGATACAATCGCAACAGTGACACATTCAAGCACAGTGAGAGACAATATTGCATACACGCAATCTATTAGACACACAGTTCCATGGACACACAACATCACCCTGACAAACACAACCACAATGACACACAACCACAGTAACACACAGCATTGCACATGCACATACTGTCGGTGATACACAGTCCCACAGATATGCATTTCAGACACAGTCATAATGTCACACACACACACACAATCCCACCGTGCACCGCATTGTCCAGGCACACACAATAACAGTAGTATGTATGCACATCTTCCCCCGACACCCAGCACAGCACATGGGCATACACTATCACAGTGATACATACACAGTCCCAACACCCACAACACAAGTACCACTGACACACTCAGTGACACACACAATCCCATATACACACAGCATTGTATACACGTACACACCATCACCATGACATACACACACAACCCCAGTGACACCCAGCATTACACAAACACATCCAACCATGACAACAGAACAGTACAGTGACATAGCACCTTCACAGATCTTCCCCCAACACAACATCACTCTGACACATATACGATCCCAGCGTCAGGACACAATCACATGGGCACACACATCTCACTGCCAGACCAGCATGCTGCACAGAACCACACACATCACACCATCATGATCACACACAGCACACCAGAACATCACACAATTGTACACTGACACACAATCACATTGTCACAGCAGCCCATGACATGTAGCATTGTGACAAATGTAGCATGCTGACACACACCATCACACTGACACACAATCCATCAAGTGACACACAGTAGCACACACTGACACAACCCCACCGTAATGTGTGAACCCCCTGACACAACAGCACACTGACACAAATCCACAGAGGACTCCAGCACACACACACATAGTCACACAAACACCCAACCCCCGCACCCCTGCCCTTGCCCCAGGAAGCTGTGTTAGATGTGGGACGGTGGGGGAGGGATGCGCTGTGTGTGTGTGTGTGTGTGTGTGTGTGTGTGTTTGTGTGTGCGCCAGCGCAGGCTGTGCCTCCCCCTCCCAGCCCTTCCCCGGGGGCGGGGCCGTGCGGCAGCCGCTGTTACCGGGTAAACTTCCCCGCCCCCCCCAGCGCGGCCATTAGTCAACCCCCCCCAGGATGATGTCATCGCCTCATTCTGGAGGCTGAGTAATCCTCAACTCCGCCCCGCCAGGTACCAGGGTAGGGGCGGGCCGCACCTGGGCTCACCAAGTCTGGAGCTGGGGTCTGGAGCTGCAGGCGGCTCTGCCTTGGGTCTCCCGGGAGGGAGGGGACTGAGGAATTGGGCCTCTCTGAAGTGGCCCAGCCATGCACGTTACGGTCTCTCGAGGCTGGGGGCTCCCAGTCTGGATCCACGGGGCCAAGTAAAGGTGCTGCAGGGCTGGATCTTCCAGACCTGGGGGTCTGGGACTGGGGAGGGCCCCCCAACCTCTCCACTACTCCCTCCTCCCCAGCCACATCACTGTG